>NC_000012.12:89335128-89960128 GCF_000001405.40 Homo sapiens | reverse complement strand
AACTGAGTTGATCTTCTGCTGAATGTCAACTGAATGGGGACTGTGATACCCTCAGGTAAGAACTGTATTTTCTGCACAGTGTACACACTCCCTGCCTCCCTAAATTAAACTTAGCTTGGAAAGGACTAGAATCTCTTTTAAAGCTTCACTTTCTCACATTAAACTATGTGGTTTTCTGAAGACTCTTTCATACACTGGCATAGAATGCAGTTCAGGAGTCAGACTAACCTAGATTCAAACCCAGGCTCCACAATTCACCATCTCTGTGACCTTAAACAAGTCATCTAACATCTCTGTACATTACTTTCCTCACATATGTCTTTCATCGTGCTGTTGGGAAGACCAAATGAGACACCTATATGTAGACTGCTTAGCTCTTAGCTTTATGGTAAGAACCAACATATGGTAGTTATCATTATTCTACTTGGAGTTTTCTTTCTAAGCACCAAGGGAGCAAAGATGAGACTAGTTGGAAAACAATACGTTTAATAAGATATCCCAAGTTTTTTTTTTTAAGCCCGGAGGCTCTACCATCATGTATTTTTTTTATTTTTTACACCAAACTTGCACTTTTATAATTATGATAATCTGTCTATGCCTATAATGAGCACAGTACTATAACCTAAGGCAAAAATCACCAGCAACTCTACTATGTACACGGCAGGGAAGGGGGAAAGCCTCATCTCCCCACCCTACCCCCCATTTTATTACTTAAACTTCCCATTATGTGAGCCATTTATTCAATTTTTACTGAACTTTTCACAAACCAGAAAGCCACTGGAGTTGGTCCAACCACTATAAAATTTTACTGCTCTTTGTTATTGCATAATAATTCCTAAGAGTTAACATTTTACTTTTCTTCTAAAATAAGGGATTTGCTTAAAGCAAGAAATCTCATTATTACTACTAATGATACTAAACCCAGTACATTATTGCTCTACTAAGAACTGATAAATTATCAGAACAAAGTTTAAAGTTTGTTCTTTATATTATAAGAGAAAATATTATATTTTCTCTTTCTCCTTCCCCTTCTCTTCTTCCTCCTCTTTCTCCTTATTTCTAATTACATATTTATGTTTATGTACCCAAGGAGTATGTCATTCTCTGAGGATGCAAATTGAAACAACACAGAAATAATACTTATTCAATCATAAGTGCTTAACGTGCTTTATAATGATGTCTCTTTCAAAATGCTCCGTTTAAGTCTGTTTATGAGATGCTGCCACAATAGGTATTTCTGATAAAATACCGCATATACATTCCCCAGAACAACACATCCTGCAAAAGCATGCACTAAAAATAATGCAGCTTATATAAAATAAAGAGTTAAGAGAAAACCACTCAACACTCATGCAATTTTGAGAATTCTGAGAAGGTGGTGGTAATGGTATAGTTTTTGAAGCCCCCTAAATAAATCTTTCTTCAAAATAAAAAGCAATTAAGATCCCAAAACATATACAACAAAATCAGATGACAAGATATCCTCTGAATTCCAAAATCCAAACAGGAGAAGACAAAATACCATATATATTCACAATCTTATGACAAAATGAAGTTTGTAAGAAATATATATATAGTATATAATTATATTTGCTGTGACAATATACCTATATTACAACTATAAAAATGGCAGAATGGGGACGCTATCAGAAAAGTAGAATAATCTTGATGATTATCTTATAGTTACTAAAATAAATCCAATTATTTTAATACTGATTAAATTGATGCAGAATACTAGCTAATATCAATATATCTCATAGAATGGACTCAATAGACAACAAAGGCAGGGGCAGAACAGGAATGGGTAATTTTTTTAATGTTAGCATAAAAATTAAAACAAAAGAGCAAGCCTTTATTAATACCAAAAATATATACTTTAAAAATAGAAGAAACAAATAAAATGAACCACCTAGAGAAAGACACATTCTTCAGTGAAAAAGGGAGAGCAGAGAAAATTGTGTAGTATGTGCAATATTTTAATTTAATTGTTTCTGACAACCTTGAGAACCAGGATTCTCAGGAACCAAAAAAAAAAGAAGACATAAGTGAAAGATAGAAGAAGTTAAATTTAAAAAACTTGTGCGCCTAAATTTGAACTGGAAGTGTCAGTAGGAATCATAATATAGCTTATCTTTTTAAAAGATATATTTCTTAAAATATGTATATTATGTGTATATGTATATATACATAAATGCATACACATACATACATACATGATATACATAGATCCATTAGCATTCCTATGTCTGGATTATAATTTCTAATACCATTCTCGAAAAACTAAAAGGACTGGGATAGAAAATATACAAGATGAGTCTGCAGCATCTTGTCAAACCGGATAGCAAGGAAACTATCATATACTACAAGGTTCATATCAGCAGGATGCAAGAGTCAACTTGAAGAAACTCCTGTTCCATTTCACAAAAACTGGGACAATTTGAGCGTTAATAATTTTACAAAAGGCAAAAAGTTTAACAAAAAATATGTTTGAATTCATGGGGCATAATTATACTTACAAAAACATATACTTGGTGACCACTGGGTAAAAAAAGGCAAAAAATAAAAAAAAAATCAAGCCTTTATCCAGGATTCCATATGTGAATTGAATTACTATATAATCAATAAGGAAAATTTCACTTATAAAAATGTTTCAGGTAATAAGTGAAGAAGAAATCATAGAATTAGAATATCACAATTTTGCAAATTGTAGTGAATTAATGGTTCATTAATTGAACATCAGTAGCTGCTGAGATCACCAAAAGAGAGTCAACTAAACATCTCATGCCTGATGATAGAAAAAGCACAGAATCAGGCCAGGTGCAGTGGTTCATGCCAGTAATCCCAGCACTTTGGGAGGCAGTGGCAGGGGATCACTTGAGGCCAGGAGTTCAAGACCAGCCTGGACAACGTAGCAAGATCGTGTCTATATTAAAAAATTAAAAATTAGCTTAGTGTGGTGGTGAGAACCTGTAATCCCAGTTACTCAGGAGACAGGGGCAAGAGGATCCCTTGAGTTCAGGAGTTCAAGGCTACAGTGAGCTATGATTGCACCATTGCATTCCAGTCTAGGCAACAGAGAGAGACCTTGTTTTGGAAAGTAGAAAGAAAAGGAAAGGGAAAGAAAGGGAAAGGAAAAGGGAAGGAGGAGAGGAGAGGAGAGGAGAGGAGAGGAAGGAAGGAAGTTCATAGCATCACTATGAAGTAGTCACATCAAAAAAAAGTATCTAACCTGAATTTAATCAAGCTCATATATGCAACTACCAACTTGCAAGAAAGATGTAATGCTTGTTATACGAAAGATGTAGAAACTTGTTAATATACTCTGCAGGCATACAATCAGCACAATCAAGACTGTGGGAAACATTGCAAGACAAATAACCCAGTTTGTTCTACAAAGAAACCAGAAGGGGTAAAAAGGATGGAGAGAGAATCTACAATTTAGTAAACATTTAAAAGACATATCAACCAATCACACTGTGTGGCTTTGGCTTCCATTTTAATTTTTAGAAAAAGAATCATAAAATAAATTATGGCATTGATAATATAATCGAAAACTTGAACACTTACTGGATATGAATATTTTATGATATTAAGGAATTATTTTAATTTCTGGCTTTGATGATGGTATTGTGATTATAATAACAACAAGCCTTTATCTTTTAAAGATACATACTTAATACTTTATTTTATGAATAAAATCATATCATGTCCAGGACTTGCTTCAAAATAATATGGGAGGTGAAGTAGATAGGGAATTAGATGAAAATTTATTGTCTATGCGTGGATAATTGTTGACCCCAGGTGATAAGTAATGGCAGTCAATTATACAATTCTACCAACTTTTATATAAGTTTAAAATTTTTCACAATGAAAGGTTTTATTTTTAAAATGAGGTACACCTTGATACATATTATCTAGGTATACATGTTCCAAGTTCCAGGGACTACAAATACCTGAAAATATAACATAGTATAAAATTATTTATCACAATATTATTCACCCTTGCGAAAAACACAGAAATCTCTGCCAAATTGTGTGATATTATCAGTTTAAAAGAAACAGAACCATACAAAGTAATGTTTCTATAGTTGGTTTCTGATATTATCAGTTTAAAAGAAAAAGAACCATACAAAGTAGTGTTTCTATAGTTGGTCTCTGAACTTCAGGAGAAAAAAAAAGTGGTTTTATACATTAATAGCTGTGCCTGATAGACTCACCTCATCTTTTTGGGGGCAATCTGTCCTGGAAAGATAATTTAGCAAATAACTCCAGAATGTATATAATGGGCCGTTCCCACCTGTATCCTCTTAAAGGATGTGGATTATGTTTCTGCACCTTTTACCCTAGAGTTTCCATGACCTTAAGCTTCTTTGGGAAAACTATGGCAATTTAGTCTCTGTGGCTGAGGAGACTGCTTCAACAATGGAACTGGCATCAGCAAGGTTTCCATGACATCTGAGTGAGAACTTAAGGGCAGTGGGTGGTGTTTGTGCCAGGCCAGATGGGTACTCTCAGGAAGCCTCATGGTGTCCCTGCTGCCTGTGTGCCAAGAACTGGGGGAAGGTAATGCAACAAATGCCCTGAGATAGAGCCACAGGCAGAAAGCTCAGCAGAGTCCCTGGTCTGCTCCTATCAGCCAGGGAGATGCTGAGAGCCCAGAAACACTTTCCAAAGGTCTCTAAAACATGTGTCCGTATATATAAAGCATTTCTATAAGGAGAATCTCTTTTAACAGGCATATTTTCTTAATACTGATTCTATTTCCATAGCTTAATTTACAATTCAGATTCTAGAGGGGAAATAAAATTCTGTTTTCTGTATTTGAGTTTGTAGACCAGAAAAATGCATAGAATATTTGGCTTATTCTGTATGTGGTTTTTATGGCAAAACATCTCAATAAAACACTGCCAGGGTTGCATTGCCAGTAGCATTGTTCCAAGGCACTTTTCTCATCATCATCATCATCATCACCATTATCATCATCATCTTAATTGCTATTCACTTAGCACTAACTACATGCTAGGCCAACATCTATTGTTTCTAGGGAGATATATTCTTCCACAGTGTTTCCACTTCCACTTCTTTGCAGGGAAAAATGGCATTGTGGACAATAAATAAATGAAAGTAAAATTATACTATTACCTCGAATACATTACTTAAATTTAAAAATAAATTTTTCTCAGGATTTAGTACCATAATGCTTACAAGTTATTTGGAAACTAATGCATCTCACTGTATTGTAATTAATGTTTGCAGGTCTGTCATTTGCCTCCATGATTTTGTACTTCAGTAAGGATAGGGACCATGTCTATCTAACACAGACTTGTAGACTCAGAATCTAGCACATAGCAGGGGCTCAATTCATATTTTTCAAATGAGTAAATAATTAAATAAATTAATAAAAGAGCAAATAGAGCTCACAACTGATCACATACAAATTGCACCAAGATATGATGTTCAGTTATTCTATAATACTAGAAATAGTTTACTTATTGTCTCATTTAATCCTTATGAAAACTCCTACAAGGAAGATACTACTATTTCTACATTACAGATAAGGAAATTAGGTCTCAGAGGGCCTATGAGACTGACCCAAGGTCACGTAACGAAATAGTAAAGAGTGAGTTCATCAAGGCTGACAGATTCCAGAACCCTTGGTCTTTCCACTGCCCCAGACCCCTTCCTTTGAGTGTTAGGCTGTCTCCCTAAGGGTGAAGAAAACTGGAGACTGGTAAAAGATTCCCACATTTACGAATTGGATAAGGTGACCTCACAGCCACATCCCAGAGCAAGGACACTGTCCCCTTAAGCAGAGCAACTGCCATCAAAGTCTAATTTTAAGAAAAATGTTAAAATGTGTTCACATTCACACACATTTGCCTGTGTGTGGCTTTGGGCTGTGCTCTTTATTTTGTTCTAAACAGAACTTTTTTTCTCTCTTTTTAGTCACATTTCTGGAATAACAGAACATTGTGTTCCGTATCAAATCTCATCACAGCTGCACATTAAAAAGTGTACCTCAAAGTTTCTTATTTAAAATATAAAAATGCAAGATTATAATAAGATTAAATATTTCTTTATTATGCCCTTGAGTGGGGAGAAACAGTTTATTTATTTCCTCCTTCTTCTCCTAGGGCTTGATAGTAACCCTGTCCTCTTTTAAGTTCATGGCTTTTCTGGAATTTCAAATTGTCCACAGAGCCAACCTCAGGATTATCTATCTTTCATAGGATATATTTGGCAAAAATAGACTTATTTTCAGTGGGATGAAGGGTAAAGGAAAGAAATGGTAATGATTTAGTCCCTTGTTAGTGTGGTATTTTTTTAAAAGCAACTTGCTTTTTACCAGTGATTAATATTTCCAAGATATTTTTGTTCAAGAAATATTTTTTAGGCTTTAAAGGCAGATACAATATCACAAAAATATCCAGAATTCATTGTTCTCATCAGCTGGTAAATTATTTGTTACCTACACCTAAAACAATCAAACTGGTGCCCCTAAAGATGCAAAAATAATCCTGGATTCAAAAACTAGAAATTAAAAACCAAATACCCATTTGTTCTGAAGTATATGAGTATCTTTAAACACTTTAATTGGAAAAAGCTTCTATTCACAAACAGAAGTTATCACCAAAATTTTATTTTCAATCAGATAAAGATATATTTTTAAAGGTTTATTTACAATTGAGTAGATGTTTGTCCCTGATTGAAGGATGAGGAAAGGGTTTCTGTACATAACAAACATAATGTTATTCCTTTTCTTTATTTTTTAATGAATGAAACAGCCTCAGAATTATACTTTGGCTATCAAATATATTCTAACATTTATTCTATAGCAGTTGGACAGTTAAATGAGCATACAAAAGTACCAGAATGTTACCAAAAATGTTCCTCTTATCAACTCCTCCATAAACTATCATCATCAACTGGTAATCATATTATTTTCTAATTATTAAACTTGTACAGTAATCAAAGGACCCCTTTGGGTATTTACATGCTCTATCTTTATTCCTCTTTCTTTTATAATCTTCTTTCTATCTCTAGCCCTCCGTGAAGCACTTTATCAGATAATAAGAAAATCACTCTCCCACATAAAATAATTATTTTTAAAAACTATGGCAAAGTTAATGATCCTTATTTGCTCTGTCAGATCCCTTACACTAGAACTATATTTTGTCTGTTTTGCACAGTACTTTTGCCAAGCACACAGGGGAGTTGAAGAGACAGTAGTTGATGGTAATTATCATGCACCCTTTGTTTGTTCACAAGGGACATTTGCTGAAGATTAAAAATAAATTCACAACTAATTGACTGTCAGCCATAAGCTATACTGCTGGGACTTCCAAACTACCAACTGAAAAGAAAACAACTGAGCAAATCTTGCCAAGGCCCAACTCAAAGATTAAAAACAGCCTCCCTATTTAACTTGCCTACAGCACAACTCATCAGATGAAAGGTAACTTCAGTAGTTCTGCAATTCCCTTCCCCAAAGAGCCCACTTTGGGAAATAAACCTTTAATTACAAATGCTATACGGCCGGGCGCGGTGGCTCACGCCTGTAATCCCAGCACTTTGGGAGGCCGAGGCGGGCGGATCACGAGGTCAGGAGATCGAGACCATCCCGGCTAAAAACGGTGAAACCCCGTCTCTACTAAAAATACAAAAAATTAGCCGGGCGTAGTGGCGGGCGCCTGTAGTCCCAGCTACTTGGGAGGCTGAGGCAGGAGAATGGCGTGAACCCGGGAGGTGGAGCTTGCAATGACCCGAGATCCCGCCACTGCACTCCAGCCTGGGCAACAGAGCGAGACTCCGTCTCAAAAAAAAAAAAAAAAAAAAAAAAAAAAATGCTATAACTGGGCCTGCTAAGCTGCCCCTTTCAAGCCACCAATGAGCAGTTATCTACTGAGCACTACCTATTTGCCTGGTACTTGTAGACTCTGAGAATACAATGATAAATAAGATATTCACAACTCTTTCCTCTGTGGTATTCAACCCCAGCAAGGAAGGAGTATAGTTAGAAACTTTACTTAGTGAAAGAAAGATGAGGAAGACAGTAATGACGCATTCCAATGGCAAACACACCTCTACTTCTTAGTTTTATTTCTTTGTCACACCTACCTCAAGTTGAAGGCAGCAATCTTTATAGTTCTATACCTCATGCATGAAAGACAATCCAGGAAACCTTAAAAATTGTCTGTCCCAATGAACCATGACCCACAATGGTATAAGAACATCGACAAAATATGAACAACAATGGTAAAATATAATCAACTCACTAATGAGTCATGTGCATGATCCGGAGGCACAGGTAAGACAAGACTGGTTTATTTAAGGGCTTAGTTCTCCTTTGGAAATGGAGCTAATCTTGTCAGAATAGCAGTTGAGCTATTCCTCTCTCCTTTCCCTATCCATCTTTCCCCCTCCCAGATCTTCTCTCTTTTTTTTCCCCCTTTGGCTTCCTATCTGCATCTACCTTCTTTCTTTCACAAAGCCTGACTCCATAGATGATGGTTGTATGATAGGCATTGTTAATGTCCACCAATTTCTAATTATTTACTTTTGGTTAGAAAGGAGATTACATTTCCATGTTCCCTTGAAGTTAGATGCTGCCATGTGACTCATTTTGCCCAAAGGCATGTGAATGACACTCTGGACTAAGGCTTCTATGGCTTGTGTTTGACTTGCCAGCTCTTTCTCATCCCCTGCTGGGGTGAACCCTGAAGCCTGACGTCATTAGATGGCAGTGTCATAAAATGACAGAGTCTCCTTCAGCCTTACTCCGTATGTGACAGTGATAAGCAAAGCTCTCCCTGACACCATGAATGAGAAATAACCTGAAATTTTAGAGTTGTTATCACAGGATAACCTACACTATTCTGACACAAGTAAAAGAAGAAAGATACTAACCAGCACATGCAGTCATAAGGATGTTGGCAACAGGATTCATTTAGCACACATTTACTGAATTGGCATGTAAGTGAAAGAATCCAACATGAGAAAATAGAGAAAAGATAAAGTTGTTGCCCTCAAAGAGAGGGCAAAAAAAGAAAAAAAATTGACAAATGTAAAAACAATTATGGTAGAATTTTACATATATATTTTTTAAATCAGTCAAATATGGTAAGGAAAAGTTTGGGAAATCTTTGTCTAAAGAGCGTGCAGCTGGAAGCTAGGAGTCCAGTCCTGCCATGTTTTTGTAAGTCATTACCATTGTTATCATCATCAACCTATTTATTATTACAGAGCATGTGTGACTTCAGGCAAGACACTAAACTCTTTTTTTGCATCTTTAAAGTAGAGGGAAAATACTATTTCTCTTTTTTAGATTACTGAAATGTGATTAATACCCAAGAGGATAGAATGTCTATGTACTCTGAATTCTTAAGACAAAACAACATCTCAGGCAGAGTGTTTAGTGAAAAGCCCCTGGCTGAGGTTTCAATACTTGTGTACAATTGAGCAAAAGTCAGAAAGCCTTGGTCTTTTTATATCTCAGCCAAAGGTGTCTACTGAGCTTTCACTGTGTGCCAGCTACCATGCCAGGCTCTAGAGATGGGCCAGTGAACAAGGCATTGTGCTTGTCTCACTCTAAAAACTGGCAGAGAACATGAACATTAAACTTTAAGTATTATGATCATTAATTGCATAATTACAAACGTTCTAAGAGCTCCACAGGATTCCACTGGACCATTTGACTGAGAGACCTAAGTGGCTTATCAGGGATGGCTGATAAACTGAGTTTGGAAGAATCTGTAAAATTAGTATCACAATGTACTTTTAAGGTGGCTATAATGGTTTTTAAAACTAAATGTAAAATTTTGGCAAATAGTTGGTTCTCAATAGATGTTAGTTATTGAACAGTGTCATAGAAATCTGTGCATATGTAATCAAAGGCAAAGTTCTAAAAGGAAAGAAAAAGGCCGCAGCTTTTACCACATATTAATCCATATGCTACTGCTATCATTATCACAATCAATATTAACACATCGCACTGAGCTGTTTCATAATTGTATTTCTATGTTTCCCCTGACAACTCTTAATTCAACCGCTAGGGAAGCCCCTGTCTTCCTGTCTGCCTTGTTTTGGTTTTGTTTCATGTACCTTTCCTGGCAACGGGGTCCATTTACTTCACTGGTTACCATAGAAGCCTGCTTGTTCTGAAGGGCAGTAAGTGTTCTAGGGAAATCAGCAAACTACAGGAAGGGAAAGACTAAAAGTCTCTTGCCCAGATTATGAGTCAACCACTAAATTCAATTCACTCTATTCCAAATTTCTTCTAGGTGGGGTCCAATCTGGGATGCAAGTGGAAGCTTAAAGGTTGTATTACTTCAATATCTGTTTTCTATAAAATCATTTTTATTTTTATTTGAAAGATTGTAAACAGTTTGAATAAGTAAGTCTCTTGATTTTACCATTTTATTTTATTTGATGACTAACTTTCTTTTATTGCTTCATAAAATGAACCTCATGGAATGTTTGCTTACTTCCCATTGCATGAGGAATAAAAAGGAATTGCTTAAGTGTGTTTGACGATCATTGTAAATAGCATATAAACAGGACTGAAAATATAGACCTGCTCAATAGTGGGCATAGATACAGTGAAAGATACTGAATATTTATATTCATGAATCACAGTAAGATTTTCAAGATGGACCTATAAAAAGAAAAAAAAAAGTTATTCATCAGTGTCTAATCCGGAGCTGAAGTTTGGCCAACATGGATTTCAATTGAGTAAATCATTTCATTCATTTGTACAAAAGGGACAACTAACATATACTTTCTCAGACACATATTATTTCATTTACCCCTCCCAATAACCCTTTGAAGTAATATTGTTATTGTCATTTTTGAATGAGGAAATTAAAATTAAAATCACAGAGAGAGAGACAGTAAGTGCTTTTTAAAAGGGCCCTTAGTCCCTCAAGAACAGAAAAATAGGAATTTTATTATTTCAGTTGTTTATGAAGTAAACTAAAATGTATATAGTTCCTAGCAACTTAGCAAAAGTATGATTTTTTAAAACATAAAGAAGAGGACAACTGTGCCATTCATTGCACCACAAAAGCAAAGTTATGTAGAGACAAGAGTACAAAAACAAGGGCCTTTGCTCTGTTGTTTGTTGAAAAGGAAGTGTCATTATATTGGTAAAAACAGCCCTGTCCTTTCATTCAATGGAAAGAAATCAGAAATCCAACCTGGAACAGGCTTGGGCTCAGTGGAAAAATCATGTCCCAGTGCAAAAGTAATGGCTGTTGTAGATTAATAACCATTTACAGCTTTTTATCTTGGTTAAACTGCTATCTTCCAGACTGTAAAAGATAACCTGGGCTTGTTGCAGAGCTTTTTAAAGAAAACACTCTGCCTCTTAGGAAATCCGTCTCCCTATGCTTTGCTCAGGAGTTTGAAGTCATTCTGTCAATATCTTGGAAATAACATTTCTGAAAAGCAGATTATTAGCCCTGAGTTACATCTTCCACCAGTGGAATATTTGCCTTGCCTAAATAGCAGGTGGGGCTTAAAAGTGAGAGAATATCTCTGTAGAGAATTTCTGAGCTTTCCATTACTGAAACACAAAGATGTATTTTAGGAAATTGCAGAACTGCTGCATCCAAATCAACTCAACACTTAATAAGAAAAGCACAGAATCTATCATTATTCCTATTAGCAATGAGTATATATGAGTGGATTTCACCTTGGAGATTCTCAGAGCAAAAAATTTACAAGCTGTTCTCTATATACAACAAGACTTTGCCCACACTAATAACTGGAGACTTCATAAACTGTAAGGCACAAAACCTATCACAGTATAGCTGGGGAGATTTTAAGATCAAATATAATTATTCAACAAGCAGAATCAAAAGACTCCATGTCTATACACACTTGGTAAACAGCCAGGATGTAAACTGTCAGCCCCAGGATTCAGTGTTTCCCTGTATCTTGCATACTCTACGCAGTTTGCTCTGAATCACTGTTTAAAAAAAAAAAAAAATTCCAATGATTCATTCTCCTCTAATCTTAGTAGAAAGCATTTCCACACCAAAGTGGACTTTATTTTTTCTTCCACTCTCAGTCAGCATGGAGTGAGACAGAAGGTCAGGAGCCTGTTTGCTAATCCTTTCTCTGCCACAAATCACAAATCACCTCTAAGACCTGGAGTAAGTAACTTCTCATCTTGGCCTTCCTGCCTTCCTTCATCTGTAGAGTGTGGGGGTTGAGCAGGAGGATTTTGAAAGCCCCTTCCAACTTGAGGATTCCGTGATAATATAAAGCTGTTCCCCGGTGTCTGGCAAAACTCCTAGTTTCTGTCTCTCTTGTTTCCTGACGTACAGTTAAATTATGGGTCCCTCAACTGAATTTCAATAAAAAAGGCTCTTACCCAGGGTTAATTGCAAGTTTTGAAAGGGGGAAGGGAAGAGCCCACATGAAGAGTTGCTGAGAGCCCAGCAATTGCTACCAGGACTAGAATCAGCATATCTGTTTTGCCAAAATTCTTCTCTGAGGTCACAAAGCCCAATCCTCTTAATAAAAGAAGCAGGTTCAGCTAGAATTTTCCCACCCAGTCTAACAATGATGGAATTTCAAGACATTGTTCAGTTGCTGTCATAGGAAATTGAAGTTTTTAGATCGAAGCTGGTATTACTAGTATCTCTTGTTGAGAGGCAAACCAGAAACAATAAACTTTTATCCAGAAAAGAAAAAGTGTTTATTTAAACCCAGAAGTATCTATTGCTGTATCTCAATATGCCCAGCCGCAGGGCCACAGTAAGAGGTTCATAGCTGAGCCCTTCCTGCTCTGCCCACATCATACCAAACATGTTAATACATACATACATACCCAATCTCATCCTAAACATAACATTTTTCTTTATGCTGCAAAAGGATTTTTATAATTTTGTTTTTGAAACTTTCATTTTGCAGTGTATTTCTATTTTGTAGCCTATAATTTTTTCCAGTTTTCAAATATTTTCATCAGCTTTTAAAAAGTTTCACGTCTATAGTGCCCAATAAATTAAAATCTCCCTGATTAACCTTACGTTCAACATTCTTCTGAAAATACACCAGACCATCAGAACTGGCCACATAGTAAAAGTCACAATCAAAGAAGCCTCTTCCAGATACCGCACAAGGCAGCTACATTCCCTGAAGCCAAACTATATTCTGGAGACTTCAACGTCAAGTAGGCTGGGTTCCAATTTGACACCAGGATCCTTAACATCTGGGAAGACCAAATTTGGGAAAAGAAACAAAAGTAATAAGTTTCCCTTCAGAATATAAGTTTGAGAACCATTCAAATATGGACTTCATACCCTTCTAGAAGCTGATTCTTCCTATCTCATTATACATTGACCTTTGAAATGGAGCTTTGCCCTGTATACTGTAGCTGTATTGAATGGTGCTTCAAGTTCCTGGGATGGGAGTTTTCAGGCAAAGCAACCTGGCACCAGGGAAGGCGGGGATTGTAAACCAGAAACTGTACTGTACTTGGTATTGGAAAAATAATCAGTCTGCCAGAACAGACATCTTCTGTATTCCGACACCTAGTATCTAATCTAGAAAACATTCTGATTGTTCTCACTCATTTTTTTCCATGACAAAACCGTTGCCTCAAGAGGGGGAAAAAAATCCCTGATAATCTTGATTACATTAAGGGGTCAAAGATCCATTTAGGACAGCTATTCTTATCCAGCGTCATTTTCAACATCAATAACATATTTCAATAAGGCTCTCTTTGAGTGTTTCAAAGCAAAATCACCTTGAGCCTTCATGCAATGGACTAAGTCAATAAAGTCCATTGAAAATTGAGATGGAAAACCTGTTTAAGAATGTGCAGTTTAGAATCACATGTGTGAGAAATTTCTTCTTAATATGTCCTGGCCCCGTGATTAATGCTACATTTTTCCCAGATCTTTCATGGCTGAGTCTTGGTTAGCACCCAAAAATGTACTATCATGCTTAGAGACCTACCCGGAGTAAGTGGGTATTCTACCCCTAACCCAAAACCAGTACACATGCCTGACAGAGGAATAGAATATGTGAAATTCACACTTTCCTGGAATATCCAAAACATATGATCTCCATGCCAGAGAAGAATCCTCTATGAAATGATATTTAGGGGACAAATGGTAAAATGCTTTCCACAGCCACATTCAGTTTCTACTGATAAATCTGCCTTCTTTTATCCAGGATGGAGGGAAATGGCAGAGAGGGGTGAGGGTACTGGGAACCAGCATTGTCAGCCTACACAACTCTTCTCTTCCAAGGAAAGAACAGCACAAACTGCAAAGAAAGGAGAGAGACTTGCGGACAAACTAATTTCAGTTTTTCACGTCTACTCACTCTTGAAATGAAAATCATAGCACATCGATCCAGTTCTGTATTTCAGAAATGTGCTGCCTGGCCTTTTCCTGAGTTGTCTATTATTCCATTAGACAAAATGATAGAAATTTCTATAATTTAAAAGTGACTGGCCCAACCTACCTTTTTTATGGTGATGGGTTTTTTTAATTCAATTGGAAGTAGTACCAGGTAAAATAGAAGCTCTTATCCCTGATTTAATAGCAAATGGATAGTAGTCTGCATATTTGTTTGGTAAGTTATTTTTTAAATATTTACACTCATACAGTCTTATG
The DNA here is from genome assembly GCF_000001405.40 of Homo sapiens. Lineage (NCBI taxonomy): Eukaryota > Metazoa > Chordata > Mammalia > Primates > Hominidae > Homo > Homo sapiens. The sequence continues at coordinate 89,945,498 of NC_000012.12, read as the reverse complement.
TGGGTATCACTGACTATGTGATATATTAATTGTGTCATGTCTTTTCTATTAATTGTACATTGGGTTAGACAAAATTCCTGGTAAAAGAAAACATTGTGGTTAGGGTACTAAAGCTTTCAAGTAGGATATGACAAAAAGCAGGTAATAATATTCTCCAAGAAGAGGATTATGTTGGAAGAAAATTGAGTTAGGTGGCTTATTAGGATTCTTATTGAATTTTAAGAACTTTCTGATTTGTTTTGCTCTTAGAAGGGGCTCATGTACTGTCCTTTGAAAGCATATTATGTAGTCTGTAACCATATCTGCCATGATTAACATTTCTGAGAGAGTTTAACTTTTAAATGAACTTGGGAGATTTACCACTGAGGCTGTTTTGAAAACCGATTAAGTATTTCATAACCTTATAAAATTATAAAAATTTTAGCTATTTTCTCTGGCTTCTGATTAGAAGTATGTATAGAACCCCATCATTTTAACTAATATTTTTCTTACTAATTTAGAAATTGAGGCCCAAAGTTACGAAATGACCGGCTTCACTGCTACTTACTGGCAAGAGACCTAACATAAAGAGTTCTTTCTATCACATTCTGGTATTTCGATTTATTTCAATAATTTGTATTAATTTGGTTAGATCTTTGGAAGAAAAGTAAATGTCCTTTAGTGCAGCTATTCATGTTTGTCCTCGAACAAGGTATTTGAGAATCTTGAAATTAATAATGTATTCATTCATTCAACAGACATTATTGAACCAATACTACATACAAGAGATTTTAAGTGAGTAAGGTAGAAGGGGAGTACAAAGTACATAACTCTCAAGAAGGTTTTGGTCTTGCAGAAAATAGATTGTGCCTTGACAATTCTCAAGCCTGACTCATCCAGCAGGAACAGTGCCTAAGGCCTACAATATTTTTAGGGGCTATGAAAGGTTTTAATATTAATATCTCTTCAAATCAGAAGAAAAAATGAATATATTCAGCCTAGATTATATTTGTCTTTATACAAATACAGTCATAAAATATAACTGTCAATAATTTTTTTATGGAAAAAGGGTCCCACAGAGGAAAAAGTGCCTGGTGCCCATGAAAGTCATATTGTAGCTCTGAAAACAATACTCCAAATATCTACCCCCAAAATTTTACCCTAAAACATTGAGAAAGCTGAATTTTCAGAAACAGTCTCAGAAAGCTGAATGTATCATTTACTCCAGTTACCATCTTAGAGGCCTTATAAATCTACCACCGATCTCTATTTCTGAATAGAACTCTTGGGAATTTTACTTCACACTAAAATTTCCTTCACAGAGGTCAGGGGACAAAGACAGCTCAGGTGATTCACCAGCAGTTAATGGTTTTCTGATCTCTGGAACCAAGCAGGCTTTCTACACAGACCTCCTAGAATTAAAACTCCATGGCTTCAAGTTTATACCATTTTATGACCCTGGCAAAGCCTTCCAAACAGACTAATTTAAGATTTTCCAAACTATATGACGTTAATAGATGTTGCTGAGAAAAAAAAAAATCTATGACCAGATAATTTGGGAGCATGCTATATATAATAAACCCTGCTCTTGTAGGTTATCAATTAACATAGTAAATGTTATCAGATGTCCTACTGGAAAGAAACCCTGGTTAACTTTAATTCAGCATTTTCCAAACTTGTTTGAATACAAGGCTCTTGTTCAAGAAAGTTTATTAACATTTCACAGGAAACCAATGTGTCATGGGACATAATTTGGAAAACATTAGTCTATACAAGGCATAAGCAAACTTTTTATGTAAAGAGGCATATCATAAATATTTTAGGCTTTATGAGCCAGATAGTCTCTGTCACAATTACTCAAATCTGAAGCTGTGGCAGGAAAACAGCCATAGACATTACATAAACAAATGGGTGTAGCTGTGTATTCCAGTACAACTTTACTTAGAACACAAGCAGTGGGCTGGATTTAGCCCAAGGGCTCTAGTATGCTAACCCTTGGTCTATGCTTTCCACTAAACCTTTTCAAAGCAGCTATAGCTATACCAAAAATGTTACAAAGTCATCTTTCTACATGTTAAGATTCAAAAACAATCAATTCAACCTAAAGTTTTTTTTGCAAAGTATCTTTTTGGTCTGAAACTAATGTCAACTCCCATAAATGGCTACTCTTTCCATCAAAGTTCTTGAAAGTGTTTGCCAAAAGACAGGAAGGATACCCACTAAAAAATAAACAGTGGATATTATTGGATGTGAGACCACAAAGGATTTTTTTTTTCTTCATTGTACTTTTCTGTAACATTTTTGTAATTAGAAACTAAAACAGTGGAAGTGAGGTAGGAGGTGGGACTCCACTCCAGAGACAGGGCTCAGACACGAGACCAAATTGAGGACTAGCTAAAATAGTATACCCAGCAGAAGCACCTCTCAATAACACAGGCCCACCAGTGTGCCATGGCAGTTGCCATGGCAACACCCAGAAATTACTGTCCCTTTCCATGGCAATGACCTGACAACCTGAAAGTTACCACCTCTTTCCTAGAAATTTCTGCATAAACCATCCCTTAATTTGCATAGAATTAAAAGTGGTGTAAATGTGACTGTAGAATTGCCTCTGACCTGTGCTCTGGGCACACTGCCTATGGAGTAGCCCTGCTCCACAATGAGCAGTACCTCTGCTGCTGCTGTGCACTGACGTTTCAATAAAAGTTGTTGTTTTAGGCCACCAGCTCACCCTTGAATTCTTTCCTGGGTGGAGTCAAGAACCCTCCTGTGCTAAACCCCAATTTTGGGGCTTTCTTGTCATGCATCGGAAGTTATTTTTTTAAATAGTCTTCCTATAGTTCAGCATTTTTTAAAGCCTTTCTCCATAACACCCCTTTATATTTGCATGGCACTGGGAAGTTCCCACAGCCTTATTTATTTATTTATTTATTTATTTATTTATTTATTTATTGTATTTATTTCATCTCCCCCTCCCAGCTCCCCTTCTAAGTAAAATAGGACAAATATCGGTTCTGCTCTCAGTTTTCCTCAGTCTCATCTCCAAGTTCTACCTCTCTCTTACAACTTAAATTCTCACCTCTTTAAGGCTATTTCCTAAATGTACATTCCTAGTCCTAATTCATCTCATCATAATCACCTTGGAATTTACTTAATATGCAAAACCCTGGCTGGCTCCATCTGAGACCTAATTAATCAAAATATTCAAGGATATAGAACCTGGGTGTATTTCAAAAAATTCCATAGGAATTTAGATGTGTACTCCTTGTTTGTAAAAAAAAAAAAAAAAAAAAATTGTAAACAATTCTTTTGAGAGACTTAATCATATGATACCTTTTTCCTTGGTTTATCTTCTGTACCAGATTCTTAAAAGCAAGGAATATGGCTTATTTACCTTTTTACACTTTTTATAACTATTTAGCAGCTCTATGCTCATTGACATGCAAGATGGATTTTATTTTGGCCAGCAAAACAAATAAATATGTGGTAAACTTAAAAGATATATCTGCATTTACTAACTCTATTTTCTTACCTTTTGTGTACTCCCTAATCTACTACATTTGGGTTTCTTTTTTCTGCCACACCACTGCCATTCTTTCCAAGGTCACCAATAGTTCTTTGGTTGCTAAATCAAAGAAACGCATAAGCACTCATCTTTTTTGTTCTGTCTCCAGCTTTTGACAACTGATGACCATTCCCTTGCTGTTGAAATGCTGCTACTTGATATCTACGTAAATGTCCCATAAATACTGCTAGTGCAGACTCCAAACTGAACACATCTTTATAGCTTCAAACCTGCATTTTCTGCTTTGTACCCCTCTCTTGGAATGGTGCCATCATTCAGCTAGCTTCCCCCAAAAAATACCCAAGTATCAGCCTGAAGTCACTGTTTTGTTTATTCCATTTGCCTCATACAATTATCAACAGTTACCCACAATTCCAAAACAAACTGCTCGCTTGGCAGCAAAACCTCTCTGAAGTGATTGAGAATTACTAACAGTCTTGATACATCTAATTTACTGTGAATATGTGACTTTTACTGTGCAAATATTGATGTCTTGATTATTGCCCAGCCCTCCCTAAGGGTGTGATATAACATACTTTATATACATCATACTGCCTTTCTAGGAATATCAAAAAGATTTCTAAACCCCAAAGCATTCCATCTCAGCAAGTCCTGGAGATTGTGGATTTGTACCTCCTATATCCTAACTAGCTCTCAAGGTCTTCCAATTTTATCCAACTCCTTAGAGAAGGCAACTAGTATCTCTTGCCTGGATTGCAGCAAAAGCACCCCAACTGCTTCCATTGTCCAAAATCTTGCCTCCTCAAATCCTTTTTCCACTTGCAGTCAGAATAATCAAAAAAGGTCAATCTTCTCTCCCATTTTGCTCCTATCATACAGTCCAAAGGCAGAACATGACCTAGAAAGCCCCAGATGACCAGGGCCCTGCCTAACTCTTCAACCTTATTGCTCATCACTTCCTATTCCCAATTCTGCCATACCAAGCACCTTTAAGTGCCTCCATGTCCTGCTCTCTTTCATGTTCAGCCTCGAGGACTGGACTTCTAAGTATTTGTTGAATCAATGAATAAATTCTTACTTTCAGGGCTACTAAGAGAAAACTGATAGGTATTTTTTCTGAGCAGAGACCTGCTATTTTTTAATTCTTCTCCTTTTGGTGTGAGAAATGGGAGGTGGAGGCAGCAATGGCTACAAGTAATAGTATTAGTTAATAAATATAATGGTAAAGGGCTGCAGGGCATGGTGGTTCACACCTGTAAGCCCATCACTTTGGGAGGTGGAGATGGGAGAATCACTTGAGCCTAGAAGTTCGAGATCAGCCTGGGAAACATAGCGAAACTCCATTCTCCCAAAATAAAAATTAAAAATTAAAAATTAGCTGGGTGTGGTGGTGCACACCTGTAGTCTCAGCTATTTGGGAGGCTGAGGTGAAAGGATCAACTAAGCCTGGGGAGATTGAGGCTGCAGGAAGCAATGGTTGTGCCACCGCACTCCAGCCTGGACAACAGAGTGAGATCCTGACTCTAAATAAATTAATTATTTAAATTAAATAAAAATATTGGTATGGACACAAGCAACTTAAATGTTATGACCAGACACAAATGTCCTGTTGCCCTAATAACATTTCAAAAGTATTTCCTGGAATTTGAGCCATTTTCTGCTAAGTGCTTCTTTAGCTGACATTTAACATTGGCAGCAGTTGTATCTCTAGTTTAAATTATTAAACATCCACCATGCACACAACATTTGATATACCTTGTATAAATTATTACTAATCTTTGTAATAAACATATAAGGTGGGCATAATTATCTCAGTTTTAAGGATAAAGAAACTGAGTCTCTTAGAATTTGAATGATTTTCCCCAAGGTCACAATTTTAACAAGTGACAAAAATACTCTTCATCTGCAAATCCTTTTCTACCCTCCACACTGAGAATGGGCCATACTGCTAAGCAATCCTGAAGAGATGATGAATCATGGGTGACAGGGAAGGGAAAGCAGTCAGGGAGGCCAATGGGAGAGTCAGAGTTAACTGGAAAGGAGGAGGGAGGAGGAAAATGCATACAACTTATAAACTCCTTAATTATTAATATATCTGGCTAGATTGTAAATTCTATCAAGGAAGGGTCCAAATTCTTTTACTTGCTTCTTTATCTATTATACTGCCTGGGATAAGGCTGGAAACAGAGTGGGTACTTAATGAACACTTAGGAACTAACTACTTATTAATAACATGTTGACTAAGTATTGCCAATATTAATCAGTGCCTACTTCTCCCCACCCTTAAGATAGAATGTAGATGAGATCAGAGCAAGGTGTGGCAGGTGTAGTGAGGCTTATCAGGAGAAGGAATTGCAATACCTATAAAGACTTCCTCATTAAACCCTCTGACCTCAGATAATTTTGAAAAAGTACTAGTTGCCAATGAGCCAAAGTCCGGAGTTTGACTTTCAAGGAATTGAGTTGATGAGGAACAAGTTGGATTTCCATCAATGAACTGTTTAGACATTGGTTCTCATATTGACAAATATTTACTAAGAACTCTGTAGCCAGGTAATGGGTAGACACTATGCATGGAGATATCCAAACCTCCAGATATAGCCAACTGGTATAAATATGCCTTAAAATGGCTTTTATTTTGTTTGCCTAAAAAGCCCAAACAAAAATTTTCTAAACTATCAGATATGTAAACCATCATCTTTTTACCTCCAATATGCCTGAAAAAGGGCCTGGAGAATGTTCTTGACCAAAATGAGGGAGCAAAACATGGAAAGCAGAGAATCCAGCGCAGGAAAGAAAATAAAGGAACACCCAGGGTGACGATGAGGAGTTGTCTCAGGATGCTAGCTGCAGAGCAGGTCTGGAGAACAATGAGTTTACATTTTAAACAAGAGAAAGGAGGGCTCCAGGGGGGAATGCTTCTATTACAAAATAATAATAATAATAAGACATAAGCTTACTAGTGTGTTAGAAGATACTGAAAAGAGGTAACCAGAGTTGGAAGGTCACTATGTGATAGGTACACAGAAAAACTGAGCAAATGAAAACTTTAGCAAATTAAGTCCAACAAAACTAAAGTTGTTCAAAAAAGAAAATAAAATCACAGTCTACTAAGTGGCTCAGTTGAGAATAACATGTACATAGTCTTCATAAATAGGGAATATTTATTTTACTGTAAAATAGAGCCTTTTTTTTGAGATGGAGTCTCACTCTGTCACCCAGGGTTGCCCAGCTATTTTTTTTTTTTTTCAGTAGAGATAGGGTTTTGCCATGTTGGCCAGGCTGGTCTCGAACTCCTGACCTCAGGTGATCCACCCACCTCGGCCTCCCAAAGTGCTGGGATTACAAGTGTGAGCCACTGTGCCCAGGCAGTAGAGCTTTTTAGAAAGAAAAAACTTTAGTACAGGTTGGAGAGGTAAACTCAGAAGGGTATAACAGAGATTACATCCTCGAAAATATATTCCTTATCACATGCTCAGAAATAACAATGCATATGCCCAAACTTCCAGATGAGACATTTGAAGACCTGCTGCCTTCTCTCTTCTAGATACACAAGCAAGGGAAAGTCATATGACTACTACCTAACTCCTTAAATACATAAATAGAAACACCTACCATGTCTGAAACATAGGTGTGTTCAATGTGTTTAAAGCTGCCCATGCCTCAGTTTTCTCACCTATAAAATAGAGACACTCACATTAATCCCCTAAAGACTGTTTTTCCCTTTCTGGAACTGGAATTGAAGGAAGTTCTTTTTCCTCTTAGGGAGTGAGCCTTTACGATAGAGACACTGGTTCATTTAAAAAAAAAAAAATTAAGTAAAACATGTAAATTTTGGCCTGCTGTCCTACAGAGACCCTGTGGGGGAGAAAGTGATCCCTATTCAAAGAGAGTTTGTGTTACATTTTCTTCCCATTCCAGGCTCAGTTCATTGTACAGCAAAGTGGGAGACAGGTGTGTTTTAGGTTGGTTTCTGTCCTACCACAAAAGATATGTTGAAGTCCTAACTCCTAGAATCTGTGAATGTGACCTTTATCGGAAATAGGCTCTTCACAGCTTTAATCAAATTAAGATGAGGTCTTTAGGGTGGGTCATAGCCCAATATGACTGTGTCCTTGAAAGAAGAGGGAAATTTGGACACACAGAGAGAGAGGAGGAAGGCAGGTGAAGACATCCACAGAGGGACAAGAATGCAGCAGCTGCAAACCAAGGGACACTGAGGATTGGCAATCACCACCAGAAGCTAGGAGAGCCAGGGATGGGTGCTAACCAGGCTCTCAGAGGGAGCGTGGCCCTGCTGACATCCTGATTTCAGATTTCTAGCCTCCAGAACTGTGAGACAGTGAGATTCTGTTGTTTCAAGTCACCCAGCTCGTTGCACTTTGTTAGGGCAGCCCCAGGAAACTAAGTCAGTGATGTCTTCCAGATCCTCAACAAAACCAAGTCCCTCTTGTCCACTTCCAACCGCAGTGGTGCAGCTTGGGGGCACATTCTTCTGATGCCCAGAGAAAGACACATCGAGCCTTCCCAGAGTACAGTCCTGACACCTGGAGGGGCCAGTTGGCAGGCACCTCATTCACTGACCACAACGAAGGTGGCCAAGCATTCCAAAGGTGGGCTGTCAGGGACAAAGTAACTCTCTATTAAAAGCAAAATAAAACTAAACACAGAATTAAAAGCTGTAACACGCACCTATTTCAAATACGATAATTGTACCACTGGTATCTACACATTAAAGTGCTGAATTATACTCATCTCATCTGTTAGCTTTGTATTTAGAAAGCTATAAGCTTCACATACCTTATGGGACAATTTGGTGCCATTTGTTTGGGACGACCAAGGCCTCATAGAAGAAATTGTGCCAGGAATGCCTTTCTAAGATACTGCCTTGCAGTGTTCCTCTAAAGATAAAATATTAAAATAGCAAAAAGCATTACTCTCAATGTGGGCATTGTTGCTTGTTTCTTATCAACACGGTTTTGAAAAATAAAAATAAGGAAAGTTTTTTTTTTTAATCCTCATTAGTTCACCGGTGGAAATTAAATAACAGAGCCAAGAGAAAAGCAACATATATTTTGACTGCCAGAAATGCAAATGGAGTGTGTGAAGAACTGCCCCATTAGCTGCCTGTCTGCCTGTAGAACCAGGCCTTGCATCTGACATGCCTTACAGGTTAATTGGGGACAGCTGCTTGTTTGAAGAGTCTAGCAGTTATTCTGAGGAACCGGCTAGCCAAATCTATCCTATTTGATTATGAGTAAAAATGCAGAGCTTAAGTCTTCTCAAGAGAAACCAAAAAAAAAAAAAAAGAAAAAAAGCATGTTTTGAAGATGGGAGGAAAGAAATCTGAATTTTTCCCAACAGTTGATGCTGACATTTAATATTGTCAAGAATACTAAATTGTCTCATTCAGACTGCTTTTTAAGCCTTATATTACAAATAGGTAAGCTAGGCCCTTAATTTGATGCAGTTTCTGAACCAGCTGGGGAACTCAATGATTCTAAAATATTCTAGGATTATCATTTACTTCCCTGTCCCTGTAGAATCTTCTGATTAAGTGAGGAAGCCCAGAAATATAGACATGAAAGGAAGATTTTATTTTTAGTTGTTGCTTTTGGCAAAAGTTCTCTGCCTAAAGGGAGGGAATTTATTCTGAAAAAAAATGGAGTTTTCTTCCCTGCCACATAAAGAAATAAAAATAGCAAAGGCCTCATAAATTACCATTCCACAGTGTCAGGATGTCTAGTTGCGGAGCTGATTGGTTAGGTGAGGGCTGTTGTAAAGTCACTCTGCAGGCAAGAGTCCCCTGCCTACTCCCTAACACTAAAATGACAACTGGGAACAGGCGAATAGACCTTTGGGCAAAAACACATATTTTTTTCTTCCATGAACAAGTACAGGTTTTAGAGAAGGCCAGAAATGACTAGACTTCCTCATCATTATCATACACCTCCCTTCCAGTCACAAAATTCTCAATGTCAGGAAGTAGTCAAACATCTCTCATACCATTCGTAAAGGATGTCAGAAGTGAATGTGTTCCACATGCGTAAAAGCTTGGGCAGCTTTCTTCTCACTCTCCTAAGTCACCCTGCCAGTGAGCCGAGACTCACGATGGGTCAAGATTGGTGGTTTGGCTGCAGGCATCCTATATCCACAGTTTGATCTAATTGACCTAAAGCAAAAGAAGTTTAAACAGTTCAACACACTGGAACTCAGAATCCCCATTTTTGCCTTTTCTCAAATCCTGATGGTTGCCTTGCCTGCTAGGCTGAATTTTAATATGTCCCCACCCCAGAGGCCACAGTCCCTACTCCCCAGGACTGTGAAGATGATGATGTATCATGCTTCTGATTGTGTTACTTAACACGAAAAAAAAAAAAGTGATTTCGAAATACAATTAATGGGTACTAATCAGTTACTTTGAAATAGGGAGATTCTTCAAGTGAAACTATTCTAATCACATGAGCCCTTTTAATCCAACCAGTAGTAGAAGAGGAATCCAGACAGATTCAAAGTGTGAGAAGAATTTGATGCAAAGGAGGTTTGCATTTTCCCATTGCTGAGTAGAGGGAACCACAGGGCAGGACCTGAACACAGACTCAAGGAGCTGAGGGTGGTCCCCAGATAACAACCAGCAAGAAAATAGGAACTGCAGTCATACAAGCACAAGACCTGGATGCCACCAACAAGCTGAATAAGCCTGGAAGTACACTCTTCCCCAGAGCTCCCACTAAGAGCCTTAATCAATACTTTTAGGCTTTGTGAGATCCTAGGTAGAGGACTCAGCAGACCCTGCATGGACTTCTGACCTCCAGAACTGTGGGTGTTTTTCAAGCTGCTAAATTTGTAGTAATTTGTTACTCAATAGTAGAAAACATATATCCCTGCACCAGAGACACTATCCTTGTGGCCTGTCCAGTTTCCCAATTCTTCTAAGATGAGGGTCCTTCCTTCCTCTTACCAGATCCTCCTGCCTCTTCACCAAAATTTCCAGCCCAGTAACTGGGTCCCTGCTACCTGCTCAAAAGATTCCCCACGTCTTGAAGGATTAGATTATGGGCCTACCTAGATTCCTGAACTCCCTGGCCTCTGACTTACATACTCTGAGGATAACTGGTCACTGGGCTCCCCTGCCTCCTCCTATTATGTGCCCACATCCAATGCCTATTATCCACACACATTTATGAAAAGAGCATGAACTTTAAAAGCAGCCAGTATTTTTCATCTCAACTCTACCATTTTACTACTTATGTGATATTAGGAAACTAATTAAACCTCCAGGGACTCATTTGTCACATTGTAAAATGGAGACACTGCCATCTAGTTTGTAAGATTTTGTGCAGATTAATCCTACTGTGCAAAAAGTATATAGCAACTTATTGTCATTACTATCACTTTTTGTATCCATCTATACAACTAAATCATGTGTTCTCCCTGTTGAAATGGACATTTCCCCAGAGCATTGAAGCCAGGCCTTGTCCTAAAATTTCTGCTTTGGTAGGTGGCATAGTTCCAAGTCCTCATCACTCCCAGTTGGCATGCCATGCTAACCTCACCATGTCCCAGAACAGGACCATTCATTCATTCATTCGTTCATTCAATAAACAGTTATCAGGGCCCTACCTTCTATATACTTCCTAAGTATTGTAGAAGACACAAGAATGTATTAGTGAGTTAAACAGGTAAAACTTCAGAGTTTACATTCTAGTGTGAGCCTTGCATGATAAAGTCATTGCATAAGATGTGTGAATGTATTGCCACTTTCAAGTTATCTCAGGACCTTGAGAGTCATAATAACAACCATCATTGCCCCAAAAATGTGTGGGAATCTGATCAACATTTTTCTTGCATGAAAAAACAGCAGGCATTGTGTTTCATAGCTGATAGCTAAGATTTAATATTCCTTCTGCCAGAGAAAAGAACAAAGGTAGTAAATTTTATGTGGTAGTGAAATGCTCGTGTTATGCCTCAGTGAGTTAATGAAAAAAAATCACTTCATTTCAGAGATTTGGGTAATGAGTCCATAAAGAGAAAGCAAGGCTGCAGCCAAGGCTGGGAGTACTATAGAAGTATGTGAACAACCTGCTGGTTGGAGATCAGACTAGCTGCTTAAAAGAAAAAAAAAAATCCACTTAACTTCCCATTGGAAGCAAGCCCTGACTCTCTCTGGAGGCCATTTTGTAACCCTAAAGAGCTTATTCCAGAGAATCACTGAATTTATCTCAACGGCAGTTCATCACGGTGGGTGTCAAGCCTGAACAGCAGAACTGCATGAAAAGCCTGTCTGTATTGGACCCATCCAACACCACAGGTTTTATTAAAGAGAGTCCTTCACTGAGGTGTTGGCCGAACATCATCAATGTTACCGTTTACAGTTTGTGTTGCAAAGAAGTAAATAAAAAGTGAGGCTAAAAGGAAAACAGAGTCCTCATTGAGTTGCCTCCTATTTACCAGTAATCACACCAAGTGTTTTTTGGATTGGCAAAACCGAGCTCTTTATTTTTATACTGGTAACATTTTCCAGTAGGCTCTACCAAAAGGTATCTGAGCACCTTGTGTTGTGAAATTCAGAGAAATGGAAAACATTAAAACAAATAAGCCTTGTCTTCCAGTACAGCCTACTGGAAAAGAAATTCTACCTTTCCAAGGGCATCAGCCTAAATGGGGCCTCAGTTCTTAGAATCCTTAATCAGTTGCCTTAGAAACCACGAGAATGTGGTGAGTGCCTCCAGTCTGCAAGGTAATACTGTGATAGGTTTAATCACCTGTTACTGTTCAAGCACACACTTGAGTGAAGGTGAAATTGTTATTCATTATGACTCGATGGGCTGCGTTTTGTAGATCCTTTTGGCGCTGAAATAAAAGTCTATCTCCTGCCTCAGAAGGAATGTTAGGTCCTCTAGTATTAGGAATTCTTGTTGGTCAGCCTTTGGTGATTTATCTCAGCTGGAAAGCACTCTTGAAAAAAAAAGTGGAATTCAATCCTGTTCAACAGATTATTTATTTAATTCCTACTATGTGTAAGGCACATGGTGAAAAACAGTAGCAAATTATATTCATTCTCATTTCTGAAGAACGCCAGGAATTTACAAAATAAATATGATACACCATGATGTAAATATTAAAATGGTGAGAGAAAAATGTTCTTCTTATCATTTATTTAATCTTACCAGACAAATACAGACTTTGGATTTACAGGTAAATTAAAAAATTATTACTTTTTAATATTATTTGAGACCTCCAAAACATTACCCAAATACATAAAATTGAAAGTAAAGATTACAGTGTGGGTTCTAAAATTAGTCCCAATTTCTGCTATGGAAATTAGATTTAACTCTTAAGTAACATAGCTAAATGGAAGTTCTGGTAGTTTCCTAAATTCTCTTGTGTGTGTGTGACTCTAGGTCTATTCCAACCCTATAATGGTATCTTCTCCAATCAGGGAATTTAATTCCAAACTCTTAGAAGTTTTTGTTTCTTTGCTATTGTTGTTTTTCTTTTTTTCTCATGTTCTTGCTCAAAGATGACTCTTTATATATTGTTTTTTTTTCTTTCTTCTCCCTGTCTTTTCCTTCTGCCCCTTTTCACCTCTCATCTAGATAACAAATGTTAAACGTATAGTTTCACATTTTTCCATACTCATAGACACATGCAGGGGTAAAGGGATCATTGTCATTATTTGTTTTACCAAAATGACATTATATGCAAGAATTACATCTTGCTTTTTTTCACTTAACAATACAGAATATCCATTCAACTTAGATGATACAGGTCTAACTTATTCTTTTTAGTAGACTTATAATGCTCTATGTTACAAATATAGCACAGTTTATTCACCCATTCTTCTATTAATGGTTATTCACCTTTTCAGTGTTGTGCTGCTAGAAACAGAGATGAAATAAACATCCTTTATATTATTTGCACTTTTATTTCTATAGTCCAGAATCATAGGAATAGAACTGCTGAGTCAAATGATGTGTATATTTTTAAAAAAATAAATCGCCAGGTTGTTTTTCAAAAAGTACATTCTTCGAACCATGCATGTGAATATTCTCTTTCACAAATATCCACCTATAGTTGGTATAAATCTTCCTTTAAAATTTTTCAAACTGATGTGTAAAAAGAATGATTTCATTTTCCCTTTCATCTGTATTTTCCTAACTAGTAAAAAATTTGAACAGCTTTTTACTTGTTTATTGTTCATCTGGGCTTACTTCCCTATGAATTAACTATTCAAATTTTTCATTCCTTTTTCTGTAGTATGCTTGTCTTATTGTTATCAATTTGCAAGCTCTCATTGTATATTATAGGTAATAGCACTTTGTCATTTGTGTTGCAAATGTTTTCTCAACTGTTGATTTTTACATATAGCCCCCTGAATTTTCTTATTCTATTTTTTATAAGTAGTGATTTAATCTATCCAGAATTGACAAGGCCAAAGGTAAGGGCCTAATTTTATTTTATTTTTTTCAGGTAGAAAGCCAGTTTTTACCAGCACCATATATGAACAAACAATCTTTTCCCATTGAATTTTAAAATACGATGTCTTTTTTTCTGCTCCTAATCAGTTTGTCAATTTCCATGCCAATTGCCTCCCCATTTGGTTTATGGTAATTTTACAGAATGGTTTATTGTCTATTATGCTTAATCTCTCCTCACTATTCTTGCTTTTTAAATTTTATTGGTAATACTGAATATTTATTCTTCAATATGATTTTTTAAATAATCTTGTCAAATTTTCCCCCTAAGTACACTCCAGCATTGTGTTGAATTTGTATATTAATTTTGAGAGCGTGGATGTTTTTACAATTTTAACTGTTCTCATCTAAAATATGGCATCTTGATCTATTTGGTTAGGGAGTTCTATATATTTACATGAAAATGTATGAGTTTTTTTCATGTAGGTCCTATATATTTCTTGATGAATTTAATCCTAACTATTAAATAGCTTTTTTTTTAGCAAGTAAGTGGTTATTGCCACCCCCCCAACAGACACACACAAAACTATTGCTTTTTAAATATCTATCTTATATCATCAATTCTGAAACACACATTTTTAACATCTTTGAAAATGGGACATATTCTATAATAATGACCTCTTAATTCTGACACTGTTTTTTCCTTCTTGGTGGTTCATAAAGTAACAGATATCTTAAAATATATAATATCTTAGGTTCTTTGAAATATTATATACCCAGTCAACTTACCAAATTTTCTTCTTCTAATTCATAATAGTGGAATTTTTTTTAGGTTTTCTAAGTACAGAAGTATATTATCTGCAATACGATGTCATTTTATCTCTTTTCCAAATTTATACCAATTATTTTACTTTCTTATTGAAGGTAAATATTGCTTTCTTCTTTTTATATTAGTGAATAGTTAGCACAAACAATTTTAATTGTTTGCTGTTGGTTTTTGGTAGGTTTTAATCATAGATAAGGCATTTTTTCCTTTTTCCTATTTTACATAGTTTTTATTAGGAATGCCTGAAAATTTTTAACAAATTCCTTCTAAGAATCTTGTCTTTATTGATAAAACATGATTTTTCTCTTGCAACATATAAAATCATGCTAATAATTTTCTTGATTTTCTACCATTCTTGCATTCCTGGAATTAATCCTACTTAGTGATAGTGTATTATAGTTTCCATTTTTTTGATACAATGCTGAGTTCCATTTCTTTATATTTGAATTTGAATTTTTGCCACTATGTTCACAGGAAGTTGGACTGTAGTGTTTTATCTGCACTACCCTTACTAAGCATTAAGATTATGCTGGCTTTTTATGAGGTTTAAATATTTAGCTTACATGATCTCTAAGGATTTGATCAAACTCAGCCACAAAGACATCGGGTCCTATTAATTTCTTTAATGGTTTATTTTTATTCATTTTTCAGTATTTTATATAGCATTTAGCATACGAAAGTTGTTCTTTTAGATCAATTTTAGTGAATTACATTTAGTATAATATTCATTTTCTCTAAGTTATCAATCGTGTTACAATCGAGTTTCATGAAGATTTTCTCATGTCTTTTACTGTCTTCCACATGTTACTGTCATTTTTCTCTTTTTTCTAATATTTTATTATTTATTTTGCATCTTTTTTGTTTTTCCTTTAACCAGGCTTATGAGAGATTTATCTATTTTATATAGCCTTATCAAATAACCAAGTTCCAGGTTTATTTAGTCTTTCTAGATTTTCCATTTATTTTCTTGTTCATAAGTTTTTGATTTTATCTTTATTAATACATTCTGATTTATATTATGGGTCCTTACATTTCTTTCTTTTTTTTTTTTTTTTTTTGTGAGACAGAGTCTCACTCTGTCGCCTGTCGCCCAAGCTGGAGTACAGTGGCACAATCTTGGTTCACTGCAAGCTCTGCCTCCCAGGTTCAAGTGATTCTCCTGTCTCAGCCTCCAAAGTAGCTGGGATTACAGGCGTGTGCCACCATGCCTGGCTAATTTTTGTATTTTTTTGGTAGAGACGGGGCTTCACCATGTTGGACAGGCTGGTCTCGAACTCCTGACTTCAGGTGATCCACCAGCCTAGGCCTTCCAGAGTGCTGAGATAACAGGCGTGAGCCACCAAGCCCGGCTTCATGGGTCCTTAAATTTCTTAGGATGAGTACAAAAAAACCCTATTTTTAGCCATCTCTTAATAATGGTGCCACTTAAAGCTATAAATTGCATCTAAGTACAATGTTTCCGAACTTTTACTATGTTTCATAAGTTTTGAGTTACATAGCTATTTGAGAACATGGATTGTAAAATCTCCACTTTTGGTTTTAAGTTTTTCTGTGTTTGTTTTTGTTTGGCTATGAACATGATCAATTTTTGTGAATATTCCAGAGATATTTAAAAAATAATATTATCTATTTGAAGGATGAAAAATTCTGTATTTGGCTAGTAGTCAATGTTATTGATTATAACATTTATTTCTTCTGTGTCATTACTTTTGTGTTCTCTATGTGATCTGATTTTGAATATGTATATTGGAATCTCTCTTTTTTTGCTTTATAGTTTTTGCTTTATACATTTAGTAGTATGCTATTTGGTGACTTCAGGTTAAAAGAAGTAACTGAATAAAAATATATTGCCTGGCTTCGGAGAGATCAAGGGCAGGGGTGGGGGTTCTGATCACCTTTTGACTATCATCCAAGGATTATATTAACCTACAGAAAATATTCTACTGAGTACTGCAGAGCAAGTTCAGCAAATATGCCCCCTTCTATCTGAGCAATATAAGTAGACAAGAATTTGACTATCTGTCCAATTGTTTTTGCAACTACCTATGCTGCTGAGGAGGCAGTGTGTTTAATGGTTTAGACTAGGGGATCTTAAGGTAAACTGTATGCTCTTGAGTCAGACTGCAGCTCTTAAAATAACTTTGTTCAGCTCTGTTTTCACACCTGGTAAATAGGAGATGATAATAACACAGCCTACTTTATAGAATTGTTGTGATAATTCGGTGATGGGATTCATGTGAAGCTCAGAGTCACACATGAATCAAACACTCAAAAAATTCTATTAATATTATACTAAGTTCTTGAGGCTCTCCTAGAACCATATACATAAATAGGCTTTGAAAAGAACATGATATTATATATGAATATAAATCAGCAATAGCATTATTAAAGCAGATGAGAGCAATGCAAATGTTCCAGAAATATAATTATAGAGTGTAAAATTATATGAAGTAACATGTAAAACAATGCCAAAAATTAAGTGCAAGTAAAATACAGTTAAGTTCTTCAAGGATAAGGATCGTGTTCCATTCCATTGAAATAGATCCACAGTTTTAAGCACAGAGATAGGTACACTGCAGATTAAATCAAGCTATTTTTTGATTCTCTGTGAAGAGGTACTGTCTCAAATTCTTGGATTAAATTAAATAAAAATTCTAATTTACTATCTCATGTCTCTTTCCTACAAAAGAGACACCTCTAAAACATCTTATAAAAATACTTTTAAAAATATCACTGGAGTAGTATCAGTCAAGGTTCATCATCCAAAACCTCAAAAAATAATAAATCAAAAACCATGAAACCTGACAAACTTTGAAAGACTTTAAAACTCTACCTCCATTTTCTCATACAGAAAATAGGCTTATATTTTTAAAATATTAAGTATCTCATTTTCTTTGGTACTTTGAATCTCTATGAGTCAATAACTTTGTTGCACTATGCAAAGTTGTCTAAGGAGATTAAAAAAACAAAAACCGGGTATTACAATTCCTGCTTTGAGTGAGTTTCCATCTAGCTTCAGATTCACAGCACACACTTAAAAACCTTTCTGAACCAATATATAAAGAGTACAATCTAATATTATGCAAATTGAGTACCTGAGCACTGAGGGGAAGAAAACTGAAGAAGCTAGTAATGTGAGATAAAATTCACCATTGGTCATCTGAACTCTCCAGCACCAGTAGTTCTCCAATGTTAGAATGCTAAAAATCACCAGACTTATTTGTTAAAATGCAGATTTCCAGTTCTAGCTCCAGAGATTCTCATTCAATAGGCCCACGATACCATCCAGGAATCAGGATTTTAATTAAATTCACAATCAGAAGAATGACATAATGTCTCTTTTTCTTCTCCTATAAAAGTGAAACACAAAATAATGCTTGACATGCAAAGATAAGACATGCTCTTACTTCATGGTGACCTGCTTACCAGGAAAGAGGAAGTGAAACAATCTATGAGGACTCTTTTAGCTCTAGGAGGCATATGTTTGTCAAAAGTCAAGCCATGTGAATCACGTAAACAAATTTAAAATGTACTAAAGATCTGTACTATCTGGATTTTCCACCTCTTTTTACCATAGATAAGTCTTTATGTATAGTGGACTATAGTATAATAACATAATATTCCTAATACCATTAAATATTGTCATCATCACAAATAAATTAAAAATCTACTAGCCAACTAGAAAATATTTGCCAACCATATCACATTAAAGGACGATACAGACCAGGCATGGTGGCTCACGCCTGTAATCCCAGCACTTTGGGAGGTTGAGGTGGGTGGATCACCTGAGGTCAGGAGTTCGAGACCAGCCTGGCCAACATGGTGAAACCCTGTCTCTACTTAAAATACAAAAATTAGCCAGGCATGGTGGCAGGCACCTGTAATCCCAACTACTCAGGAGGCTGAGGCAGGAGAATCACTTGAACCCTGGAGGCGGAGGTTGCAGTGAGCCAAGATCAGACCACTGCACTCCAGCCTGGGCAACAGAGTGAGACTCTGAAAAAAAAATTTTATATATATATATAATTAACACATAAAAGCTTTAACCATCTAATAGGAAAAGATGGAAAAAGACTATAAGACAATTTACAGTATAAGACATATAATTGACTCAAGTAAGGAAACTCTTCAACTTCACTAATGTTTAATGAAAAGCAAGTTATGAACACCAAGAATTTCAATTAGCAAAGATTGTTTTCAATGACAATAACTATTAAAAATAGTATTAAGAAAAATGGACTCATTCAGTCCTGTTATTGATTTTTTTTAATTTTCTGAAAAGTAGTTTATAATACATATTAAGAACCTTTAAAAATTCAGATTGTTTCAGTAATTCTTGTTTAGGAGAAAATGCCAAGGTAATAGTAAGAAATGCAGATAAGAATCATTTCTGGAAATGTTCATTATAGCATTATTATAAGAGCAGTAAGTTAAAAACCATCTACATATAAAAATGAGAAGGTGATTGCATGAATTATGGTCTATTCATATTATAGAAATAGTATATAACCATTAAAACTGTTTGTTTTTAAGAAAAATAACATACGAAAATGTTCAATATAAAATGTTAAGTGGAAAAAGAATAATTAAAATTACATATTTGGAAAATATCCCAAATATTTATTTTTTGTATGCTTGTATAACTAGAAAAAATGTGCTGAAATATTGAATGTTGTTTCTGAGTAATGAGATTATGGGTAATTTCCATTTTTCTCCTTGTAATTTTTTTTTCTTTTTTTTTGAAACGGAGTCTCACTCTGTCACCCAGGCTGGAGTGCAGTGGCGTGATCTCGGCTCACTGCAACCTTGCCACCTGGGTTCAAGCAATTCTCCTGCCTCAGCCTACCGAGTAGCTGGGATTACAGGCACCTGCCACTGTGCCCAGCTAATTTTTGTAGTTTTTAGTAGAGATGGGGTTTCACCATGTTGGCCAGGCTGGTCTTGACCTCCTGACCTCGTGATCCACCCACCTCAGCCTCCCAAAGTGCTGGGATTACAGGCCTGAGCCACCGCCCCAGCCTTCTCCTTATAATTTTTTATGCTCCCTAAATATTCTACAATAAGAGCTTATTTTTTAAGCTATCCTTTTGAGAGCTTAAAAAACTTAATACCATAGCATGTCAAAGATTAATAGGATAGAATCAGTTCCCAAAATCAATTAAACACATCATTTCCAACCAAAGGCAATTGAAAAGCAATTTTTAACAGGTATATGTGATCGGAACAGGGGCTAAATCAAGTCAAGGCACGATATCATTAGGAGTAATACAATCGGTTATGAATACTGCCATACACTTTTAATACTTATGTATTTGGGAAAACTTTAAGCAACAATTCTTTAAAGCTAATTTGTTTCTCTTAAGAACTGAGAAAGAATTGATATCTGAGAAAGTTGGAGGCTACCCAAGGAGAGAATTCAATGCCAACAAGGAAATCAAATTACTTGATTCACAAAATTGTTTTTTTATTAAGCTTCTCCTATAGCCCAGATTGTCACTTGAAGGCTGGGAGAGCAACCACCTCCATAGTACTTAAAAGCCTAGTTGAAAGTAAAAAATCTGAAAGAGACTTCAAATCTGCAGGCAAGGAAGATTTGGAAAGACTTCACTGGTTTCTAAACCCAGTTACTACTCAGAAGCACCTACAGAGCTTGTTAACCCTAGATTCCTGACCCCATTCCTAGCGATTCAGAAGGTGGAAGGTAGGTTCGGAAATGTGATTTTAAAGATATATCCCTGGTAATTCTAATGAAGTCCAAGTCCTGAGACCAGCATCTGAGAACTGCTGATATAGAACCAACAAGGAATTTAGGCCCAAAGAAGTAAAGATCAATTACATAATTTAGTTAGTAACAAAGCAAGAAATGCATTTGGATGCCTTGTCTAGAAACCAATGCTTTTTCTACTATATTTTATATTTCTAAACCACTCTCCCAACAGAACAATAATAATATAGGTTAGGTTTAGGTAAAGTACCAGGCAGCCTCAGCACCTGAGTTTCAATCTTACAATGAAAACTGGGAGGACCCACTTAAACTACAAAAGGAGTTTGTGTGGCTCTTACAAAAATCCTCAATTTCAGAACATTTTCTATAGTAGCTTAGATAACTCAAAACCCAGCTTAAAAACTAAGTAGCAGATATAGTGAGACTTTTTGCTAGTTCACACTTTTTCATTTTTTTTGAAGATCACGCACCAAAAATCACTGCATATTTGTTGTGTGATATTACAGCTATAAAATAAACAAATGTTGATTCCTTAGCTCTTTTATCCTTGGATGTTTTCACTAGCTGAGATTTTGAAATGGGGAATTATTAAAAGAAGAAGTCATACAATTATGTCATACGAACTTTCACAACTGCAAGTAAAGGGATATTCTCTTTTTACTAGGCATCTATTATGTGCCAAGTACATTTAGTTAATCTGCATAAACCTTGTTAAGCAATCATTATTGGTCCTCATTTTACAGACCAAGAAATAAAAGGAAGAAAAATCTGAGTAAATATTTTATTCAAGGCCACAAAGCCAGAAAGTGGCAAAGTGGGAATTTGAGTTCAGAACTCACAGTAATCTCAAGCTCTTTCTGTTTCCCCCAAACTCTCCCTTCCCCTTCACAACCAAAAATGTCTTTGTCAATAGAGGATATTTGAATGAAAGAGACAAATGTAAATGTTACTCTATATGCTAAACTTTTTCTATACTTTACCAATAACTGTAATTATTGATTCACTATGTTCTTCCCCAAGAGAAATAAAAAAGTACACCCTGCTTACTCTTTTTAAGTTATTATTATATAACTTATAGGAAGACATTACAGATCTAAAATCATCTCCTTAGTATTTTAGTCCTTGAGTGACAATCTAAATTGTGTACTTGTTTTTTTTAAACGGCCATTGATTGCAGGGTTGAAAAGGCTTTGTTCTATCAGAGTGGTCTAAATTTTTGAAATTTCCCTGTGGGTCACTGTATTCTCTCAAGTGACACAACCTTTGCTACAGAGTTATGCTGAAATTGCAGTGGAAGTTACAACAAGAATTTTACCAGTTGCCAGTTTATTTCTGGATCCAAGAGCTACCTAGGAAATCTTCCTCTTGAAAATTAATCTAGTTTGAAACTGAAGAAGGCCAGTGGCATGGTGGCTGTAACCAAGAGGGTATGAAGTGGGGACAGTGCTAATATGTGTTGTCTTATCAGACTACTGCCTCTTCCCAATTTAAAGCAGCGGCATGTTCTAATTAAAATGTGAGAAGAGTAGAGGAACAATTGTATCATCAAGGAGACAATTTCTAACACATAGGATTATTATTTATAATTATTAGCTTCATTATCCTCATCACCATTCATAAAACATCTGAGTTCTAGAGAAGAGTTCTAAAGCATATTTCTTTGCAAGAGCAAGAGTCACTTCACATTAACACCAGATTCCACAGATTTTGAATTTGTTCCCAATGGTCTATTTTTACTGGAACTAAAGACAATAAGCTGCCTGAGTGTGGTGTGAAATATCTATAGATATGCATCCCCTGGGCCCTCTCAAATTTTTCTCATTACTCTTTACTAGGTCTTTTGAAACAGAAAGAGAGATGCTGTCTTCAGTCATCAGATTAAAAAAAAACAAAAAGAAATAAAAAAGATGATGAGTTTAACTGTCCACTGACATAATATACTACCCCCATCCAGAGGGATTCAGGTCTTGACATAGAAATACAATGAGAATTTACCCCAAATCTAAGTATGTAGAAAATAGAGTGGGGGGATGGGGTGGAATAGGAGGAGAAAATCCAGGAGATGTCACCTATTCTCCCCTCGCACCCTTGACTTTCCCATTCCACTTTCCCAAAGAAGGAATGAGGGAATTCTAAAGAGCCAAAGTTCAATGGAGGATCCATGGAGAAAGAGGTTATCTTTCCTAGCTTGGTATAGTGTTAAATTAACAAAACAGGCTGTCTTTTGGGTAAACTAGCATATATCCTCCAATTTCCATTCAGATGTAATGAAATCTTTAAACATAACTCTAGTGGTCTTAATTTCCCATTTTCAGTTATTTTCTCTCTATATTATATTTCCATTCTTAAGAATGCATCTATTTCCATTGCTTAAGTTCTCATGTCTACCAATCCAAACTTTGTATCTCCAACACTAATTTTTCAGTCAGCCTTGTTCCATATTTCCAGGACATTTCCATCAGAACACCCTGCTTTAATTCTAAGTGTCCAAAAATCAAACTGAGGCACATTCCCACCTGAATAAACTTTTCTTGCTTTAAGTTCAGCTTCATTGTTTTCCATTACATTTTCCAAGTCACTCAAGCTTAAACCTTAGACCTATTTTTGAGTCTTTTCTCTATTCCTCCCCTAATAATCAGTACCATCTTTTCTTGTTATGATCGCTAGTGTTCATTTCTACATTGCCATTCCCTCAAATCTAGAGTTTTATTCTTGTACAGACTTGCAGTTTCCAACACATTTTCAGCCTCTGTCTGTCACAGTTAATTCTCTGACACTAAAGCTAAGTAAGTCTTTACAGAACCTCCAGTAACACACCATTTGCTTAAAAATGTATGCTTTTTCACTGCAGCCTTTCTAATCAAGCCCAAATTACTTAGCCCAGCATTTGAGATGGTCCATTCATTATCTGACCCTACCTTGCCTATCCAACCGGATAGAACCCCATTAGAACATAATTCCTGGACCCATACCTTTTGCTTTAGTCAAAGAATTCCCCCTAATGCCACCTTCTTTCCCCAAAGCACACCAAGTATTCAGAATGTTTGACTTTCCATTATCTAGGTGCTACAGCTTTCTGGACTCAATTTCAATTTCAACTTTGCAGTGAAGCATTTCCTGGTAACTTCAGAACAGAATTCTTATCCACTTTTCTAAATGTCTACAACATAAGTCATGTGAATCTAATTATACACTATCACTTTTTAATAATTTTTTTCTACTGCTTTGTGTTATAAAGTTGCCTCCCGCTGCATTGCAAGTAGTTGGAGGACCTTGATAATGAGAAGTGGTTTTATTTGTTTCTTTAGTAAAAGTCAGATAACAGAACAGTTATAAAACTATACACTATGTTTGGTGTTGAGTCTTAATTATCACTACTTAAAATCTCTTTTTATAATTTTAAGGGTCTTAAATGTGTAACCGCATTTCTAATAGGGAAATTTCAATGGCCCTATCTAAGGCCTGAGGTCATTTAGTTGAAGACAAATTGAAACAGAGTCACAGATTCTCCCTTAAGTATGTCAGTTTTGTTCAGTTCTTTGTGTACTTTCCCTGTGCTGAGTTTCCCACCAGCAGACCCTGAGACAAGGATTTATATGCAGGTGATAGGAAGAAAGTGCTGCAAAGAAACTTGTAGAGAGGAGGGCCAATAGGACAGGGAAGAGGAAATCAAACAAGGGTGCAATTTGAGACAAAGTCCCAGCCTCAGCCAAATCCCAGAAGAGCTCTGGAGGTGAATTCTTCATGCACCAGTCATTGACTACAGACTGATCTAGTGGGACATCAATTCCCAAGTACTTCCATCCCCTGTGCACTGCAAAACTCCTCCAGGAGCCCAAGGACAGACAGACTTACAGCAAACACGTTGAGGCTGGAGGATGAGCCCAGAAACAGCGCATAGACTCAAAGGGCATCTGAGTAGAGTGCAGACAGTGTCTTTATCCGGATCTTCCTGGTTCTGTAACAGAAATAACATAAAGGGCTCCTTTATTTCAAATGCCTGTATGTACATAGAAAAAAATGTTAAAGGATACAAATCTAATTATTAATGGTCGACTGTGAGATTCGTGAAGGGAGACTTTCACAATTGACTTTCCACATTTCTATATTATTAGACTTTTATAGCAAGCATTACTGTCGTAAGAAAAAAACCTGAGCCAAACAGATTTTTCCACCAAAAAATTAATGATGTACTGGTTTATTTATTATGACATGTTTTGTTGTTTGTGTTGCAAATAACTCTAGGAAAGTAACACCATCTGAATAAAAATTGATTATCTAGGCTGTTAAAATGCTCAAGTCCATTCATTAACAAATTGCATTCTCACCAAGCATAAATGATTACCATTGTAAGCCCAGAAAGAAATAAACCTTGTTAAGACTTCCATAAGAAGCGGTATTTAACTGGTTTTGTAGTCTGTGGCCACTAGAATTTTGGCTTTAATTCTAAAATATGGTCCACTAATCATATATAGCCTAATCTATATCAAAAAATATCGCAGCAAAAAATTTAAATTGTCTTTAGAAGTGTAATTTAAAAGTACTTTGGAAATACAGATGAAAGGTAGAGTCACATTTGGTTATAAGGAATGTCTTGACTGCTTTGAACATAATTGGGTAATAGCAATTGGTCAGACCTGTGCATCGAAAAGAGTAATCTGATAGCTACATGTCATATAAATTGGAAGGGCAAAAGAATGGTAGAAGTCAGAATTCTGCCAGAATAAATCAGCTGAAAGGCAATGAAGATGATAACTAATGAGAAAGAATCAAGCACTTGTCCTACCTTTCATATAGAAGCTGTACTACTGATAATGAAATAGTAGATGAGGACAATGATGATTTAAAAACATTAGAGGTCATATGATCGTGATAGTGGAGATAAGAATGAGCAGAAACTACTTAGATAGAGGGGCTGAGGAGAAAGCATAGTCAAAGATGACTGAGATCGTTCTTGTTTCAGGGACATAACATTGAAATTTTAAGAAAATACTGATTTTTTTAAAAAATTATAGAATTTTACATTTTATATCTATTAAGTATATCTCAATAAATCTGGGAGAAAAATAAAAGCTTCCCAGTTGATTCTAATGTGAAAAAAAAAGCATTAGGGCGGCGCGCACGGCATGATGGCGGCGGCGGCGCACGTGCCTCAGGAAAAGGGACGCCGGCCTCGTCAAGCCTCAGCGCGGCCCACATGCTTGGCTAGCACGCTCGCTCCCGCCTCCCGCCCAGCGCCCGGCCAAGGAGGAGGCCTTGTCCACCTGAGGCCCGGTGCCTCTCATGGAGTTGGAGCTGTACTTCCTCATCGCCCAGTACCTCTCACCGGGTCTGTGTTGGAGAAGGGCCCAGGTGCTGGTGCAGGAGCTGGAGCAGTACCAGTTGTTGCCGAACAGGTTGGACTGGGAGGGCAATGAGCATAACAGGAGCTACGAGGAACTGGTCTTGTCCAATAAGCATGTGGCTCCTGATCATCTGTTGTAAATCTGCCAGCGCATTGGTAATATGTTGGATAAAGAAATTCCACCCAGTATTTGAAGAGTCACTTCTTTACTTACTGCAGGAAGGCAGTCTTTGCTACTTACAGCGAAAGGTACCTTAATTTGAGGAAGTGTTCTGCTTCATATCAATAGCTTAATAATTATTATAATGTGAAGTAATGTAAGCATTGTGGAAGAAATGTGATAATGTAACTATAAATCATGATGTGGACTATAAAATTCTCTTCGTTTAGCATAGAACACTGAATTTTATTACCTAAGTGTTTAATGGGTCCTTCTGCATTAAAAAGTTGATAAAGATATAGATGTTAAACTAAAAAGGTTGAATTTATTCTGAGATGTATTTGAGGTTTTATCATGGTGAGTTCTTAATTTTCCATTTTGTAGCTCACTCATAATTTCATTGAATGTGATTGCATGTGTCTAATAAACTCTAAATGCTAGAATTTCATTTGATATTTAGATTCTGAAAGCCCTTTGTTATAAAGGGAAGTGATTTTCTAAATTTGGTAGCAGCTTGAAAACAAGCACCAAACATGTAAAATTGCATGGTTCTTTTTTTTACTAATTTAATTTTTTGCAAAGTTTTATTTTTTGCAAAATGTTTGGAATTGCTATTCTTTTTCTGTTAGCTTGGTGATATATGACTTAGACTAAGTGTTTGTATGTGATATAATCTTTGTGTACATGTGACTAAACTGCTAATGGCCAAATATTGTTGGTTCTTCTGATCCTGAGCATACATCAATTTCATTCCATGATTTTTTTTTTATTATGAGCTATTGCTGATGCGATGCTATCTCTTAGGTGCACCACCAATATAAAGGTTAACTGAGAAAGAACAACCCTCCCTCTTGGTTCTGTGCCAAACCGGTTTGTTAGCTTTAGTTGTTTCTTAGTGCTCTAGCCATGCCACACTGTGGCACTAATCAGGAAACTGTTTATATTCTTCCTCTTCTGTGTCCCTGTTCACTTTGTAATTATTCTATTTTAGCTGGTTATATGGTAGTTATTTGGTGGCCTGTTTTCCTTTGTTTTCTTTACTTGTGTCAAGTTCCATATCATTGTTTTGTGACAAGAGCCGTGATCTAGAAGTGGCAGACCTTAGAAGAGACTTCAGCAAGCTGCTCTAGGGTAAAGGCCACATTCTCTATTTGTTTTGTACTAGTACCACAAGAGGATGCCTTGTAACTGCTCTTTGGTCATGATTGTGGTAACAAATCCATCCATGTAAAATGCAATATGCCTGTTAGTTTGGGGCACCCGAAGCTCAATAGAGGTTTAGTATAATGCCTTTCCTCTCTTTGAGTTGTGAAGAAACTAATTGTTCGCATAGTGTGACTGCTTATAACCTATGTTCTGCTGCTATCTCCTATAGAAAACAGACTTTATTTTCTTAGTGCATTTGCTGGTAGGTCAAGGAGGGATGGAATTTGAATTAGTGTTCAGATTCACAGATCCTACCTATGTGTTCTTCAGTAGAGGATTTTCTGTGATCCTAAAACAAACGGAAAGCTATATAATTTATCAGTACTTCCGAAAGAGAGAGACTAAAGTCATGGCAGTGTTGGCCAAATTAATTTTAAAACTGAACAAGTCATGAATTTTCATATAAATCGAAGAAATTAAATTTTTCCTTATAAAAGCTTCCATTTTTGAAAAGTTGGATCAGTTGTAAGACCTTTTATCTTTAATATTATATTGTATAATTCTACATTGAGAAATAAACACTTGGCATTAAATGGGACTATGCGTCAAAAGATCTGGTTTTATGGTCCGTCTTTACCAATCGTTTGCTGTGGATATCTTTAAAGGTCCTGGAACTTTTGAGCCTCAGTTACCTCACTTGTAAATTGGCAAAAATACCTACCTCAATTCTGGTTGCTGTGAGGATTCAATGAGATAATGTAAGTTGAAAGCACATTGTGAATTGTAAAGTGCTATACAAAAGTTGTTGTTGCTGCTGTATCTGAGATGTGTTAATTTTTTTTTCCTTTGGAAATAGTTTAATAAACTTACAGGGCTTTTCTATTAAATTATATTAGTTGGTAAACAGTTTATTACAAAATAAAAAGGAACTAATATGTGAATACAAAATTTTGATATTTTAAAAGCACAGTTGCAGCAGTATTGGAAACTAAAACGATGGCATAGGAAAACATGGCTGGAAAAGAAAAAAATACCTAGAAGGGCAAATATTAACAGAATCAAACTTTATCAGAGAAAAAAAAAATGGCCTCAGATTCTTACTTTGATGTTTCTGACCCAATTTTATACCTTTTCAATCGGCATTTCTAAGGAGTTTGGCACAAATTTGAGGAATGCCAAATTTGTCAGACTCCTGAAAGACTGGGCAGTACCTATATCCGAGTTTAAGTTAGCCAGAAAGCAGAGTTACCCATAATATCATTTTCTTTTTCCTTTCCCTTCCAACTTTTATTTTAGATTCAGGGAATACACGTGCAGGTTTGTTACATGAGTAAATTGCATGTCACGGGGATTTGCTGTACAGATTATTTCATCACCCAGGTAATAACCATAGTACCTGATTCGTTTTTCTATCCTCACTCTCTTCCCGCTCTCCACCTGCAAGCTGACGCCGGTGTCTGTTGTTTCCTTCTTTGTGTCCATGTGAAATACTAAATTTTAAATATAGGTGGATTTAGACATAAGGATATTTGGCAGGCAGTGGAAATAGGTGCCTGGAACTTTGAAAAGGTCGAAAATATAGATTTGAGCCATCACTAAAAGGGTGATGATAGAAGCTACAAGAGTAAATAAGATAAGCAAAGGACAAACAAAACTGGAGAGAAAGAACAGGGAATGCAATCATGGATAGTATTTGGAAGACAATTGGGAGAGGTTACTTAGGGGTGGGGAGGATTTAAAAAAGTAAAGCATCCCTGAAACCAAGAAATGAAGCTGATGTTGGAAAATGTAAAGGAAGATAATGACAGAATATTTTGTTGATTTTTCACTGTAAAAAGTTGACTTATAAAACCTTATTTTCCATCCATTTTCACAGCTCGAGAATCAGTCCGAGAAGAGATAAAAATTATTTTTCTGCCGGGCACAGCAGTTCACACCTGTAATCCCAGCACTTTGGGAGGCCAAGGCAGGCAGAACACGAGGTCAGGAGATCGAGACCATCCTGGCTAACACGGTGAAACCCTGTCTTTACTAAAAATACAGAAACAAAATTAGCCGGGCGTGGTGGTGGGCGCCTGTAGTCCCAGCTACTCGGGAGGCTGAGCGACAGTGAGACTCTATCTCAAAAAAAAAAAAAAGAAAATTTCATTCTACATCATTGAGAATTAAAATTACTCAAAGAAATATATTGCATTTTATCTGGCTAAATTCCCCCCAGAGAATACAACTCTTGTTCAAAATGTATTCAAATTACCCCTTTGTCATCAATGACAAAATTTCGAATTCTGCAATCTTTGGTCTACCCAGGAAGGAATTAAACCTTTTCTTTTGAGTTACTAAAGATTTCATGGGCTTAAAGTATAAGCTAACATAAACCCACCAAATGTAGCAAGCAATTGTGAATCAAGTAATTTGAGTCAAGTAACCAAGCTAGAAAACACAAACTGGTGTAAGCAAATATAAGAAATTATATAAGGATCCAGAGGTGTGCACCAGTTGGCAAGCCATGTTTAGGTACAGGGAGGAATACAGACTTGAGAAAGAAGAGAAAATTTCACAGGTTAGAGCGTACAAGCAGAGTCTAGCACGTGAATGACACTCACAGCCTTGGGATCATGGTATCCTGTTGCTCTCGCCTGATCTATGCCTCACTCAAGGGCTTACGTACTTTTCTACAGTCTTGACCTGAGTCGTCCTCCATCTTTTAGCATCTTTAGATGCTAAAACTTCCAGAAGCCTTTAAATTCAAGTATTCAATTTATTACTCATCTTCAGATTACTAATATTTGTTCCTGTCTCATGCTTTTTCCTAGCAGCTCATACCCTGATCCAAAATTCATATTATACATATTTTTTTCTTTTTGGCACTTTATAGATTGTGCTATTAGCTATTTTCAGAAATCCGATTAAACCTTAGACCCTGTATTTGAAGTTTAATGTTTTTATCATCACCACTAAATTATTCCGTGGTGACTCAAATTTTCAAAGTGAAATATATTTGTTATCCTGCCTATTTGCAGTTTGGGAAATCATTTTCACTGCTCAATGACTTGTATCATATAGGTGCCATTTGTATTATTTTAAGCACCTATATGCATCCCTGGTATTAAAGTGATTAAAATAAATATAGTTACTAAATGTTTGAAGGAACTTTATAACATTGCTCCAGAAATATCTGTTCAATGCCACTAGATTCTGTGTTTGCACCACATAGAGCACGCCATAGGATACTTGAGAGTTGAATCATGCCATTGATTTCGTATAGTTTTTGTACATGGACTGATCTTTCTAGAACTTTAGAGTCATTTTATCCTCCTTGTCATTCAACATTTTGAAGGATCCATCAGCAATAGCTTTGCATAATTTGCTCTTTTTGAGAAGTAAAAGAAAAAATTGGATATGTCTGTGTTGTCATCCTAAAATAAATAGAAAATTAATTCTATGTAAATCTGATAATATGTGTCAGGATAATAGTTCTTAGTGTATTTAAATTATTGACTGTTTTGGTAAGGACTATGTATC
Organism: Homo sapiens; assembly: GCF_000001405.40. NCBI lineage: Eukaryota > Metazoa > Chordata > Mammalia > Primates > Hominidae > Homo > Homo sapiens. Next base: position 89,914,852 of record NC_000012.12, on the reverse strand, counting down.
AATTTTTCATAAAGCATATTGACATGTTACTGATTTGTATGCCAATCCCTTGTTACTTGGCACCATAGAAAAGTTATTTGTGTAAGATAAGGAATAAGGAGGAGTATGAAATCAGAGCCTGCTCAGTATGCTAAAACTTCAGTTGATCTATTTATATAAGTAAAGTAATTCAGAGCAAACAGCAAATCCCTGCTAATTTTCTTCCCTTGCCCACTAACAATCTCACATACTCACCAGCATGTATTCCACCTTTGCATATGTGACAAATTCAGGACAGTTTAATATAATTCTGCAAACATGGATTGAATTCACTGTATATGTGCATTGTTCTTTGCACTATGAGAAGGCAGAGATAATTGGTACGGCCTCTACCCTCAAATAGCTTATAATCTTATAAGGGCAGATGGATAGCTAACTATATATAATCCAAGCAGAATAAAATAAATCTTTACACAGATGTAGAAACAAAATAAAAAACAGAAACAGAGACTAATTCTTGTTGAGAAAAAGGAATCACTGTAGGCTGTCTAATCATTGAAGAGTACTTGCTTTTCTAATAGGAACCTTCAATATTGATTTTTCTATAAGTCATTGCAAATGACCAAAACGACAAACTGATTTTATATATTTCACCTGATATGCCACTGATCTCTGAATTCATTAATTCAACAAATAAATATTAAGCATCTATTATGTGACAGTTGTGTTACTAGGAATGCAATGATGGAGATGATTCAGTTTTTTTGTTTGTTTCTTTGTTTTGAGATGGAGTCTCACTCTGTCACCCCAGGCTGAAGTGCAGTGGGGGCAATCTCAGCTTACTGCAACCTCTGCCTCTTGAGTTCAAGCAATGCTCCCTGCCTCAGACTCCCATGTAGCTGCCCACCACCACACCTGGCTAATCTTTGTGTTTTTTAGTAGAGATGGGGTTTCACCATGTTGGCCAGGCTAGTCTTGAATTCTTGTCCTCAGGTGATCTGCCCACCTTGGCCTCCCAAAATGCTGGGATTACAGGCATGAGCCACCATGCCCAGCCTCAGTCTTGCCCTCAAGGAGACTACATTCTAATGGATAGAGAAAAGACATGAAAACTAATAAATCTTATAAATCTTAGATGTTTTGGAGTAGAACATAACCAAGGCATAAAGGAAACAAAAACATACATAGCAGTCAATTCTTTTTCCTAAGAGTGTGAAGTTAAACGTCACTAATTATCAGGAGAATGCAAATTAAAAACCACAATGAAATACCACCTTACAGCCAGTTGTGGCTCACACCTGTAATCCCAGCACTTTGGGAGGCTGAGGCCGGCAGATTGCCTGAGGTTAGGAGTTCGAGACCAACCTGGCCAACATGGAGAAACCCCCCCCTCTACTAAAAATACAAAATTAGCCACGCACGATGGCTCATGCCTGTAATCCCAGCACTTTGGGAGGCTGAGGCCGGCAGATTGCCTGAGGTTAGGAGTTCGAGACCAACCTGGCCAACATGGAGAAACCCCCCCCTCTACTAAAAATACAAAATTAGCCACGCACGATGGCTCATGCCTGTAATCCCAGCTACTCAGGAGGCTGAGGCAGGAGAATCGTTTGAACCCGGAAGGCAGAGGTTGTGGTGAGCCAAGATTGTGCCATTGCACTCCAGCCTGGGCAACAAGAGTGAAACTCCATCTCAAAAAAAAAAAAAAAAAAGAAAGAAAAAGAAATACTAACTTACTCCTGCAAGAATGGCCATAATTAAAAAAACCAAAAAATAAATGTTGGCATGGATGTGGTGAAAAGAGAACACTTTACTTTTACACTGCTGGTGGGAATGTGAACTGGTACAACCACTACAGAAAACAGTATGGAGATTCCTTAAAGAACTAAAAGTAGAACTACCATTCAATCAAGCAATCCCACTACTGGGTTTCTACACAAAGGAAAAGAAGTAATATGAAAAAGACACGTGCACACACATGTCTATAGAGCACAATTCACAATTGCAAAAATAAGGAACCAACCTAAATGCCCATCAACCAATGAGTAGATAAAGAAAATGCAGTAAATAAACACCATGGAATACTACTCAGCCATAAAATGGAACAAAATAATGGCCTTTATAGCAACTTGGATGGAGTTGGAGGCCATTACTCTAAGTGAAGCAAATCAGGAATGGAAAAACCAAGTATTGTATGTTCTTACTTATAAGTAAGAGCTAAGCTATGAGGACACAAAAGCATAAGAATGATATAATAAACTTTGGGGACTTAGGGAGAAGAGTGGGAGTAGGTGGGAAATAAAAGACTACATATTGGATACAGTGTACACTGTTCGGGTGAGGAGTATACCAAAACCTCAGAAATCGCCCCTAACGAATTTATCCATGTAACCAAAAAACAACTGTTCCTCAAAAACTATCAAAATTAATTTTTTTAAGCTGAAAGATAATAGAGACTCTGTTTGTTTCATTCCCTTTGTTGACTACCAAAACTTCAAACTAACAGGACAATGATCGCACAAAATCGAAGGTACAGGTGAGCACAAGCTGCTCCTGATGCATTGCTAGTTGCTCAAGTGGTGTCCCTGAAGCTCACTGTGCTTGGTGAGAAGAAACTGTGAGGTCAGAGGATTCAGAACCCCAGGTTCTCAGACATTTAAACTTTTAGGTTGTGGAAGGGACTGTGTCGTCACCCACAAGTCTGCCTATTTAGCAAACAAGAAATTCTTGCTGTACCACAACTATATACCTCCTAACTGCAGCATCAGGCCTATAGCAGACTTGCCCCTGGCCTACCAAGAAAGGGTTCATAGAACATGGTAAATTGAACACACACACACACACACACACACACACACACACACACACACATGCACTTACTTATCACCATCACCACTCAAACTTGGCCAGAATAACAGTAAAGAAAAATTTTTAAGTAAAATGTAAAAACAAAAACAAAACATACACACAAGGACAAAGAGAGAAAATGGAGACAACAGTATATAAGGCTTATCAGCAAAATTTTGGAAAATGGAAAGAGTATGATGCTATGGTTTGAAAGTGTCCTCCAAAATTCATATGGTGCAACAGTGGTGGGTGGTAAGGCCTAATAAGAGACAACTGGGTCATGAGGTCTCTGCCCTCATGAATGGATGAATACAGTTATCTCAGGAGCTAGTCAGTTACCACAACAGCAGGTGATTTATAAAAGCTAGCCTGGCCCCTCCTGCTCTGTCTCTCATGCTTGCTTCCACCTTCCATCATGACAAGACCCTGGCCAGATGCTGGTGCCATTCTCTTGGACTTCCCAGCCTCCAGAATTATGAGCCAAATAAACTCCCATTGTTTGTAATTTACCCAGTTTATGGTGTTCTGTTATGACAACAGAAAATGTACTAAACAGATGGATATGTGCTAGCTGACATTGCAGAAAAGTGAAATAGAAATGCTTATGAAGAAGATCAATGAGTAGGCCACACCCCAGAAAAACTCAGGGAAGTAGGTATCAGCAACCAGGAATCAGCAAGCTGAATGGGAGAAAGAGTTGCCACACTGAATACAGAGGAATTCCACACTGGGGATGATGAGATTCCCCAACCCCCTTTCTCTGATCACCTCCCAGTGTGCTGGTAGTAGGGCTTATACAACCAAGATATCTCCTTTTATCCCCAGGATATAAGAATAGAGTGTTTGTTCCTCTGTAGGAAACATAGCAAACCCAAGAGAAAACACCCTAAAGACACTAATGTTTGCACAGGTCCACTCACCCTGAAGCAAAGCTCTTCATTCAACAAACACCAACCACCGCCAGTCCAAACACACACCCCACAAACACACAATCACAGAGCCTCTCATCAACTTTTTTCAGTGTCTCACTTTGAGATAGGAATAGACATTCAAAACTCAACAGATACATGTGGGAAACCTCTCACATGAGCAGAGAAACCAAAACAGATCAACAGAAAAGGGGATCTCTAGGAAACAGAAATGATGCAGGGAATATGAGGTAAAACCTAAATCAGCAAACAGAAATGAAACTCTCCCTCATAGTCTCATAAAGACAGTTCATCCGTAAATTAAGAACAGATGGATTAATTTTTTTAAACGGAGCATTGAGAGGATGGAGAACAGCTCTTGGAAATTAAAAATACAATTTTGGAAGAATGTCTTAAAGTCAATAAATATTTAGAAGGGTATATTGAGGAAATCTAGTAAATAAAATAAATAACAAAGATTGGAAAAATAGAAAAATAAAGACAGAAAGATTAAGGTAGCAATCCAGGGGATCTGATATCCAAAGAGGAGGAGTTCAAGAAAGAATGAATAGAGAAAAAGGAATGGAAGAAATTACCAAGGGAATCATAAATTTCCCCACTTCTAAAGGAAATTAGTTTCTCGATTGAAAGATTCACAAGATCTCTAGCAAAATGAATGAAAAAAGTCCCACACCAGGATATATCACAGTGATATTTTTTATCACCAGGGATAAAACCTTAAAAGCTTTCAGGGAAAGAAGGGGGAAAAACCCCAAAACATAAAAACAAGCCATCTACAAAGAATCAGAAATCAAAATGGCATCAGACTTCCCATCTGCATCTCTAAAGTAAGAAGACAGTGGAGCTATGCTTTTAAGGTTTGAAAGGGAAAAGATGTCCAACTTGGAATTCTATAGGCAAACTATGTATTAATTAAGTGTGAGGGGCAAATAAAGACGTGTGAGAGGGTGGTGACTATATTCCAGGTGGAGAGAGCAGTGAATGCAAAACTTTGACGTCTGAAGCAGCGTGGCTTGTTATAGATTTAATACCTGGAGATGGGGGGCAAGGTCATATGAAATAAGGCCTTCAGCCTTGTCGAAGAGCTATCCATTTTCCTAACTAGCCTAAAGGGAGTCGCTGAGGAACTTCAAGAAGGAAAGTGACATCATCAGATTTCTATTTGGGAACTCTAGTCTGGTAACACTGGAAAAACTGGGAAAAGAGGAGAGGTATGTAGGGGTAGAGGAAAAGTATATCTAGATAAGAATTGATGTGGGCCTGATCTAAGACAATAGCAAAGGGGAAGGAGATATAAGGACTGACTTCCAGGCAGTTTCAGAATTAGAATCACCATTACGTGTCTGATTAGATGTGGATGTTCAATGAAAGTATCTAGGATGACTCCCAAGTTTGCACTGCAGGGAATTGGATGAATGATAATGTCTTTCCCTAGCAAAAGGGAAGGATCTGGGGAAAAGAAGATGTCTATTTGGAACATGTTGAGTTGTCATGACCCTACATGCAACTTTCTTTCAACCTGAGCATCTATACTGGTTCTATACTCTGCTTGGAATTCTACCTAACCCCTCCCTGGATTATACTAATAAAAGCATGGATGAAAGTAAGAATAAATAATTTACAACTACAGCCAAATTCACCTTTTACTGCATTTTTGTGTTCCCTTCCAATCTCTCTCTACCTATATAATTTTACATAGTTATAGCCATAATAGAGATACAGTTTTATACTCAGCTCCTTTCACTTAAAATATTTTAAGTATGCTTCTTTGTTATTCCATAGTCTTTATAATTATTGCTTTAGTGGCTGCATAATATTAAATCAGGTGGTACATTTTTATTTTACTTATCATCTCCACTATTGTCAAACATTAGGCAGTTCCAATTCTTTGACTATTTCATTGGATAATGCTACAATGAGAATCTTTGTGCACATATCTTTGCATTTTGTCTTTGTGGATATTAGGAAACAGTAATTTTTCTTTAGTGCCAATGTAGTACAATGACTCAAAAATATAAGAGAATTTTATGGATGCCTTTGGTTTGCACAGTCTCTGGAACTTTTTTTTATGCCAAATCGATGTCCCTCCTAGGTTCCTTTGTGCTCACTGCCAATGCCACCACATAACAAATGATGGCACTGCATTCCATTGACCTCAGTCCTTACTCCAGGCTCTTTCACCCACCCACCTCTGCCACCATGTCCTGCTGTAGACACGCATCTTCCCATCCCTCAGCCCTTCAAATCGATGACACAGCTGAACTATCCATTTGGTTTGGGTCTAGTGTTTGGAGGTGGGAGTGTGTGGGCATCACACTGGTCTGCAGATTGCCTCGACTCTAGCCATCCAGCAATCCTAACCTGCACCTAGGCCTGAGACATCCTACCCCGTGCGGGTTCAACTACCTGGAATGCAATATGTTTAAGAGGAGGAATCAGACATAATGAAAACAGTGAGGGTAGTTCAAAATGTTAGGACCACTTATTTAAAACTGCCCTTCCTACATTTTCCTCACCACAGTGGTTCAGAGCGTGAACTCCACAGTCAGATTTGAAGATGTGTCCCCCGGAAAATTTTGCTTAGCCTCTGTATACCTCAGTTTCCTCATCTCCAAATTGGGGGTAAATATATTGTATATATATATGCTTGGAGTGTGGCACAAAGGAAGCCTTCATAAAGGTTTACTATGATTATTTTCCTCACAACTCTGGGGAATTAATGTAATTAGCAAGGTCTCCTAGAAAGACATAACGCTCAATAGAAAATAATAATAACTAGATATGGAGAGCACATATGAGAGATGTCATTCTAAGGACTTTACACATGTCGTCTGTTTAAATGTCTCAACACCACCTGGTGCAGATGCTATGACTCCCATTTTAAAGATGAGTAAACTGAGGCACGGAGTGTTAATCACCTGCCTGATATCCCACAGTAGGGTCAAAATACTGCAACTCAAACCTAGGAATATAATTCCAAGGATATACTCCTAACCACTAGCCATACAGCCTCTCTGAATAAAGCAACAGAAATTTAGTGGCTCACGGAGAGGAAAGTGGCTAACAAATTACCTAATTTTTAACCGATTAGATTGCTCTGTTGCTGCTCCAAGGGAAAATTTAGTTGAGTTCCAGGACAATAAAAACTATTTACAACCTTCCACCTCCCACTTTACTTAGTGCTTTGAACCACATCCAAATTGAATTCAGCACTTATGATCTTTCTTCTAATGCCATTGTGAGTTAATGGTTCTTTTAATCTACATCTTATCTCTCAGCTGTTGTCTTTGTGGCTGTTCCTAATTCTTAAAGTGTCAGATCAAGGGATATGAGACTTCAGTAATTCCTTCAGAGTTTAAGATTAATGAGAAGAAAAAACATGTCTGGTGTTAGTTAAATGATAATGTTCCATGGTTCTGTTTTAAATTTTAGGATGCAGAAATTTGCTTTAAATAAAAGGGAAAAAAGAAAAAACACTTTGTCTTGTGCTCATTATGCAGATCAGAAACAGTAAGGAAACAGCTGTATACTTAGATGATGAGTGCCCAGGAAGGACCTCTTAGGATAAAAAAAAATTGATAGTAATATTCTTTATATCTGAACATATTGTTACCAAATCACCATTGGTAAGGGCTGTGCTGTGAGGGTGTTCAGTTTCTCATACTGATAATGTGAAAAAAGCAGAAAATGCGATCATGTGGAGAGGACAGATGATCGAGATAAATTTGGAGGGCATTCTGCCTTTGAAGACAGCATCTCAGAAGTTCAAGAATATACTGGAAGGGGGGAAGGAGAGAAGAGAGAAGATGAAAAGGTAAGGAAAGGTCGGATGATAGAAGGTCTTTAAAGCAATTCAACGTGCTAAAGAATGTGACTAGTTTTTTCTGTAGACAATAGGAAGCCGCTAAATGATTTGATGCTGGAGTGACCAGCATTTTTGTTTTTTAATGGATTTCTGGTTAAGAAATATATTTCTGGTTTCCTAGGTAGGATGGCAGGAGGGGGAGGGACAGAATGAGATTAGATGCCAAAAGAGTGTCTGCAAATAGTATAATTGACCAGGGAAAGGATACTGCCGAGGGGCCTGGCATTCCAGCAACAGCAACGGAAATGGAAGGGTGGGAGATAAACTTGAGAAAGATCTGGAAGGCAGAAAGGACGAGTACTAGTAGAAGGTTACATGTGCTTTTTGAGAAGTTGGGGGTATTCTAGGAGAATGTTTCTTTATTTTTAAACCCATGATCCCTTTTTAATAAAACCCTCACACTGCCCCTAGGAAACATTCTTATGTGTGCCTCTAGCAGAACATGCCCTATCCCACCACACTTAAAAACCACTTCTCTTTAGTTTATCCCTATTAGTCAGGAGACACTTTGTCAAACTTTATTTCTGTAATGTGTATTAAAAACAATAAAAATAGTTTTCAAATATAAAATTACATTTAATGTAAAATATAAATATTCACTCTACAGAGTAATCAAGACAGACTAATCTACTTTCCCAGGAGCTATCCCAGCACAGTGACTCTAGTAGGTTAACAAGCATTAACTTATTTCTCAACCTACTAGAGTCATGTGCCAGAGTAGCTCCTAGGCTTCTGATTTGGGCAGAAAGCTCAGTTGTGGTTCTTAAATAAAATGGTGAAAACAAGAGAAGAGGTTTAGAAAAACAAATACTGAGTTTAAAATGAATCAATACAATTCACTGAACTATAAAGCATTGGAGATAAGAGACCATTTCTTAGCTCTGAATGACCTAAAACAGTAGGTAAGTGGCCTATAACTTCATAAAAGTGCATTCATCTGAACTAAAGTGCCTGTGAGACCTCTGGAAGCAGATGGAGAGACTGGGAAAGGCAGGGTTAGAGCTAAGGAGACAGGCCTGAAGGGACACAGTTCTTTGGGGATGATAATGGCATAAGTAACGATGGCTTTAAACTTTTACTCCTGATTCATTTGGAAAAACTAATGACAGTTATCAATTTTTCTTCATATACATATGTGCACCATATGTGCATACAATCTCTGGGAGATTCTTCAACACTCTGAAGTCTACTTGGATACTTTAAGGGATTGTAGAGCCTAGATCAAGAATCCCCGGACCAGTGATAGTTGAATCTTGGCTTAGGTCAACAAACTCCAGGAGCGAATAGGAAGAGAACAAAGGTAAGAACAGAGCCCTGGGGAAACCAATGCTTAAGTCACAGACAGAGGGAGATGATCTCCCAAAGATGAGCACAACAGTCATAGAGGTACCAAGAAACGGATGAGAGTGGTTTAATTAAATGAAGAAATGAGATTTCTTCAAAAAGGAAATGGGGTCACATAATGCAGAGAGACAAAGTAAGTGGCTTATTAGTAGATAGCACTTGGATTTGGGCATTTGTGAAGGCTTGCTTTTGTTGCCCAGTTTTTATTCTTCTGCCTTCTGGTAAGAGAATTCCAGATTTTCTCTGTTTCCAGGAAGATTTTCTGCTTTACTCATTCTCAGCCATATTAATTGTGTAGGATTGACCACAGCACTAGTTACATAGGGCTGCGTCTCCCTGCCATGAGTAATGGGTTCAGAGATGGGCACGTAAACTTAAGATGGTTTAGGTGAACCTTAGGATTTTATTGGAAATCTCAGGACACAGATGTTCCAGATTGTGAACAAGGAAGCAAATGGCCATGGAAGTTGATGGCAGCCTTCTCAAGACAGAAAGTCAGCAAGAAACCAGGTCATCAGTCACCTTGATACGTTACCAAATCAAGCCTTTTCTAGAGCTAGATCTACATCTGGACTTTTCCATTTCATGAGCTCATTTGAATAAGATCTCCTGATAGTTTTAGCAGAAAGCATCCTAGCTGATAACATCTCTTTGCAAAAACTGTCTCAGTAAAATGATGGTGTCAAAAACAAGAAAGCTGTCAGCTAAGGAACGCTTGGGAGATAATAACGCTTCAACCACCCAAAATACATGTATTATTCCTGCAGCAGATTTATTGTGGTCATTTAACACATAATATTAGTGTCTTTATTTTGTTTTAAATTTCTTTCCTTATATGGGCTTTTGGGAACATCAAAGAACAATGTATTCTTTTTTTATTCCTTTTCTAGGCCACAGGTGATAGAAGAACAGCTTAAGTGGGTCTTCCCCCAATTTATTAACATACATTGGTCAGTCAGCATTTAATTTTTTATCCACCACTTTTCCTTTCTCCTTATGCGATGTTATACAGTGTAGCCCTGTTGACTTCAGATTTCCAACTCAAAAAAGCACAGGTAGACATTCTAGTGGAAGTTCCCTATCCAAACCTCAGCTCCCCCCTGGACCAATGAAACTGCACGCACACCAATATGCTTCTTTATTTTCATTCTTGCCCACTTTCAGTTGGTCTCTGCACAAGTAGAGTGATCGCTCTTTAAAATGGAAAGAGGTCATATTCAGAATCACCCAGCTACTTTCCCCTAAACTTGGAATTAAATATTTAACAGGATTTTTTGAGAATCAAATTAGGTTATACTTGTAAAGAGCCAGGAGTGGTGGCTATGCCTGCAATCCCAGCACTTTGGGATGCTGGGGTGGGAGGATCACTTGAGCCCAGGAGTTCAAGTCTGCAATGAGCTCTGACCACACCACTGCACTCCACAGTCTGGGCAACAGAGATACCCTGTCTCAAAAAAAAAAAAAAAAATGAGAGAGCGAGCTTAGAAATGATGCCCATCATGCTCTAAAACAGTGTTAGCCTCATTATTACCTGCTGTTTGCTCTGCCTGAAATAACCTTCTCCCACCTTGTCTGCTTAATGGCACACATCTTTTTCAAGACTCAATTCAAGTATCTCCTCCGCTTTCCTTAGCAAAGCTAAGGAAGTTCTCCTCTGCGCTCCCACAGACCCTAGTTTGTAGCTCTGTAATGGAACTTCCTGAATGGAGGTACAATTATCTATTTACTGGTCGGCATCAGGAAGCTCTGGAGAACTTTGTGTACCCAACACAATGTCTATCATTATGTGACTAACATGTTCTATGAATAAGTGGAATTATGTTCACTACTGTCTCTTTGTCCACAGCTTCTAGATTCCAAATATTAGCAAATTATCTTGTCCTCTTACAAAACCCACATTCCCGTTTATTGTAATGGATTGCTGATCATTTTACCTGCTCTCAGTTATGATTTCCAACAACTGGCCAAATGTAAAGATAATCTGCTTACCTGTCAGAAATAGTAATATTTGTTTTCTAGAGCACCTATTGTGCTGAAGAGACCCCAAAGGGATGTGGATCTCCTGGACATGAGTAACTGGAAGGCAGTAAACCTGAAAGAATGTGTCTCTGCCAGGATTTTGGTAATGCACTTAATATCATTAATCACTTTCTTCACCTCTAAAACCACTCTCAGAGTTGCTATGCAATTCAAGTGGAATAACAGAAATAAGAACTATTTATAAACACCAAAGGACTACATAACTTATATCAGCCATAATGAAACTTGACTGTCTAGTGCTATACTGTCCAATATGGTGGACACTCACCACATGTGATACTGAGCACTTGAAATGTGGCTGGTCCAAAATAAGATGTGCTGTATGTGTAAAATTCATTACAGGTCTCAAAGACTTAGTATGAAACAATGAATGCAAAATATTTCATTAATAATTTTTAAGGCTGGGTGCAGTGGCTCACGCCTGTAATCCCAGCGCTTTGGGAGGCTGAGGTGGGCAGATCACCTGAGGTGAGGAGTTAGAGAACAGCCTGGCCAACATGGCGAAACCCTGTCACTACTAAAAATACAAAAATTAGCTGGGCATGGTGGCGGGCACCTGTAGTCCCAGCTACTTGGGAGGCTGAGGTGAGAGAATTGCTTGAACCCAGGAGGCAGAGGTGGCAGTGAGCCGAGATCATGCCACTGCACTCCAGACTGGGAGACAGAGTGAGACTCTGTCTCAAAAATAATAATAATAATAATTTTTACATTGAGAATATGTTGAAGCAATTTTGGATATAGGAGACTAAATAAATATTAAAATCAATTTAATCTCTTTTAATCTGGCTGTTAGAAACTTTAAATTACATATTTGGCATACATTATATTTCTATTTCTACTGATCTAGACAAGAATTCTCAACTTCTTATGCGTTTAAAAACATATTGTCATGGACCTTAGTGCCAAGAATGCCTTGAAAAAAAGCATTTCAGATGACTTTTCCAACTCTTTGACCAAAGGGGTTGAAATATTTGTGATTTTTCATACTTGTAGGGACCAACATTACATTTTTTAAAAAGCTAATCAAAAATAGAAACAATGGCAGTACCATGAAAGTCAACCCAGAGTTGACCTCATTTACTCACTAACCTAATGTTTTTACTCCCTTCCTTGGTTTCTATAGTATTTCTATCATGTCTATGTCCTTGAAGCTATAAAATTATTTCTAATTCAGAGTAGAGATTTATCTAGGTCTTGCTCTAAATATGTGCAATTAATATTACAAATGTTGGTATGAGTAACAAAAGTAAAGTTTATTACTTATTCTACCAGAACTCCCTAAAATGTCAGCTGAAACAGATTTGTTTTCTGGTGGCTACTCTGGGAATTTCTCCATGAGCTACCTGCCTTTCATACCCATACAATCTCTTCTCAGAGCATTAACTTGTTTCTTAACCACCAGTGAAATGGAAATCTAGTCACTTCTCCATTTCTCTGTTGGACACAGAAGTGAAAATAACCTTCCTATAAAAGCAATGGAATGATGGTTCAAAAGGCAGAAAATCAGTTACTCTGTGGTTTGAACAGTAAAGGGTAAAATGTGGGGCCATGCTGATTAAAGGTGGGGCCATTCTGATGAAAGGTAGGGCCTCATCAGCTGTCACTGCAATTCTACTTTAAAGGAATTATAATCTTTTAATTAAAATGTAAGCAGAGAAGCATGACTACAGAGGAGCTGATGGCATCTCAATGACCAAAAAAAATGCAGGCTTTTAGTCATCTCTGTTATGACGTTATTACCTGAGCCACTGAGGGGAGAGGAGATTAAGTGTGGCAGGAGATGAGTATGTGTTCTGGGTGTTTTGGGTTTGTTTTGGTGTGTATATATGTGAGTTCTTAAACCTGGACCATTTCATTCATTTATTCATTTACTCAATAAATATTTACTGACATCCTCTATGTACCAGGGGAGTATCCTAAGCCTAGGAGACACAGTACTGAACAAAGTCCCCAACCCCAAGGAATTTACATTCTGGTCAAAATTCCATGGAGACAGCCATTTACCTATGCCTATAATCTAAATTTCTCTTAATATCCTGCTCCAGTGGCCTGCATTTTTCACCTTCCATCAGCTCCATACCAACACTGGGGCCATATGAATTAACATGGCATACACACAGAATCCATTTTTAGAATTCACAGGGAACTGGGGATGAGGGAGATTTAATTCTGGAACCCCCTTCCCAACTGGCAAAGCCTTCAGAGTTTTATAAATAACTCCTACTGAAAGGAACACTCTGTCCTTTCTTAGGGCTGATAAGAAAAGAGAGCCCTTGTTACCTTTGGGTAAACAGCAATCGCCTTGTTCTTTATCATCCTCCCTCCTCTCTTATTCACTCTAATTGCTCTTTTTGGTGCCTGCCTCCCTGGGAAGGGAGAGGGAGGGAACAGAGTGCTAGAGGACACAGTGTTGGACTGTGGTGATGCTTCAGTGTGAAAGGGGCATTCTATATGTGGGACAGAAGTCCACTTAAGGAGGTCAAGTCCTGATCCTATCACGAACTAACTGGGTGACATTGGGCAAGCCACTAAATGTCCTTGGGCCTGATTTCTGTAAAGTGAAGATATTGGAGTAGAAAAACCTCTAAGACTCTTCTCAGTCTTATTAGGCCTTTAAAAAATTTATGTAGCACAAGAATAAGTGAAGACAGAGAAATTAGAAAGTAGAGAACTAGGCCAAGAAGGAATTTGTGGGCCGTACTTAATATTTATTGATAGCAATGGAAGATCAGTAAGAAGAGACAAACCAGCGTGCCCTCCAAAAAGGGACTTAAATAAGGTCACTCAGTGAATAAAGGAACAGAATTTTTCCTACAACATCTCTTGGCTTTATTTTTTAGTAAGACTCACCTTATTACACTGGGCAATTTCTCACCTGGAAGTTTCATATCTGTATTAGTCCGTTTTCATACTGCCATAAAGAACTGCCCGAGACTGAGTAATTTTTAAAGAAGGTTTAATTGACTCACAGTTCAGCATGGTTGGAGAGGCCTCAGGAAACTTACAATCATGGCAGAAGGTGAAGGGGAAGCAAGGCACCTTCTTCACAAGGCGGCAGGGGGGAGAATTGCCAAGTGAAGGGGGGAGAGCCTCTTATAAAACCATCAGCTCTTATGAGAATTCACTCACTATCACAAGAATAGCATGGGGGGAAACCACCCCCATGATTCAGTTACCTCCACCTGGTCTCTCCCTTGACATGTGGGGATTATGGGGATTATAATTCAAGATGAGATTATCAATATCTACAGTAGTCTCCCCCATATATTGTTATAGTCATTCTATTTTATTACTAGTTATTGTCATTAATCTCTTACTGAGCCTAATTTATACATTTAATTTTATGATACACATGTATAGAAAAAAATATAGTATATACAGTGCTCAGTGGTATCTTCTGTTTCAGGTCTCCACTGGGGGTCTTGGAATGTATCCTCCTACACGTAAGAGGGGATTATCAAATATAGATTTGTCTACAGCTGTAGCCAACTGTTTTGTTGGAAGTAACAGAATCTCTGAGCCTATTTTCTATCAACCAATATAAACCCTGAATCTGGTATTTTCCAAAAACAGCTTTTTGCCCTGAAACCACAAGCCTAAGCTAACATTGCTGTCCTTAAACATAAAATGCACACATACTGAGGGACATTTTTACCCTGGAAATTTTTAGGGTGTGACCTAAAGACTGGATTTTAAAAAATGGCAGGAAAGTATCTTCTACATTTTTCCTTTTCCTCTGCTCCCAAATTGGAAAATATTCACATGGGGAATCCTTAGAAACCAAAAAAAAAATCCCAGTTTTTTCAAAATGCCTAATTTTTCCAGTCCTTCACATTTCTAATAATGGTGGGCCTCGCAGGTTCCACAAATGTTTTCCAAACACTAAACAGACCACATAACTGATATAAATAGAACTAGGTCTAAATAACTAATGAAAATAGCACACAGGGCCCCTGTGGAGGCCATCTGGGAGATGATCCCTTCCTAATGAGGCTGTGACTTCAGGGAGTCACAGATTCACCCATTTCGATCCAAACCCTTTTGGAGAGATTGGATGACACTTTCTTTTCTTGGGGGTTGGGGGTGGTGACAGAATTAGAAGTGTCTGTAACTCAGTGGGGGAGAGGGCAGGTTGATGAATGGAGAATGACAAAGAAGATGCATATGTCTAAATTCCAAAAACTAAAGCATGGTAAGGAACAAGGACAGTTTTTGCGGCTGAATCCCTCTACTGCTGAAAACATTCAATTCAGTGCTCCTTTCTCCCCAAATTCTCTGTAAATACTCCACATTAAACTCATAGCATTTATTAAAATATCCTGTATTTACTTAACCATCAGCTCTGTTTATTAGGCACATTCTTGATGGAATTTACTCAGCATTTTGCTTCCCACCCGTTTATCATGTCTACCCACCAGCTGATTGATGAGAAAATAAACCTGGAGCCTAAGGGTGGGCAGGGGAAATGAGGAAGGGGTAGACTTGTGGGTCAGTGAGGATTAGGGGGAGGAGAAGCCTGGAAAAGGCAGCTGAAATTGGAGTTGCTCTCTTAGAGTGGATTTAAATGGCGAAATCAATGGAGTCATTCAAAGCTACAAGAAACCATCTGAAACATCTTTAACAACTGAATTATTGATTTAACCATTTCATACTTTTCCATCCATTTTGCTACATTTCAAACTCTGGGAATTTATCATGAAACAATCCCATCAGATAAATGTAAATTTTAAAATTCCACTAAGAATGCTCACTACTCAAAGTATCCTTAAACAAAAGCATTTAGAATCAGTCTTGTTAAATGTTTCTGAAAATTAGATATTTCAATGGACTGTAAACATACCAAGATGGGAAGTGTCTATGGGCATTTCCATATGGTTTTGGAATTACACACTAGCTTCCTCGAATTATACACACAAAGAGGCCACATTGCTCTCTGATTATTGGATGTAATTTAAGATAACATGCTTTTTAAAATTAAAAATCCTAAAGCCATAGTAAAGTTCAACAGTGAATTAAAAAATCCATGTGATGTGCATACACACACACACAAATAAATTTTAATTTTCAATACCTTGAAAAGTAGTAAAGAGAGTTCTACATACAATGTGTCCATAAATGTTAACCATTTAAAATGTAAAAGAACTATGGATCCTCAGGAAACAGGCACAAAAACAACATTTTAATATTTAAAACATTTAACTTATACATTTTTTTAAATTTAAAAATGATATACTTTTCAAAAATATATCATAAATTAGACATTACTCTAGCAGAATTCAGAACTGTTTCTTATTGGAATTACTGAGGCTCCAGAGCTGTGTAAAAATGTCAAATAGAAAAATCTATATAAGATTTTTTTCTTAATTCTTGCTTTATCTTTTTTTATGGCTCTTAATACCCTTCAACCACTGAAACACATTCCCCACTTTTCCCGAGACTCATAAGTTTGCCTTTCCTGACCATGCTCTGCTCTTTCTTATCAAATCTTTCTTAACCTAGGTCTCACCACCCCAGGGACCTCTGTTCCACTTTATACAATGGTACTGAATCATCTGATAAGCTTATTCATGATATCTAATACCTTTTATCCCAAACTTGCCTAATAATGAGAATCAGTTCATTGGCTAACTAAAAATATGAGTTCCTGGACTTCAACCCAGACCTTCTAAATCAGAATCTGTAAGAGTTAGGCCTAGTAATCTGTGCTTCAGTCAAGCATGCCCATGTGAACCCTATTATCTGACAGGTGTGGGACTCCTGGATCAGTGATTCTCAGCTCTGGCTAAATAATACATTCACCTGGTGGTACTCAGGCATTCCCTGGAACAATCACATCAGAGTCTCTGTGGGTGATGCCTGAGTATCAGTGGATTATAAAAGCTCCCTGGATGAATCTAATGTGCGACCAGAGATGTGAACTGCAAACCCATGTTTCTCAACATTTGGTCCACAAAACCTCTACATCAGAATCACCTGGAGTGTTCTGGAACAATGCAGATTCCTGGACCTCCATCCAAGGTTGATCAGAATCTTTGGAACCTGGGCATCTGAGTATTTACCAAGTGCCCCAGGTAATTCTTATTTACACAAAGTCTGAAAATTCTCTCCTTAGAGCAGATGTTCATGTGTAGGGGAGGAAAATTTCTCCTCCACCCTCCTAGGATTCCACCTGGGCATAGAAATTAAACTGCCATGAGACATGAATGAGAGAAAAGCATACAGATTTTATTAACATTTTACATGTACTTAAGGGCCTTACCAGAAAATAAAGACCTGAAGAAATGAGCAGAGCAGAAAGTGTCTACCTTTAGACAAAGAAATGATACATTTGGGTTAGCAGCAGTGAATTGTGGGTAAGTAACTAAGAGATATATTGGGGAACTCTAGTGGAAGATAAGGGTTATTTCAATAACTTGGTTACTTATCACCCCATCTCTGGTGATAAGGATGTTCTTCTGGTACAGGGAAGCATCTTTCTTATGGGAAATTTTATGGCCTGCTTTTAGGCAGAAAAGGGGAGATCAGAAAGCCCTTCCTGCACCTGCTGTTTCTCAAGTGACTTCAGCTTGAAAATAATCAATACTCCACCCACATAGCCAACAGATACATGAAAAAATGCTCAACAACATTAATCACTAGGGAAATGAAAATTAAAACCACAAAGAGATTTTCCACAATGAGATTTTCACCTCATATCTGTCGGAATTGCTATTATCAAAAAGATGAAAGATAACAGTGTTGGCGAGGATGTGGAGAAAAGAAAACTCTGGTACGCGGTTGGTGAGAATGTAAATCAGTGCAGCCTTTATGAAAAACAGTAAGGAAGTTCCTCAAAAAACTAAAAATAGGGTTATCATATGAGCCAGCAATCCTACCACTAGGTATATATACAAATAAATTAAAATCAGTTTGTCGAAGAGATATCCACACTCCCATGTTCACTGCAGCGCAATTCACAATAGCCAAGATGTGGAGTCAACCTAAGTGTCCAACAGTGGATACGTGGATAAAGAAAATATGGTACATATACATGATGGAATACCATTCAGCCATAAAGAGAGGAAAATTATGTCATTTGCAAAAACATGGATGAACCTGGAGTACATTATAATCAGTGAAATGAGCCAGACACAGGAAGACAAATACTGCATGTTCTCACTCGTATGTGGAAACTAAAAAAATTGAACACATAGAAGAATCAGAAAGCTAAATGGTGGTCACCAGAGACTAGAGAGTGAAGAGAATAGGGAAATGTTGGCCAAAGAATATAATGTTTCCATTAGACAGAGGAATAAATGATAACTATATGAGGTGAAAAAAAGCAATAAGCCAAAGATGCATATTCTGGGGTAGCATGTCCTGAATTCCTTCAACAATTAGAGTACATATCAGAATTGTGAAGAGATGATCCTTGCCCACCACAACCTCTGCACCAGCCATTCTGCCTTAGGAGATGTGGTGTGGGTCCAGACAAGTCCTGTCCTGCCATGCTCTTTTAAGTGATTTTGATATGTGGTTTCAGTTAAACACAATTTTACTGAATTTTAATAGATGAAAATGTTATCAAGGCAAGTAAGTTTGAGAAATGCTCAATCATATGTTCTCTTTGATTTTCACAGTACACTTTATCAGCATGGAACACATTCTGGGCAATCCTGTTTTAATTTAAAAATATATATATTGTTGGTTTTTTAATACTCTTTTATAGAATACATGTACATTTTCTCAATGAACTCTCAAATCACAGTTTAGAACATGAGATCAAGAAATATGAAGTGACTACCTAAGATCTCTGCTAGTAAATGGCTGAATGATCTGGACTACAATTCTTTGGACTCTTCCTTCTCAGGAGATCCTGTAGTCTCACAGCCCCATAGCTGTGATCTAGGTAGTACAAGAAGAACCACATAAAAATACAGTGATGAATAGCAGCGTTCCTGCATTTCTTTTGCAGTTGTTGTTTGTTATTTTTTCTTTTGAAATATTTCCTTTGAACTGATTTCCCTACTACTATGAAGAGGAGGGGAGGGAAGATAACACCCCAGAACAGGTGTTTGTTATAATGGCGGCCTCCTACTACCAGATGACCCATATTATCTCCCATCTGTCACAAACCTAATTCATAGAGAATGAGAAATAACACATTTTTTAAAAATTCTGTATATGCAATCCTTTGTTCTGTTGCATTATTTCATTGATACTTTAACTGTATTTTAATGTCTTCTTAATCTAGATGCCATACAATAATATTAATTTTTAAACAATTTTAATGGATGCCAAATAGTCAAGAACACAACTATACATGCAATATTCCAACTAAATGATAAAACCCAGTGAAATGGGTGCCATAGTACACTTCACCTTTAGGCCATCTCTGTGACAGTCATGCAGGCCAAGTAAAATTATTGAATCCATTTGAAATGGTAGGAAAGCAATTCAAATGGTTACTTTTATTTTTTGAGACAGGGTCTTCCTCTGTCACCCAGGCTGGAGTGCTGTGGCATAATCATGACTCACTGCAGCCTCGACCGCAGAGGCTCAAGCTATTCTCCCACCTCAGCCTCTCAGTCGCTGGGACAACAGGTGTGAGCCACCACTCCCAGCGTTTTTTTTTGTTTTTGTTTTTTTTTTTTTGGAGGGATGAGGTCTTGCTGTGTTGCCCAGGATGGTTTTAAACTGCTAGACTCAAAAGTGCTGGGATTACAGGCACAACGCACCTTGCCTGGGCCCCAGATGGTTACTTTTAAAGTAAACAGCTAGTAGCAAGTCGAGTTACCAGCTAGCTAATTAAATGATTTTAACCATTATTTTCAAAACTTGTAAAATAAATATAGCCTTTTCCAGCTGAAAAAAAAAACCTTCCAACAACCCTGTGAAATTAGAGACCCAAAGAAATTGTCTAGAATAAGTGACACACTTGCAATATTTAATGCAAGTTCAGTGACTTTATCTCTACATCCTTTTATCTCTATAGAGACACAAGTGATTATATCAGTGCAGATTATTTTAGCAGCTTAGTAAAGGAGAGAACATTTTTCGTTTGAAAACATTGCCTAGCTTTTATTATATGTCTCTCCTAACATTTTGTTACCTAGTAAAATATTTGGAGAATGTATCTCAATATTAATACATTTAAAAGTGAGGCTATTTTGTTTCATCTCTTATGTTGGGGTTTAAATGACTTGGTGTCAAAGAAATCTCTTGTGTTATTACATCCTGTTTTCATCAGCTGTAATGTCCTAAGCATGTTCACACTAAGGTGTGCTCCTGAAAGTTGCTGGAAATTTTTGAAAAATTGAATCATATTACAAAATACTCTAAAAATGTTTGGTATGAAAAAGAGACTGAAGATGACTCATTTTATAAAGCAATATGTCTATTTTTTGCTAGGAGTTCTGCAAGACTGGCCCAGAAAGACTGATAGCAAACTGGGAATTACCAAGGGTGCTGTCAGAAACAGATGAAATGCAGGGCATGGCATTAAGTAAGCAGGAAGGAAAAAAAAAGGTCAGATAGGCCAATATTGATTCACTGTGAAGCCTAGAGAATGGAATTCATATAGGAAAACAAATTAGGAAAAGAAAGAGTTCAGTAAGAAGATGAAATATTTAGTCTCCCATTTATTCACTGAGTATTTATTGAGATCATAGAATGTGCTGGGCAGTGGGCAGTCTACTAGCTGTAGAGATACAGCTGTGAACAAGAGAAACACAAGTCCTGTCTTCATGGACATTACTGTCTCATCTAGTGTTGCTCAGACTTGCAGAATGTAAGTCTCATTCGTATGGACAAAAAACAAGTTCTCCCAGAGAACTAGTGCTAACCTAAATTAATTGTGTTACAATGATAAATAAAAATATATTAGCATACAACTAAATATTAATACATTATATATCCAGCTCTTATATGGTTGTGTTAGTCTGGTTTCACACTGCTATAAAGAACTGCCTGAGACTGGGTAATTTATAGAGGAAAGAGATTTAATTGACTCACAGTTCAGCATGACTGGGGAGGCCTCAAGAAACTTACAATCATAGCAGAAGGCAAAGGGGAAACAAGGCACCTTCTTCACAGGGTGGCAGGAAGATAGAAGTGCTGAGCAAAGGGAGAAGAGCCACTTATGAAACCATCAGATCCCGTGAGAACTCACTCACTATCCTGAGAACAGCATGGGGGAAACCGCCTCCATGATCCAATTACCTCCACCTGGTCTCTCCCTTGACATGCATGGATTATGGGGATTATAATTCAACTTGATATTTGGGCAGGGACACAAAGCCTAACCATATCAACAGTTATAAAAAGGTATCAGAATTATAAAACAAATACACAATTTCAACACCAGTAAAACTCAAATTAGCCTCATTAATTAAGTATAATAGATGATATTTTGTTGAAAACAGTATTAACTCACAACATACTCCATTGCCCTAACAAATTGTGCTATCACCAGCACATCTTTTTAATATATCTATAAATCTATAAATCTTCATTTATGTGGCACAATGTGACATAACATTTTCACTTGACACATATACACTATTTACTTGTGTTCACCTCTGTTCCAGTCTTATTAACCCATGACAATTAAAGGGCCATGATTTAGTGCCAACATAATTGAGAATATATATATTTTTACATTGTAACTATATATAATGACAACGCAAAATTTAGCTAAACTTGTCTAAACTTGCAGATAGTTGATAGATGCCCCCATCCATGGCCAAATAAATCTGTTCACCCCTTTTGCAAGGAGATATAGGATGAGAGGCCTGATTAAAAGACTATTGCTCTGGTGAGGATGCAGACTCTAAATATATAAGTTATTATAGGGGTGCTTGGCTTTACTCAGAGACAGTGTTATGAGGGCAGAGCAGAGGGATCTCCAGCCCAGCCCTTTAGGATACCTCTTTGAAGAAGTAACATTTAAACAGACTTGAGGAAAGAATTGGTTTTAACCAAGAAAAGAGTACAGGAGAATATGAGGGCTAAATTTTTCAACATGTTAACACTAGAGTATCTGTGCACCACTTCAGATCAGCCACTGACCTTGTGGGACTGAGTGTTAAATATTTTGCATTTATCCAGTAACTTGAAGAATCTTCATCTATGAAATAAGGGCTATCATACCAACCTTATAGCATTCCTGGGGTCATTCAATGAGTTACAGTATGTTGGTACTAGGCACAAGGTCTGGTGTGAAGTAAGTAACTTTACTGGAATTGCAACAATGGTGGTGATGTTAGGATGATTCTAAGTAACCTAATCAGAATCATATGTTGCTAAGACTGATGGTATATTTGTTAACTATAAAAGCAAAATTTTATCTGTGCCTAGGGCCAACTTTCTTATCCTCTCCATGGATGAGAAGAAGAAACTGGACTCTACTATTTTTGTTTATTATACACATCCCAGAATACTCTTATGCAGCATTTGAGAGGGAAAAGCAGAATACTTTTGGCCCCTCAGAGGACAAATAACTTCAAAGATTTATACTATAACTTTTGTAGGGCAATATACTTTTTAGTCTATATAAAACAATTGTCCTCTCTTCCCTGCACATTTAAAGGAGCTACTAAGGAACTCTAACATAGCATGGCCTCTGCCCTGCAGACATTTGTGCCTTTTAGCAAAAGATCAATAGTCTTTTGCCCTCAAAGAAATCCCTTCTCTCTGAGCATCAAGAAACAGAGTTGAAGTTCATACTCTCTGAACCCCCAGTAGTAAACCCTCATTTCCTGCCCACACTCATGAAGCCCTACCTTATTTTGGTTCATAAAGGATGGTTCAAGGACACTATGCCCAAGCTCTTCCCCACACCCAATAATCTGGGTCCAGAGTGAGAACAAGAGTTGCTTCCATATTTCTAATGTCAGTAACCACAGACATCTGATTTTCTAATGGTTTCTTATAGACTAGAAGTCAACAGTCCATCCAGCCATGAAAATAAACTCTGACTTATAAGTTCAAGACGAAAATAAAAGAAGTATACAGAGTCACAAATAGATTAAATTTCAGATACAGAAAAACTCCAATAATAACAAGGATGGGATTCTGTTTAGAATTTGAATACATAATTTATAGGCCAGTTGTCCCAAAGGCTCCCCTTTGTGGCACACAGCACATATTCTAGCAGAAAGTGGACACCTAAAATCAATTGTTGGTACAATCAGTCCTTTCATTTTGCTATTGATTTCTTGGCATAAAATGACTCACTAAAGGTCACTTGGCTAGCTAGCCTCTAATCTAGGTCTGCATTGTTGGCCTCTCAATTCTTTTTTTTTTTTTTATGCTTTAAGTTCTAGGGTACATGTGCACAACGTGCAGGTTAGTTACATATGTATACATGTGCCATGTTGGTGTGCTGCACCCAGTAACTTGTCATTTAACATTAGGTATATCTCCAAATGCTATCCCTCCCCCCTCCCTCACCCCACAACAGGCCCCGGTGTGTGATGTTCCCCTTCCTGTGTCCATGTGTTCTCATTGTTCAATTCCCACCTATGAGTGAGAACAGGCGGTGTTTGGTTTTTTGTCCTTGCAATAGTTTGCTGAGAATGATGGTTTCCAGCTTCATCCATGTCCCTACAAAGGACATGAACTCATCATTTTTTATGGCTGCATAGTATTCCATGGTGTATATGTGCCACATTTTCTTAATCCAGTCTATCATTGTTGGACATTTGGGTTGGTTCCAAGTCTTTGCTATGGCCTCTCGATTCTTAATCCAGTGATCTTTCTGGTACTTATTAGTGCTTCCTCTTTTTTCCACAGGTTTTATTGAAAAACACATACACACATTTAAAATTCTCCCACCACTTGTACCAGTTTGCCCCCAAGAATCTTTCCAAGGTTCCCTTCCCAAACCTGACCTATCAGTCTTTCTGTAGCCATCCCTTTATGCAAATTACATTCTTGCTCTCTGCCTGCTTCCCTTGAACTGACACTTAACACTTCCCTTTATTACCTGTCCTTTCTTTACCTAATACTTTAGCACCAGAACTCTTGGCTTAATGCCCTACACCAAATGACAGTACCCTGGAGATCTGGCCTTTTACCCTTCCTTCTTTGGAGCTAAACAACAACCTTACCAGCTTTCCAACCAGTTTCTTCTCTTGGAACCTGATAACTACTCTGCCATAAAATAAACAGAGAACTGAGGACCCATAAAATTCAACACCAGCCTGAATGGTTCTAGTCATATTATTGACCTTTTACCTAATGCCTGCCTCCCAAGGTTAACTCTGCTAATTTTCACCAGGGTTGAGGCTATGTCTGTTATCTCCTGACCTTGACTCTATCCTGACTCCTGCTAATTCCTTAGCAATGTTTCGTCTCCAGAAGGGACGTGGCAGTCAAAGGAACCCAAAAGCAACTGGCACCTGACCCAGGCTATTGGCAAATGCATTTTCTACTGGCCCATCAAACTGGTGAGCAACAGAATCATCTTGAGAGGAGAGTGAGGTGGCATTCACAAATATGGATGTGAGTAATGAGAGCTTGTCAGGCCTTATGCTTCTAAAAAACAGATTTTTGTGACAGAATTAGATAAAGTTTTATTTCAAACTTGCATAACTCAGCATTATGCTATGTAAATCTTCATGCTTTTAATTTTCTGCTAAATTTCATGGTCCAAAAAAATCAACAGATGCTGAAGAAAATTATATTTATGTAAAAAAGCTTCTAATTCAATATGAAAATAATAAAAGAATGAAGGCTTACTCATGCAACTCAAAAAATCTCGGCAGAATTTTGAAGTCCAAGAGCTTCCCCTAGGGGGTACTGGCATGTTACAGTGACCAGATAGTATTGATGCCACCTTTTCCCACAAATATACACCCCTCTTCCCCAATACCAATCACAGTCTTCACAACATTTGACTTCACCTCTTCTCCAGTGATTTAAGTGTGGTGCTTTTGCTGCCACAGCCCCAACTTTTATTTTTATACACTCAAAATAATTACATTTAGAGAAAAGAGGTTTCAAAAGCACAGATATCCCCAAGCCAGACATTTTACAAATAAGTGCCACTGGGCTCAAAGCAAACTTTAAGAGAGTGTTAATGTCTCTATGTGTTTTGATCAGTGTAACAAGCCACTCTAAAACTTAGTAGCATAGAAAACCCACAATGATTGTTTTGTCTGTAAAGATATGTGGGTTAACTAGGCTTAGCGAGGCAGTTCTTCTGCTTCATGTCCTCTTGGCTAGGGCTAGCAACAGAATCAGCCTGGCCACTCCTCCAGAGGCCAGACTGAGCTAGAATCCAAGATGGCACACACATGTTGTTGGAAGTTCAGCTGGTAATGTTGACTGAAACACCTCCATTCTCCTTCCAGCGGACTTTCCATGTTACTTGAGATTCACACAGGGTTCCAAGAGTTAACATTACACAACATCACTTCTACTACATGCTGTTGCCAAAATATGTCACAGTATCAAGGGAAGGGAAAAAGACTCCACCTCTTCACGATCCATCACGCTATCCAAATATATCTATCCATATATATGGAAGAAAAACAAATCAAAGATTTTATTGTTGAGGCAGTCATCTCATTGCGTATGAAGTACCTTCCCTTGGTTGACTCAATCCCAAAAGAGACCCAAGAAGCTGACTCACTGCTTTTGAATTTTCTTCAAGGCAGGAACAGAGTGAGAATTTCTCAAATTACCCATATTGGAATCTAACTTCGAGGGGGCCTAGGGAATCTTGAGGCTATTTAAAAATCAAGGGTCATGTAGGCTTGAAAATTCCTGTGATTTATAACCCTGCTTGGGATTTACCTTGAACTCTATAAATGTAAAAACAGCCCAAATAATACTCCAACAGATTCTGCCAAATGAAAGCATAGTGGGCCACCTAGGTATAATTGTTAGGAGGGAGAGGACTACAGTGGTTCTGCCTACCAAAGGGTTAAATTTAAAAATTTTTAAATCGATACTCATTTGCATTGTGTTCCAGCTCTATTAAAACACAGGACTAGAGGTTGGGCATGGTGGTTGGCTCATGTTGACAATCCCAGCATTTTGAGAGGTCAAGGCAGGAGGATCACTTGGGCAACATAGCGAGACCTCCATCTCTACAAAAAAAAAATTTTTTTTAAATAGCTGGGCAAGGTGGTGCATGACTGTAGTACTAATTAATTAGGAGGCTGAGGTAGGAGGATTGTTTGAGCCCAGGAGTTCAAGGCTGCTGTAATTCATGTTTGTGCCACTGCACTCCAGCCTGGGCAATAGAGTGAGACTCTCTCTCATCATATATATAATCATATATATATATATACATATATATATGAATTTTTTCTCTCTAGTCCTATATGTAACATATTATAATACGTATACTTATATATATAAGTATAAATATAGATATAAATATATATTATAATATATACTTACATATATAAGTATAAATATATAATATATTATAATATATATCTAGGACTAGAGAGAACAAGATGATGAACTCAGTTCCCATGAAAGAACTCAAGGTTTGCATTTACCATACCCCGAAGCCAGACTGGTCATTTCGTAAACTTGCATCTTGATTTACCAATGGATCTGGAAGAAAGGAGACAGGTCAGTGCTCCTCCATTCTTGACATTGAGAACACATAAACCAGCAGGTCTTCTCTTGAATATTGAACTTCTTTCTACTTCTCTTTATCTCAATCTCCTTCCCCCATTAAAAGTCAGGAAGAAAACTAATATTTATTTAGTTCTTACTGTGTGTCACCCACTGTACTAGCTTTTTTTTTCAATTTTCTTCTTTGTTAAACCAATATCATGTAATTTAATTATTACCATTTGGAGTTTTGCACACCATAGGTATTTAATAAAAAGTTCTCATTTGACTTGCTAAGTTATGTGGCTGGTAATCAATCACGGCATCAGCAGTGTTTCACCCCATGAAAAAATCTCACATATTTTTGAGGACAACCTCCTTTGGTTCTCAAGTACAGAAGCTGAGTATCCTTGCCAGGCACAAAAATATATTATTTTTTGGCTCATATCAGCTCAGATATGATATTAAATTTGCAAAACATGGTAATGAAATCCTGAAGAAATAGAAGACATTTTCATAATTGTACTTTAACCTATGTAAGATATCTTATTACTGAATATTCGTACAAAATGCCATTTGACCATGAGCTGGAGACGTTGCTTATTGCAAGCATTTTACAAGCTAATTTTGGATGAATGTACTACTTTAGCAAATTTGCACTTCTCAAAAATAGGAATTTCATCTAGAATGGAATGGCAATTTTCCCTCAGGACATGAATGATCATTCTCATTTTGTTAAAATATTTCAATATACTGAATTTAATCAGCATGGTTTTAATTATCCCCTTCCTCTGCCCCTTGTTTCCAGTTCTGCTTTTATCCTTAACTCCCAAATTTTCTTTGGCAGATGATTAAAATCTATACATTTTCCTTTATACAATAATTGTTCATTTAGTCTACCCCTGAGTTAAAGTTGAGAAAGATTTTCAAATCAGAATGAATCATCACTGGAAATCAAAAGGCATTTTAATAATATTGTAACTTATCTGACCTTTAAAAAATAGATCACTCTAAAGAAATCTTATCCAGAAGTCAGAATGAAAAGTGTTCAGAAGATCTTTCACCAATTTTAAGGATATAAGACAAGATAGCATGTGAAGAAAGAAAAGGAAAGGATGAAACAAGCATCAAACTATAGAAAGACATAGCCATTACCAAAAAAAAAAAAAAAAAAAAACAAGAAATTTGAATCTCATCCTATCTTGTATAAAACATTAATATTATTTGCTTATTTAATCAAGGTTTGTTTTCCAAAAGGATCTTTTCTCTCACTCACTTTTATGTCTAACAGTATCCTGTTTTCTGAATTAAAATGCATAGTTCTCAGTAGTATAGATTTTATTTGGTAGGTATGCTATACAAGATTCCTACAATATTGCCATGCACATGTAGATGATTAGTATAGTTCAAGTATATAGACATTTTCAAAGGAAATGTTATATCTCTTTGTATATGTATATGTGGGGGTTTATATATATATGTATGTGTGTATGTATGTATATATGTGTATATAAAGATGTGTGTGTGTCTTTATATACACATATATACATACACACATACACACACATATATATAGTCAAAAATTTGATTGAGGCTTCTGCCTCTTTTCTAAGAGGCCAATAGTTTTTAATTCAATGTTCTATCTCAACAAGAGTTATCCAGCTACCCACTATTTCTATTCTGTGTCTACACAGGTACTGATTGTCACACCCTGTAAAAAATTGGAGCCACCAAATTTCTTTCTTTTTTTTTTTTTTTTGAGATGGAGTCTCGCTCTGTCGCCCAGGCTGGAGTGCAGTGGCGTGATCTCGGCTCACTGCAAGCTCTGCCTCCCGGGTTCACGCCATTCTCCTGCCTCAGCCTCCTGAGTAGCTGGGACTACAGTGGAGCCACCAAATTTCATGACTGACTCCCTGTTCCAAGTTTTCCTGCCTCCAAGAATCTGACCTTTCATATCACACTCAGACACAGATGTGCACAGACCACTGGTGTGATCGGTAAACTTTCCTATTCCCTTTAAAGAATGGTGCACTTTGAACCTGGTCTATGCAAACCATCTATGCTAGTACGGTGAATTTTCAACCGTGTTTTATAATACAGTATATTGGAATGATTAAACCGGGTTCTCTGTAGTGCTTTCATAATAAATGATTTCAGTTCTTTAAGTTGAATCTCATTTCTGAGAGTTCACATTCATAATGGAAATCTATCATCTAAGAATTAATAGCAGCCTCATAGATGTCTCCAAAATTACTACAACTTACCCATTGGGATCTCCTAAAATAGGCATTCAGGTACCAGAAGTTGATCATGTAGGCATTCTGTGATGAGTTTAATTATGCCAAAGAATGCCTACATTTGTCTTAAATCTACTTTTAGAAACCAGTTGTCAAAACAGTCCACAATGTGTGGATCTGTGGGTGAACTCCATAAACAGGTGTCACTATATTTTTCTGTCTTGAAAAATACATCAAGTAGTGTCTGCTAGCTGCCAAACAAAAGATTACATAGAAATACTGATGGAGAAACAGGACCCATAAGACATCAGCTCATCCTTAGCTTGTGTGTTTAAAGTCAATCAGCTTTACAGAGTGTCCCATTTACATTCCTCATATCACAATGTCTATACTTCCTTGCAGAAAATTTCTTGTCAGGATTTAAAAGAGGCCATCGTTGATAAGATTAATGAGCTCCATCTAAGAAAATGAGCCATTACCATGTTTATCACCAATTTTTCCCCCAATAGCTATCTCTGTAATATATAATAAAACTCTGCAGACAAATTCTTCTACCCTCTTACCTTCTGCCTTTGTAAATTTGCCATGTAATAACAACATTTATTCATATAGAAGGCTGCTTAGAAAAGTATGTGTGGTGTCCTGAATGGCTGCCACATTTTATCTCAGCAGAGTTCCATTCTATGTTAGCAGGCAGAGCAGTCCTCTTTCATTGACAGTGTCAAAATAGATACATCCTCAAAGAGTTAAGACATCTGTGGTGCATGCTATTAGGGTTAACCTCAGGTTCAATCAGCTACTATAGTCCAAGAGGAAAATGGACTCCAAAGTAAGCTCCCAGATCCAACAGGGTATTCACCCCCTCATAAAAGGCTCCCAGATTAAGATCTGAAGAGGCTTTTATAAGCTGATCCCCAGGGTCCCTGGGAAAACAGTGTGAGTTCATCTACACAAGGTAATGGGTTATGACAACATAACAGAAGATAATACCAAAAAAAATACTTCTCCCAATATTATCTAACACCTGATTAGAAATGGTAAATAAAAGAAATATTTAAATGACTTCTATTTTGACAGTTAATAGACTTGCATTCTACATCCTCAGAAGAAACAAATTTCTTGGCTACGTTTTTGCACTAAAGTAGTTAAATCCGAAAGCCAATGTTTCTCTGAGATCTTATATATCATCAGTTGGGCTAAGATCAAATATCCTCTTATTCCCTCTCTTCAATTGTGTTCTGGATTGCAAAAAAGTTTAAGCTCCAAATGAAAAGGAATAGATAAGTATTTTGCAGCATAAAAATAAACTGCCTGTTAAGTATGATCTCTTAAGGAGTATAAAATTTCTATAAGCTGGTATACATGTTGCATGTGGCTCAAAGACTATCCTGCATTTTCCACCAGTCTGGTTTTTAACTGGCTGTTCCAAGGCCATAAACTCTCAGAGGGAAGCTCTCTGTAATTTGATATGGAATTTCATGATTTAGAGGCCCACGGCAGGAATGATGGAAAGGGAGTTTTCTCAACTCAAAGCTCCTATAGGGAGATCAAAGCTCATTATCTGAATCTTGGACTAGTTTATTTTACAAAGCCAGAAACTAGCATAAGCTTTGTTAACTCCTTCAATTTTATTCTTTGGGTGAAGAATTCTAAACACTTTCCAGAAAAGTATATTAAATGCCACTGGATGGAGGAAAAGAAAAGCTGAGTACATCCAATATGTTGGAGGACAAATAGTGGGAAATCAAAAGTTAGAAGATTAGCCTAGTTTTTCATAGAGACAATCCTTTAATCTTTCCCAGGAAATAAAAGGCTTCCAGTGAGGGGAAACAATGGACCTGAACAGCAGGAGTATTTGGGATGGGAGCCAGTGAGCAAGAGTCACTAACAGAGAGTGGTAATTTGGAATGAATTGCTGTTTTGTGTTGTGAAGCACCAGGACACAGCTGGTGTACTGGCTAACCTGAGGATTTGTAGTGACTGCATTGAAATGGTAATGAAGTTTTTATTTTATGATTGCAGATGTTTGTAGATTATTGTTATTAAGCTTATTAGAGTAACAGTACAAATATGAGATTTTTGTTTACTTGGTATCTTATTTATAAGAGCTTTGTTAAAGTCTTTTTAACCCAAGTCAAGAAAATAAAAGGCATGCAGTAACCAAAATGTGGTAAACCATCAGGCAATCCTTTGTGTGTGTGTGTGTGTGTGCGTGCGTGTGTGTGTGCGTGCGTGTGTGTGTATGTGTGTGTAGGGTTCTCCTACCTTTGAGGCAAATCTGAAAGTTTCCATGATTGTTGTGCCTTAAGTAATATTGTCAAGTGATCTGCTCAAAGGTAAAACACACAATCATTATATTAACAGTGTTTAATATCAGTGGTCTGGAGTTGGACTGCCTAGCCAACTATGCCATGTACAAACTGTGTAATGTTAGTTACTTGACTTCTTTATGTCTCAATTTCCTCCTGTGTAAAACTGGGGTTAAAAAAATGCTACCCCTTTCATAAAGTCATTCTGAAGATTCAATGAGATTATCTGAATAGAGCCTTGGCAATTAATGTTCACTCTTACCTAAAAGGGTCTTTAATGTGGAAGAAAGTTTACGCATTTTATTCAAAAGGCTTGACACAAAGAAATTCATTGCGAACTCTATTGTCTTGCAGACTGTTCTGCTTAATCAAGTAATCCGAAGTATACATACATGTTTTATGTGAATAACAAGTTTTAGAAGCAATGAAATAAATAATATTTAGTTGTTTTATTGTTAGGCATAGATGACCTCCTTTTAATAATTTAGAAACTGCTGAAGAACCTTGAAATCTCTCAAGAAATTGTCATCAGTGACTACCAAGTAGTATCATAAGATATACTGACAAAAGTGTTGGAGATTCCAGCTATAAAACTCCCAAATGATTTTGCTTTCATTATGGTTCTTTTCCTAGCTGGCCAGAAGGACACAATAAATACATAGGAAGAGAAATGAGCATTCACTGGGGAATTCAATTTGTAACTTGACAGAACAATTTCCTTAGGTTGAAAAATTCAAAATCCCCCAAAATAACCCATATGTAAAAATAAAGTCATTATCATTATACATTTCAAAATGAAAATAACTACTAGTTGGCCAATTAAAGTGAAACCTCTTTCATATTGACTACTCACCAGTTCCTTCCAGTGTTGTGATGCTGATGATTTAGTACCAATTTGAGAAACTAATGAAGAATCCTGTGATTCAATGAAATATATTTGGAGTCTACTCATAAATTTTCAATAAGTTGAAAACTACTAAAAATTTTCAAATAGGTATATATTTTCTGGAGTTTTCTAACAAAATTCAATAGAAATTGGTTCATAGTCAGTGGTTATAGAGTAATAGCTTAAGATATTTTAAGGGTTTATTTTAAGTACTATACTATAGAGTTTGTAAAATTATATGTTCACCTCAATGTATCCATAACCTATTTCATTAACCCAAGGTACCCACTTTGGGTTATGACTTCGGAAGTAATAAAAAAAAAACACATTGTGTAAATTATAAAGCACTAACTTGGAGTAGGGTGAATGTCAGGGAATTGGGAAGCCAATCAATTTAAATATCTCTAAATTCAAAAATGATTCACTTCAGAAAAGTTCCATTCTCTAGTAGGTATTTTTCCCAAGTGGAATTTGTAGATTTAAAAATGATGTAAGCCTGGAGCTGCCAAGGATCAACACATAAGGAAAGATTGTGTGAGAATGAAACTAACTCAGAGGAAAGCTGAGCCCAAGAGACTGAGGGAGACAGGCCCTGGTGACATCATTTGAGGCCTCAGAATTCAACCATGCCTGGGCTTCTTAGTTCTATGAGCCACTAAGCTCTCTTTATGGCCTTTGCCTGTCAGAGCTGGATTTCTGTTACTTAAAAACAGACAGAACCCTGACTTATACAGAGACTGTGGTCAGAAATTTTGAGGAAATGCTTCAAACTTTATCTCTCTTGCAAATTCTTATTGTGCACTAACTTATTAAAAGATCTGGGAAAATCCACTGGAAGGAAACTTGTTTATCTTTGTTGACCACTGTTTTCAGTCTTGGTTGATGATGGAACCTCCTTTCACCCAACACCTATGAACATATTTGGGAGTGGGATACTCATCTAGGGCATGGTGGAAAAAGAATTGTCAAAAAATATGTGCTGATCACTCTTGTTTGACTCCAGCAGCATTCCAGAAGAAGAAAGCCATTAAGTGAAGTAGTCTCCTATTTATCAGATGAGCAAGTCTAAATGAGTAGGGAGCTGAGGTTCATCCTCCTTTGCATCCTATATCCCCACTGCACAAGGGCAGGATGGTGGACATCTACCATCTCTTTAAATGGCAAATTCTAAGGTGCTTACGATAACTTGCCGGTCCTTCCCTCTGCCATGTTCTAATATGTCAGTGGTTTTTCCTGACTTCATTTCTCTCTTAGTCTGTTGGTGCTGCCATAACAAAATGTCTGATATTGGGTAATCTATAAGGAACATAATTTTTTTTCATGGACCCACAGCCTGGAAAGTCTAAAATCAAGGCACTGACAGGTTCAGTGTCTGGTGAGGGCCTGGTCTCTGCTTCCAAAATGGCACTTTGAACCCTGTTCTCACGTGGCAGAGCCCTCATGACCTAATCACCTACTAATGGCCTCACCCCTTAAGATTGTTGCATTGGAGATTAACTTTCAAACTGAATTTTGGAGGTGACACAAATACTCAAACTATAGCATGCTGCCCCTCATCCCCCAAAATTCATGTTATTCTCACATAAAAAATAAATTCATTCTATCCTAATAGCCCCAAAAGTCTTAACTCATTCCAGCATAAACTTTAAGTCTAAGTCTAACATCTAATCTAAATATCACCTAAATCATATATAGGTGAGATTCAAGGTATGACTCATCCTGAGATAAATTGTTCTCAAGCTGTGAACCTATGAAATCAAACAAGTTCTATGATTCCAAAATATAATGGTAGGACAGGTACAAAACAGATATTATTTCCATCTCTGAAGGGAGAAGTAAGAAAGAAGAAACGGGTAATAGGTCCCAAGTAAGTCTAACACCCAACAGGCAAATAACATTAAATCTTGAGGCCTGAAAACAACCTTCTTTGACCACATCCTGTGAGGCTTGTGTCCCCAAGACTCTAGGGGACTCCACCCCCATGGCTCTTCCGAGTGCAGCCTATGCAATAGCTCGCATATGTTTGAGTCAAATGCCTTCAGCTCTGCCAGGCTGAAACAGCATTCTGGAGGCTCTACCGTTTTAAGATCTCAGAGATCTTCAACAATAAGATTCCCCACTCCCATGACTCTGCTGGTCATGTTCCTAGCAGGACATCCTGTGAGGATTTGTCCCCAAGACTCTAGGGAACTCCACCCCCATGGCTCTTCTGAGTACAGCCAGAGTATCCCACTCCCAAATACGTTCATAGGTGTTGGGTGACAGGAGACCTCATCATCAACCAAGATTGAAAACTGTGGTCAACAAAGATAAACAAGTTTCCTTACAGTGGATTTTCCCAAATCTTTTAATAAGTTAGTGCACAATAAGAATCTGCAAAAGACAGATTCTAGTTTGTGCTACAGATAAATAGTTTGAAGGATTTCCCCAAAATTTCTGACCACATAAACAAATGATATAAAATTTACATAGTAATCTGATTTTTAAAGGAAGGGATTCTTTAATAATTTCTTATTTATTTTCGTTCTGAGAGTAAAAATCAGCATACTCATCACTTATATAATATAAATTTGAGAAGAGCTCTTCATGAATTCCCCATTCAATTATTTTATCTTTAAATAAAAGGTGAATCGTGTTAAGCATTTTAATCAACTCTTTGGAAAGCCATCATAAATACATTTCTCCGTTTATGAGTAACATGGAAAATAAGCGCTGACACAAGATAATCCTAAAGATTACTGCTATTCAATAGCCTTGTGTACTTCACTCTTTGGGTGTTTAATAAATACTTGCTGCTTGATTAACTTTAAGGAATAGAAAGATTCTCTCACTAGTGTGAACAAAAGAAGTGATTGTCACACACCCTGTGTTCTGCTTTTATTCCCTTTCATTTTTTTTTCTTATGTCTGCTAGAATAAGAAATAAAAAAAATAGAGAAGTTCATGTTTGGAAAAATATGAGTACTTAACATGGATATGAATAAATTATTACCAAACTGCATGTAGCATGAGTATATAACATTGAGTCAAAATTAATGTAACAGAACTTAAAACTGGTCAAAAATTCACTGTATCTCCTAGAATTTGGAGAATCGGTCAAATTTTACTAATATTTTGAACATGTAACCATATTTGAGTAATATTGCTTTCATTAGAAATTTTCTCTTTAACCTAAAATGCATGCTAAGTTTTTTCTGAACCCTTAAGCATGCTTCTATTATCTACAAGATAATTTTTACCCCACTTAATTCAGTCAATGGGTATTTATTAAATACCCCCTATCTGCCAGGTACTGTGTCTGCAATGAAAAAAACACACATGTCCCAGCCCTTATAAAACTTGTATACTGGTAAACAGTCTCAGATTGTATAATATAAACCATTGGCAAAATGGAGTTCTGCTTTCAGAAAAAAGTGTACTTTATAGCAAACTTGGCTAAAACACAAATATTCCAGTAAATAGGGCATAACTGCCTGTGCTGTTTTAGAGACACAATTCTGAAACCAAACACTGACTTTGAGTGAAGTAGAGCTTAGTTCAAATTCGGCTCTGCTCCTTTTTGGATTCATGACTCTATCTATAAAATCAGATTAATAACCCTAAATTCACAGGCATAATGTGAAAATTACATGGAATTTGTACAAGGAAGATTAAGTAGTAAGCCCCCCAAAAGTGACAGCTCTTGATACTGCTACTACTTCTGCTTATATCTTACTTTGTAAATCAGAAGTTTGAATTGAAACCAGAAAAACCTCAATGCTTGTAGAGGGCATGTCCTGGTACATTTACATATATCCGGAATTTTTTATTTAAATATCCTTGTTCATAAAGCCTTTCTAATTACAAAAGCCACTGTTTTTCCTTTTAACACTCTTTTATAGTCTTAGAATAGTGCAGTACTTTTCAAACTTAACAACTTCTGGACCTTAAATTGAAGAGTACTGCACTGTATATATTTGAACCAATGACTTTCAGTAAGTGTGAGTGTGTGTGTAAGTGTGTGAGGGTGGAAGACACTTCAGTGCTTCCTTCCCAGGATTATTAATGTGAATTAACTATTAACTGATCAGTAATAAAGATGATGCAGTGAGAGAGAGTCAAGTTGAAACTGGACTGACTTCCAAGGTTATATCCTAATATCAGTAATTGCTTTGTAACTCTTAGGAAAATCCCTAATTTGACTTATTTTCATTCACTTTAAAAACCATAATCAATTATAAGTTATATTTCAATCCATTCCAGTTGAGTTTTCTTTTCTTTTCTTTTTCTGAGACAGAGTCTTGCTCTGTCGCGTAGGCTGGAGTGCAGTGGTGCGATCTCTACTCACTGCAACCTCCGCCTCCCGGGTTCTCGAACTCCTGACCTCAAGTGATCTGCCTGCCTCTGCTTCCCTAAGTGCTGCAGTTGAGTTTTCTTACCACTTCTAAGTAACACACATAGAAACTTGCTTCTCCTTCACCAAATGTTTGAAGAGGACATTTAGAAACTGTTACTCCTTGATAGCAGTAGAAGGATCACTTCAAATTAGAGTTGGAGAGAGTCTGATTTACAGAATGACAGTCTTAAAGCATTTAAAATGAAGATTATTTGGCAATTACCTAGGAAAGATTAAATATGTAGTAATAGTTTTATTAGTGTTTGCATTACAGGATTTACTGCTGTTTGTGTATTTGGTCACATGTTCCTTTTTTCCAATCAAATATTTGTGTTTTAATATGACAAAAAGTGATCAATTATAAATTTGATTAAAATAAAATTTCTAAAATGAATTCTAACATTTCCTTCCTATGAATAAGTACTTGTTAAATCTTTAAAATCACATATAAAGACCTATTTCCAAACAATAGGATTTCTTTTTCCATTACATATGATGATACGCCTGGCCAGAGCAGCCACATGTCATTGTTTATTCATTTATGCGAGATTTACATTTCATAGATGTCCATGAGCCCTTTTATCCTTAAATAAACAGTTTTATAAAAAGATGTATTACTTGTAAGTCTATATCATGAAAAGAACTTTTTCCTTTTTTGATCTGGCCTCCTCCTACCCTCACTTCCGTCATTTAAAAAAAAAATTTAAAAAGAAAGGGTCAGAGGAAATAGCTGGGGTTGGAAGGAGCCTAAAAGAATAAAAAAGCAGTTTATCCAGCAGCTGGTGGTTGCTTATTTGACATAGAAGTGACCAGACTCTTTCTAGATGTTTTCCTCCCATACACGATCTATAAACTTATAAAAAACTTAGAATATATAACACTTATTATAGATAACACTTATAATAATAAATATAAGTACATGCTTTATATGTGACAGATATGATTACTGTCTATGAGGATCTCTCAGTGTTTTGCAGGTCTTTATTTTTTAAATAAATAATCTTTAAAAACATTCCTGCAAAAAGAGCATAAGTCAGATATCTCAATTTTTAAAGGCTAGCGTAAAAAGTAAACATGAAGAGGCTAAGTTAAGGAAAATGCTCATGAAGATTCAGCTCTGGCATAGAATGCTGGTGTGAGTGTGTGTGTGTCCATGTGCACATGCACGCACACGAATGTGTCTCCATTTCTGCCTTTGCTTCTCTATATCTTAGGGTTTTTCTGTTTCTATGTTTCTCTAACTGGATCTCCTCTCTTACTTGCTTTATCAATCAATCTTTGGCAAAGCTGATTTTCCTTTATCTTGTCTGGAACATATTAATTGTCCTATTACAGTTTATCTTATACAAGCCGTAAGTTTCAACCCTTGCCCTAAATCTTGGTGTCTGCTCCACTAAAATATGGCAAATGTGGATGAATACATGTGAAACAACACATTCGAGGATGCAAAATGCCCTGATACATGTGGAGAAGGGAGTTGGGGAAGCAATGCCTGATGAATAGGAGAGAGGGGTTGCAGATATGTGGTGGGTATTTTTATATGGAGAACGTGATCATAATCCTATAACTTCTACCATGACCAAGGTAAAGGTATGGTACTGCCCCCTTAACTCCTACACAGTCAACAAACCCCTCCTGGGCATAGATGGGAGGCAAAAACAAATGAGGCCATGCTCTACCCTCTTGAATTTACAATTTTTTAAATGTAAACATGCCCAATTGTAAAGTGAAATATGTTACAGTGAAGCACATGGTTTTTTTTTAAGAAGCTCTGGGAGTATGAAGGAAAGGCTGGTCATATTCATTCATATATGTAATTTATCTTCCCCCCCTTTAGGCTGCCTTAAAGTTCAGTTAAATCTGATATCATCTTTACAAAATTTCAGGCAAGGAAAGGCAACAAGGAAGATCATAAAATATAATTTGTGCTGAATTATTTTTATATCCTCAACTCTGACCCCCAACACCACCATTTGAAGGCTTCTTGTCCTGTTACTTAAGGACAATCTTAGGCTTGCTCCCCACGCCCCAAAACTCTCATTAGTAATTGTAATGGTAGACTGAGCCAAAAGTGTCATAGTTACATCCTTCTCAACAAACACCCTAACAAGTCTTTTTGCCTCTGAATAACAGCAACAAAGACAAACCCCAGCTACCTAGGTCTGTGGGTTGGTAGTTCCCATCTTCAAGTCATTATTTAATTGAAAATGTATTTTTGATTTGTTAGAAAGAAAAATAACTGGCAAAGTTTATCAGGAATATATTAGCATAAAATGTCAATTCTTAATTTGTAAGTAATAATGTGGAAAATGGCAGATCATTAATTCCTGATTTGGTCAGTAATCAAAAGCTAGGAGACATTCTGAAATGCCTACTAGTGGATCTTAGGCAATTAAAACATCTCCCAATGTTCCTAGAATATTTTCACTCAGACTCTTGAATATGTCAAACTGGTTGGCAATATGCCAAAGTCAGAATAGATCCGTACCAATAAAGCACTTGGGAACCAAGATAGGGTTTCTTAGAGAGCAAAGATACCAATCTGGTATTGTACAACTAGCAAGAGATAAATTGCAGCCAAAGGAAAGAGAATTTTATCAGCTCCTGCAAAGTGAGGTACCAAGGTTGATATGGATAACTTTGCTTTTATTCCATTTCCAAAGAAGCTACTTTTTCAATGCCAGTTTTTCAGTCTTTTGGCTACATTTCTAATTCTGAATGTTCACAGAGGATTCAAAAAAGTATGTTATCTACAGAAATACCAAAAAAGATATAAAGGATTTGTTTCTAGTAAAAAGTTTAGTAAGTGGTCAACTTGATATCATAAGATGCAATAAATTATCATGACCTTAAATTTTCAAGCACCAAGTAGATTTTTCCCTAACCAATATAAAAATTAATTGTTATTCTATAAATTCCTCTTAAATTTCAACAGTGCTCATTGTGGCACAGTGAGAAGGCACTCCTTGTTATTGACAATAAAATCATCCTGAAAACTGCAATCATGTGACAGTCGTACACTATTCTACCCATGTGTGAGAACCACATATTTATATGCAGCATACCTCTTCTTCAGAGTCATCAGTCTAAATAAACTACAAGGAAAAGAAGTTCACAATATCAGTAAAGCAAAACATACCTCCACCCCCCCACCCACACACAACGCAACTGATTTGGGCCTGAAAAGAACTTAAGGTGGGCCTGAAAAGAAAAGTAATTTTCATACTTTTGAGTATTTTACCAAAAAAGTACCTTGAATCCATTTGCAGCATTATAAATGGGTCTATGAAGAACATTACATATTCATTGATCATTATATATTTTTCCCTTTTTTAAATTGGCCTAATGACCAAAATCTCATAGGCTCAATCATTGAATAGTCTGTGCTCTCTCAATGGTTTTCAACTTATACAAATGGGTAAAAACTCAGTGTAGCACTGGTGTTAGCAGCTTCAATAACAACATCACTGCTGGCATTTACTTACAGCCTTTTATGCGCCTGGCACCATGTTAAGTATTTTATATGCATGACCTCAATTAGTCCCTCAACAATTCAGTGTGCCTAGTACTGTATAATAATTGCATCCATTCTCCAGATGAGAAAACTAAGGCTTCAAGAAATTCACTAATTCCCCCAAGATCACAGCGTAAGAGGCACAGCAAGCATCAAGTGCATGGGTCTGTCTGATACCAAAAGATCATGCTCTGAGCTCTCAATTCTCGAAATGAGAATTTCCAACTTGAAAACAGGTGCTGGACTACTGTAGGGCACTCTACATGAACTATATGTGAAAATCAAGATGTGTTAATGTATTTGTAGACTTTCTTCAGTGGAAAG
Source organism: Homo sapiens (assembly GCF_000001405.40). Classification (NCBI taxonomy): domain Eukaryota; kingdom Metazoa; phylum Chordata; class Mammalia; order Primates; family Hominidae; genus Homo; species Homo sapiens. The sequence continues at coordinate 89,874,646 of NC_000012.12, read as the reverse complement.
GTTTTATTTATTTACGTAATATACCCTATTTTGTCTTGAAGATAAAACAGATTTGAAACAAAAATAGAAAGCAGTTGTTCAGAAAACCAATCCAGCAAAAACAGAAAATGTCTGAACCAGAGTTACACTGGCCGCCCTGAATGCCTGTCACTCTACACCTTCTTCCTTCCCAGGGCCTAATGGGAAAGCATTAAGCTGACCTAAACTCCAAGTTTCCTGGGGTTTGGCAGGCTGTCTCTTATTGAGGGTTGGTATGACCACACAAGCAGTCTAAACAGCTGCTCTGGGACCAGCCCACTCAGGGTGTGGTCATTTAGACTGGCGTGGTGGTAAAAGTGCGCTGACCACAGGACCACGTTCCTGTAATGGCCCTTTCAGAATCCAGGTGGTCAAGGGAAGTCTCTGCGTTCTCCCCCAACCCCCTCAAATGCTTTGCTTAATCCAGAAGGGTTGAGTGGATAGAGGGAACCTTCCACTCCAAGCAGAAGAACAAGTTGAGGAGCCAAAATTCCTTGCCATCTGGGGGCATGCCAGGCTTCCAAGCAGCCATGCGCCAGTTTGCAGGAGCACTTGGGTATTAAACTGACCTGTCAATACACCGTGTCAGCCTTCATCCCACTGATGTGACTAAGCTGGGAACTTGCTCTGCTGTGGGGGTGGGCCTGTCCTTTTCATTCCTCTAAGGATTTCCTGTGAGCTGAAGGATCACGAGGAACTGCCAGAATGAGCGTGTGCAGATGGCAGTAAGGTTTCACCTCAGCAAAGAACTAGCACTTTTGTTTTTTCTCAGGAGTGACAAGTCAAAAGCTAGCTATTAACACAGGGGGCCCACTAGGGGAGTCCAGAAGAAAAGCATATTTGGCATTTGCATTAGGCATTAAAGAATCCACAGAGATGTTAGAAAACCCAGAGGGAAATAGAAGTCAGAGAAGTTTCCCTACTTACACACTAATGATGTTTATCTGCACAGAAGACTGCTTCTGTGCTAGTACTTTATATACAATTTAGAGGCTATTAAAATTTAATTTAAGATAATTCATTATAAGTGTATTTTCTATTGGAAGTTTCAGAATAGTAACTCAAACATTTCAGAAATCTCTGTTTTTACTTACACGGTGTTTTGCCCTCACCACTGAATAAAAAGCTCAGGTATAGTCGCCCACCCAAAATAATTGACTCCTCCCTCCAACCTTGCTTCTGAATATTCAAACACAGCTGTGGGAGTGAAGTGAGAGGCAGAAAACCTGACAGCGAAGAAAATCTCTCTATTTTACATAAACTCAGGCACTTTGGCGGTTAGGAGGTGTGTTTTCCAGAGTGTTAGACACACTTCTTCAGTCCTAATTGAGAATGTTGTTATCAGCATCCTGTAATTGCAAATGCCAAATTTAAATATCAATTTTAATTAAACAGGAGCGAACAAAGAAAAAATTCAAAAGCACCCCGATAGGTAAAGTTTCAATTTCCTAGATTATCTACATCAATGTATATGGATAGCTATCTAGGTCCATATCTGGATATTGCATAATCAACATGAAGTAATGGAATAAATATAAACATTAGAATCTAGGCCCTATCATTTCATATGACATTGGACAAATCATTTATGCATTCTATGCCTCAGGACACCATCTGAAAAATGAGGGAAAATTATACCTAGGTATTACAGCATAATAGAAAATGTAATCTACCATCATTTTGTAAACTTCATGAGAACAAGGAATCCAAGTTTTTTGTGTCTTTCATTAATCCTGATCTGACTCCACGTTCATTCCCACCATATTAATCCAAATGTTAAATGCTGAATTCTTTTGACTTAAAATCATGCTATAGGTTTATGTTCAGATATTCTTACACATTTCCACTATGAATTATCTTTGACTACTTCCTTTCTCTTAATCACCTTATCAGGTCCATTAGCAAGTACTGTTAATTTAACCTCTAGAACTTATTTCAAAACCATCCATCCACTTCTGTGTACCTCCACTGCCACCGTCTAATCCAAGCCATGGTCTCCTAGATGGACTCCTGCAATAGCCTCCTAACTGGTCTTCTCTCCCATTTCATCACACCTTTACAGTCCATTGCTGGATCTCTAGTCTTGTCTTGTACCATTTTCCCTCTTGCCCACCCTCCAACCATCCAAACCTCCTTTCTGTTCCTCACTTATCAAGTTTATTCTGGTCTCAAATCTTCATGCTTATTATTAGCTCTTTCTGGAAATGCTTTTCCCCAGCTCTTGTGTGGATGGCTCTCATACATGTACTAGGTCTTGGCTCAACTGTACCTGGTCAGAAAGGTTTTTCCTGATTACCGCATTTTCTCTACTATGTTTCATTATAGTCCTGATGTATTTGCTCACTTTCTTAATCTAGACTAAAATCTGGCCCCACCATTTGCTAGCTATGGGAACTTGGACAAGTACTTAACCACTATTATCCTCAATATCTTCACCTGTAAGATAAAGGTTATAATAATATCAGCCTCACAGGGTTGTGATGAATAAATGAGATATCATGTGGAAAGAGTTCTGAACATTACCTGAATATGTAATTACTTAATATTAACTGTTTTATTATCTTATTGTTATTTTCATCTGTTGAAATACAGGTTCTTAAAGGCAGGGACTGCATCTGTTTTTATTTATCACTGTATTGTTACTTCCTAGAACTATGCTGGTGCTAAGTCATCAATAAATGTTAGCTAAATGAATAAATTATATCTGAACAGGCAACATACATTTCTGATGAAAAGGTACTCATAAATACACATGCAAATTTAAACAAATATAGGTTAATTTGCTGTAACTCATGGCATAAGAAAGAAAAGAAAAATTGTTATCTGATCATTTCTCACCAACTCTTCCACCACTAATATGGCCAAGCCACTGGGATTACTTTAGTAGCTTCCTAATAGATCTTCCTTCTACTGTCACCTCCGTACAATCTATTCTCTACACAAAAGTCAGAGTAATCATATCAACACATCAGATGGAGTCATTCTTTTGCTTAACAACTTTCAGTGACTCTCCATCACACTTGGAAGAGAGTTCAAACTCCTTCCATGACATAAGGCTTACATGATCTAGCTCCTGCCTGACTCTTCAAACTCATCTTCTACCATTCTGTTTCCTGGTACCACCGTACCACCTTTCTGCATGCCTGACTCCTTCTCCACCAGTTCCACTCATGTTGCTACAGTTAGGAAGGAAGTAGAATGTTTAAATCAAACAGAAATTAATATAAAATTGCACTTAGCAAGTAGAACAGACATAGCAAAAAGTATAGTAAGAGATGTACAGATAAGAAAGCAAACAAAATGAATAGGAATAAAGATCAAAGAAGTATTTGACAGGCCAGACATGGTGGCCCACGCCTTTAATCCCACCACTTTGGGAGGCCAAGGAAGGCAGATCTCCAGAGGTCAGGAGTTCGAGACCAGCCTAGCCAAGATGGAAAAACCCCATCTCTACTAAAAATACAAAAATTAGCCGGTCATGGTGGTGGATGCCTGTAATCCCAGCTGCTTGGGAGGCTGGGACAGGAAAATCACTTGAATCCAGGAGGCAGAGGTTGCAGTGAGTTGAGATCGCGCCATTGCACTCCAGCCTGGGTGACAAGAGCAAGACTCTGTCTCAAAAAAAAAAAAAAAGTATTCGACAAAAAACAGAACTGAAAAACTGACAAAGAAGATCCAATATTTGCATACAGGGAGTACCCAAAAAGGAAAATACAACATTTTAACAAACGAATATTTAAAGTTACAATTTAAGAAAATTTTCTTAAAATATAGATTTGAATTTCTGTATCACAAAGATACACTGTGCTAGGACAGAAAAAAACTGACCCAAAATAATCAGTAGTCATATACTAATAAAATTACTTAATGCTTACAATAAAGAATTAGACAACGAGGCAAAAATGTCAAGTTACTTATAAAGAAAGGAAATCATATTGGAATCAGGTTTTTTCACAGCAATTATCAATACCAGAAACAAAAGCAATGTTTACAAAATATTCTCTGAAGAAAGGGTGAATCAAGAATTCTATACCCAGCCAAACTGTTCCTCAGGAATAAAAATTACAGATGATTTTAAATACACAATAATTTGTGGAATACTGTTCTCATGGACACTTCTCAAGGAAACTACTTGAAGAAAAACTTTTGCCAATCAATAAACAACTAGGGAAGCTATGGCAAAATGACTGTTAGTGATTATTGAAAATATGTAACTGTACAATTAAGACTAATGCAAAGTGCAGTTTATGATGAAGAAATACAGTGTAAATTTTATGTGCCTGACAAGGAGAACTCAACTTATAAAAAATTGGAGAAAAATGTGAGTAGAATGGAAAGCTCTTTCGTCTGCAATAGCCAGGAGTCAAATGCTATTATTTAAAACTGACTTATAATCATTATAACTTTAGAAAACAATAAGAAAGATAATTAACTAAAATTGGGGAAAGAAAGAGAAATGAGGAAAGAATAGTAAACAAACCACCTTTATCATTGTTCATAAAAGGAAACTAATGGATAATATCTGAAGATTAGGAATAACGGTATTATATAAAGACATAATTATAAAAATACTAAAATAAAAATGTAAACCTCCCCAAATACCAGGAAAACTCCATGCTAAATACAATAAGCAGGCAAAGCAAACAGACCATGTAGTAACAGATGTTTTAAAAGTTATAAACCAGAAACATAGTATGAATTAATATAACAGAACAAAGACCAATATTTCTGTCATACCAGTAAATGCAAGTTGCCTTGATTTACCTATCTAAAGGAAAACATTTACACATTGAATCATGAAGCAAAACCCAACTGTAAGCCAAACACAAAGGAAAATCTAAGATAAAGTGATTCACAAGGGCTGAAAATAAAAGGATGGTCATGTATCTACAAAACAAAAACAATAATATAAAGCAGAAGTCAATCTTTATGCCAGACCGTGTGAAATTCAGAACAAATAGTATTAAATAAAACAAAGAATAGTACTTGATAATGCCAAAGTGTGCAATTCATAGTGAAGATATAATGATTAAATTAGCACCAAATAATATGGAAATGACATTCATAGAGCAAAAATTACAGGAGGTATAAGGAGAAGTAAATACAATCACATTAATCTTGGGAGACTTTGGTTCATCTGTCTGGTACACAACTTATCAGGTGGACAAAAAGTAAATAAGGCTAGAATGACTTAAGTATCAGAATTGATATAATACAAATGATTAATATATTATAAACCCTATAACCTGAAAATAAAGAATACACCATCCTTTCAAAGACTGGCCCAATTAAAATCTTTCATAAATTCTAAAAAGTATAATCATGTAAATAATAGTATTTGATCACACTAACTAGAGACTAATCATACTATAAATAATAATGTAAATATTCTAAATAATGTATTAGCAAACTGAATTCAGGAGCTCATTAAAAACAACCACCACAATATTATCACCAAATGGAGTCCTAACTGTTCATATTAGAAACTCTATTAATGTAGTTCATCATATTGACAGATCTAAAGAAAACACCATAAGATCTGTCCTTAAGTGCTGAAAAAGCATTGGAGAAAATTCATCACGTTTTTCTGATACAATAAATAAATAAAACAATAAAGAAAATATTTACTGAAATAGTGTAGACAGAGGCTATGTGATCATGATTAAATTATCTTTTTCCATTCAAAGCCATCAGACTTTTATGGCTAATATTCACTAATACTACTAATATTTAACATTGTGCTAGAGCTACTAGTCAACACAATTACCCAAGAGAAAGAGATTACAGATATATATATGTATATATTTATTTATTTATTTTATATTTTATGTAAATGAACCTATGAATAAAAGTTTCCCTAATTGTAGATTACATGGTAGTATAATTGAAAGATTCCAGAAGTTTTACTAGTAACTACTACAAATAGTAATAGAATTCAGTAAAATAATCAAGCACAAAATCAATGTACAAAAATCAGTAGTTTTCATATCATCAAACGTCAGAGTATTTAATGAAATGATTCCATATATAATAGCAAAGAAAAAAATACATAAACGTTATCAAGAAAATGTAAGTTCTATTAAAAATGAAACTTAAAATACTACTGAAGGCCACAAAATAGTCTTTCTACAAATAGAAAGACCATGTTATTGGTTATGAACACTCAATATTGTGAATGTGCCCATTCTCCTTAAATTAATTTTTAATTGAACATAATCTCAGTGAAAATCCTACAGTAGTAAGCTACATCACCTGATGCTAAATTTAATAAGAAAAATAAACATAGAAGAGGGACTAGTACTAAAGGTTATAAAAATAGTTTTAAAAGCCTAAATACAGTATCATACTGGTTCATTAGCCAAATAGAAAGCCCAGAAGTGTACCCAGATAATTCAGGAATTAAATGTATAAAAAAGACACCATCTCTGATCACTGGGAAAAAGTAGGACTAGTGAATAAATGGTCTAGGGATAAGTGAAGTAATATCCATGTCTTTCCTCATTTGCTGTAATAAATTCCAAATATATCACAGATGGAAATGTTTTTAAGTGCAACAATAAAATAAGAAGAAGAAAACTTGGAAGTTTTCATTATAAATCTTGAGTTAAGAAGTTTTGTCTAAACTTTTACGACTCAAAATTCCAAAGTCATAAGTTGATATTAATACATTTTGTCATTTAAAAAATCAAATTTTTTCATGAAAAAAAGCATTGTAAACAAAGCTTTAAAAAGAAAAACTGCCAGCCGCCCCGTCCGGGAGGGAGGTGCGGGGGTCAGCCCCCCTTCCGGCCGGCTGCCCCGTCCGGGAGGTGAGGGGCGCCTCTGCCCGGCCGCCCCTACTGGGAAGTGAGGACCCCTCTGCCCGGCCAGCCGCCCCGTCCGGGAGGGAGGTGGGGGGGACAGCCCCCCGCCCAGCCAGCCGCCCCATCCAGGAGGTGAGGGGCGCTTCTGCCGGGCCGCCCCTACTGGGAAGTGAGGAGCCCCTCTGCCCAGCCACGACCCCGTCTGGGAGGTGTGCCCAGCGGCTCATTGGGGATGGGCCATGATGACAATGGCGGTTTTGTGGAATAGAAAGGCGGGAAGGGTGGGGAAAAAATTGAGAAATCGGATGGTTGCCGGGTCTGTGTGGATAGAAGTAGACATGGGAGACTTTTCATTTTGTTCTGTACTAAGAAAAATTCTTCTGCCTTGGGATCCTGTTGATCTGTGACCTTATCCCCAACCCTGTGCTCTCTGAAACATGTGCTGTGTCCACTCAGGGTTAAATGGATTAAGGGCGGTGCAAGATGTGCTTTGTTAAACAGATGCTTGAAGGCAGCTTGCTCGTTAAGAGTCATCACCACTCCCTAATCTTAAGTACCCAGGGACACAAACACTGCGGAAGGCCGCAGGGTCCTCTGCCTAGGAAAACCAGAGACCTTTGTTCACTTGTTTATCTGCTGACCTTCCCTCCACTATTGTCCTATGACCCTGCCAAATCCCCCTCTGCGAGAAACACCCAAGAATGATCAATAAAAAAAAAAAAAAAAAAAAAAAAAAAAAAGAAAAACTGAGAGAAATATTTGCAACTCATATCACAAACAAAGGGCTAGACTCCCTAATATTAAAAATTGGTAAGACCCATTCAGAACATAGAAAAGGAAATAAAATTTCTCCTAAATAAATAACAAGATAATCAACTTCACTCTTAAAAAAAAGAAAAGTAAATTGAAACCACAAATGAATATAATTTTTGACCCTCTCATTTGGCAAAAATCCAAAGCTAGCTAACATAATCTGTTGATAGGACTCTGAGGGGAAAAGTATTTTCTCACGTATTGCTGATTGGAGTATAAATAGGCATTGTGCTAATATCTTTACCAATTACAAATGCATATACTTCTCAGCCTAGAAATTTCACTGCTAGCAAATCCCAGACATACATAAGGAATATGTGAAATATTGTATGTACAGCATTACTCATTGCAATGAAAAATTTGGAAATATCCTAATGTCCACCAATATATATCTAGCTAAATAAATAGTGTATATCCATACTTGTAGGTGGTTATTAAATACTGAATGCAGAAAGTCTCCATGTACTGAAATTAAGTGGTATCCAAGTTATCATAAATGAAAATAGTGTAACTAAGTGAAACAGTATAGAATAGTGCTTGTTAAGTGAAAAGAGTGTGTATAGTATGTAATCTTTTGAGTAGGAAGAAAATTATATATATATATATATATATATATATTTGCTTGTATATGCATAAAGAAATTCTAGAATACTACTCAAGGACTCAATGATAGCTGTTACCTATAGAGTTAGAACTAGGGGCTGAGTTAGGAAGACATTTGGATGTAAATAACACTTTTCATTGTATAACATCTTATGGGTTTTTGAACCACAATAATGTCTTAGCTATTAAAAATTAAATTTAAAATATATAAATAAAAAAGAAACAATTTATTATGAAGCTAATACTGGTTTGTGACTTTTTCATTTTTCTTAAGTTTATGCATTATTTAATATATCTAATAAAATTTTGAAGCCTTAGTTGAGTCTACATCTCACTCTACATCATTTCCTTTTTAATAAAATTGTACATTTGCATAATCCTCAACATTTCTAACAGAAAATTACATAGGAAGGCCCAACCATAAAACTGATGACTTTTCAACAGCAAATGGTTTCATTTAAAATAATTTGCCAAGAGTGTATAGTTTCCCGGCCATTTTTTCTGATTGGTAGAATTCCTAGGATCAAAGAATTTTTTTAGAAAAAGACTTTTTTAGAGCAGTTTTAGTTTTGCAGCAAAATTGAGCAAAAGGTACAGAGATTTTCCATATAACCCCTGTCCTCTACTTTCATAGCCTCCCCCATAAATCAACTTGCCCTGCCAGGGTAATAAATTTGTTATAATTGGTGAACCTACATTGACACATCATTATCACTCAAAGTCCACAGCATATGTTAGGGTTCAATCTTGGTGTTGTACATTGCATGAACTGGACACATGTATAATGATATATATCCATCATTGCAGTGTTAAACAAAGTAGTTGCACTGTTCTAAAAAATCCTCTGTGCCCTGCCTCTTCATCTCTCCTTTCCTGCTGACCCCTGACAACCACTAATCTTTTTTCTGTCTCCAGGGTGTTGCCTTTTCCAGGATGTCATATAGTTGTAATCCTACAGTATGCACCCTTTCCAGATTGGTTTCTTTCACTTAGTAACGTACATTTAAGGTTCCTCCATATCTTTTGATGGCATGAGAGCTCATTTCTTTTAGTGCTGAATGATATTCCATTTCCTGGATGTACCACAGTTTATTTATCCATTCACCTACTGAAGGACATCTTGGTTGCTTCCAAATTCTGACAATTATGAATAAATCTGCTATAAACATCCGTGTTCAGGTTTTGTTTGGACATAAGTTTTTAAGTCCCTTGGGCAAATACCAAGGAGCACAATTCAGCAATTTTGCTCCTTGGTATCAAAACCTATATGAGAGTATGTTTAGTTTTCTAAGAAACTGCTGAACTGTCTTTCAAAGTGGCTGTACCATTTTACGTTTCCACCAGCAATGATGGAGAGTCCTTGCTGCTTTACACCCTCACAAGCATTTGGTGCTGTAAGTGTTCTGAATTTTGGCCACTTTAATAGGTGTGTAGAGGTATTTCATCGTTTCAATTTGCACGGTCAAAGTGTTTTTAATAATAAACAAAACTGCACTTAGAGCACAAATACTGACAATAAGTATCAAAGGCAGTTAAATCAATAGTTATAAAAAGATTTCAGTGTTGTGACATGCTATTTAATACTTAAATGATCACTTCATAGGTGTATTAAATGTAATAAACTCCCTCATATCTGTGTATTAAAAGTAATAAACACCATTTATCACTCACTCATCACAAAGTCTTTCAGGAAATTTGACTGGAAACAGTAAGAGGTAGTCAATTCCTCCTGTTCCCATCCCCACATGCATGGCCATCCAGACTGCAGATTAAGCAGTTCTCCCACATTCTCCTTCTCTCATGAGTCAGCCAACCAATGGAGCCACTTCAGTTCCCATGTCATAGAGCTCTGTCAAAGATCAGAACCGGCCTTATCTCCTTCTGATAAAAATCAGAAATAACCCAAAGAAGATACTCTTATTTTTTATCATTATATCTCTACATTTAATTAATTTAGAAAATAATATTCAGATAGATAAAAAAATACTTCTGAGGCAAAAATAAAGAAGGCTGTGAAGATTTAGCTATAGGCATTCAAGTTTCTATAACAATTGCAACACAAATAGTTTGTTTAGCCAAATAATGCCTCTCCATGTTTCAAAAGTCACCTGCAAAACAGCCCCAGGAAAGCAATCAAGGACTAAATAATCAGTGGCCATGGTGAGCACCACAAATGCAAAGGGAGTGGAAACACACACTCTCTTTTGATTCAGCTTAAATTTCAGCCTGAACTTAAGTAGCATCATTGCTGACACAACACATTAATAACAAAAGGAGAGCTTCCTGTTCTTCTTTTTACAAAGCTTTGTAACCTTGGTTTCTGGGTCTCCTTGTTTTGGAAAAAGAAAAACAAAATCACTTCCTGATGACTTTTCTGCTGAAGAGAAATCTGACTAAAAAATAATTAAGAAAATAAACACACTTTACATAAAGATATGTGATACTTTTTTATTGTTTTTACTTCATCTTAAAATCTGACCACACATTATTGTTTTTCTCTCTGTAAGTATGCACAAGAAAAAAAACTAAAACACACCGCTTTCTGGGTGCTGCTAATAGGTGTTCAGTATCACAAAGATCGAACAAACCACATAATTGTGACAATTACTATGGCAACTAACAAAATTTTCAAATCAAAATACCCACTCTCAACGCCGCCCACACAGAGCTTTTAGAGCTAGCATCCACTTCCACTTCAATGTACAGTGTGCAAATTTGGAAGGCCCTGCCATCTTGTAACCACAGTGAAGAAAACTGCCTACGTTAACTCTGCTACTTTATTTTCAGTTGACTGTTTCGTATGTCAGACAGCATCTCTTGCAGCACTCCATTCAAAAATGGAGACCAAAGAGTCGGCTGCCCAGTCTGTAGAAAACTGCACATAGAGCCTGAAGCAGACATGGTACTAAATTAGCAATACCATCCATATGTTTTCTCCTCTGGGCATTCAGAGTCACGAAAATAAGTTCTCCAAAAATAACTCTTCTATCACATAGTGTATCTTCTTTCCTCTCATGAATCAGATCGTCATTTTAGTCTGTCTGATTTAATTTTCTAAAACCAACTCCCTCATATCTGAGAGAGCCTTTCCTCAAATAAATGCCACACAGGAAAGCTGATATGTAATAAAATTGTAAATGGATCTGTTTAAATTTGGTTGGAATGTTCTGTTTTGTTTTGAGAGACAACAGAACTTTAGGAATCTTTCAGCTCACCGTCATGTGCTGATGAGGAAAGCCTCAGGATAGAGACCAAGGCCTCTTGGAAAAAGCTGAAAAGATAGGGAAAGCGTAAAGAACAATCCATGTCTTGCCAACACAGCCTCCTAATTGGGGAAAAAGAAGTCACTGGACAGAATCCTGCTCTGCTCAGCAAACATCACTGTGTCACTTTCTCTTCCTGCTTCTGCTTCGGCAGAAACAGGAACTCTTAAGGCAAGAAAGCCAGAGGAAGTGACCTGCATTTTCTTGGCGGGACAGACACACAAGCAAATTGAGGTTTCCTCTGCTAGGGCACATGAAGTTAGGTGAATCCACTGTTGAGTTGGAAATTGTCCTAACTGGCAGCAAAGACATCATTGTAATAATAACAATTAACAACCCGACACTCACTGGTGCTTACAATGTACCAGCCATTGTTAAAAGTGCTTTACAGAGACAAATTCATTTAATCCTTATGTTCAGTGTAGCCCTGTCATCCCATTTTACAGATAAGAAAACTAAGGCACAGAGTGTTAAGCAACCAGCGAGGTATAGAGTGGAGCCAGTATTTAAATTCAAACAGCCTGTTACAGACTATTAAACCTGAGAAGTTTTTAGGTGTCTGGAAAAGTGTACAATGTTTTATCTTGAAATTTGTTGGCTTTCAAAATCTGTACACACACACACACACACACACACACACCCCAAAAAATTGCAATGTGATGTTTGATGTGACCAGTGTTTAATGAGAAAATATTTCTATATTTGCAGAAAACGTAACTTGTGTATGCCTCAGACTAGGACATAAGAACTACCCACCCCCTACACCCCAACCAGCCTATGGCAGAACAACTGTGTGGCTAGAGCTGCATTTTAAAAAGTGAGTAAACCTAAAGTTGTTGAGAAAGGAACATGCAGTAAACAATGGCAAAATACAATCAACTCGATTATTTGTGATTTATAACTGGGAGCACAGGTCATTCAAACAGCTACTTGAGTCAATAATTCCAACTTTCTGCCCATGAAAACTTTTTGTATTCATTTTCTTTTACTGCTGGAACAGATTGCTACAAACTTTGTAGCATAAAATAACACAAATTGAGTATCCTATAGTTCACTAGGTCAGCAATCTAGCATGGGTCTCATCAAGAGGCTGTAGGCTGCATTTCTTCCTGAAGATTCTAGGGGAGAATTCATTTCCTGCTCATTTGGGTTATTTGCAGCTTACTTCTTTGTAGAGGTAGGCCTGAAGTCCCTGTCTTCTTGCTTCCTGTAAACTGAGGCTCATTCCCAGCTTCTAGAGGCTGCTACCACTTTGCTTGGCAAGTAGACTTCTTGCTCCATCTTCAAATCCAGCAATGTCAGGTTGATTCCCTCAAATCTCTCCACCTTCTTCTTCCGTCTCATCTCTCTGACCCAACTGAGAAATGCTCTTTCCTTTTAAGAGATCATGTGATTACATTGGTCCCACACCATTAATCCAAGATACTCTCCTGATCTTCAAGTATACTCCTTTAATCACTGTACATCTGCAAAGTTCCTTTGCCATGTAAGGTGACATGTTCACAGTCCTACACAGTTGCACATACTCATGTCTCCAGAGATTAGGACATGCATATCTTTGGGGTATCATTATTCTGACTCCACACTTGTGAATAAGAAGCCAATTCAAAGATTTTCTTTCTCTTTTTCTCTTTAGCAGCTTTATGGAGGTATAATTGATTTAAAGTTGATCCTTGAATAATACTGGTTTGAACTGTAAGGATCAACTTATATGTGAATTTCTTCCTCCTCTGCCACCCCTGAGATTGCAAGACCAGCCCCTCCTCTTTCTCCTCCTCTTCAGCCTACCCAATGTGATGACAAGAATGAAGACCTTGATGATGAGCCACTTCTACTTAAGAGTAAACAGGCCAGATGCAGTGACTCATGCCTGTAATCCCAGCACTTTGCGAGGCCAAGGTGGGCAGATCACCTGAGGTCAGGAGTTCAAGACCAGCCTGGCCTACTTGGTGGAACTCTGACTCAACTAAAAATACAAAAATTAGCCGGGCATGGTGCTAGGCACCTGTAATCTAAAATTACAAAAATACAAAAATTAGCTGGGCATGGTGGTGGGCGCCTGTAATCCTAGCTACGAGGGAGGCTAGGCTTAAACCCAGGAGGCGGAGGTTGCAGTGAGCGAAAATCGCACCACTGCACTCCAGCCTGGGCTACAGAGCGAGACGACTCTGTCTCAAAAAACAACAACAAAAAAAGGAGTAAATATATTTATCTTCCTTATGATTTTCTTAATAACATTTTCTTTTATCTAATTCACTTCAATGTGATAATACAGCATATGATACCTATAACATACAAAATATGTGTTAATAGACTTTACATTATTCGTAAGGCTCCCAGTCAACAGCAGGCTGTTAGTAGTTATGTTTTTGGAGAGTTACAAGTTGTATACAGATTTTTGACTGCACAGTGGGTCAGCACCCCTAACCCTTGAGTTGTTCAAGGGTAAACTGCACATTAAACTATATATCTTTTTTAAATGTATCATTTTAAGAGTTTTGACATATATACAGAGTATACACCCATAAAGCTATCAGCTCAGTCAAAATAATGAATATACATCATCCCTAAAAGTCTCTTCATGCCTCTTGGTAATCTGTCCCTCCCTTCCTCACTCCATCCCCAGGCAACAGCTAATCTGCTTTCTTCATTATAGATGATTATACATTTTCTGGAGTTTCAAATAAATGGAAATATACAATACATACTCTCCTTGTGTTTATTTGTTTGGTCTGGCTTCTTTTGCTCAACATAATTATTTTAAGATTCAGCCATATCATTGCATGAATCAATAATGCTATGCAACCCAGTTATTCTATTTCTAGGATACTACTCTGTTTTTGTTTCTATCCGGAACAATGTGTTAGGAAGAGAAAAGAGACTAAGAACAACTATAGCTTTTCTGACCTTCTACTGCAGCCAAAAGTCCCAGAGACACATACAAACCTCCAGAGAACTTAGACATTTGAAATCCATGACACTCAGACAAGGTCTTATTACATCAGTTGGGTTTTGCTGTGTAAGAAACTACACCCAAAACTGGGTGTCTTAAAATAATAGTCATTGTTCTGTGAATCAATAATTTGGGCTGGACTTTGCTGGGAAGTTCTTCTGCTAGAATTGGCAAGGCTCACCCATGCAGCTGCAGTCAGTGAGTAGATCAGCTAGGGAGTGATTCAACATCTCACTCAATGTTTGGTGGCTGGTACTGTCAGTTGTTGTTGGCTGCCAGCAGAGTGACAGAGGTGACTGGCCACAGGTCTCCAGCAAATTGCTCCAGGTTTATATTTACCTGGTTGCAGTCACAAGGCTCCCAAAAGCAGCAAGAGTGGGCAAGCCCCAATACACAATCATATTTCAAGCTTCTGTTTGTATCACATTTGCTAATGGCCCATTGATCACAATAAAGCCACATCACCAAGCCCAGCTCAAAGGGTGAGGAAATAAACTCCACCTCTTGATGGGAGTAGCTGCAAAGAAATATTGCAAAGGGACAGGCAAACAGGTAGAAGATTTTATAACCATGTCTGCAGTCTGCCACATTTTTCTCTCTTCTTCCTTCATTAACTTCACTTTTTCACTACCCATTCATGCCTCAAGCCACACCTCTGATCCAATTTCTTTACCCGTAACTCAACAGAATCTATTCTATTCTCTCCCAAATTACTAATGACCTCTTTGTTTCTGGCTAAGTCCAGGGGACCTTTTTCTCTCATTGTCTCATTTGGAGTCTCAGTGTCACTTGACGCAATCTTCTCCATTGACTTTGATAGTACTACTCTTTTCCTTCTTTTCCTCTTAGCTGTTTCTTCACAGTCTCCTGCATAGAAAAAGTGGGTAGCAGGGCACCTAGCACAAAATATGCATTTAAAATTGATTTGTTGAATAAATGATTAAGTGAATAAATTAATGAACAAATAAAATGGGATTATGTTCTACCCACTGATTAAATGTTGGAGTTTGTAAAGCTTCAGCTACTACCTATGTGCTAACGACTTCCAATTACAAGTCTCCAGCCCAGGTCTCTTTTCTGCACTCAGGCATATGTATGCAGCCTCTGAATAGACTCTTCTCACTGACACTTCAAACTCAACCTATCTGAATCTGATCTCATTAACCTCACTTCCAGATCTGCTTTTCTTTCAAATTCTTTCACGATCTACACAGTCACCAAAGCCAAACATTTGAGTGTCATTCTAGGCTCCTTCCTATGTGGCACCAAGTCTTACTGCTTTATCATTATGTTTTGTTTCATTTTGAGACAGGGTCTCACACTGTCATCTAGATTGGAGTACAGTGGTATGTACTGCAGCCTCCACCTTGTGGGCTCAAGCAATCCTCCTACCTCAGGCTCCTGAGTAGCTGAGACTACAGGCATGAGCCACCACAACGAGTTAATTTTTTAATTTTTATTTTGGAAGGACGAGATCTCACTATTTTGCTCAGGCTGGTCTCAAACTCCTTCTGCCTTGGCCTCCCAACGTGCTAGGCTTTAATTTTTTTTTTTTAATTTGCTGCCTTCTCTCCAACCACATTGTTTCTACTCCTCTTGTTTAAATCCTTATTATTGCTCACCTAGATGCCTACAACCTCCACCTAACTCAGTGCAAAATCCGAAAAGGCAGGAATCACCAGAGTTGCTTGTTCAAAACATAGATTACCCAACCTGCTCCAAATCATCTGAGTCAGCATCGAGTGCAAAGGGGTCTGGGGATCTGCATATTTTAGAAGCACCCCAGACGAGTCTGGTTATCAGGCAATTTTTGGAAACACTGTCCTTATTTGCCTCCCTGCCTCCAAGAGTTGCCTGCCATCATGCACTCCACTCTCCACACTGTTGCCAGACTGACCTGTTTAAAATGCAAATATAATCTTTTCACTTCTTTGCTTAAAATATTTCCAGAGTTCTTCATGGTGTCTAGGAAAATAACCACATTCCTTACCAAAGCCTTCAAGTCTCTCCGGCCTTATCTTTTGATGCTCCTCAGTCATGGACCCTGCGTTCTATTCTTTACTGTCTTCTAAATGCAGCATGCATGCCGTTTCAAGCTATTGCACCAGCCGTACCTGCCACCCAAGACACTCGCCATCCTCCCCCTGTATTTATTCATCACACACTTATGTAACACTTAAGTGAGACACACTCTTCCAAGTACTTTGGGAATATCAATGCATTTATTCATCCTTACAAACCTGGGATAGGTAAGTGGTAGGTACTATTGTTACCCCCACTCATAGAGAAATTGAGGAATCTGAGGTTGAAGAATTGAGAAATTGAGGTTGAAATTGAAGAACTGAGAAATTGAGGTTGGGAACCTTGCCTGGGGTCATGCATAGTTACTGGAAAAAACAAGACTTGAGCCCAGAGAGCCTGGCTGTAGAATCCACGCATTTAGCAACCATGTTCTAGTGCCTCTCCTTCATCTGGCTAAACCCACTCTTTCTCAAATCTCAGCTCAGCAATTAATACTTCCCAGAAGCCTTCTTTGATTTCCCAGTCTGAATTGGCATTTTGAATGGGCTTATTTTTGTCATGGCACTTACAGTACTGTACAGTAAAAAAAAGAAAGAAAAAAGTTCATTTTCTTCTCTGACAAACTAGACTAAGTTTCTTTTCTTTCTTTCTTTCTTTTTTTTTTTTTTTTCTTTTTTTTGAGACAGAGTTTCATTCTTGTCACCCAGGCTGGCATGCAATGGTGTGATCTCGGCTCACTGCAACCTCTTCCTCCTGGGTTCAAGCAATTCTTCTGCTTCAGCCTCCTGAGTAGCTAGGATTACAGGCACCCACCACCACGCACAGCTAATTTTTGTATTTTTAGTAGAGACGGGGTTTCACCATGTTGGCCAGCCTGGTCTGTCTTGAACTCCTGACCTCAGGTGATCCACCCGCCTCGGCCTCCCAAAGTGCTGGGATTACAGGCGTGAGCCACGGCACCCAGCCTAGACTAAGTCTCTTAACAGAGGAAGAGATATTTGTTGTGTCTCCAAAGCCTAGCCCAATGCCCAGCATGAATAAGTAACTAAGTATGTGTTGAATTTAAAAAAAAAAAAAGAATAAATGCATGAATGAATGAATCTGTACATGAATTTACAAGCAAGCAGCAAGGGACATCAATAACAAACAATCTGAACAGTCTGCCACTGAATCGCCAAGTCACCTGTATACAATTTTATGAGGCGTTTCCATTTTTGGCGTAGGAGATGGCCTATCTAGTATCAAAAATAAACTTTAGGAGTCTTTCTACAAATTTGACAGATTTTCATGGGAATTCAAATTAAATGCATGATTGGACATTTATTTGTTTAATCTACTCAGTAGGTTTCTTTTATTTTCCTGTGTCAAGCATGAAAGTTAAAACTATTTCTAGGCCTTTCATCTTAGCTTGGCTTTCCCCTTAATTTCTTTGCTCCAGAATGTTGAACAAAACAGGTCCCTTTTTGTGGTTGGAAAGTTTGGCTTTACATAGAACCTTTCAACACACAACTGTCAGCACCTGATTATGGGCCATTTTTTAGCCTATGACTTTCACTTCCTTCCTTAAATAGGTCTTTCAGATGAATCATCTTTAGCCACTCTGTGATTATGCAGGGATCAGATACGCAGTATAGAAATGAACAGGATACACTGAAGTCCCTTCTATCTTGTATCATTTTGTGCTCTGATTTGGGGGGGGTTCATTTTTTATGCAATAAAAATGTGATTGACTACTGTGTGCTGGCTTTTGTTCGAGCTGTCAGTTCATTAGCACTTCCAACTAGAGTGGGAAGAAGCAGAGAACTGGATAAAGCTCACGTCCACTAGTTTTGAGCTGTTTAGCATTCCTAGTTCGGAGACAAATTTGGTGGGAAAAGACTTGGATGAGACTTATTTGTCCAACTCTTTTTCTATACCCCATGTAATTATTAAACTGTATGTGTGTATATGTGTGTATAAGCAGTCAACCAGCATAGTTGCAGAGCCCCTTAGCTACTCAAAAATTCATCCCTCAACCCGTAATTTATGAATACTTCATCAAATTCATTCCTACAATACACATGCTGATGGTCATAGCTATTTACTTATTAGATCAATTTTAGAAAATATTATGTTTGGGTAAATAATCTCTTTAATGGTGGTTTATTGTGTCACGTGTATACATGGTCCTGAATATTAATATGAAAGAACCCACTTTTTTTCCTACGAGATAAGAAAAATCAAGGTACCAAAACCTACAATGCTGAAATGTACTAGAATGGATTAAGGAAAGAAGAAATTTGCAATAGGGATTCTTGTCTTTTATCTTCCATATGAATGACATCCTAAATATATATGATGCTGACCTACATTTCTATAGTTGAAGGCTATTTTCTGAGTGAAATCAGCTACAATGAAATGTGCAGTAACAGACATACAAAAAGGAATAGGCAACAGAACTCAAATTGAAGAATTAAATGGGCAAGAGGTGAACAGAATAAAGTGCAGAACCTCATATTTGGTAGGCTTTAAGAAAGATTTTTACCTCTTAAGGACAGAAAAACTACTCCTTTAAGAGTTTTGCCAAGTCTGCAAAACAAGATTCTGGCTTTGTTCAGCTTCTTCCTCTCCTCTATCTTCTGAGAAGAGAAGACATGTTAAAAGAAAGCAATGCTTTGGCATCAGTAATGGAGAATTGTCAGAGAACCAACAGAAAGAAGCAATGCCTGCAAGGTGGTAGGAAGAAGAAAAAGACTTCACAGGAGAGGGTGGGCAGAGGAAAGTAAAAACAGCCCAAGCTGGAGGCAGAGGAAATGGCTCAGGGGAGAAGCTAGGAGTGAGAATAGCTGTGGGGTGTGAAGGCAGCTTGTAGAAAAGAGAAAAGAACATTTTTTTAGGAAAATTTCTGAGAGCTATGTGTCCCTGATATGGTTGGGATGTTTGTCTTCTCCAAATCTCATTTTGAAATGTGATCCCCAATATTGAAGGTGGGGCCTGGTGGGAGGTGTTTGGATCACAGGAGCGGATCTCTCATGAATGGTTTAGCACCATCCCCTTGGTAATGAGTGTGTTCTTGCTCTCAAAGTTCACGCAGGATATGTTTGCTTACAAGAGTGTACCGCCTACCCCCCTCTCTTGCTCCTGCTCTCATCATATGTGTGCTGGCTCCCCTTCCCTTTCACCATGACTGTAAGCTTTCTGAGGTTCTAGCCAGAAGCAGATGCTAGGGCCATGCTTGTACAGCCTGCAGAACCAGGAGCCAACTAAACCTCTTCTTTACAAATTACCCAGCCTCGGGTATTTCTTTACAGCAATGCAAAAATGGACTAATACAATCCCCTTCATGATACGTGAGAAATACATGTAAAGTATTTGAGATATTCTGAAATTATTATTGGTGGCTGAGTTCCTTTGAACGTGACACTGCCTTGGATCAGAACTACATGGCTCATCCCTTTATTAACATTACACATCTTTTGGAAAAGGAGCACAGTGAAGTTATTAGGAAAACCATCTTCATCATATCCTAGTAGGATTTTAGGCCTCTGGAGGACTTGGTAGAAGTCCTTGGAGTCTTTACATTAACTCATTCTATACTCAGAGCACATTCTTCCTCCTCCTTTTCCCGTTTTCATTTACTGTTGTGTCCTTGTTGGTATACAAACAACTTACTAGACTAAGGTTCTTGATGCCAATAACTGTGGTCTTTTTTATCTTTGTATTCCATGTTATATCCAGCAGAACACCAGGCACGTGATTAGATATTCAATTAATTGAACAATCAATTCATTCTAGGATACACATAAAGTTATACTAAATAAAGCAAGTTAAAATGTAATGAGAGGCCCACTTTCAGAGGCTGCGGCAGGCAGATCACTTGAGGTCAGGAGTTCAACACCAGCCTGGCCAATATGGTGAAACCTCATCTCTACTAAAGATACAAAAATTAGCCGGGCATGGTGGCTCATGCCTATAATCCTAGCTACTCAGGAGGCTGAGGCAGGAGAATCACTTGAACTCAGGAGGTGGAGGTTGCAGAGAGCCAAGATACTGCCACTGCACTCCAGCCTGGGTGACAGAGCAAGACTCAAAAACAATTAAAATTAAAATTAAAAAAATTAAAAAAAAATTAAAAATTAAATGAGAGAAAGCCCAGTAGATTTGTTTTTGTTGCTGGCATTCCCATTATTATCATTTCATTATTGATCTGATCAAATATTCTGGTTCAACAATATACTTAGAATCTAAGAACTACAACTTTTCTTGTTTACTTTACCAAAGTGTCTTCACTGTGGCAATATATTTAGAACTCATTGACTATTACTATACTTTCACACTTCAGAAAATATCACTAAGAGACTCTTCTGCTAGTAGCAGTTATATAAGTAGCATTAATAATACATGCATTTTCCAATCTTCTTGTCTAAAAATTAACTACCAAATAGGCCAATTTTAATTCTCTCAATTTTATAAAAATACACATGAGATCATAGCTATAGCTTTCACACTCATTGTTTCATTTGTCTGGAAATCCTTTTTGTCTCATTATCTCTTATCCATCTACATATAATCCTAACATAATGAAACACACCAAGCCATCTCTGAATCCAAAATAGCAGTACGCTGGGTCTGGTATATAACACTAAGATTTAATGGCTTGGTAGGAGCACATATTGAGAATCTGGATGGAAGGCACTGTGTTCTAGTAACTGTAGGGAGTTAAAAAGGAATCAGAGGCCCGGCGTAGTGGCTCACACCTGTAATCCTAGCACTTTGAGAGGCTGAGGTGGGTGGATCACTTGAGGCCAGGAGTTTGAGACCAGCCTGGACAACATAGTGAAACCCTGTTTCTACTAAAAATACAAAAAAAAATTAGCTGGGCATAGTGGTATATGCCTATAATCCCAGCTAGTTGGGAGGCTGAGGCAGGAGAATCACTTGAATCCGGGAGGCAGAGGTTGCAGTGAGCCAAGATCGCACCACTGCACTCCAACCTGGGCGACAGAGCATGACTGTCTCCAAAAAAAAACAACAAAAAAGGAGTAAGAGCATTTTACTCTGACAACAAGGAACTTACATACAATATGCATAAAACGTCACTGTGACACGAAATAACAAACATTAAAGAATGCATGTACACACATATTTCTGTCACACATTCCCAAACTTACATTGTAAATTGTGTGGTTGCTCTCTACACGTGCACACATTACCAGATGAACTTGTTTGTGACCAAGTAGAAGAGTCAAGGCAAGAAGACAAACCTGAAAGAGGTAGCACTTACTGGGCTGTGTGACCTATGACAAGTCCTACGCCCTCAACTGAGCCATTGTTTCTTCTGTGGAAAGGAGTCCATCTTCGTCTCAGGTAGGTTGTAAAGAGTAAATGAGGTAACAGAAACGTGCCTAGCACAGAGCGTTTCATAACCACTCATCCTCTTTCCATGTTGCATTTTACTTTGATTTCTGACTGCCAACCTACACTTTCTTGGCAGTTCTGCTTCTTGGACACCAAGATTTAACAAAACAAAAACATATTTCTGATTACTATATACCAAGCAACTCTATATATTGTTTATAAAAACATGAAACCATACACACAAGTAATAAGAAAGTAGCTTAAATACATAAACACTAATGAGAGCTGTCCATATGTACATATAAATGCCTAGTATTTAAAGATACAAAGGGCAATAAATAGAAAGGAGAGGAGGTTTCTGGGGAGATCACAGAACTAGAAGATGTAACTTGAAAAGGTAGTATAAATAAGGGGTCATTAAGCAAAAATTTCACAATATTTATGTTTTTAATTATGATGTAACACACATTTGAGAAAATTTGGAAAGCATAGAAACACAAAAAAAGAACATGTAATACAAGTCATAAACTTGTACCAGATATAAACTCTGTTAACATTTGGTGTTTTCTTTCTGATATTTTTATTTGTATATATTATCTATTTTTTTACCTACTTAGAATTATACTATATATATGGCTTTGTATTTTGCTTTTCAGTTGTATAGTAAGGATTTTCCATGCTGTTAAACATTTTCTGAAACCATGATGTTTAATGGTTGCCTTTTATCCTTAAGATACACTCTGAATTTAACCACTGATCTATTATGAGTCTTTCATGTCATCCCAAATTTTTTACTTTGAGCAGAATTTTAGATGATGAAAAAAATGTATTTTAGTTAAAAATAACATTTTAACCAACATGATATAAACCTTACATACTAGAAAATGATGAGAAAGAGATGAAAGGGAACAGCTCAGAATAGAAAGCCAGGA
This sequence comes from Homo sapiens, assembly GCF_000001405.40. NCBI lineage: Eukaryota > Metazoa > Chordata > Mammalia > Primates > Hominidae > Homo > Homo sapiens. The sequence goes on along the minus strand of NC_000012.12, from coordinate 89,851,902 downwards.
TGGAATTATGTTATCTTTAATATACTGTCAGATAGGATAACAATGCAACTGTATTTCTAAGTAAGTCAAAACCATCTTAAAGAAGTCAGAGAGAATTTACTTACACCAAGGAATAGATGGGAATTAAACAGTGAAAAAGGCTATGTTCTTCCCAAAACTGATGAATCTGTGACGTGAATTGGCTTTTGCTGTCATACTTGGTCTCTGGAAAGTGGCCTTTGTGATAACAAGATGCCATATTTAATCAACATCAGTTGGCAGGATGACATCTGAGTAATAAAGCAGATATGGAGCCCATCTCATGAGCAGGTTGATCTCAAGCAATCTCCAGCATAGCCTTCAAAGAGTATAAGGAAGGTAGGCAGAAGGGAGAAGGCCTGAAGGGAAGATTCTTCCATTCAAAGCCATATAATCCCATCTAACCAAGCATTTTCTAGTGGCCTCCTTCTCCAGTGGCCCCCCTGAGCACAAGCTTGACACACTGTAGGCTGGCATACACTGTCAGTTCTTGGATTTAGCGTTACAACAGCATAAGGACATGTCAAAGAATAAATTCAAGGTTCTTGATTGTCATCCCTCTACTCCTCTTTTACAAAACACTATCAGTCCTTTCTTATGTCTCATGTCATTCTGATGTCAGACCCTCTTCCTTTGTTATAGCAAACCTTGAGCAGTTAAAGGTTAAAACTACTGTCTGTGTAGTTATGAAATGAAGGATTGTTAACCAGCACCAGGAGAACTCTGGCAGAAAATGAACTAAGGGAGAAGGAACGACATTGTAGGAATATGTTGAACAGAAAGCCTGGAGACAGAGATAAACAAAAGCTAAAAGAAAGAAGAAAATGGGAAGAAAAAGCCAAAGAATCGTAAACCAAGGAGATCAGATCAGGATAAGGCATCAGGGTAGAAAGAAGCCAACACTCAGTCAACACTGGAAGACCAGGGACCATTGCAGAGTTTCAAAGACAAACAGTGCCTTAAAACTGAAGTTAGGACAGCCTCAAATGGGAGGACATTATTTGCTGCTTGTAATAAATCAAAATCCACAGATTGGCATCCTAGACACACAACTAAGAGGTTAAGATGACTGCATTGGGTTTAGTAAATTAGGACCCCATTCAATCCCCCTGAAACCCAGCAATTTGTCTAGCTTTGCGATTAGGGTCCTCTTCTCTTAACTTCCCTACTTTCTATTCTCCAGCCTCGTAGCAAGTCAGACTCCTTTTTGATTGCTAGTTTCAGCTTAAGCTACATTGCTCCACATGATCCTTTGATTTCTGGTTAAAACTACTGTCTGTTGTAGCTACGTCCTTCACCCATGCAAGAGACATCTTGCTCCTTTTTTGTTAGGAAGGAATTATGTGCAGGACTGAGACAAGATCTATATGTCCTCAGCTCATTGTAGATGAAGACAGATGTCCCTTTTCATTCCTTCTTAGGGTTGGAAGCAATGGGATGAGTTTGAGCCGTTCAGGACTCTTCCTCCTATTTCTCTTGGAGTTGACAGAGAGGGAAATACAGGAAACAATATAGAGAAACACATACTCTAACAGACATCCTAAAGCACAGAAACCCTCCAAGAAATGCTCCTTTCCCTGGGCAGGATGTCAGCTTTGCTGAGCTTCACCTCCCTCCATAACCCTTCCTACATACTCGGTACCTGTTTATTCTTTATCTAGTGTTTTATTTATAACAAAAAGCACTTTTGCTCTCTCCTTGTTCTCCAGGCATATATATAGCTAAAGCTTTCCTCTTCATACCATATTTGTATTTTAAAAATTATCATTTTGTGCATTGACAATAGATGTTTACATGTGAACGGCAACCTCAAGGCAATTCCAGTGTATACTTAAGACTCTTAAGGGTAAGTATTCACAATTCAGCATGAATAATAATGTAATTCATATTTATTGAGTCCTTGCTAGATGCCAGATGCTTTACTAAGTGCTTTACAAATATTATATAACTGATTTTTTCCAATATATTCAACATAGCATTGATTCCTTCCAATACAGCACTTATTCCCATTTTACAGAGAAAACTGAGGACCATACAAATAGTACATGATGGAGTCAGGACTCAAATCCAAACCAATGACTCCAACATCCATGCTGTTGCCATCATTCTATATGGTTTTTTGCCCTGGATAATTCTGGCATTCGTTTGACAGGGAGGGTGGCACTTGTCAACATCCTGCAATGAGGACATACAGCCACCGTACAACATGAGAGTTCAGTCACAAAACAATTTAGCTGGTCTAAAATGGTTGTGTGTAAGGCTAGCTAGGCTAAGCCTTTTTAGGTAGGAATAGAAAAGAAAAACTGTAAAATCATCCCTTGACTGCCATTCTGAGAAGTAAAATGGTGTTTTGAGTGGTCATTCAACAGCCTCCAAAGCCCTTGTCAGAGGAATTGAAGGTATTGTTTCCATCAAAGACTCTCTTTCATTTCACTGCCCTTTCTCAAGATGGGACATCCCACTGCTTATTAATAAAATTAAAGCTAAGCAATTTGGCTGGACCTCAGGACTCTGCAAGCTCCTCCCACGGTCTTTTTATTTTAATTATCTTATTGATTGATGATTGATTGAGTGATTTTTAATTGACAAAAATTGTGTAAATTTATGGGGTGTCGCGTGATGTTTTGATATATGCATACATTGTGTAATGATTACATCAAGCTATTCACATATCCATCACCTCACATCCTTACCTTTTTTCTTGCAGTGAGAACATTTAAAATCTGCTCTCTTAGCAATGTTCAAGTACACAGTACATTTTCAACTACAGCCACCATGCTCTACAATATATTTTCAGAATTTATTCCTCCTGCCAAACTGAACCTTTGCTCCCAGTCTTCACAGCCGTCTGCTCTAGTTTTGAGTTCTCACTGCTGCTGGGGTGCCTGCTGTCCCCCACCCGCAGCTTGTCTCCCGCCTGTGCCCTACCTCTGGCTGCAAGGACTCGGACTCGTCACTCCTCTCCCCACGCCTCCCTTATCAGCCATTTACTCAGCGCTCTCTTCACTCACACTCACTTCATCGGCAGACTACTTTGTAACTGTTCTAAAGCCCATTTTAGATTTATGGATCATGTGTGTCCTCAGCCAGAAAGCAAGGACTGTGAGGATGGATTTCAATATTTCATATAATGAGGGCATTAACTTCATGAACAATGAATTCAGGAAACATAGATTGTGCAGTGCCTGGCACAAGTAAGTATCCATATATTACAATTTTCATACTAATATTAACAAGTCTTATTTTTAGTGCTTGTCTTCATAGAACTATGTTCAAGGCACAATGGGCCTTGGATACTTGTTTTAAAGGTATTGGAGTCTCACAACTCTGGTACCATGTGCAAGGTTAAAACAAGAGGCCAGAGAAGGCTCGTTCACTTTAGAGCAGTGATTCTCAATGGGGACAAATGTCCAGAAACTTTTCTGGTTGTCACAATGTAGGAGATGAAAATATTATTGGCATCTAGTGGATAAAGGCTGGGGAAGTTACTATACACCCTAAAATGAGCAACAGAGCACCTCCCCACCAACAACAGATAACGATCCATCCCAAAATGTCAATAGTGACGAGGTTAAGAAACCCTGGTTCAGAAAAAACAAAGCTATTCTAAAGTCAAATTGCTAGCTAGCATTTCCCGATGTTTTTAGGGGTTGTTCATTGTCCAATGTGCAGTATATAGATTTTATTTTAAGATGAGAATGCCACCATTCTCAATCACAGCCTTTCAGTCATTTTAACTAAATACAGTGTGCTGCAACCTGTTTATTCTCCACTTTCAAAATGGTTATATCAACTTTTAAAATGATTTTTTAACTTTTCCATGCGTGTATGCAATATAAATTAGTTTCTAAATTGTTAAGTGAAATCTTTGAATTGGAAGAGATCTTAAGGATTATTTGGCCTAACCCTCTTATTTTATATGTGAAGAAACTGAGGCCCAACGTGGTCAGGAGACTTCTTAGTAGAAGAGGCAGGACTGGATCCTAAGTGTCCTGATCGACATCCCAGGACTTATCCAGTATCACATGATGCAACCACTATTTAAGTGAAGGGGATAGATTCTTCTTTGGGAGATTATTTCTTTCTATTGACGTATTTTAGCCTTTCTGGATTAACTGTGCTCCATAACTAGGTTCACCAATCATACATTAGAAAATAATTGCTACAGTCATATAGGATGAAATATTTGTCCCCTGAGGAGACAAGATCCAGTACAAAAATTCCTTTTGGAAGTGAAAATTCTAAAGCCATCTGGCATTTTTTGCTTCTAAGCTCATTTAGGTAATACATTTCAGAATACTTTCATGATTGCTTCAAAGAATCATGTTTTAGTCTTTATCTTCTTTGTTAGATATTAGTTAACTTTTTTGATAAATAGATTGTTATTATAAACATTTAAATAAGGAATCACAGTGAAAATCTTTGAAGAACAATCTTAGTATTTTTGTCCCGTGCAATAACTTTGGTTTTCAGTTCATTGACAAGGGAATTACTGGACTGGGGAAGCTAATTAACTTTTTTATAATCATGTAGCACATCTGTGGTAAAGAAAAGATTAGAGTACTCAGTTTTTTTGGTTTGTTTTGGTTTGATTTTTGTTTTATTTTACAAAAAAAAAAAATTTCCTCAAAATCACAAAGTAGTTGGAATTCCCAGTTTGTTGTTCAGGCTACAGTGTGTCTGAGTGGGGATTCGCTTCTGAGTTCTATGACAAATGTGAAAAAAAAAATAATAATAAAAATTGATTTCATTATTTCTTAATACTATTGAGCTCAGTTTGTTGAAATATTTATAATATGAGGGTTACAGATCAATTTGCACTTTTACCTCTCACCATTCAACTTTGAATTTGTGCCATTTACCCCAAAGAAGGTTCAGTGGAAATGCATGAAGCTATCTTCTTGAATCGAACACTTCAACTCAAGGAATAATTCAAAACAATGCTCCACTGATCAAGAAAAATGTCACTAGTTCCTATTTTGATTAAAAATAAGGAACAGAAAGGAGTTTGGACAGACTAGAGCTTCTTGCAATGATTTTCTTGGGATTTATAACAGAAGGAGGAAGTTACTTTCCAGAAGTTGTGTTTGAAGTAGAAAGAAATGTGTTGCTGGCACACAAATACCAGATAGGCTGACAGCACTATTAGAGGTAGGAATAATGTGCAGAATAAATAGCCACTAAATGTAGTGACAACTTTGAGTGACAGATAAAGAATAAAAATGACAATTTCCCTGATAACATGTCAGGGAAAAAATGTCTCTTTCTTTCAGCAGAAAAAGATATATATGGTTGCAAATTCAAGCGGCCTCCCATCTGGTGAACTTCTTATACCCTTGCAGAGCTATAATTTTGGCCCAAAATGGAACAATCCCTTTGTAGAAATTGTTACCTCTTCACTTCATTGAAGGTTTGCAACAGTTTATTCAGACTGTTTCTGTCCAGTTTTAACCATGTGTTTTATACTAACATTGTCCTGTCTACTGCATAATAAAATCCAAGAATAGGTCAGGCATTCTGTTTTCTATAGGCCAAAGGCCATCGTAAGTTCAGATGTACTACTCAAAACAAATTAGCATGAGTTTTTGTACCAAAAATATGTAGCATTTTAGAAGTTATCTCTTTATACAATAAAAAGATAATAAACTTTTTTATCAATTTAACTTTGTCAAAAAATAACTCGAGACAATGTGGGGAGAAAAAAACTTTAAGATTATATAATACATGTCTGTATCAACAAAATCTTGGCTTTGCTAACAAAATGAACACAAATGAATATTACTTAAACTTCCCAGAAATGAAAACATTTAAATTTAAATAAGATTCAGATGATTCCATATTATTCAAACTTTCCAAAATTTCTAGAGTGGATCAAAGAGCAGAAAAGAAAATAATGAGCCTCTACCTCTGGCTATTATGTATGCAGGTTCACTGGGTAATGGAAATTCCGTGGTGACAGCCTTTCATCATGAAGATGAATCTTTCTGGAGAGACATTTTCATAAAGGTTCATCTGCACTTAGGACAGAAATAATAATTAGACAATATGATCTAAAGGAATCACTTCTAATTATCCTACATCATCTTGAAAAACTTATATCTAGTATCAGACCAATCATTTTGTTTCAGCTAAGGAGAATGATGCCTGTTTGTATAGCACAAGAATCGCTGAGCCCCAAACAATAAAGAAAGCTGAACCATATTACGGAGTTAATCACTGCAGTTCTGAGAATTCCCTAGCTATATGCAATGCAGTTTGAATAAATAGATCTCAAGGGACCTTTTCTATTTTAAAAAGTAATTGCTTATGACTATGTTAACATGTGCTATTATTGAGAGGATTCTCACTTCTGCCCAGAAATTCCAAGAAATAAGTTGAAACTTGACTTTCACATGCTGTTACAGTCCACCATTTCTACATTGAGGTTTCATATTATGCTTCATGGCAATTGTTGCTTCCACTTAGTGAAATGATCAGAAAGTCACTTTGCCCAAAATTCGGTTTTGATCTTTGCCTAATGTCAAAATTTCTTTTTGAAAAATGATAGATGGACGGAGCTGGAGGTTATTGTCCTTAGCACTAACACAGGAACAAAAAACCAAATATCACATTCTCGCTTATGAGTGGGAGCTAAGTGATAAGAGCTTATGAACACAATGAAGGAAACAACAGACACTGGGGTCTACTTGAGGGTGGAGGGTGGGAGGAGGGAGAGGAGCAGAAAAGATAACTATTGGGTACTGGGCTTAATACCTGGGTGATGAAAAAATCTATACACTAAACCCCCAGGACACATGTTTATCTATGTAACAAACTTTCACACATACCCCCCAAACCTGAAATAAAAGTTTTAAAAAATCAGATAATAGTTAAAAAGGAAAAATGATAAATGATAAAAAAGGATGGTTTTTGTTTTATTTTAATATTCAAGTTAAAAGTATACCATTTATAAGGCAAAGCCTCAGCCAAGAATTCACCTCCTAATCATCAGAACTTCCCCTTACCTCCTCACCTCCTCACCTCCTCAGCTATGGTGATTTCTCTTTGATCCCAGCTCCCACTTATTTCTGTATGCTTGGCAGCTGACATGACAGGTCATCATCTGACTCACTTTGGGGCTCATGTACAGCACCTAAACCATGACGTCTTTAATTCTAATGATAACCATGGATGTAAATTAGTGAGCACTTACCATGTGTTGAGCATTGTGATAGGTGCTTTATATTCATCATTTCCTTTCATTCTCATCACAATCCTGTAAGATATTGCTATTCCCTTTAACATATGAACAAAGGTTTAGAAAGGTTAAGGGAACATGCAGGTAAAAGTGGTAGAACCTGAATTCAAATCCAGACTTGTTCATTATTGTAAGAGGAAGAATGAACCACTCTACTCCTTCCTCACAGTAGAATCTGAGAACAAGGGACATTTGATAAGAATCGAGTTGAGTCCTTGCTAAATGATGGGTCCCCAAGGTTCTCTTTGTGTGACTAATGAAGTAAGACCTTAAGGAAACACAAGCCAGCAAAGGGACCTTTCTTTTATTCTCAGCAAGCACAAAGAGAAAAGAGGATGGGAAATCAAGTAAAGGGACTATACTTCACAAAATGTTGAGAATTGTTGATAATATGGAAGGAGAAACTATTTGTTTTTTTTATTTAATAGCACAAACTGTATGTCAGTCACTGCTTAAGCACTTCAGAAATATTAACTCATTTAATCCTTATAATAACCTACAAAATAGTTATTACAATTATCCTCACTTTTCAGATGAGGAAACTGAAGTAGAAAAAGGTTGATTGGTTACTTCCCCATGCTGCTGGTAAGGGACAGAACTAAGGTTCAAACCTGGTCAGCACGGCTCTAGACCAAACCCTTAACCACTATAATATACTGCCCCTGACAGGAAAATAGCATGTTCCTTTTGTGAGCTCAAACTAGTGTTTCCCATTCGAGGGTCCAAGATCCCCTGGGACCCTCAAACCCTTTCAAAGAGGCCCTCAGATTCTCGTCAAGAACTCTTTAATGTTATGTTTAGTCCTCAGTTTAAGGGAAGCTTAAGCTATAAATGACATAAAGAGTTTTCCATCTTTGTAAAGGCTGATTGTTAAGAAGGACATCAAATTTGGGGTGTGCCAGCCAGAAGGAAAGAGCACTGTGCACTGGGGAGGGCCACAATATATGATCCACCACCCACCCCTCCATGTTTCCTTCAGGTGTTGGTCCTTTCATGAAAACATCTTTAGTACTCCCAACCATATTTGCTCTCTGAATGTGTTCAATAAATTACATCTGTGGTTATTAATAGAATTAAAAGTGTCATGGTCTAGGTGTTGTGCATGACGCCCAAAGTCAGTCAGACTATGACCTGTCATGTCAGCTGCCAAGCATACAGGAATAAGTGGGAGCTGGGATCAAAGAGAAGTCACTGTAGCTGAGGAGGTGAGGAGGTGAGAGGGAGAATTTCTGATGACTGGGAGGTGAATTCTGGCTAAGGTTTTTTCTTGTAAATGGTATACTTTTAATATAAGCAAAATAAAAACCATTGGTTACTATTATCTTTCAAAGAGAAGTTTTGACATTATGCAAAGATCAAAACTGAAATTTAGGCAAAGTTAATTTCTTATCATTTCACACTATCCTTTCTGTGTAGCTCTCTTGTGACCCTTCACTCACAGTGACCAGTGTTGTAATACTCATTACATTTACCAACCCATTTCTATACTGAATCAGCCTGGAGAATGCAGTATATACTGCTGGTTGCCCTCAAAATCCATTCTCCCTTTCTTCTGCAATAAATAGAAATCCGAATTTTAGCTGGAGACATAGGCAGGCAGCTAAATGACCACATTTCCCCGGGTTTCTCATGCATATAAGTGACCCAGGCAGCTAAGTTCTGGCCAAATGAAAAACAAATCAAAGTATTTCTAAGACTTCCAGAAAATTTCCTTTATAAGGAGGAGTGTGTCCATCTCTTGCTCCTTCTGTCTTCTTGCTGTTTGAGATACAAATGAGACAGCTAAATTTCCAGAACCCATCCTGAACCATGAGGTGGGCTTGGGAACAGAAGACGAGCCATAGGCAGCAGAAGAGAAAGGGAGGTGTAGCTGAAGTCCTTAGCTGGCAGTCAACTACTTCACTCCAGACTCCTTTCATAGGAGGGAAATAGACTTCTGTTTAACCTAATGTTCTTTTTAATTTTCCTGTGCTATGCAGCTAGACTTGATCTTCACTGTTGTGTAAGTACAGAGATGGTGTTTTATTCAGCTTTGGCTTCACTAAAATATGCAACACAAAGTCTCACTGGAGGCAGGTTCCATGAAAAGCATATTCATTGAATTGAACCTCCAAAACCATTAAATGGCCCAGAATTCTCCAGAATATGCCCTGAACTTCCCTCCAGCCTTCTTACCCACATCTAATTAAACACGTTGAAGATAAATTTTATAAGTATTTCTCTTTCCATCTTTCTTAATTATAGGTTACCTAATGGAAAAATATTCAATTAAATAGCTTAATGAATATTCTGTATGCTTAAATGTATTTTGTTAGCTTTAAAATTAAAAGATGTTGCAGAGTATTGTTTTCTGCCTTTTATTGAAAACATAAAACTTCAGCTTTATTATTACAGATTAAATCAGCTTTGGGAAGGGGGATAAACTGAAAACAAGCCAGTATTTACAATATGTTTTCTATAAGAAATTTCACTCTGGGTTTCAAACAAGCGAGTTACAAGCAAAGTTTTAGAGGATAAAATATTTGTAAATTGGTGGTTCTAACTACATATAGACATGTAAACAACAAAAATTAGTACTGTAGTTTCTGGATTTGTAGAACTATTAAACCTTAGGATATTCCTTAATTATAACTCATTGTTTGACTTCTATCAATTTTAAATATTAAAATTTTGTCCTGTTAAAACTGGGATCATAGTTTTTGCATTCTTAAAAAAAAAAGTATTAAACTCAAAATGAAATTTTACACATATCTTAGACTTCCATGTTATCCAAGTAAAAAAAAAAATTATTAAGTCCCTTTTTATAATGTTTTAATATACATAGTGGAATGTTTGTAAAACCTCTACGTTCAAATAGAAAATGTTCAATAGTTCATTAATTTTTTTTGCATCTTATGGAATTATTTAGATGTATTTGTTTTCAGGTTTTAACTAGTATTATCTAGTTTAAGCCAACAAACAGTTATTATTTAAAAGGATATTAAAAATAATAATAGTCAATGCTTCAAGTCAAGTTATTGAATACCTACTTTGTGCTAGGCACCTCTTTAAGAGCTTTACATAATCCACAAATAGAATACTGAAATTCAAGAATGCTAACAACATGCCCTGAATCATACAGATAAAAAAGTAGAAGAGCTATTTCAAGTCATTCTGTGTCTAAATCCAGGGTTTTTTCCACCAGGGTACACTCCGCTGCGTCGTATCAATGAGCAAGGGGACCATAATTTCATTCTTTTTGTCTTACATTTTTCTTCAGGTAGGGTTTAATCATATTGGTGCCAAAAGATTTCCCAACCTATTTTCCAGAATCAAGAGACATTTTAGGTCTTACTAGCATATGGGTTATACAGTCAATACGTCCGTGTAAGTGAGCATAATGTCTTGCATGACCCAAATATCAAGTTCTGCCTGATTTGACTGGTGTATAAAAATGATAAAACAAATTGTTTCATTATGTAAAGAGCATATCATCACTATCATTATTTATCTTTAAGCTTCCTGAGAACCACGGTAACAAATCAAATATGATAGGCTGCATGATTCTTGTATTAAAACTTTGAAAAAAACACATTTTTCTGGTACCAAATTATAAAATGAATATATTAAAATTGTGTTGGGTACATGAAGAAACATAATTAATAATGTCTTAAATATCAGTCGTATAAAGAAAACAGAAGTGATATTATCCACCTTTTTATTGCATTATGCCCCTCTGAAAGACAAGGCAATCGTAAAGTATAATTCAGCAACAGTAAAGTATAATTTGGCAGAAGTAATTTTTGCAGAGGTCTCACAGTTAAAAGCTGTAAACATCTACAGGAATCAAATTTAATTTAGCTAACAGAGCACTATGTGTATAAGATGTAGAAATTTTAGATAAACTCAAGCCACAAAATATGTAGTCATCCAGATGCTTACTGTCCAAATTGTCTCAATATTTCTTTGAATTGCACAATACTGTACAAAATTACACAAAAACCGTGTATTCCATCTTCTCTTTGAACTCAAAAACCCCACCAGCTATTTATACGTCCAAACAAAGCATTATTTGGTTGTCTTGCAACACCTTCCCTTATACACCTGACATCCCTATAAATACAAATACAAAACTAATGTTATGTCACATCTATCTGTCCTTGCCAGCTCCTCCCTAGGCTATAACTCCAAAGACATGTCACTATAAAGAAAGTGCAAGGGCAAAGCCACCAGAGTTGACCTATTGTGTTGAAAGTACTTCCTCTCTCCCACTTTCAGCAGCAGGTGGTGAGAGGACACTGAAGCCATCCTCATGTATGTTCATACTAACAACTGTCTTTGCCTCAGCATTTGCTTTGTGAATGAGGTCACTTTAACAAGACACAACAGAAGTGACATGATGACGAGATGTGGTGCTTTTCCTCATTAAGACATCCCATAAAACACACAATTAGCTATATAGTCCCTCCTGAGGACACTTAGACATTTTAAATTCATAGTTATCATTATATATTTAAGGATAATCATTAGCAGCAGTCTTACTTAGATTGAGGCACGAAAGGAAAGCAGGGTATAGAAAATTGCTTACCTATTTCACAAAGGTACTGAGAAGCTTAATGGTTGTAAAGCACTTGGACTGAAGGCACAAACCATAATCTTCTCACCACGTCACTGTAACAGACATCCATATGGTCCCATCTTCCATTAATTGGACCTAGATGTTGTATATATTTGATGATTATGGTAATGAGTGATGTGATTATAAGATCCCCTCCATAGGACATTTTGTCCATGAATAAAATGTCTTTATCCTGTGGGAGAAAATGTTTCTCAGCTTGAAATAATTTATTTTTGTCATCAGTGGGTTATAAACTGTGCCTTAGGCTTCTGGTGTGCAAAAGTATCTTTGAGTCAAATGCCTGTCTAAAGAGATTTCTTTTAAAAAAAAGAGAGAGAGAATGAATCCTCCATTTGTACCACGTGATCCTATCTTATCAGTCATCTAGACTGTGTTACCAGTTCAGATCCTTTACTGTTGGGTGAATTGAGTTTAAAGGTAGATAAAACAAAGCTATAGTTACACTACGTAAACTGATCTGGAAAAAAAATTAACAGGCAGTTTACCTACCATGACACTGTACATAGTCCTTGTGTTCATTTTTCTCAGGTCTAGAAACCATATGTAATTCATACTCAGCATAAATGTGTGAATTTTTAAATAGCCCTTGTAATTAAATCGGGGCTTAACAGCAACACAGAATCAAAAGTTCATGATGCTTGTTATTTAAGTCTCAGATTATGAAGTAAGGAGAAATGTCAAATTTTTAGAGCTGCTTTTTTCCTTAACTCTGTCAATAAAGAAAAGAACTTTAAATACCTTGTGGCTTTGCAATTTTCTCTTAAATTTTTCTAGTAAAATCTGAAACTTTTAAGTTAAAAATCTGCATTGCTTTCAAATTAGTTTCCCTGTAAGAATTATATACTGTTCAAGCTTTTCATTTCTACTTAATTTTACTGTTCAAGTAGTTCTGTTTGAACATTGAGTATTTGGCCTCAATCCTCTTCCTCACAGTCACAGCTGCTCTAACAAGAGGTTAGTAGATGAATTTAGCTCTCCCTTTCAACAAAGCAGGTGTCAATGCAGCCCCATATATCTCAATGAATAACAGATGTAAAACCTCCTTGACTCCTTATTCTCAGCCACTTTTGAAAAGTGGAAGTCAGATCCTTCAGAAAAGATGCTCTATTATCTTTGTACTATAAGCAAAAGACAGATATGGAAACTCACATAGTTCTCTCTTCACTCATCAAAAAAGAGACGAAAGACCAAGAAGATTGATGTCATCTACAGCCTGTCCCATTTTCCTCAAAGTGAAAAATACACAGTAGCTCAAAATGAGAAAAAGCTAAATTCCTATTACTTTTCAATAAAGCAGCATAGTACAAAGGGACTGTGGAAGACCTTTTTGGAAAATTTATCTGCATAAATCCAATGAGGTTTCTCTAAAAAACTGGGAAAATCTGGAAAACCCAAGTGAATGGAATAATTTAAAAATATAATATCTTGACATAACATGTAACTATTTGAGTGTTGACAGACACTTGGATTTTCTAGTAACAGGGTGAAGTCTTTGCCTAGAAGTTTTGCGACATGAATTAGCTAAGAATTTGTAAACTCCAATTGTTCTGTGTGGGTGGGCAGGGTGTGGTTTTAAAATTAATAAAGTAAGCTAGGAAAGGAAAGATTTAAAATATAGGGGTAAAAGCTAATTTCATCCAAAACCACTTGACCTTTGTAGGGTTCCTTGCGGGATCTAGGACTGATACAAATCATCATTGATAGCTCACTGCTTTCAAAGCACAAACTATAATGTCATTCTTACAAAGCATCTTTATGGCTATGGGATCACCTTCGTGCTTTGTCTGTCAGCTAACTCAGCTTTATTATTTACTATGAAAGGGCTCATAATTCATGAAACATATTTTAATACAGTATTTTTCTTCTTTTTATCTTCTATACTCAAGTTTACTAAAAATAAATTTATTCAACATTTTAGTTGTACAGATGCCCAAATGCCTGGCTAAGCAACTGATGCTATTGTATTGCTACAGAAGATAGGTGTAAAGATTTATTCAGATTTCAAATCATGCAAATAGGTATTGTTTCACTTCTAGAAGAATGAATCAGTGCAGTTCTTATTTGTCATATTTAATGAAAGTTAAAGCTTCAATCATTTATGAGTGAATAAACTAATAGACTACTTTCTTAGTCATGAAAATAGACCATTAAAATCTAAAAATTTAAGAAAATTAATATATAAGAAGTTTTTGATATTAATTTTTGTTTTCCACCATTCATAATTTATTTTAGGATTTTTAAACTTACATTATGTATTCCACAAGAATGTTGCACCATTAGGATAGAAAGCAAACAAAGCCATTGTTTTGACAAATTAATCAATTAATATTAGGACTACAGATAAAGAACCAATGGTGACAAAGGAGATAAACTTCAGTATCTACTGGTATACTTCTGTTACATTCACCATCAATTATTTCGGTCTTCATTAATTAGTTATAAGAGACACAAACATGTGTTCTTCAAGGAGTTGGCCTCATTATAATTAGATAAGTATGGTTTTATAGGGATCTACTCAGCATATTACATAACTCACAGGATAGCTTGTAATAACTCTACTATTTATTATAATTTTACTGTATAGTTCAGCAGAAAATCCACTAATAGGGAAATAATAATGGAATAAGATTTTCTCAGTATATGATTGGTCATTTTTGGAAGAAAGAGAAAATAATTGCAGTTGGAAGTTTAGAATAAAAGAGGATCAAACATGTTATCATTTTATTTAATGGCTTAGTTATAAATTCAGCTGGACACTAACACAGCTTTAAACCTGATATCAGGTAAATTTTTTTCACCTCTTAGTGATAAACTGGAGTCGTTGCTCCTTTTCACTCTATATTTGATATTCAAGACTTAAGTAAATGAGTTTTCAGTTTGTACAAACAGGCTTTTAGTTTTTGAACAATCTTTAGTATTGCCCTAGTTACTCTTTAATTTTTGAATCATTGCATAGTGTTAACTCAGTTAATAGAAAAAATAACCAATATTTTTAAATAGGGGAGTGATATTTAAGAAAGTAACACTTCTATTTTAGATATTTCCAATGGGAATCTGTACTCTACTTACAACTTGTTTTTAGAGCCTTGCTGTAGTCAAAATCACAATGGTCCAGGCTGCAGCATGAGACCTAACATCTTCCTGCACCAGAGGGAATGAAACCTTACCTAAGAGGTTGGCCTGTAACTGATATCAACCTCCTTGACTTAGGATACAGCTCAACTGAATTGTTTTCTCTGTTGAGCATGACATACACTGAGGGATATAATTGATTGGTGGTTTAAAGGCAGGAGATATAACTTTCAGATTGTTTAACTGAAATCTTCTCAGAAATTCTCTTCTGAATGTCAAAATCCCCACTGTATAGTCTCAGCAACCATTGAATTGCCGCTGGAACAGACATTTCAATAATCGCTGGAAGATTAAGATGTGAATACGTTGTCCTATAAGACCACTCAAAATGGTGTTTATTTTTTTCCATTTTTGTCCAATAAGTTAAGAGATAAATTGGCTCATTTTAACAATATAGGCATTTTCGGCTCTTTTTCACAGAAAAATTCATTGTAAGCATCATCAATCTATTTTAAATATTTTTTAAGATTTAGTACCCAAATAAATATATGTCAGGTAATTCATGTTAAAAAAATTATGTAACCACATTGAAAATACACCAAATCCTGTTCCCAAAGAAATGAGGACAAAATCCAAACTTCTTAGCAGAATTTACAACTCCCTGCAAGTTCTGGCTTTTGTCCTTGCAATCTCATTTCCTGTGTTACTCCTCCTTACCCCATAGAATCCTGCCACGCTCATCTTTCAGCTGAGCAACCATATCTAACCCTCCCCTAGCCATTCCCTCTTCCTGATATGCTCATCTTTCCTCTTTCATGGTTGGCTACTTCTCAACTCTGAGGATTAGCCTTAAATATAATAAACTTCCTAGTTAGCCCTTTCCCAGCAATTTATAAAAAGTGGGAGCCCTTCTTGTTAGTCTCTATTTCAGCCTCTTGTTTGCATATTTCTTAACATATAATTTGCAACTTTCTATTTATTTGCCTACTGATCCTCCATAGGATTGCACATGCTATGGGAAAAGGATTAAAATGTCCTATTCTATCTCATTTCATCAGTGCATATCACTGGGCCTGGCCCTGGGCAAATTCTCAGTGGACATTTGCTCAGTGAATGAATTGATGCCCAAAAGAGGTCATAAAGGAAAAGTATTCTGTTCTTTATGCTGGCATGTCTTTTTTTTTTTAATCAAATAAATATTAAATGCTAGACACTGGCCTCCTTTACCATCATAAAACTAAGGCCTTTTGAAGCAGTTCATTCTATAAAAATTAGTTTAAAATGTTTTAGGGACTCCCTATCACCAATGAGAAGAGTTTCTTAGAAAAGCAGCACATCAGGCCTTCAAAATTAGTCTCCACAGCCCTGCTCAGTGCCATTTCCCTCCATCCCCTGCCTCCTTCTTCAAGCTCTGACAATGGTAAGTGGTGCCCAGCCTTGTGCTTGGGACAGAGCAGGAACTCCACCAATATTTGATGAATCATCTGCTGGCAGTTCCTTGCACACACCTGCCTGTTTTGGTGTGTCAACTGAGGCTGGAGAGCTAATCAAGAGACCAGATGTATAATATGAGCATCTCTATAGGACATGTTAGGAATTAAGATATTTAAAGTAATGGGAATCTATTGTTTTTTTATTTTTTTTCATTTAATTTTATTTATTTATTTATGAGGCAGAGTCTTGCTCTGTTACCCAGGCTGGAGTGCAGTGGTGCAATCTCAGCTCACTGCAACCTCCGCCTCCCGGGTTCAAGCGATTCTCATGCCTCAGCCTCCCAAGTAGCTGGGACTACCGGCGTGTGCCACCATACTGGCTAATTTTTTTTTTTTTTTTTGTATTTTCAGTAGAGACGGAGTTTCACCATGTTGTCCGTGCTGGCCTCAAACTCCTGAGCTCAAGCAATCCGCCTGCCTCAGCCTCCCAAAGTGCTAGGATTACAGGTGTGAGCCACCACACCAGGCCAAATAATAGGAATCTGTGGAAAAGCTTTAAGCAGGGGAGGTTGATGACTTAGCCCACCACAAGGGGTGGGAGTATACTCTAAAAAATATTTCCAGTTGGTAGTTTCTGCTTAAGTTGCATCTTTCAGTTCTGTCTTTTATAGAGCACATAAGTTTTGAGTAACTTCCAAAGCCACCCAAGTAAAAATAAATCAAGAAGGATTCTGTTTTACACTCCACTTCCCCCATGTCCTTAGGCAGGAAGAAAGCCAGCTTGGGTATACATCTTTCCAAGTCATTTGTCTGTGAAGTATCATTGAATGTTCAATGATTTCCATTAATATAGCAACAAACAAACAAAACCCCATGTGTTTAAGTACAAGTAGTTCTGAACTCTATATTATTTGTGGAAACATTGTATACTAACATAATATTTGCTAATTTTGTGTTGTAATGGTTACATGTATTTGAATAAGAAACGCCAGGGAAAATCTTATGAACATATTCAAAGAACTCCTCTTGAAGAAAGTTTTCTAAAAGTCTTTTGATAGCATTTGATTAATAAATATGCATTAAATTCATCATGAATCTGTTTATTTCCTCCGTGGACAAGATTATTACTTGATGTTTGGGCTGCTTTTTTAATAGCTTAGGTATTAAAACTCCTTTATGGCTAAGTATCAACTTGAATCAGTTTTATTCATTTGTCAAAATAATATCAAGCTAATTTGACAGCATAAACACAGCATGTGCGAAGAGAAAGGTCTACATTGTTCTTTAGAGATATCAAGCACCTATGCAATGACTAGGCATTGCCTGTCAATTTCTTTTCTAAAATAAATTCCTGCAACTTTCATAAAACCTGAATTAAGAATCAGTGCTTTCCAAAACTTCATGAAATAATCTGCAGGTACCAACATGCTCACAGCTGCTAAGCAGAGAAGAACAAAGTTAACGTGTTGAAACTGGTTGCATTTTGGAATATTTTAACATCTGGGCCTTGAGTTGGATGTCACATCATCATACTGGTAAGCCTCAACTCCTCACACTCAGTACTCAGAAGAGGATGAGCATGAAAAAGAAATAGAGGCAATCAGAAGTTTGCAAGAGCAGGCCAGGCACCATCTGGACTATGTAGGAGGACTGGTGGGGGAAAAGGAACATGATGGCATATGCTAGGAAAGTACAGATTGTAAAGAAAGGGTAGCACCCTTGTTTTGCAGACTAGCTACTACATTTATGTTACAAAAGAGCCCTCTGATATTACTGGGAAAGAAAATGCTTGTTTCAGGTTAGCTACATTTCAATATTCTGTAACACTGAGGAGGGGCAGAATGTGCATCTATTATAGCCCAAAAGGTAAAAATAACTGTTCATGGGTGTAAATCTCTAACAACTGAGTAAGAATCTTAGGGGAGGATCCATGTCTAAAATGTCTCATGCACTCTCCACAGAAATGCAATGCTTGGCATGTGAGAGTGGCAGAGCACTGTGCTTGGGACTCAGAACATCTGAGTTTAATTATCATCTGTGTTTCTGTGAGAAAGTCAGCCCCTTAGCCCAACTCCTCATCTGCAAAAGAAAAGAGGGGCAGTGTCAAGGGATAATGCCAAGGCAGCCTGTTTTTCTAGTTATTTTTGTTGTTGTTGTTGTTGACATTTAATAAGTCAATATATGTGACTACAGGACGGAAACTGTAAAAAGGGTCCACAGCTGGAAGGTGAAGATATTACACCTGGAGTAGTAAGGTGACAAATACCTGTTGATAGACTGGTTTCTTGATAAGAATTTATTCATGCCTCCTCTACCTTTCCATTTACTTCCGAGTTTTTGAACCTCAGCACTGCTGACGTTTTAAACCAGATGATTCCTTGCTGGGGAGTAGGGTGGGGGCCACCAGTGCATTGTAGAATGTCCAGAAACTGAACATCCTACTACCTCTACACACTAGATGCCAGTAGCAGCCGCCCCACCCTACTCCCATGAATTGGGACAAGCAAAAATGTTCCCAGACATTGCCTGATGTCCCCATGAAGGTGGGTGCAGGTGCAAAATTGTCCTTCGGTTGAGAAGAACTGGTTTAACTTAGAGACCAAATCTCAGTAGTATATTCTGAAAAAGCCATATGAGTTTTGTTTTCTCTATCCCTGAATCACAAATGAGAGCCAATTTTATTTGTGATTATAAAATAAACTGTGATTTTATTTGTGATTATCCTGCAGAAGTCACTCCGCTGATCTGTTTACATGGATTAACTCATTTAATCCTACAAGAAGGAGGTTCAACTGATCCTCACTTTAAAAATGAAGAAATTGAAGCTTAAAGAGTTGAAGTGACTTTCCCAGGTTCAAAACTAGGATAGAGCACAGCTTTTGTCTGGATCCTCCTCTGTAGGATTCCAGAACCTTTGCTTTTAACCACTCCTGCTGTGCTTCCTTACATGACATAAGATGATCAAAATAGCCCCTCGGATGAACGTAAGACAACACTTGTTGAGATGAACTGGACTTTAGACCTCAGAAGGATAAAGCACACAGCTATTCAAGGGATGGAGCTACTTGATAAATATTATTTACATGAGCTGTGGAACCAGCCAAGGCATAAAAAGAAAATCAGTCATGTCTGAAAGAAGACAGGTGGCAATTCCTAACATATTAATACAAAATCATCATTTAATTCCATAGAAACCCAGTTTTGTGGGAATATTACATTTTCTTTGTAAAGATTTATATTTTTTGAATTCAGTGATATGAAAAGAGATAAAGCTGTCCAAAAGCAAACAGTAAAAAGTAAAATTGATGAGGATAAGTTGATACTATTTTCCATGAAGTATCTGTATGGGTATATTTTTGCCAAGTGCTTCACAAAAAGCTAATGCCAAATTACTTAGTGTCTAGGATCTAGGTTTTTTCAAAATACTAAAGCTGCTAATATTATTCCCAATTTCTGGACCAAAAATGTAGACAAGGAAAGGTTGAGTAATATGTGTCAAGTTACAGAAGTCAAGAGAGGGCAAAAGAAAACTTTAATTATGGAGTGATGTATAACTCAGATCACTCTACATGTACTGTCAATCATTAATGCCCACTGAAAGAGTAACCTGGGTAGCGAAGGTATTTAGTTTCTCAAGAGATCCATCGCTGGTGGATGATTCCTTCTCAGCTGACCATGGGCAAGATTGTAACTTGTAATTTACTACTAGGAAGTCTGGCTTCATTTCCCTCAGGCTTTTACTCTGCTCCCTCAAAACCAACCAAAATTCTTAACTTTTACTATTTGATACATATACTGTATTTACTTCCTTAAATAATACTATCGAACCTTAATAATGTGAGGAACATTTCTTTCTGTCAATGATAAGAACACAGCAGTGTTCCCATAGGGTCCAAAACATCTGGCACTTATCGAACCAGAGGCTCAGTTTGAGCATGTGCATTCAGGGCACAGTTATAGTTTTGCTCTCAGCTTCCACAGTCAGTACCACATCACCATTGTGCTCTGAGAGGCAGTCCTTGAGGAAGCACCTGGCTCTGGACCCCAGAAGGCATTCTACACAAGTTAATTTTATTGTGTTATGTTGCTGCATTTCACCTGATTGAGACCAAGCCTCAGATGATGTAGGCATTTGAATTCCAAAGAAAACGACTGCCTAAGTCAGGATTCTTTCTGTTGCAAAAGATAAAAACTCAGTTTAAATGTGTTTAAGCAAAACTGAGAAGTTATTATCTTACCTAAATGAAAAATTTTAGGCACAAAGAGCACCAAAGTACATTAGGATTCCTAGGATCCTCCCAAATAATCTGCCCAGCACTTTCAAGTTACAAAAGTGATTCATTTATTGAATTATTTCTTTAAAAAAGAAACAAAATGAGGAAAACGGAACAGGTGTTATCTTCATTTTCTGGATGCTGTTAAATGGTTTGCTTAGTAGCTCTCTCAGCTACTAAGTTACATGGCTCATTACTGATTGACCTGAGGCATTCTGAATCCTGAACACCATGCTTTTCCCGGTATAATATACCTTGAAGGCAAAGTATTAGGCAAGCTCCTTATTCTCAGGATACTCAGTTCATAGTGAAAAAAAGAAATAAAATACAAAAAGAAAGTGACAACCTTGAAAGCACATTTTTGTGAAAAATTTGTTAGTTCTTTAATAGTACTAATTTATTTTACTTTCATGAGAGGAATTCCATAGGACTATTTCATGGAACTCCACTAAAAACTTGTGCAGAGGAGGGGTTGACACTTATTGTTTTTGTCACAATCATATTAAGTGGACAATTGGATCAAGGATTATATCATTATCACTAGTACATTACTGTCATGTCACTATCATCAACATTAAGTACCTTGAGATTAATTTCCAGCTAGGCCCTGTGTGCAACTACAGTGTCTCAAGGGCAGGCACTGTGTTTTGTTCATCATGATGTTCCTGACACTGAGCATAATTTTTGTTGAATTAATGAAGAACAAGTCCTAATGAGTCACAAAATCTGAGGAATGAGTAGCGAAAAATGGAACTCTGGGGACTTTATGAGTGTCATGACTATAGATATTGCTCTTTTTGAGAGTACAATGAAAATTAATCATTTCTTAAAACTCCCATTGGTTATAAATGAAGATTACTAATTGATGAAGGACACATATAAGTTACCCTATTGTTGTGGAGCTGTATAAAGTTTCAACAGAATTAAAATGAAACGGTGCTACTCATGCCACCAGGGGACTCACCACTCTGATTCCCACCCCCTCCCACAGCAGAGGCTTTTTGCCATCAAATATCCACTCTTCACTTATTCGTTTATTCAATGTAAAATGATAGTCATCTGCCAAATATTAAAGCAATCCTGCTTTTTTCCTGCGTCCCCCTCCCCTATAACTACTGCTCTCTTTCCCTCCCTTCAGAGCCCAAAGTCTGAACTCATTGTCTCCAATGCTTCATCCCTCATTCATTTTTCATACTGCGACTCAGTTTTAACCCTCAATTCTGCTAAACTTGTTCCTGCCAGTTTCTGATACCATACACCAATTTGAAATTCCAATTTTTTTTATTCCATATCTTACATGACCTCTCTTTGACATTTGACATTATAAACTACTCCCTCCTTCAACTTTTGCCTCTCAAGGCCACGATCTCTGGATTTTCCCTTATTTACTGATTCTCACTTAGATTAACTTCCTCCATACCATTCTCCTTCTTAAGTGCTACTATTCCCCCAGGGTTCCATTGTCAACAATGTTTTCTATCTACACACTTTTTCAGGAATTTTTATCTATACCTATGCCTTCAATGGTTATCAGTGATTTACTATCTCTGGAATCTCTGCCTTCATTCCTGAGCTTTAGACCAATAAATCCACAAACAATTCAGCTGTCCCACAGGCATCTCCATTTTTCTCCATTTCAACATGCCCAAAACCAGCTGCACTGTGTTAAATCCCACCAATCTTTGTGTCATTTACTCCCTGTCCCCATGAAGACCAATATTATCTACTCCATTGCCCAAGTTGGAAACCTAAATCATCCCACTCAATTCTGCAAAATTATATCAAGTCAGTCTTCTAAATGTTTCTCGGATTTGGCCCATTTTTCCCATGCTCATGGCCACTTTCAAAGTATTTCTTCTGGTTGTTATGAAAAAGCTCCTTATTTCATATTCCAACGTGCAGTCCTACCGACTCACTTGCTTCTGTTTCTCCATCACCACCATAAATTCATCTCCCAAACAACTGTCCAAGGTCACTCTACAAAGCAAACGTGATCATGTTATTTTGGTGTCTAAAATGCTTCCGTAGATCCCCGTTGCCTTCAGGATAAAATTCTAACTTCACAACATGCTTGTTTTACAAGGCTCTTAATTATGTGGCTCCAGAACACTTCTGGTTCATCTCACAGACATGTTAGTTAATCTCTATATTTACAATTCTAGTACGAACTGAGTCTTCTACAGGCATCGAATAAATCAATAAATGGATGAAGGAATTCTAAGAAAGAAGTCCTTAGATTTAAAAAAAAAAAGTTACACGGCTCCTATTTATCTTCAACAAATAATGATTTCTATACAAAGATAAATTCACATGGCACTTTTATTGTGAAGCTTAACATGTATTATCAAAAAATAGGGTCTTAAATTTTGCTCCTCTTTTTAGGAAATATGTCCTCTAAGGGGAACATCTAATAAGATACTGAAAAATGCCCCCCGGAAAAACATATGAGGAATTCCTGAATTTATAAATGGGCTATGTTCCAAAATTTCTTTTATAATTTGATTCTGTGAAACTTGGAATGCATTTTCTCATAGAAACAATTTTTTTAATTTAATTTAGACTTAAACTATTTTTAAAATGAGTTGAAATAGTATATAATAAAATACATATGTCATAAGCTTTTAAATAATGAAAAGAAGGCCTATAACAATATATCTGGGCGATGGAAAGTAATTATATCATGAATCTGATAAACCTACACACTAAACTAAAACTAAGAAGTAATTTAACTCTGAGAATCCTGTCAGCCAACACAATATAAAAGGGAGAAAGTGATGAGGTTTTTTTCTTTTTTTATTTTTACTTGTTTTACTTTTTTTAACCTCACATTGTCTAACAAAATGAATATAATAATTAATAAGGATATATATTTTCTTTGTACTAAACTCTCAGAAAAAGAATTTACATGATATCTGATACAAGGAATGTGTAATAATCTAGTAGAACAAAATGGCTTAACAGAAAAAGCAGATATACCATCACACAACCCATTCTTAGAGCAACCACTGATGAAACTGAGAGCATATTTAATTATTTTCCCATGAAGGCATTTCTATAAGTAATTCAATTAGTATGTACCCATCTCTCTGTTGCTCTAACCTGACATGGAATAAAGACTAGTAATAGCTAGCACATATCACTTAGAATGTATGTACGTGCATTAACTTGTTTAATCTTCATAACAAACGTATGATTGCTACTATTCCATTTCACAAATGAGAAAACTGATGCAAAAAAGTTAATAACTTGCCAAGTTCACACAACTACATTATTAAAATCTCCGTTACATTTTTTTCTCTCCAATATCAATTATCTCATTCAGGGTTTTAACAGAAGCAGCATTCTGCCAGACCTCAGGAGGCCTTGCATGCCTTTTTCTTCTAACCTGTAATTATCTGAGATTACATATAGATAAGCCTGGTCTAGCCTGCTGAACGATAAGAGACAAGTGACCCAAGTGCCCCTCCACTGCTTTATCTGGCGTGAACCATCCGTTGTGCACATGAATGAGATCATCTTAGACCAACGAACCCCCAAGTGAACTGACAGCTGACTGCAGACAAAGGAGCAATCTCCACAGAGACAAAAAGAACTGCCTAGCCTGGCCTAGCCCAAATGCCAACCTATAGAATTGTGAGCTCAGTAAATGATGGGCTTTTTGTGTTTGTTTGTTTGTTTTCTACTAAAAGTTGGAGTAACTTGTTATGCAGCAATAGATAACTGATATAGTCCCATCGGGCATACTCCTTCTACATGTGTTTTATTCTCCCATACAATATCAGAAGAGCCTCCAAAAACAAAGAGAACTGTTTGGAGTCTCACTTGGAGAGAGTGCCAACTATTCCATTTCCTAGTGGAACCTCTACAGAGCTAAATACAATTTTTTCCTTTTTTTTTTTTAAGTTTCCATAGGCTTTTGGGGAACAAGAGGTGTTTGGTTACATGAATAAGTTCTTTAGTGGTGATTTCTGAGATTTTGGTGCAGCCATCACCTGAGCAGTATACACTATACCCAATCTGTAGTCTTTTATCCCTCACCCCCCTTCCACCCTTTCCCCCAAGTTCCCAAAGTCCATTGCATCATTCTTATGCCTTTGCATCCTCATAGCTTAGCTCCCACTTATGACTGACAACATACGATGATTGGTTATACCATGGAATACTATTGAGCCATAAAAAGAATTGAAATAACAGCATTCACAGCAACCTGGATAGAATTGGAGACCGTTATTCTAAGTGAAGTAACTCAGGAATAAAAAACTAAATACAAATTTGAGTGACATTACATCCTTTTGCCTGAGAAAGATGAATTAGTTTTAAAATATACTTCAGAAAACTATAAGAATCTACCTGTTGAATAGAGTTAGTCTGGTCAATCTGAATCCTGTAGAATCGCTGTCAAAAATCATGATTCTAATTTTGGCACAGTTTACATGAAAAATGCACTTTCTGACAGTAATTAGTCACTAATTGCAGTTGGTTCTTATTCTTAGCCCTGGATAAGAGTAAAACCATGTCATTAGAATAGAGGAGGATGCTACTTGTCTCCTGTTTGCTAAGACAGGAAGATATGTAGCCACTTTGTCAGAGTGGTATTTAGATAAGCGATTAAGAGATGCTAGGACATGATCTGTATAGCAATGTTTAAAATTGGAATACAAGAGAATATTTCAAAAATTGGCACCTAACCAGCAGTCCATGCTGCAGACTGTCCCAACTGCTTGCTAAAATACCTCTAAAGGCAGAGGAAAAACAAAAATTAATGACACCAAAAACTGTAACTGACAGTCTTCCATCCACCAGAAACAGAGAAAATTCCATTAGCTGCAGGATCTAGGGAGATGAATTGTAAGTCATAATCAGCAGCTACTTGAAACAGAGAAAACTGACAACATGAAAGAATACAGGAAGAGTTGTCTTTCATCCTTCACTCTCTATCATACAGATCAAAGACTCAGGATCAGTACTAACTAGAAGACCAGGCAATTTATCCCATCCAGGACACAAATTACCTTGGAGGCAGAGAGAGTGTTATTACCCCAACCTGGCCTTCATCTTTACCTTTCTTTCTTCGGAGAATGAGACTTTCAAAACACAAAAAGTAAACGTGCACGTGCATGTATGTGTGCAGGGTGAAGGAGGAGGAGAAGGTGGTGGTAACAGTAAATGTACTGCGTGCTTAGAGACACATCTTCAACAAGTAGAGTACCTTTGGCAGAAATAAAAATGAGGACGATTCTGCCAATCATAGAGAACCAGTTTCGCATTTACTCCCTTGCTTCAAAGTATCAGACAACAGAAATTGTGGGTGGCACAGAGTCCATCTCAATCCAGCAAGCCTGTACTAATAAATAGTCTAGGACTTGTGAACATTAATCTGTTCCCCCACTGGAAATCTACTGACAGCAAATAAACCATAAATCAGATGAGAAGCCAGCCATAGACCCCATCTACTGGCAAACATCTTGTAATGGGATGAGTAAGCAGGAAGCAACCAAACAAGCAAACATGGGGTTTATAACAAATTCTTTGGCACAAGGGGAATTTTTACCACAACAAAAGATAAGAAAACATCTAGGTACTTTTCAATAAGATAGCAAAAAATAAGCAACCTTTGAAATGGGAGTAGATTTCAAAAGGGGAAACAAAATAAGAGTGAAAACGGTTATAATAAGGTAAGATTTAAACTGCATTTTAATATATTTTAAGAGACGAAAATGAAAGAGCAGAATTAAAGTAGGCTATAATAAAATTTAATCATTAATAAAGCTAATTCAAAAAGATTGAATTAGTGACTTGAAGGTCAAAATTTAGAAGCTTTTTCCGAAAATGCAGAGAAAGTTTAAAGGATGAAAATAAAAGTGAAGATGATAAATATAAATTGCAGGAAACAGAAATTCAATAAATGAATAACCAATAGAGCAAAAACAATGATAATATAGTTGAAGAAAATTTTACTGACTGAAATGAAGTCCTAAGTCTTCAGATATAAAGGATTTACTTGTCTTACAAAAATAATAAAAAGATCATAACAAGACACATCGTAGCAGGTTTTTATTCCAAAGATAAATAAAACCTGTAACTATTCATGTAGAAAGAAACAGGTTTATAACTACGAAATAAAATCATTCTGGCCTCAGAGTTCTCTGCAATATCAAATATCTTAAGACAACAGTGTGATATTGATAAAGTTTTGTGAGGTAAAGCATATCAGCCAAGGGCTCATTCATATGCAGAGGCAACACAGAGGCAAATCAGAAAATATAGAAACCACAAGCCTTGTTAAAAAAAAAAAAAAAAGAGGTGGGGCTGACAATGAGCATTAAATCCAGTTAGACATGAAATTATTTAAATAATTACTATAATTATCATTGCACAAAAGTAAAAACAAATACCAGAACTAATTATTAATAGAAAACAACTCTACTGGCATCCAATAATTCATGTTTTAACCCTTAAAATAAACTAGACAAGTCACAAATATACATCCAAAGATATTCACAGTTTTATTGTTTATAAAACTAAAATACCCAAATCATCCTAAATATCTATCAATAAAGATACAGTTAAATAAATTATAATATAGCCATGCATTGGAATGTTAAAAGAACATTCCATGTTAATGTCAACAGTATTTTAGCAGAATACAGATATTCTGTCTTCTGCTTAGTCATTTTCTACCTTATCAAAAATGTTTAATAATGCACAACAAATTTACATAAACAAAATTTTTAAGAGGATCCAGAAAACTCTCATAGAATCTTTTCAAGACTTTATTTAACACATTATATAAAGTTGGAAAAACCTACTTTTTCCAAGCTATCAGCATTTAGATTGTTTTAAATGTCTTCTATTTTTAAAAATTAAGGTTAGCAACCCAAAACTTTTAAAATAAACACTTTGTAAATAATGAAAATGAGAACCTATCATATCAAAATTACCACAAGGTAAATTTATTACTGTAATTTATTTAATAAAAGAATGAAAACTAAACTCCAAATTAAAGAAGTTAGAACATAGAAATAAGAAAAAGTAAATTAATAATCAATTCAAAATTATTCAAAAAATAGTAACAGACTAATTTCTTATGGATATAATAAAAGGTATAGAAGTGTACAAAATAAGTAATGCAAAGGAGATATAATTGCAGAGAATATTTTTAACTGCAGTATACTATGCAAAACTCTTTACTAGTTGCTTGTAAAATCTTGAAAAAGTAAATTATTTTCTAGAAAAATAGAAGTTTCATGATCAATCCAAGTTAATGTGGAAATCTCAGGCTGAAAAGAAAAAAATTGTTGTGGAACGGTTGATACTGTCAATGAGTTTCATTTCTGGGGAAGGAGGATATTTTTGTTAAGAAAAAGCTACCCCTGCCCGCCCCCCCCCCCAAAAAAAAAAGGAAAAGAAAAAGCTATCCCCATGGTATATATGAAACTTCAAAGCATCATATGTCTTTGATGAAATTTCAGTAGGTGAAATTTCTGCACCTACTTCATCGTATGAAGCTATGATAACTTTCATAGTAGAGCTGTCAGTTTGTGAGCATTTATTGCGAGTTATCAATAAACATGTGTGCCTTCAAAATTTTTGTGTTATATTTATATACATTTGGAACATCTGGTCTCTTATAATCCAAAATTGACTTTCATTAATAACTACATTAATTTGTTTTATTTTATATTACTTTTATGATTGTAGTGTTATGTTTATTTTTTAAAAAATTTAGCCTGGGCATGGTGGCTCACGCCTTTAATCCTAGCACTCTGGGAGGCCGAGGCGGGCAGATTGCCTCAGCTCAGGAGCTCGAGACCAGTCTGGGCAACACAGTGAAACCCCATCTCTACTAAAATACAAAAAATTAGCCAGGTGTGCTCCTGCAGTCCCAGCTGCTCGGGAGGCTGAGGCAGGAGAATTGCTTGAACCCAGGAGGCACAGGTTGCAGTGAGCTGAGATCGTGCCACTGCACTCCAGCCTTCGCGACAGAGCGAGACTCCGTCTCAAATAAATAAATAAATAAATAAATAAATAAATAAATAAATAAATAAAATTTAATCTCTGGAACCTGCAGATGAAGAATATGCATGATATAGAGAACAGATTGTGTGTCTGTTGATTATTTCATGTATGCCTACTGTCTTAAAAAGGCAACAAATAACAACCTCACTGTGTATAAATGTTCTTGGGTCCATTTTCTTTTCCTCATTGTCACTTTGCAGATGCTGTTCCATTGCTTTATTTTTAAGTTTCATTTTTTAATTTTAACTATTGCTTTAGATTCAGGGAGTACAAGTGCAGATTTGTTACATGGGTATATTGCATGATGCTGAGGTTTGAGGTATGGATGATTCCATCACCCAGATAGTGAGCATAGTACAGGATAGAAAGATTTTTAGGCCACTCCACACTCTGTCCCTCCCCCTTCTAGTAGGCCCCAGTGTCTGTTGTTCCCATCTTTATGTCCATGTGTACTCAATGTTTAGCTCCCACTTATAAGTGAGAACACGCAGTATTTGGTTTTCTGTCCTTGTGTTAATTTGCTTAGGATAATGGTCTCCCAGTGCATCCATGTTGCTGCAAAGGACATGACTTCATTCCTTTTTATAGCTGCATAGTATTCCATGGTGTATATGTACCACATTTTCTTTAAATAGTCCATCAATGAGTCACTCCTTAATGAATATGGGGGTTTCTGGGGGAGTGATTAAAATATTCTGGAATTAAATAACAAATGATGATTGTATAACATTGTGAACATAAAATAACTATATCAAAAGCAAGGAATTCATTGAGATTTATGATAATCTTATTTTTTAAACTACATAAATAATGGAAGTGTTCCAAAAACATGATTTTGGTGATGATTTCACAGCTATATAAAGTCACTGAAACTCATTGAATGCTACAATGAAAATGGATGAGTTTTGTGGTATACAAATTGTATCTCAATATATAGTCTTTCTAAGAGAATCAAGCAAAAAACAAACTGCTTCTTTTTGAGCAAAAGTTTTCAAGTGTCTATGTAACTTCCTCTGAGTTTCACTTCAAGTACTGTTTTGCATAGCAGCCTTTTCTGTCTTTCCAGTAGTCTCCACCAAACTAAGATATGATGAGCAGTCCCAGTAAACCAGGAGGCTGATAGGACTCCTGGCTATGATTTCACAGCACCTACTTAGCAGACAATACTCTACTCAAAAGTCACTATGAGAAGCATATTACTTCTTTTTATGGAAAGTTACTCATCAAGAATCTCTCCTGCCAGCTGAGCTTTCTCAATCCCTCAGGTATTATCATGCTAATTATGGGTAGAGTTGTACTCAATAAAAGTTATTCTAAAGAAAGAACAGTTAAATGGCCATCAACTTCAGATAAGTTTTCTATCTCAAGAATGAAGACAATTAAAGAACGGCTATATATTAAATAATAATATTGACCCAGACAAGATATAGTAAGAACCTTCACATTCTTTGACTTTATAATTCTGCTTTTCAGAATTTATCAGACATTTGGTCGGATGAATTTGTACGAAGTTGTCTATGTTGGCTTTATATATATATTAATAACAAAAGAACAAAGACTATCAGCAACTGAAAGAAAATAATGATTACATAAATTATTATATATTCCTACTATTAAATATAATATAGACATTAAATTTAATGATTGCTTTAGGGTTTTAAAATTTTTTTTCTTGAGACAGTTTCTTTCTCCATCACCCAGTCTACAGTATAGTGGTGCCATTACGGCTCAATGCAGCTTCCACCTCCCAAGTTCAAACAATCCTCCATCTCACCCTCCCGAGTAGCTGGAACTACAGGCATGCACCACCATGCCTGGCTAATTTTTTAATTTTTTTTACAGATGAGGTCTTACTATGTTGCCCACACTGGTCTCAAACTTGTGGCCTCAAACAATCTTCCCACCTCAGCCTCTCAAAGTGCTGGGATTACAGGCGTGAGCCACTGTGCCCAGCCTGGGAAGTTATTGCTTCATAGAAGAATTCTTGCTAACAAGTGCAAAAAGAATAATAGAATCAGAGGTTCACTATTTTGCAAGTACAAAAAAAGTTTATAATGGATGATGAAACCATTAAGGGAATTTTACAATAGGTGGATCAGTCTGATACTATGAAAACCAATTGATCAAGCTCAGCATCATGAAAGGTGGGACAATCAGGCATGTGCTTCTTGATGTGACACAATAGAATGCACAGTATCGCCTATGAAATATGGCTGTCAAAAAATAAATAACACATAAAAGTGAACCAGAATTATATCAAGTTTCTAAATTCAACTACCAATCTCTCAGAAAATATTGGAAATCAGGAAACAGGTTAAATGACACCATGAGGAAGCAATTAGTCAAATGCAGATATAAAATATCTATAAAACAACTGGGTTATTTCACAAAGGAATGGCATTTTTAAAAAGGAGAAGAAACTGGACTAAAAGAAACTTAAAAAATATATCAATTCAATGTATTTTAATATGTGAACTTTATTTGGATCCTTATTAACAGACTTCACTTTTTTTAAAAAAGTAATCTTTGAGATAATTAGAAAAATTTAAATATGCATTGATAC
The DNA here is from genome assembly GCF_000001405.40 of Homo sapiens. Taxonomy (NCBI): domain Eukaryota; kingdom Metazoa; phylum Chordata; class Mammalia; order Primates; family Hominidae; genus Homo; species Homo sapiens. The sequence goes on along the minus strand of NC_000012.12, from coordinate 89,820,668 downwards.
TAGATGATATTAAAGAATTGCTTTTTTTTTTTTTTGAGACAGAGTCTCACTTTTGTCACCCAGGATGGCATGCAATGACTCCATCGGCTCACTGTAACCTCTGCCTCCCGGGTTCAAGCAATTCTCCTGACTCAGCCTCCCAAGTAGCTGGGATTACGGCTAATTTTTGTATTTTTAGTACAGACAGGTTTCACCATGTTGGACAGGCTGGTCTCGAACTCCTTACTTCAGGTGATCCACCCCAACCTCGGCCTCCCAAAGTGCTGGGATTACAGGAGTGAGTCACCACACCCAGCCAAGAATTGCTATTTTAATTATTATGAGACTGATAATAGCATGCACTGATGTTAAAACCAAAAGAAAAACTTTATCTGATAAGATATATACTGAAGTATTTATGAGTGAAATTAAACGACTTGTGGGATTTGTTTTAAAATACTATAGCCAAAAAAGTGGAGGTGAGCGGTGAGTAGATAATAAAGTGAGAAATAAATGAAGCATGATTGGCAAAATGCTAACTGTGGGAGATAGACAACAAGTACATAGAGATCATTATACTCTCCTATCTACTTTTATGCACATTTGAGGTTTTCTATAATAAAATTTTTTTTTTTTTTTTTTGTGACGGAGTCTCGCTCTGTCGCCCAGGCTGGAGTGCAGTGGCGCGATCTCGGCTCACTGCAGGCTCCGCCCCCCGGGGTTTACGCCATTCTCCTGCCTCAGCCTCCCGAATAGCTGGGCCTACAGGCACCCTCCACCTTGCCCGGCTAATTTTTTGTATTTTTAGTAGAGACGGGGTTTCACCGTGTTAGCCAAGATGGTCTCGATCTCCTGACCTCGTGATCCGCCCGCCTCGGCCTCCCAAAGTGCTGGGATTACAGACGTGAGCCACCGCGCCCGGCCAATAAAATATTTTTAATGCACATTTAGACGTGAAATAAGGCTGGATAAAATAAACCTAAATATATCAATAATGATTAACAGAAGATGATGTCTCTGAATTGTGGAATTCATGATAAATTTTGCTTTCATTTTTATACTTTTCTTCAAGTTAATTTTCTACAAATTTTATGTGTTACCTCTATAAGCACAAAAAGCAAGCACTTTAAAGTCAATATCAGCCTCGTATTTGGAGATGTCACCTAAGACCCTCCTACTCACCCAGGCATCCTATTGTCTGGCATTTAACAATGTTACATTATGAGGATTTATATCTTTCTTCTTAGACTCAGTTGGCATTCCTGAAGCAGTGACCCAAAGGAAAACCATCTTCTAAGTTAGGATGTTTCCTAGATGAGAGTTTAACCCAAAGTATAGCTAATATTAGCAGAGAAATGCCCTGCAATGCCTTTGTGGATTAATATAATAGATACCTGAAATACAAATATCAAGAGGACGAGAAAACAACCATCAACAAAAGACCATGCGTGAATCATGTTAAAGAGAGGAGAAGGCAAACAGGCAAATTATGACATGGATAATTATTACTAGTTAGCTAAATTAAAATTAAAAGGAACAATTATGGGACATTTCAGGTAACTCAAAAAAAAAAATTCTCCTGAAGTTACTGAATTTTGTGAAACTGGTCTGTTTTTACATCTAACACAATTATGTTATTAAGTTTCTGAATTTGTTAAAAGGACCAAAATCCTTGACTGGGCGGTGGCTCATGCCTGTAATCCTAGCACTTTGGGAGGCCAAAGTGGGTGGATGACTTGAGGTCAGGAGTTTGAGACCAGCCTGGCCAACATGGTGAAACCCTGTCTCTACCAAAAATACAAAAATTAGCTGGGCATGGTGATGTGTGCCTGTAGTCCCAGCTACTCAGGAGGCTGAGGCAGGAGAATTGCTTGAACCCAGGAGCTGGAGGTTTCAGTGAGCCGAGATCACACCACTGCATGCCACCCAAGGTGACAGAGCAAGACTCCGTCTCAAAAAAATAAATAAGTAAATAATAAAACCAATCATCAAAGAAATTCCAATGAAATATGACAAATTGTATACATATATCAACCTCTTCTCCCCACTCCTCAAATCCCTCTAAATTAACAGTGAAGGGAATAAAAAAGCACAAGCCTGTAAGAACAAAGAGACTATGATGACATCAACAAAATTTTAAAAGCTAGAAAGCAGATGGATGAGTGGTTATTGACCTAGCAGACTAGAAATATCTTGCAACTCACAATGCAGGACCCCAGGAAGGCTCAGAAACTGGAGGTATTTCTGAAAGAGTGGGTGTAGGTGGGGCTGAAAATAGAACAAACTGATCATCTATACAAGAAATTTATCTTCTCTGCAATTCCAAGCATTCACAGAACTGCCCTTCCTGACCTCAGGAAAGAGCTAGGGTTTTTACTCTCAAGAAAGACTAACTAGAAGAATTCTAGTTCAGGATGCACCAGGCATGTCTCAGGGCTGGGATATCACACTAGCATTTAATAATATTACATTATATTAACACCCAGTTAACTTATCATTCATATGAATGTAGAACAAAGAAATATAAGTTCCCTCCAAAAAACGTTTACCACAGAAAGCTACTAGAGGAAAGGTACTACCAAAATGGGGTAATAAACCAAGAAACCTGAAAACTCAAGATTCAGGAAATCAGGGATTTAACATAAGAGAGGGCTCCAGTTGACAGTTGTGCAATAGACCTAGCCTGCTCCTTCTAGGAGCAGAAAGACTGTGGGCTCTCAAATGAGTATTTCCAAGAAGCAAAGAAGAAAGAAAAAAAAATTAAAAAGTGACCTGATGTGTTTTAATATCTTGCAGGAGATTTACACCTCTGTAGGAAATTTTTGGCCAAATTAGCACAGAAGTACATAGAAAGCTAAGCAAAAGTAAGATAATTATTACCTCAGGGGAAAAAAATTCAATGTCTGAGAAAGGAAAGGTGATTCTTATTTACTACATGATTCAGCTGTAATAATGTCTGTATAGTCATGACAATGTAAACACTAAAGACATACAAATTTGCTATCTAGATAAGAAAATGGTGAGAAAAGGAAAGTGCAAAGATGTTTATATTGGTCATGGAAGAGTGGAGAAAAGATAAGCTTTCATCTTCCACAAAGGGAAGTAAAAAGATAATAAATAAAAGTGGAATAACTCGAGAAATAGCAACATAGGCAGGCTATTTAGAAAAAAATGTAAATTCCAGTAGAAATTGCTAAAACATCTATAAGAAGTAGGAATCTGAGGTATAGAAAGGTAGATTAACATAGCGTCTATTTTTGTGTTATAATCCTAGTAAAAATTTGACTTAAGCCATGTATGTGTGTATAGAGATAAAAATAAATAATTATTAAAATTACATTTCAAAATAACATAAACCAAAACCCACAGGCAAATTTACCAGTCCAAAATCTTTGAATCTAGTTCATTTTCTGCCACCTTCCAGGGTAAGATTTTTAACAAATGTGAAGTATATTTCTGGAAGTCAGGGGAAATATTACCATTTGTACTTTTTAGCATTTAGTAGTATATTAAGATTAAGTTGACGATATAGAATCCCTCCAGCTTATCTAATCAGAAAAGTCATTTATATAGAGAAATAGAAACTTACCTAGCAATGTATGGGCTGGAGGAGCAAGATTTAGCCATAGATTCCAGAAACGATCCTCAGATATAACAGAAATCTGGAGAACAGGGAAAATGCAAATGCTCATTCCAAGAACACACCACTCTATCCACAATCCACACCAGCAAAATGGAAGCTCCATGTCTCATCTCTCAACACCTGAGAATTTAGTACAGTTTCCCTTACTGCAGAAAACCAACTGTTCCTTGATCAAGTTTACCCTTAGCAAAAACAGAAGCACAGCTTCCCCAACACTTCTAACTTCCAAATCTTGCACATGAGTACCTCAGTGTATCCTGGCTGTAAGGGAACAAGCCCATCACATACCTTCCTTCCACTATTTCATATTCTTAGCCTTTGTTATGGTGATTTAAATTTTAAATTCTCTTGGGCATGGTGGCTCATGCCTGTAATCCCAACACTTAAGGACACTGAGGCGAGCAGGTCACTTGAGGCCAGGAGTTCGAGACCAACTTGGCTAACATGGCGAAACCCCGTCTCTACTGAAAATACAAAAAAATTAACCAAGCGTAATGGTGCACACCTGTAATCCCAGCTACTCTGGAGGCTGAGGCAGGAAAATTGCTTGAACCCAGGAGGCAGAGGTTGCGGTGAGCCACAACTGGGCCACTGTACTCCAGCCTGGGCAACAGAGCAAGACTCTGTCTCAAAAATAAAAAATAAAAATATTAGTGCTTACTGACAATGTACCTGGTCACACGAGAACTCTCATGGAGATGTACAAGGAGATTAATATTGTTTCCTTCTCTGTTAACACAACATCCATTCCACAGCCCATGGATCAAGAAGTAATTTCATAGAAAGTGATTCTTTTGATGGATGTGAGTAAAGTAAATTGAAAACCTTTTAAAAAGGATTTGCCTTTCTAGATACCATTGAGAACATTTGTGATTCACGGGAGAAAGTCAAAATATCAACATTAACAGGAGTTTGGAAGAAGTTGATTTTAACCCTCATGGATGTCTTTGAGGGGTTTAAGACTTCAGCAGCAGAAGTTACTGCAATGTAGTGAAAATAGAAAGAGGACTAGAATTAGCAGTGGAGCCTAAGGTGGTACTGAGTTTCTACAACTTCATGATAAAAATTTGAATAAATGAAGAGTTGCTTCTTACAGATAAGCAAGGAAACTGGTTTCTTCAGATGCAATCTACTCCTGGGGAAGATGCTGTGAACACTGTAGAAATGACAGCAAAGAATTTAAACATTTCATAAACTTATTAATAAAGCACTGGCAGGTTTGGAGAGGATTGATTCTAACTTTGAAAGAAATTCTACTGTGGGTAAAATACTACCTAAAAGAATTCCACGATACAGAGAAATCTTTTGTCAAAAGAAGAATTAATCAATGCAGCAAACTTCATTGCTGTCTTATGTTAAGAAATTGCCACAGCTACTCCAGCCTTTAGTAACCACCACCCTGATCAGTCAACAGCCATCAACATTGAGGCAAGACCCTTCATCATCAAAAAGATTACAATTCATTGAAGGCTCAGATGATCATTAGCATGTTTTAACAATAAAGTATTTTTTAACTAAGGTATGTTTTTTTAGACATACTTCTATTGCACATTTAATATAGTATAGTATAAACATAACTTTTATATGCGCTGGAAAACCAAAACTTTCATGTGACTCACTTGATTGCAATATTTGCTTTATGGTGCTAGTCTAGAACCAATCTACAATATCTCAAGGTATGTCTGAATAACATTATAGTTTCTAATTCACTAACAGGACCCAGATGATGCCATCTAAACATTCAGGTCTGGACTAAGGCGATCATAGTTATTAATTTCTTAACGTGGGACTGTTGAAAGAGTTCCTAAAACTCATCCTCTCAGAAGAGGTAGAATTTGACGATAAGTCAATGATTAGTAATAGTTAATAATATTATATATTTAATATAAGTATATATCACATTATAACATTCTGACTGTTATTCTGGAGACTTAGGTTTTACTTTAAAAGGTGACTACAGATGACCCTTGAAAAATGTGGGGGTTAGGGATGCAAACCCCTCCACACAGTAGAAAATGTATGTATAACTTTTGAGTCCCCAGAAAATTAACTACTAACAGCTACTGTTGACTGGAAGCCTTAATGATAACATAAACAGCCAGTTAAGACATTTTTTGTATGCTACATCTATCACATACTGTATTCTTACAGTAAAGATAAGAAAAGAAAATGTTACTAAGAAAATCATAAGGAAGAGAAAATATATTTACTATTCACTAAGTGGAAGTGGGTCATCCGAAAGGTCTTCATTTTCATTGTCTTCACATTGAGTAGGCTGAAGAGGAGGAGGAAGAGGAGGGGTTGGTCTTGCAGTCTGAGTAGATGGCAGAAGAAGAAGAAAATTTGCATATAAGTGGATCCTCAAAGTTCAAACCCATGTTGTTTAAGGGTTAGCTGTACAGTGTTTGAAGTAGGTTGTCAATTGACCAAAGGAAGCTACACATATATATAGCAAACTCATATATCCCATACATAAACACACATTTTTAAGTTAAATTAAAATTCCAGTGAAGTAGCTAAACAGTCTAAGTGTTCTTAAGAGTGAAGTGACATCCGCAGATGTTCATTCTCTCAGTTTTGTCAGTAAGAGACTGAATTGTCCCAGAAATAAGAACAATGTATTGGTCCTTGGCATATTTGCCCTCGGATCCATTCATTCCTCCCCTTTTTATTGTCTGTTTTGTTCTGTACGCCTGAGGGACTGACCCAAACTCCCATGTCAGCTGCTATTCTGGTGGGTTTAGCCAATGAGAAGTGTTGATGGAAGACACAAAAGGACGAGAGAGGACAGAATTCTCCCTCTCTACTTTGGGGAGCTTCTCTGACAACAGCTACATCTCCTCCTCCTTAGCTCCAACTACCCCTGGGAAAGCCCATCCCAGCTGCAGCTTTCTTCAGGCATGTCAGGCTCCTGGGCTCTGATAACATCTCCTTCTTCCTTGGTCTCTCCAGCGGTTGCTAATCTTTTACATGACCTGTGTAAGCAATTCCCCATATTAAAGTATACTATTTCTGTTTTCCTGATTGGACCCTGAATGATAAAAATTATTACATAAATTATTTTAAGTTAGTCTACAGTTCTTCTTGGGGCAGGAGATAGTTGATACTTGGCTTATGATTCTCCTGAGTAATCAACTGCAGTATTTTCTTTTTTTGAAAAAAAAAAAAAAGTTTACTGGCTTATTCTAGTGAGGTAGAGTGGATCAAATAATTCATTGAGATGTGAAAGGGAATTTTTTACTGGAATAATAAAAGGGCCTGTATAAGGGCTTACACAGAAAATAAAAGCCAGTCATCCTCCTCTGTTCAAATTGGTGGTTCTCAGCCTGGCCTTCCGTTATAATTATCTGGGGAGCCTTAAAAACCATCCCAACCTAGAAGATTTTGTTTCAAATAATCAAGAACAATGCATCAGTAATACCTGGAACTAGTTAGTAATGCAAAATTTGGTCCCCCGCTCTGGAATTACTGAATCAGAAAATTGTGACTGGCGTAAATACCTTTTAACAAGCCCACCAGGTACACTAAACTTTGAGAACCACTATTTTAAAACTACCCAAGTGATTGTCATAGGCAGCCAAATTTGAAAACTACTGGTTTAGGAATAGATTGCTCATAAGATAATAACCTTAATTCAATATACATTTATTAAATATGTATTATGTTTTGTAATTTCCTGTTGCCCAACAAAAATTAAAAATTGAGACCATTAATAAAATTTGACACTATGCATAAAGATGATGTATTAAAAGAAAAAAGTTGAAGAAGCCAGAAAAATATAGTTACACAAAACACAAAAAGATAAATGAATCAAGAAACTTCCTCTGAATTAAAAGTAGCTAACTAGACAATAAACATACTTCGACAATAAGGCTGAGATTCACTGCAGAATGCATGTCTAACATTGAACACGCATTTCTCCAACTTGTCTTCAATTTTACCTTCTATTACCAGATTAATATCACAAAGTATATATTGTGAGAGATGACCTTTGATATCATGTAATCCAGCATTTTTCAGCCAGTAATTTATGGACTCTTGGTTTCACAAAGTTTTTCTGACAATGTAGCAGTTATGATGGTTTCAGATCCAAATAACAATAACCCCAACTCAAGCTAGCTTAAAAAATCAAGGCCAGGCACGGTGGCTCACACCTATAATCCCAGGACTTTGGGAGGCCAAGGCGGGCAGATTACCTGAGGTCAGGAGTTCGAGACCAGCCTGGCCAACATGGTGAAACCCCATCTTTACTAAAAATACAAAAATTAGCCAGGCGTGGTGGCACACGCCTGTAATCCCAGCTACTTGGGAGGCTGAGGTAGGAGAATTGCTTGAGCACAGGAGGCAGAGGTTGCAGCGAGCCAAGATCATGCCACTGTACTCCAGCCTGGCCGACAGAACGAGACTCTGTCTCAAAAAATAAATAAATAAATAAATAAATAGAAGGGAGGAGCCAAGATGGCCGAATAGGAGCAGCTCAGGTCTACAGCTCCCAGCGTGAGCAACACAGAAGACGGGTGATTTCTGCATTTCCATCTGAGGTACCGGGTTCATCTCACTAGGGAGTGCCAGACAGTGGGCGCAGGTCAGTGGGTGCATGCACCGTGTGCGAGCCAAAGCAGGGCGAGGCATTGCCTCACTCCGGAAGCACAAGGAGTCAGGGAGTTCCCTTTCCGAGTCAAAGAAAGGGGTGACGGACGGCACCTGGAAAATCGGGTGGCTCCCACCCGAATACTGAGCTTTTCCTATGGGCTTAAAAAACGGCGCACCACGAGATTATATCCTGCACCTGGCTCGGAGGGTCCTATGCCCACGGAGTCTCGCTGATTGCTAGCACAGCAGTCCGAGATCAAACTGCAAGGTGGAAGCGAGGCTGGGGGAGGGGCGCCCACCATTGCCCAGGGGTGCTTAGGTAAACAAAGCAGCCGGGAAGCTGGAACTGGGTGGAGCCCACCACAGCTCAAGGAGGTCTGCCTGCCTCTCTAGGCTCCACCTCTGGGGACAGGGCACAGACAAACAAAAAGACAGCAGTAACCTCTGCAGACTTAAATGTCCCTGTCTGATAGCTTTGAAGAGAGCAGTGGTTCTCCCAGCACGCAGCTGGAGATCTGAGAAAGGGCAGACTGCCTCCTCAAGTGGGTACCTGACCCCTGACCCCTGAGCAGCCTAACTGGGAGGCACCCCCCAGCAGGGGCACACTGACACCTCACACGGCAGGGTACTCCAACAGACCTGCAGCTGAGGGTCCTGTCTGTTAGAAGGAAAACTAACAAACAGAAAGGACACCCACACCAAAAACCCATCTGTACATCACCATCATCAAAGACCAAAAGTAGATAAAACCACAAAGATGGGGAAAAAACAGAACAGAAAAACTGGAAACTAAAAAGCAGAGCACCTCTCCTCCTCCAAAGGAACGCAGTTCCTCACCAGCAACAGAACAAAGCTGGACGGAGAATGACTTTGACGAGCTGAGAGAAGAAGGCTTCAGACGATCAAATTACTCTGAGCTACAGGAGGACATTCAAACCAAAGGCAAAGAAGTTGGAAACTTGAAAAAAATTTAGAAGAATGTATAACTAGAATAACCAATACAGAGAAGTGCTTAAAGGAGCTGATGGAGCTGAAAACCAAGGCTCAAGAACTACGTGAAGAATGCAGAAGCCTCAGGAGCCGATGTGATCAACTGGAAGAAAGGGTATCAGCAATGGAAGATGAAATGAATGAAATGAAGCGAGAAGGGAAGTTTAGAGAAAAAAGAATAAAAAGAAACGAGCAAAGCCTCCAAGAAATATGGGACTATGTGAAAAGACCAAATCTACATCTGATTGGTGTACCTGAAAGTGACGGGGAGAATGGAACCAAGTTGGAAAACACTCTGCAGGATATTATCCAGGAGAACTTCCCCAATCTAGCAAGGCAGGCCAACGTTCAGATTCAGGAAATACAGAGAATGCCACAAAGATACTCCTCGAGAAGAGCAACTCCAAGACACATAATTGTCAGATTCACCAAAGTTGAAATGAAGGAAAAAATGTTAAGGGCAGCCAGAGAGAAAGGTCAGGTTACCCTCAAAGGGAAGCCCATCAGACTAACAGCGGGTCTCTCAGCAGAAACCCTACAAGCCAGAAGAGAGTGGGGGCCAATATTCAACATTCTTAAAGAAAAGAATTTTCAACCCAGAATTTCATATCCAGCCAAACTAAGCTTCATAAGTGCAGGAGAAATAAAATACTTTACAGACAAGCAAATGCTGAGAGATTTTGTCACCACCAGGCCCGCCCTAAAAGAGCTCCTGAAGGAAGCACTAAACATGGAAAGGAACAACCGGTACCAGCCGCTGCAAAATCATGCCAAAATGTAAAGACCATCGAGACTAGGAAGAAACTGCATCAACTAATGAGCAAAATAACCAGCTAACATCACGATGACAGGATCAAATTCACACATAACAATATTAACTTTAAATGTAAATGGACTAAATGCTCCAATTAAAAGACACAGACTGGAAAATTGGATAAAGAGTCAAGACCCACCAGTGTGCTGTATTCAGGAAACCCATCTCACGTGCAGAGACACACATAGGCTCAAAATAAAAGGATGGAGGAAGATCTACCAAGCAAATGGAAAACAAAAAAAGGCAGGGGTTGCAATCCTAGTCTCTGATAAAACAGACTTTAAACCAACAAAGATCAAAAGAGACAAAGAAGGCCATTACATAATGGTAAAGGGATCAATTCAACAAGAAGAGCTAACTATCCTAAACATATATGCACCCAATACAGGAGCACCAAGATTCATAAAGCAAGTCCTCAGTGACCTACAAAGAGACTTAGACTCCCACACATTAATAATGGGAGACTTTAACACCCCACTGTCAACATTAGACAGATCAATGAGACAGAAAGTCAACAAGGATACCCAGGAATTGAACTCAGCTCTGCACCAAGCGGACCTAACAGACATCTACAGAACTCTCCACCCCAAATCAACAGAATATACATTTTTTTCAGCACCACACCACACCTATTCCAAAATTGATCACATACTTGGAAGTAAAGCTCTCCTCAGCAAATGTAAAAGAACACAAATTATAACAAATTATCTCTCAGACCACAGTGCAATCAAACTAGAACTCAGGATTAAGAATCTCACTCAAAACCACTCAACTACATGGAAACTGAACAACCTGCTCCTGAACGACTACTGGGTACATAACGAAATGAAGGCAGCAATAAAGATGTTCTTTGAAACCAACGAGAACAAAGACACAACATACCAGAATCTCTGGGATGCATTCAAAGCAGTGTGTAGAGGGAAATTTATAGCACTAAATGCCCACAAGAGAAAGCAGGAAAGATCCAGAATTAACACCCTAACATCACAATTAAAAGAACTAGAAAAGCAAGAGCAACCACATTCAAAAGCTAGCAGAAGGCAAGAAATAACTAAAATCAGAGCAGAACTGAAGGAAATAGAGACACAAAAAACCCTTCAAAAAATTAATGAATCCAGGAGCTGGTTTTTTGAAAGGATCAACGAAATAGACTGCTAGCAAGACTAATAAAGAAAAAAAGAGAGAAGAATCAAATAGACCCAATAAAAAATGATAAAGGGGATATCATCACCGATCCCACAGAAATACAAACTACCATCAGAGAATACTACAAACACCTCTACGCAAATAAACTAGAAAATCTAGAAGAAATGGATAAATTCCTCGACACATACACCCTCCCAAGACTAAACTAGGAAGAAGTTGAATCTCTGAATAGACCAATAACAGGATCTGAAATTGTGGCAATAATCAATAGCTTACCAACCAAAAAGAGTCCAGGACCAGATGGATTCACAGCCAAATTCAACCAGAGGTACAAGGAGGAACTGGTACCATTCCTTCTGAAACTATTCCAATCAATAGAATAAGAGGGAATCCTCCCTAACTCATTTTATGAGGCCAGCATCATTCTGATACCAAAGCCGGGCAGAGACACAACCAAAAAAGAGAATTTTAGACCAATATCCTTGATGAACATTGATGCAAAAATCCTCAATAAAATACTGGCAAAACGAATCCAGCAGCATATCAAAAAGCTTATCCACCATGATCAAGTGGGCTTCATTCCTGGGATGCAAGGCTGGTTCAATATACGCAAATCAATAAATGTAATCCAGCATATAAACAGAGCCAAAGACAATAACCACATGATTATCTCAATAGATGCAGAAAAGGCCTTTGACAAAATTCAACAACCCTTCATGCTAAAAACTCTCAAAAAATTAGGTATTGATGGGACGTATTTCAAAATAATAAGAGCTATCTATGACAAACCCACAGCCAATATCATACTGAATGGGCAAAAACTGGAAGCATTCCCTTTGAAAACTGGCACAAGACAGGGATGCCCTCTCTCACCACTCCTATTCAACATAGTGTTGGAAGTTCTGGCCAGGGCAATTAGGCAGGAGAAGGAAATAAAGGGTATTCAATTAGGAAAAGAGGAAGTCAAATTGTCCCTGTTTGCAGATGACATGATTGTATATCTAGAAAACCCCATTGTCTCAGCCCAAAATCTCCTTCAGCTGATAAGCAACTTCAGCAAAGTCTCAGGATACAAAATCAATGTACAAAAATCACAAGCATTCTTATACACCAACAACAGACAAACAGAGCCAAATCATGAGTGAACTCCCATTCACAATTGCTTCAAAGAGAATAAAATACCTAGGAATCCAACTTACAAGGGATGTGAAGGACCTCTTCAAGGAGAACTACAATCCACTGCTCAAGGAAATAAAATAGGATACAAACAAATGGAAGAACATTCCATGCTCATGGGTAGGAAGAATCAATATCGTGAAAATGGCCATACTGCCCAAGGTAATTTATAGATTCAATGCCATCCCCATCAAGCTACCAATGACTTTCTTCACAGAATTGGAAAAAACTACTTTAAAGTTCATATGGAACCAAAAAAGAGCCCGCATCGCCAAGTCAATCCTAAGCCAAAAGTACAAAGCTGGAGGCATCACTCTACCTGACTTCAAACTATACTACAAGGCTAAAGTAACCAAAACAGCATGGTACTGGTACCAAAACAGAGATACAGATACATGGAACAGAACAGAGCCCTCAGAAACAATGCCGCATATCTACAACTATCTGATCTTTGACAAACCTGAGAAAAACAAGCAATGGGGAAAGGATTCCCTATTTAATAAATGGTGCTGGGAAAACTGGCTGGCCATATGTAGAAAGCTGAAACTGGATCCCTTCCTTACACCTTATACAAAAATTAATTCAAGATGGATTAAAGACTTAAACGTTAGACCTAAAACCATAAAAACCCTAGAAGAAAACCTAGGCATTACCATTCAGGACATAGGCATGGGCAAGGACTTAATGTCTAAAACACCAAAAGCAATGGCAACAAAAGCCAAAATTGACAAATGGGATCTAATTAAACTAAAGAGCTTCTGCACAGCAAAAGAAACTACCATCAGAGTGAACAGGCAACCTATAAAATGGGAGAAAATTTTCGCAACCTACTCATCTGACACAGGGCTAATATCCAGAATCTACAATGAACTCCAACAAATTTACAAGAAAAAAACAAACAACCCCATCAAAAAGTGGACGAAGGACGTGAACAGACACTACTCAAAAGAAGACATTTATGCAGCCAAAAAACACACGAAAAAATGTTCATCATCACTGGCCATCAGAGAAATGCAAATCAAAACCACAATGAGATACCATCTCACACCAGTTAGAATGGCAATCATTAAAAAGTCAGGAAACAACAGGTGCTGGAGAGGATGTGGAGAAATAGGAACACTTTTACACTGTTGGTGGGACTGTAAACTAGTTCAACCATTGGGGAAGTCAGTGTGGCGATTCCTCAGGGATCTAGAACTGGAAATACCATTTGACCCAGCCATCCCATTACTGGGTATATACCCAAAGGACTATAAATCATGCTGCTATAAACACACATGCACACGTATGTTTATTGCGGCATTATTCACAACAGCAAAGACTTGGAACCAACCCAAATGTCCAACAATGATAGACTGGATTTAAAAAATGTGGCACATATACACCATGGAATACTATGCAGCCATAAAAAATGATGAGTTCATGTCCTTTGTAGGGACATGGATGAAATTGGAAATCATCATTCTCAGTAAACTATCGCAAGAACAAAAAACCAAACACCGCATATTCTCACTCATAGTTGGGAACTGAACAATGAGATCACATGGACACAGGAAGGGGAACATCACACTCTGGGGACTGTTGTGGGGTGGGGGGAGGGGGGAGGGATAGCATTGGGAGATATACCTAATGCTAGATGACGAGTTAGTGGGTGCAGTGCACCAGCATGGCACATGTATACATATGTAACTAACCTGCACAATGTGCACATGTACCCTAAAACTTAAAGTATAATAATAAAAAGAAAAGAAAAAAAATAATAAAAAAAATAAAATAAATAAACAAAATACATTTGGGGCTCATTTAAGGCACACAAGTAATGACAGCTTCAGGTGCAGTTTGATTCTATGGGCCCCAACTCCATTTCTCTGTACTTCTATTGTATTTACTCTCCTTCTTGTTTCAACTTTGACTTTAGACTTGACACCTCTAATTTTAACAAAATGCCGCAGCAATGTTAGGCTCATATCTGTAAGCTACTGCCTTAGTTCATTTAGTGTTGCTATAACAGAATACCTGAGACTGGACAACTTATAACAAACAGAAATTTATTTTTCATGGTTCTGGAGGCTGGAAAGTTCATGATAAAAGGGCCAGCATCTGATAAGGGCTTTATTGCTGCATCATCTTATGGCAGAAGGTGAGGGACAGGGAGTGCAAGAGACAGCAAGAGGCAAAACTCACAGTCTTGAGCCTTTTATCATTGGCCTCTATCCATTCATGAGGATAGAGCCCTCATAACCCAAATATCTCCCATTAGGCCCTGCCTCGCAACACTGTTGCATTGGGGATTAAGCTTCCAACACATGCTTTATGAGGAATACATTCAAACCATTGCATGCATACCACCCAGAGGAAAAAAAAAATGTGTCTTTTCACATAAATTCTGAGGAAAAAACAAGAATTCATCTTCCCCAGAAGTCCCCAGAAAATATAGACTTGTTCATCTTTGGCCCAGGTTGGTCCAGTGGGACCTAATCCTTGAGGTCAGGTGAAAAATCTTGGCTTCAGTTCATCAGGGCCCAACCATGGTGCTGGAGATGAAGTTGTTTTCCCCTGAGACAAATGGAAAACTGGGGTAATGCTGCCATGGGAAAGTGCAATGAATGTCAAGAAGCCTAAAAACTATACTACCGCAGTGGGAGGGGGCATGTTAAACTAATAAGTAAAATAATAGTTTTCTTTAAAATGGTTTCTTTAAAATAGTTTTTCTTTAAATAAGAAGCTTCTTATAGTCTCCAAGAAGTTTATCAATGGAACATTCATAGCACCCAATGGTAATGAGATAGATATGCTTCAGTCAATTTATTACCCAGGTTAATACTATTAATCAAATGTTGTACGTATTCTTCAATTACTTATTCTAATTTTTATTCTTAGTCATACATTATATAACTTAACACCTGTAATGAATGAATGACTGGGGACAAAAAGGCATACCTGTTAGCACGTGTTATTCATGTTCACACAGCACCTTCTGATGATAGCGCCATAATTTCCTTGTGGGAAAATACCAATACCTCTTCCATAATGTGTACAATAAAAGAGATTGTCAATCAAGGCACTCCTCTCTCCCATAGCCAAGCAGTGAGCATGTAACCCAGAATAGGGCAATCCAATCCTCTTCCCTTCCTAAGCAGGAAAGGGAATTGGATTGCCCTATTCTGGGTTACTGCTGCCCCTGGCCAATCCTTATTCTTGCCCAAGAAAGTGAATTGGCCAAGGATAGGAAAAAAGTCACAGATGCTGATTCATCTCTGTGATGACACTCTGATAGAACTATTAATTAGCTACTGCTCACAAGATCTTAAGAGTTCCCAGATTTTTACTCCTTTACAAACCTGGTCCTTGAGATTTCTTTGATGGTGTGAGTCACCCCAGAATAGTCTAGTCAATTCTCTTTTTACCTCTTTTTTAAGAATAGAATTCTATTATTTCTGTCTTAGCCCATTTACTGCCACTGTAACAGAACACTGAAGACTGAGTAATTTATAAAGAAAAGAAATATATTTCTCACAGTTCTGAAGACCAGGAAGTCCAACAGCATGGCTCTGGCATCTTGTGAGGGCCTTTATGTTGTGTTATCCTGTGGCAAAAGGGCAAGCAAACGCACAAGACAGAAAGAGAAATGGGGGCCAAACTTCACCGTTTTATCCATAGCCCACTCCCTCAATAACGGCTTTAATCCATTAATGGATTAATGAAGGACTTTGTCCTCACGACCTACCTTTTAAAGGCCTCATCACCCAATACTGTTACACTGGCAACTAAATTTCATCATGAGTTTTGAGGAAGAATTCAAATCTTAGCAGTTTGCAATGTATAATTTTGTTAAGGAGTATAAAAATGATAATTCTGAAAATTTTCTTCAAGATAATCAACACTGAATTTATAAATTGCATGCATCCGATCAAAAATTTTAGCTGGCACATCAATGTACTTCTAGCGTTTTAAAAACCATTGTTGAAAAAGAAAATACGATAACATTTTATTCAATTTGACTCATAATTTGTTATGAATAAAGACTTTATAAACCCTCAATATGTTATTTGTGGATAAGTGCTTAGAAATAGCAGCTTGAAAATTTCTCTCTTACCCTACCATTTAGAAACAAAAGACAAAAATTACAAAAATAAGCTAGCTTTTTATAAAGCAAAATGTAAGAATTCTAAGTATAGGTACAAAAGCACTTTTTTGTCAAGGTTTGATGCATGAAATGAAGTTAAATTTTAGTGTATGCTGCAATATCTATTTAGTCCCAAATGAAACATGATGTACTATTATTTTTAACTGATTTATCAGTAAATCATGTTTTTTCCCTGCTTATATTTCACCTCCGAGGGCTATCTGTATCACCTTTTGTCTTACAATAAAATTCAGGAAAATTAAACATTTTCTAAAGCTTAAAGGTACATTTAAATGTATAGTGACTATTGCACAATGCATATAAAAACAATATGAAGAAAAGGAATGTAAATGTATACCATAATCTTTAAAGACATACTGATCTGAAAAGTTTCCTTGCCTTTAAAATCACTTCTTTATCATATATCACACAAATAATTTTTTTTAACTTCTAAGGGACTTTGATAGATTATATATTTCATTGAGATGTGTTTAAGTTAAAAAAAAAAAAAGCTGGAAAATGCTGATCTATTTACTTGTTTGACAGAAGCCAGAGACATTACACAGAACACAGTGAAATACAAGCAGGGTTCCTTAGAACTCTCAACATCCATCAGACATTCTTGCTCCCTGGTACCACAAATGCACTGCAGTCTTTGCAGTGCCAGTTAAAATAGCAATCCCCAAAGCATACATTTCTATATAATTACATGCCCATTGCCTATTGTGCCTTCAAATGAGTGTTGCATCAAACCTAAGTATTTTGAGGTTAAGCCCAGAGCAGTCACTTGGGATCTATCACTATAGATTGATTTTGGACATTCTTGATATTGAATGATATTGCTAAATTAAGGTTGCATAGATCTAGGTTTACAGAGGTTGAATTATTTTTTTTTTAGACAGGGTCTCTCACTGTTGCCCAGACTGGAGTGCAGTGGCATGTTCTTGGCCCACTGCAACCTCCTCCTCCCGGGCTCAAGTAATTCTCCCACTTTGGCCTCCCAAGTAGATGGGACTACAAGCATGCGTCACCATGCCCTGCTAATTTTTGTATTTTTTTGTAGAGACGGGGTTTTACCATGTTGTCCAAGCTGGTCTTAAACTCCTAAGCTCAAGTGATCCACCCACCTGGGCCTCTCAAAGTCCTGGGATTGCAAGCATGAGCCACCGTGCCTGGCCGAAAGGTTGAATTTTTAACAGTCAAAAAAGAAAAAGCAAACCAACTTGTCTCCACTTTTCTACCAGAAGTTTGCTGTCACCCTAAAGCAAAGGGCCAAGAATTGCCAGATACTGATTTTTGTGTTCCTTTGGTTGTTTCTGTTGCCCTAAGTAGTCACTTTTGAACATTTCTGCTATCTCCAGCTGTCTCTGATGGAAGTGATATGTAAGCTTCTGATAAGATTTCATAATGTTGAAAGTCTGTAAGTAACAAAGAAGTGTTCAAAGTCCCTGGACAAGAAACATTGCTCTTTTTGTTAAATGGGCTGCCTGGATAACCAGGAGAGGGATGGAATTATATATTCAGAAAAATGTTTCAATATTAGAGCTTTAAAATTCTTGGTAAAAATTTTATGTTAGTTTGAACTAGGGCTTTACCTGACTTCCATGACATAATGAATGTCATATGGTTGAAAAATTTCATTCTAACAGTTTCCATGTCCTTTTAAGTAACCCAAGACTCCCAAGATCTGCTGCTATAAAAATTAAATAAACAAACAAGCAAATAAATGAAAAAAGAGTTTTGATCACCATAGTATCTGCCAACGTGCCCCACCCAATTGATTGGAATTTCTGATGTGTGCTATTTCTGAAATGATGGCCAAAAGACACATTTTTCTTGGATGGTCTGCAGCAAGTCCTAGAATCCAAGTGAGTTTCCCCAGCCCATATCCTACCATGAAATTTGGAATTCAGGCCTAATGTTCACCTCTACCTCCTCCCCTCTATGAGTGCTGTCTTTCATTTAAATTCCAGAGCAGTATAACCATAATTTTTCATTCCCTCAGTGTTCAGCCATTGTGCTTTTACAAACATAACAGCATACAGTCCATGAGAAACTGCCAACCTTCCCCTTTCATGATCTATCAATGTTTTACCTGACAGTTAAGTCCTTGTGGCATCCTACAAAAATCTGCTTAACTGATAATATCCCTGAACTGTTGTATTAATATCACCATGTCTCAACATGCAGAGTTCTTGCTGGAGGTGCCAATCATATATCTTTTGCTTCTGTACTGGAAGCATAAATTCAAAATCTTTATGAAACTTCCTTAGAATCAGATTTAATCCAGGTTAGTGTCTGACTGTACTGTATGATAAGCACTGTATGGTAAGTAAAATTTCCTAAGATTTTTCCTGCTAAATAGTCTCTGTGTTTCTTTGTTTCCTAAGAACCCCCAAAGAGCCATAACCACTAAAAAAATGTGGGCAGAAGGGCCAGTCACCCTAATATTTGCCACCCTTAGGGTATTTATTCTTCAACATCTATGTCTTGAGCATAAAATTTATGTATTTAGTACTAGGAGCCACCTTAGTTAGGGGATGCCTATGTTTATTTTTTCAACTCTTAAACTCATCTCTGTGATCTTTGAGGTCAGGGCTGTTATTGGAGAAAGCAATAGGGCAAAATAAAAACTAAAAATTTAAACTATTTATAAATACCGTGGAATGTCTGGTAGGCTAAGTGGAGGACAGGTAATACTTATGCTACACCAGATATGAAACCACATTTGTGGAAGAAAAAAGGGGAAGCTTTCAGAGAGCAAAAATGAACAAGAATACAGGAAAACAGAGCTAATATATGCCTTAGATCTCTACAATAGCAAAGTTAGTATCTTTACATTAGCAGGCACGTGAAATTACAAAATAAATAGTTGACACAGGCTTTATTATTTCTTTATTGTTTATTCTTTATTTCAGACTTCTATTTGTCCAGTTTCCACTTTTTTCTTCCTCCCTTTCTTCCTTTCCTTCTCTCTTTATTCTTTTTATTCTTCCTTCTTTTAATAATATAGGATTAGATAATAATGTATTGACTTTAAAACTCTAGGTCTATTCATGTTTTCCTTCTTTGCATTATAGATACCAAAATGCACTGCCTTTCTGATCACTAAATAGATTTTTTTTAAAATGTGGAAACACAGACCATAGGACATTTAGTGTGTGTGTGTGTGTGTGTGTGTGTGTGTGTGTATACTTACAGTCTTTCAAGAAGTTCAAAGTAAATGAGTTGTTTCATTCACCTAAAAGAAATGGAAAGAATAACCCATAGAAAAATTTCAACAAATATATTTTTAAATTATAATAAACAAGCACAATGTGGAATGTAATTTTCGTCCAAAGTTTTCAGGATAATTAATTTGTAAATTTGTTGCATTGTGCACATTTTAACCAACATGATTACCAAACAGATGAAATTCTTTACCTAGTCATTTTGGATTTACAAAGAGAAAAGCAATATGTGCCTGGTGTACAATGACTAATACATAGCTCTGGATCCCCTATGTGCACAGCCCACTTAGCTGATAGGCTGGCTGGCTGGCTGGCTGATTGAAGGTCTATCTCTCTCAGACAGACAGTGTAGCACAGTGGAAAGAGTGCTGGACTAGGAGCCAGAAGATCAGATATCAACTCCACAGTATCCATGGGAAAATCTCTCAGCCTTTATAGCTCTCCAATTTGTCATCTGTGAAATAGAATGAAACTATCTCCTGGCCTGCACTGCTGGATTATTAGGAGAATCAGTGGAGACAATGCATGTGAAATCATTTTGTAAGTGCAAAGCTTTCATAGTATAATTTGACTTAAACAGTAACTGATATTTTCCTGCTTTAAAGCCACATTTTCGGCAACTAAGGCAATTAGTTATGTCAGTTCACTTGTATCCCAAAGCTAAATTTGACATAAAAGTATCAACTTCAAAGACCCAAATCATGTGTCCTGTCCTTAGGCCTGAAAACTATTTAATGTTTTCTAAAGCTGGGGTCAGTGATTTGGTACCTCAGGATGGTATCAGCAGCATGCTAATAATATTCAGCTTCAGTCCTGGACCAGTTTTCCTCTGACCTCAATATTGAAGAGTCTCAACTGTCATAAGTTAACAGCCTGGGAGGCTGGCTGATAAGAAAAATGAGGCAGGGTGAAAACACCTGGTGCTCAGCTACTTTAGGCAGGCTAAGTCAATGTTAGGAGTTCGGAGAGATTTTCAGCCAGGGTTCTCACTATCTTTACTTAAATTGATTTTAGCCTTAAGGTAAGCTATAAACCTACTTTAAGGAAGACAAGGTAGACTATCAAGGTAGTCTCTTGATTCAATTATCAAAAGGGCCAACTATGTACCTAGTCCATGAATTAATACATTCTCACTTTGTCACCTAGGTATTCAATCTGAGCAGAAGGTATTTCTCAGAAGTCCATAGCATCACTGTATGTTTTCCCCATCTTTGGGGAATAAAGGGGTACTGCTCTAATAAAACATGACTATTAGAAAGGAACCTGCCTGAACATTAGCATCGTGACAGCATTCTCATTGTCAGTGGTTAAATTGTCAGCTTTCAATTTTCAGGTATCAAAGTGAGAAGAAATGTTTCTACAAATGACCTGATTACTTTTCCCTGCCCCTGCTACTTCACAGCCACATTATATCTGGAAGCTAAGATATGGGCACAGGACTTAGGGTGTTTCCACTAACAGGTTGGTTTGCACGGCTAGATAAAGATGTCTGGGGAAGTCCAAATCTCATTTGCCATGAGGCTCCTTTGCATTTTTCCACTTGCCTTCTATATTGTATAACACAACAAAGTTAAATAGCGTAGATTCCCAGGTCAAGGGCTAGCAATAAACTAGACCAAGTCAACAAGAAATCTAGCAGTAGAGAAGCAGAAATTTTAATAAAACTCAGGGAGCAGGGGCAAGAAATCCTAGTATTTAATTAGTTAGACCTCTTTCAGGCTCCTGATATCTGTGCAGTTATCCTCATTTTATTATTATGAGTTTGGTCATGTAAAACAACAGCAGACAAAATGTTATACTGCCTCTCCCAACAATTTTTAAAAATGTATCTGTAAGCAGAATTATTACATTATTTTATCACAGCTATTTTTACAAAACAGGATAAAATTATTAGCAAATTAAGCCCTAGTAAAGTTGTAAACTGTTCAAGCACTTTCCTAATCAATAAATCAGAGCTCAACCAATCATTTCTAGGGTCTCTCCAAACACTAATATTCCATGTACTTCAAATCGCAAAGGGATACTGACAGCTCAAATTAACTGGGACGAAATTAAAACTTAACTTTATCAAGTTATTTATAGCTTTTCTCCTGAATGTTTTCTCTTCTTTTAATCTTTAATAACTGCGTATATAGCAAATAAGGGTCAAATAGACAACAACAAAAGAATAACCAATAAGCAAATAAACAGCTAGCCCTCAATATTAAAACACTGGCTATAAGCAGAAATTCACACAATTGTTTATGATCTCTACTGAAAATTCCTCCTCTATCTGTCTTTACTATAAGTGCATTGGGCCTTAGAATATGCCAAATGAGATCCTAGATGTTGCTTGTCTTCTAACTAATAAATTTATTTAATATCTTTGACTAAGTAGTTTCGATGGTCCCTTTAATTCACAGAATAGGAAAAAGGTGGTCATTGACAATTCTGTCCTAGTACACGGTGGTACTAGCTGGCCTCAATCCTGACATAGAAGAAATATCCTCAAAGCTGAAAATTCACTTAGAGTCTATTCCAGGTCAGTCCTTGGCATATTTTCTGAGAAGATCTATTAATGCCAACCTCAACAGAAATAAACACAAGCTCATTAGGAAATGACCAAGACAATCAGTCATTTAACATAAGCCAAATAGCAAAGCCTGTCAAATCATGCATATACCAACTCAAAACTAAGTAGAAATAGCAATTCTAAAACATCATAATAGGTAATATCCCACCAAAAATTACAGAATTCAAACATTACCAACAAGTAGAGTTAATATGCTACAAAAATAACATACTAGAAAACTCCAAATGTAATGATCTCATAAGGCAAGCTTACTCAAAAAAGGCTTCAAAGTAACATATTGCAATTTAGAGCAATTCACTATGAATTATCCTTTGAATCTGACACAACTTAAGATATTCACAAAGTAACATTGCTGAACTATGTGAAAATTTTATTATTTTAAAAACAATGATAAGCTGAAAATATTAAAACATGACTAGTAATCTATTAGCTCAATTTTTAAAACACTTTCAAATATCTCCATAGATGGAGAGATTTACAGGGTAATCAAGTAGGTACGGGATATTCTTGACAGTAAATGCTAGCAGAATTAAGCTTATTATACTAATGTTTCAATATCTAAACCAACTGCAAATTTAAATTAGCATACTAAATTGTACTTTCATATTAAAAAGCATGTCTTTGGTGGTATATGTATGAATATTTTAGACACATCCTTACATCCATAGTAGCATGGGATTAGAAGACTTTTCTGGGGTCTGTCCTGATATCACAAGGGACAGGTCTAAACCAAAAGTCTGTCTCACGTAGCTTACAGATAGGGAGACTTGTGTTTTCACTTGCGCAACCATTGCTTCTGCACAAGGCATGCTGATACTTTAACAGGGTAGGTGATGAGGGGAATGAGTCTAGGACTGGGCAGGGACAAAGCTGGGAGAAACTGACCCAGGTATAGGGCTGGTGCCCAAAGAAGTAGTCTACAATCAAATGACCACTGCAAAATAGCACAGTGATCCTCAAGCTTGGTTGCAGCTGTCATCAGTATCAGATCCACTGAGTCTAGCAAAATGTTTCAGACGCTAGATGATCCACCAAGGCAGAAAGGGCTGTCCATAGAAGCTGCTTCATTCAGGGTCACAGAAGGAAGCATTCATCACAGTCAGGTTAGGATAATTGAAGAAGGTTTGATAAAAGGATTATTTTTAACAATGTAAGACTAGACCACAACAAAGAATGCAATACCCCAGTGCTCAGCTAGGCTGTAATCTACCCTAGGCCAGAAAGGGTGAAGAGTGGGAACAGTTCCAAGAACATCCTCTGGAAGCAGAGGACCACCTGGAGAGGAGCTCTGACCTTCAGTGGAAAGAAGTGAGCAGCTCAAGGTAACCCCAAAGGGAGGAAGCTAGTGGTATAAATATTCCTATCTCACTCAGTCACTCCCTTGAATCTCCTGCCAGCATTCCCCATTAGCCAAACCCAGCTAGAAGCCAGAAGGCAAGGGATGATAAGTTCACATGGGTCAGTATGGAGAGGGGAAGGGAAAACAAAGAAGAACTGGGTGGGGAGGGGTGTGGAAGGGCAAACTGAAGAAAGATGGCCCACCTGGGAGAACCATTCTATCCCAAACATGATTTCAGAAAATAAATGGGGATCTGAGGGTGAGGGTCCAACATTCTGGAGAAGGGTACCAGCAGAGTGAAGCGATATTTTAGAGCCTTACAGCCCTACTGAAAAAAAAAAAAAAATACTGGGTCAGTGAAAGACTCCATCCCAAATGGAGATGAGAATGCAAAGCAGAAAACCAAGGCAGAATTCAGCTGGCACAAGCTATGCCAGTGATGTGGGAGTAAAGGAAAATCCCCAGGCATGCTGGAGGACTAGCTGCAGAGCAGAACAGCTCATCTTAGATCCAGTTCCCTGATGCCTTTGGCATCCAGTGTTCTTTCTGCCTGGGTCAGGTCTGACACAAGAAGTAGTCAGGGTTGAGACTGTATTGAAGACCAGTGAGCAGTATCTGCAACTGAGAGAAAATAGGAAAGAAAGTTCCAAACAGTGCAGTAGAAGACTGCGCGGTAAGGCTCTTAGTGGGAAGTCTGAATATTTGCCCCTGCCCAAATCTCATGTTGAATCGTAATCCCCAATGATGGAGACAGAGCCTGGTAGAAGGTGTTTGGATCATGGGGGCAGATCACTCATAGCTTGGTGCTGTCTTCATGAGGGTGAGTTCTCACAAGATCTGGCTGTTTAAAAGTGTGGCACCTCATGCTCTCTCTCTCTCTCTCTTTCTTGCTCCTGCTTTCACCATGTGATGTGCCTGCTCCCCCTTGGGCTTCTACCATGATTGTAAGCCCCCTGAGACTTTTCCAGAAGCAGATGAATGGTATGCTTCCTGTACAGCCTGCAGAACCATAAGCCAACTAAACCTCTTTTCTTATAAATGGAGATATACCTAATGCTAAATGACGAGTTAATGGGTGCAGCACACCAACATGGCACATGTATACATATGTAACAAACCTGCACGTTGTGCACATGTACCCTAAAACTTAAAGTATAATAATAATAAAATTTTAAAAATCAATCAATAAATAAATAAAAATAAAATAAATTACCCAGTCTCAGGTATTTCTTTATAGCAACAGAGGGACAGCCCAATACAACATTCAAATTGGGAAACGTGAAGAGAGTTTACAAAGGTTTGGGAAGAATGTAAAGAGTGTAGGGAAACTACAAGGGATGTTTTTTCAATCCTTAATCTTGAAGCAAACAAAGGGTGGAGGCAGTTACAAAACCCAGAGCTTCAGCCTGAGAGATGGTCTGCCTGACCTTCCATTGAGGAACAGAGCATGTCCTAGAGGAGGGTAAACTATGGGGAGGAAACTAAGTGGAAATAGCCCTGGACCTCATTCTTCACCCTTTTCAGATCTCCTGCAGGACTGACTCCCCCTTGACTAACCCAACCAGACACCAGAGGACCAGACTGACATAGTCCACCCCAGTGAACCTAGTAAGCCCAAAGCAGAATGGAGAAGGGAAGGAAGGAAATGCAGTGGGACTAACCATCAATATACAGCACAGAGGGATCACATAATTTTGGCGAAAAATGAGGAGGGCCTCCTCTCTAGATACTTACTAATTACAAAAGAGAAAGTAGTAATTTTACAATATAGAAACTAGCAGACACCGACCGGCCTGGTGCAGTGGCTCATGTCCGTAATCCCAGCACATTGGGAAGCTGAGGCAGGCAGATCACTTGAGCTCAGGAGTTCAAGACCAGCCTGGCCAACATGGTGAAACCCCATCTCTACTAAAAATACAAAAATTAGCCGGGTGTGGTGGCATGTGCCTGTAGTCCCAGCTACTCAGAAGGCTGAGGCAGGATAATTGCTTGAACCTGGGAGGTGGAGGCTGTAGTGAGCTGAGATCATACCACTACACTCTAGCCTGGGTGACAGCAAGACTCCATCTCAAAAACAAAACAAAACAAAACTAGCAGACACCACCTCGACTAGGTGATCAAGGTTGACAGCTCAGTAATAGGGCAAATGGCCATGATGTGCTTCCCCATATGAAGCACTAAGAAGGACACAACATCACATCCCCAATAGTCTTGCCAATAATACATACCTGAATCTAATCAAGAATAATCATTGGACAAACCCAAATTGAAGGACAGTCTACAAAACAATTGGCCTTTCCGCTTCAAAAATGTCAGTATCATGAAAGACAAAGAAAGACTGGTG
Source organism: Homo sapiens (assembly GCF_000001405.40). NCBI lineage: Eukaryota > Metazoa > Chordata > Mammalia > Primates > Hominidae > Homo > Homo sapiens. The sequence continues at coordinate 89,794,716 of NC_000012.12, read as the reverse complement.
AAAGTAGGCTAAAGAAGTATGACCAGAGAATGCAAGGCATGGCATGGGATTTTCTTCTGCCTCAAGGACATTACATGACAAACTGGACTCCTCAATAAGATCTATAAATTAGGTGATAGTATCGTGTCAATGTTAATTTCACAATGGATTTTGATTATTGTGTTATTGTTATGGAATTAAAAAGTCCTTGTTTTAAAAAATAAACAATGAGGTATTTGGGGGTACAAAGACACTATGACTGTTTCTCAAATAATTCAGGAAAATATACATAAAAAAGAAAAATATGTAGATGCAATGTTAATATTTGGAGAATTTGGATGAAGGGCATCTTGGAGTTATTTTACCATTTTTGCAACTTTTCTTCATGTATGAAATTATGTCAAAAAAATAAAAATTAGAATGATAAGAGCTTGAACTGGAGCAACTAGCAACAGGACTATAGAGAAAGGGCTGTATATAAGAAATATGTGAGAGGTAAAATCATTAATATTTAAGTGATGAATGATATGTGAAGGGTCTACAATGACTCTAAGACTTATACCATGCAATGCAGCTGTCATTGTGGTCACACTTAGCATGAAATGCTAAATTATCTGAGTGATATTTTAATTGTATCCTGGCTAAAGAATCCAAATACCTACAAGGCTTTCTCTAGCATTGACATTGGTGTGACACAGTCAGTTAAATATTAGTGGATCCAAAACAGAATGCTAAATTTGTACCTTATCAATAGTGATGAGAGTTTAATTCTTTCCCCCAGGAAAAGCAGGAAATCGTGGATTTACCCAGCCTGAGAAGAAAGAATGCCCCCGACAAATCAGTCTCTCTTTTCCAGTCTTCCCTGAGGTGTAGGGTTAGTTAGGATCTTTCAAAGCAGCATAAGGACATTTAGGATACAAAAATAACTCAAACCTATGAGATAGTGATGATCTGGAACGGATAGGTGAAGAGACAACATTCCAAATCTTCTGCCCTCATGTAAAACACTCTTTTTTCCAGCACAGACTTGAAAAATCATGTCTCATAGGCTTCTATCAATCACTAATAGTTCTTATATAAGAAATTAGCACCATTTTCCTGATCCTCCTATGTGTCTTGTCCCAGGGTCCAAATCCTTGGTCTGTTCAACAAATATGTACTAAACACGAACCATTAGTATCAGCCTGATAACCAGTCTTATATTGATGGGTAGGTATAATCCACACTTCTCTACAGAAAACAGTGGCTCAAGGGCCTTAAGATAGCACTTTTGCCATATTTCTTATAATAGTGTAGGTTTTGTGGGACTAATTGTAAACACGGATTTAAATGTTTAACACATATGAGTTAAATCTGTTTCTTTCACTCACAGCCCTAGTGAGATGTTGATTGTAACTAGAAAACATAAATATGGGTGGTTCCTATTGAACAACTAGCAACTAGTGCCCAGGGAACTTAGCTGCACCCACCACCTGGGCTGAGGGAAAAAGGACAGTGAAATGAAATAGCAACTGGTTGTTAATTGATATCTTTTTGAGAGGCTCCAAGAAGACATCTTTACCCATAAATGTGGTCATGCTACCATTAGAAATCTCCTTTGAAATAACTACACCTACTAAATGCTCCATTAAAATGCAAACATCCTCAGCTATGTCTATAATAGACCAAGGTAAATTAGATCATTAAACATCATGAAGACAAAGACTTTGGTGTCTGGCAATGGAAGATTTTGAAATGGAGGAGAGGGCAGAGAATAGAGAAGTATAGAGTCTTGGAAAAACGAAAATCTGCCTACTTAACAGCTTTGGCTAAGGCCAGCCCTGGAACTAAGGTCATGAGTGTTTGCATGTGTTTTCTTTAACTTTGTCCAGTCAAGAAATTTTATTCCAAAGTCACAGCCTCTATCCACAAACTCAGACAAACATATTGTATCAGAAAGAGAGTTGATGAACAAGGATGCAGATACTCAAAATTTTTACAGAAATTCTTAAAGCGTATGTTCCACTGACATCATCCTTTAAATGTGCGAAATAGCATCAAAATCATTAAGTAATCCAGAATATTTGCTTACCTTCCTTATTTGCTTACCTTCCTGTGACCTGCCATTTCTAGCATCCTCTCCCTGCCAAAAACAGTTTTATTCTGACTACATGAAAGAACATCACTGAAGGCTGTAGCTGTTTTGGAAGCATATATCCAAGCATGGAGCTGAGCGTCTTCAATTAATTTTCAAAGAATATTTTTGTCCATGGAGATATGTTTGAGATGTCACGACTCAAAGCCTTGTACCTTAAGACTCGTTTTCAAACTGAGCATACTTCTTCAATTCCTCCCATCAAACAAAATGCTCACACAGTAGACAGCTCACTGGGGCCTGTGTCTGATCACAGTCCACAGTTCAGCAGGAGAGATCTTCTAAAGCCAATATCTAAAGGTAAACTTTGCATATTTTCATGAACACTACTGGATAATAGCTTACATTTAATCACTTCAAATGCTGCATTTCTTTCTCTGATAGTTTCTATTTTAATTTTCATCTGCAGTAATCAAAAAAGAGGAAAGAACGCAAACTTATAACTTTCTCCTAGCACTTTGTCATTGACTGGAGCTACATTTCTAAACTTTTCCCACACTGTTATCCTTAAGACAGATAGAGATATAAATCTTATGAAATCCAACAAGGTCAAAGTTTTTGTCAGGTAGCATATATGTAAAATGACCTAATGCATTCTATCTCATTTCATACAGATGAAATTATATGGCAAATGTTGAATATCTTGCACATAGTAGATGCTCAGTAAATAGTAGTTATTATTTTCTAAGAGTGGCATTTTAAAGGTTGGCAGTTCAGAAGCAGAATAGAACATGATGATACTGAGAGCATCAATGATAACAATTAGCCTGCATATAGTATTTTACAATGGACTGCACACTTTATACAAATTATCACACAACTCTGTGAGATAGAGTTGTTCTATGAGTTTTCTATTGCTACTAAACAAATGACCATAGTGGATTAAATAACAAATTTATTTAATTCTTATTTCTGTAAATTAGAAATCCAAGAGTTTCACCAGGCTAAAGCCATAGTGTCAACAGGGATATTTTTCTGTCCAGAGGCCCTAGGGGAGAATCTGTTTCCCAGCTCATTCAGGTTATTGGTAGAATTCAGTTCCTTGCAGTTGTAGGACAAAGGTCTTCATTTTCCTGCTGGCTGTCAGCTGAGAGCCATTGCAGCATCTAGTGGCTGCAACATTCTTTGGCTCGTGGCTTCATCCCCCGATCAAAGCCAGAACATTAGGAGGAATCTCTCTCATGCTTCAAATCTCTCCTACTTCATCTGTCCTAGCATATTTCTGATTCCATCTAGGAAAAATTCTCCACCTTTAAGGGCTCATGTAATCAGATTGGGCCCACTTAATCAAGCATAATCTTTCCATCTCAAGATGCATATTTTTAATCACATCTACAGAAGTGCTTTTATTGTGTAAAGTAATATTCACTGGTTCCAGCGATTAGAATATTGGCATCTTCTGGTGAGGAGAGTATTATTTTGTCTTCCACAGTTACCATTATTCACATTTACAGAGGAGAAAAATGAAGATCAAAGAGGATAAGATATTTGTAAAAGACATGTAAAGAATGGACCAAAATTGTTTTGCTGTAAGCTCAAGTCAATGTTCTCCTCATAATAGATTATCTTTTTTCTGAAAGGTAACCCAGCATTTACTCTCTTGCATCTTTTCCCCTCTTTCCCACCCACACTTCCATTAGAAACATTTAAGGCTGACATATTTGAAGAATTATTTCCAAAGCTTCCTTGGAAAAGCCAAAGTTTAGTTGCATTTCTGCTGGGGTTTTTTTGTATTTCTTCTGAAGCTTACCATGTTGAGAATATTATTTGCCCGCAATTAGACACTTTCAGCTAAAGCTGCAAGAGAAAATGTATTACCTGATGGGCTGAGCGCTAATGGAAATTTATACCATGGCAAATATCAGTTATCTCACTAAACAATTTTTCTCTAAAGATGTGCTTAGCAATTTGATACTAATATGATTAATACTTATTTAAGACAAGACCCGTCACTTTGTATTTTCCAGAAAATATAGTATTTTTAGCCTTCTTTCTTGCCAATGGAATTTAAAAGCAAAATTTACATTTATTTTGGTGTGATTTCAGGCAACCAGTAAGTGTTTAGTAAGTCCTTTAACAAATACAAAATGTCATTCATCTATTCAAGGGAATGTTATTAAATGGCAAATTGTGGCACACAGGCTGTACTCTGAAAATAATAATATTCCTGAAATTTAAGGGGACTGCTCAGATTAAAAGAAAGGTGGACAATGAGTTCAGATTGTTCATGTACAGAGTTCATAGAAGGCTCTAAAAGCCTGGCCATGGCCAAGCATATACAATAATAACAATAAAATAAACGTTTTTACTTTAAAAATCCTGAAAAATAAATGTTATCAGTTTCTGCATTTTTAAATAAATTACACAAATATTATCTTCCAATCAGGGAAGAAATTCAGGTCCCTCTTTTCAGTTTCTGTATACAAGTGGAGTTTAAGATGAAGGAAAAAGGAAGTAGTTTGATTTCACTTCCTCCTTTTGCCTTCTTCATCTATTCTACTTCACTTCCAGTTTTACTCCCTTGACTAACTGCTTCCCTCCCCTGTGTTCTTCCACTGACAGCAGAGAAAGTGACATGGGCACCCTGGAAACGTCTTTTTGTCTTTCATAATCTGGCCTGTGGCTACATTCTAGTCATATTTCTTGCCAGATTTCTAAAACTTCCCTAAGCTCTAGTCATACAAAACATTCATTATTCCCCCAAGAACTCACATTTTTTTAAATATGCTATTGTTGTAACTAGGAATGTTCTATACCTAGCTTCATCTACATGTAAGTGGTTAAAACCAAAATATTAAATAACCCCTGGAATTTTTCTTTACATAAAATATTTATGGCACAATATTTAATCTAATAAACTAAAGAAAATTGCGCATGTTTTTCATAACAATGATTTCAGGTTACTAAATAATGAAAACAAAAAATAAAAGTAATGATTTGATGCTTTGTGGCATGCAAAAGACAACTCTCTAAAACCAAGAAATAATTTGTTGATTGGAAAATAAACTGAACACATAATTATGGAACTAGGAAAAACAAAGGGTTTTTTCAAGATTTCTCCCAGTTATCTGTTTGTTTTTTTTTTGTTTTTTTTTTTTTTTGAGACAGGGTCTCACTCTGTCACCCAGGCTGGAGTGCAGTGGTGTGATCATGGCTCACTGCAACCTCGACCTCCCAGGCTCAGGTGATCCTCCCACCTCAGCCTCCCAAGTAACTGGGACCACAAGGTGTGTACCACCATGCTTGTCTAATTTTTATAATTATTTTCAGAAACAGAGTCTCCCGATGTTGCCCAGACTGATCTTTAACTCTTAGGCTCAAGTGATCCTCCTTCTTTGGCCTCCCAAAGTACCAGGATTACAGGTGTGAGCCACCATGTTCGGCCCCAGTTACCTTTTTCACAGACAAAGAAAAAAAAGCACAAAAAAATTAAGTTGCCTACTCAGGGTCATAAAAGAAATCAGTGGCAGCTTCCATCCAGTGCTGTTTCTACTGAATCACATTCCTTTCTTTTTCAAAAGACTAGAGAGCTTAGAATCATAGTATTCCAAGGTAGCTATTACTTATTCAATGCCTTCCTTATTAGGAAGCTGCTGTCACCCAAATCAGGCCAATATTTTCAGGGTAGAAACATCCAAATATCTCTATGCTAAAATCCTCCTCTGAGAGTCCAGATGGGGAAAGTCTTGAGAGCAATTCCATCTTTTAATATAAAAGTGTCTAATAGTATATTTTGATCCTCTATATTTGTTGTAAATTCACCTATCATATTTCCTGCTGCCAAAATAACAAAAAAAAAAAGATTTATGTTCATAGGTTACTTCCTTCAAAGCCTTCAAAAGAGGTAGGCTGCAATGATGATCAACATAACTATTAAGTATCCTATAACACACCCTAGAGGGAAGCAATATGAAAACAAGACCTGGGATCAGGGGGTTTTGCCTAGAAGTAAAAGAAGTTAAAATGGCTGTTACTGTTAACAGTGAATATACTATTACTTTTACTCACTTATTAGCAACTACAGTTATCTTTTTAAAAAATTACATAATTCAGCCCATGCATAAAGACCTTGTAATATACACATAGTTGACATGTAAATATATATGTATCTCGATGTGCTAGAATTAAGCCCAAGACTACAGGTCACTTGCTTTAGGTTCTGTCTTAAGTCAGTTGCCCTGGGAAAGAGATGCTGAGATGAAGATTTGTGTGCAGGAAAAATGCTGGGAGTGTGATATTTCTTGATGATGATTACACATGAGAACAATACATAGGAGGGAGACAGGGAAACAACATTAGTCAAAATGAGAAGTTGATGTTTTATGTAGTTACAACAAAGGCTTCAGCAGATCCCATGGGAAGCTCTGGGGCTGGGCTGGCCCTTCAGAGTTATGCCCATGAAGGCAAAGGGGCCGCACCTTTTCACCTACATCTGCCAGCCACTGGATGTGACCTACATCAGGGGAAGAGGTGCACTCTTGAATGACATTGCTATGGTTTGAATATTTATCCCCTCTAAAACTTATGTTGAAATGTAATCCATGATGTGGCAGTGTTGAGAGGTGGAGACTTTAAGAGGTGATTGGGTCATAATGGCTCTACCCTTATGAACAGATTAATGGGTTATCATGGGAGTGAGCCTGGTGACTTTATACAAAGAGGAAGAGAAACACGAGTAGCATGCTCAGCCCTCTCACTATGTGATGCCCTGCACCACTTTGGGACTCTACAGAGAGTCCCCTCCAGCAACAAGGCCCTCATTAGATGTGGCCCCTCGACCTTGGACTTCTCAACTTCCATAAGAAATAAATTCCTTTTCTTTATAAATTACCCAGTTTCAGTATTCTGTTATAAGCAGCAGAAAATGGACTCATACAGACAGATTTCTTTGGTCAAGGGGAATTATCATATAGGAACAAACAGCAGCCAATACTCCTGTAGTAGTCCATTTTCACAGTGCTATAAAGAAATACTCGAGACTGGGTAATTTATAAAGGAAAGAGGTTTAATTGACTCCCAGTTCCACATGGCTGGGGAGGCCTCACACTTACAATCATGGCAGAAGGGGAAACAGGCAACTTCTTCACAAGGTGGCAGGAGATAGAGTGAGCAAAGGGGGTAGGGTCCCTTATGAAACCATCAGATCTTGTGAGAACCCATTCAATATCACAAGAACAGCATGGGGGAAACCATCCCCATGATTCAATCACCTCCCATCAGGTCTTTCCCTCAACACCTGGGGATTACAATTCCAGATGAGAGTTGGGTGGGGACACAAAGCCTAACCATATAATTCTGCCCCAACCCCTCCCAAATCTCATTTCTTTCACATTTCTAAACCAATCATGCCTTCCTAACAGTCCCCCAAAGTCTTAATTCATTCCAGCATTAACCCAAAAGTCCAAGTCCAAAGTCTCATCTGAGACAAGGCAAGTCCCTTCCACCTAGGAGCCTATAAAGTTAAAAGCAAGTTAGTTACTTCCAAGATACAACGAGGGTACAGGCATTAGGTAAATTCTCCCATTCCAAAAGGGAGAAATTGGCCAAAACAAAGGGGCTACAAGCTTCACGCAAGTCTGGAATCCAACAGGGTAATTATTAACTTAAAGCTCCAAAATGATCTCCTTTGACTCCATGTGTCACATCCAGGTCATGCTGACATAAAACGTGAGCATGAGCAGCTCTGCCCCTGTGGCTTTGCAGGGTACACCTCCCCTCTTGGCTGCTTTCACAGGCTAGCATTAAGTATCTGCAGCTTTTCCAGGTGGATGGTGCAAGCTGCCAATGGATCTACCATTCTGGGGCCTGGAGGACAATGACCATTCTGGGATCAGTCTGGAGGACAATGGCCCTCCTCTCACAGATCCACTAGGCAGTACCCCAGTGAGGACTCTGCGTGGGGGCTCCAACCCCACATTGCCCTTCTGCATTGCCCTAGTAGGAGTTCTCCATGAGGGCTCCACCCCTGCAGCAGATGTCTGCTTGGAAACATCCAAGCATTTTCATACATTCTCTGAAATCTACATGGAGGCTCCAAACCTCGATTATTAACTTCTGTGCACCTGCAGGTCCAACACCACATGGAAGCTGCCAAGGCTTGGGGCTTGCAGCCTCTGAAGCAACAGCCCAAGTTGTACCTTGGCCCCTTCTAGCCATGGCTGGAGGTGAAGCACCTGGGACACAGGGTACCAAGTTCTGAGCCTGCACAGAGCAGGGAGGCCTTGGGACTGGCCCACAAAACCATTTTTTCCTCCTAAGCCTCTGGGCCTGTGATGGGAGGATCTGCTACCAAGATCTCTTACATGCCCTGGAGACATTTTCCCCATTGTCTTGGCAATTAACATTTGGCTCCTCTTTGCTTATGAAAATTTCTGCACCCAGCTTAAATTTCTTCCCAGAAAAATGGATTTTCCTTTTCTATCACATAGTCAGGCTGCAAATTTTTCAAACTTTTATGCTCTGTTTCCCTTTTAAACATAAGTTCCAATTTCAGATCATCTCTCTCAAGTTCAAAATTCCACAGATCCCTAGGGCAGGGGCAAAATGTCTCCAGTACCTTTGCTAAAGCATAGTAAAAATGACTTTTGCTCCAGTTCCCATGAAGTTCCTCATGTCCATCTGAGACCACCTCAGCCTGGATTTCATCATCCACCTCATTATCAGCATTTTGGTTAAAACCATTCAACAAGTTTCTCAGAAGTTCCAAACTTTCCCACATCTTCCTGTCTTTGGAACAGCCCTCCAAACTGTTCCAATCTCTGCCTGTTACCCAGTTCCAAAGTCACTTTCACATTTTCAGGTGACTTTATAGCAGTATCCCACTCTCTGCAGTACCAATTTACTGTACTAGTCCATTTTCACACTACTATAAATACACGAGACTAGGTAATTTATATTATAAAGGAAAGAGGTTTAATTGACTCATAGTTCCACATGGCTGGGGAGGCCTCAGGAAACTTACAATCACAGCAGAAGGAGAAGCAGGCACATTCTTCACAAGGCAACCAGAAAGAGAGAGAGAAGTGAAGGGGAAGAGACCCTTATAAAACCATCAGGTCTCATGAGAACTCACTCGCCATCATGAGAACAGCATAGGGGAAACTGCCCTCATGATTCAATCACCTCCCACCAGGTCTCTCCCTCAACACCTGGGGATTACAATTAAAGATGAGATTTGGGTGGGGACACAAAACCTAACCATATCAACTCCCAACAGCTGAGAGACTGAGGGCCTTGCTCCTGAAGGAGGGCTCAGGATAGGGTGCCATAGCATTAATTCTACTGTTTGGATCTACTTACTTTGTATAGTGAGTTCATCCTTCAGAGAATGGCCACTCCAGATTCTGGTTGGTCATTTACCCATTTTAGATTTTCCTCATCAACAGCTAACACTTCTGTTGGTCTACATGACTTACCTTTTGGGTTAACCTACACCCCAGTCTCTGAGAGGCCTAAGCCTCTGTGACCAAGGCCTTTGTAGGTCTTTACTGTACATATCAGTTTGCCATTAGGCAGAGCAGGATTCTTTAGTGTGAAATGTGCTGCATTTAAAACTCAAAGAGATCTACAAAGCATTGCATTCTTCTTTGTGGTGGGAAATGCAAGATACAATAATTTTCCTTTTACTTTGGAGAAAATGTCCCTGCATTCCCCAGGTTACTGAACCCCTAAAAAATTCACCAATATAGAAATACTCTAAATCTTCTTGGGGTCTTCCCATACTCCAGAGCAGTACTGTTCAGAAACTTTCTCTGATGATAGAAATGTTATACTTCAGCTGTATCCAATATGGTAGCTACTGGCCATAATGCAATCCTGAGTAATTGGAGTATGGCTACATATACTCATCATGATATCGTAGATTTCTTCCTCATGGGGACCCAGACACTCCTTTAGTCAGTAGATTCCAACTCTGACATAGATCCAGAAACAAGACATGATTTGTTATTGGGGTGTCTTCCTTCAGTTTCTTGATCATCTGTCTTTGCAAGCAAGCTGGCAGTAGACTCTGATGTAAAAGCTTTATAAGAAAAAACCTTCTGTATTATCTTCAAGCAAAGGGTGGGGGAAAGTGGTCTTCTAGCCTTTAATAAGGAGGAGTGGCCCACTTTGGCAGGCCCTTGCGGATTCAGGGCAATCTGGATCTTAAGAGGTTTCCATCCAGGTGTCCATCTCAAGCCTCAGCATTTTGCTCCTTCTCACTCAGGGCCCTGATCTTGGTAGAATAGACATGCCAGAGTTTGGAATTCCACTTTTTCTGAAATTTCACTAGCCTTATAATTAAATTTTGTATGTGATCCTCAACAATGCCTCTCCTATAGCCATAAAAAAGGAGAGAGTCCTTATATCCTGCCTAAGAAACACTCTAACTTCCACAGTGACCTTAAGTTGGTAATTTAACGACCCTCAGTCTTTGTCTTTTTCCAATGCACTGATAACACTCACGAAGAATCATCTGATTTCATTGACTTACGATAATTACTACTCCAAAACCCTCTGTGCATTATCTTTCAGTAGTATCCCTTCCCAGTCACCAACAGTGAGTATATTAACTGGACCAATAAAGCATCCTTGAGGCATTCAGTCCTCCACTTACTACAGTGTTGACATCCTCTTTACCAGCTGGCCAATGAATAATCTAGCTCCAAAACCTCAGAGCGTTCCTGGCACTGACTAACTGAGGTCCAGCTCCCTAGAAAACAGACTCAGATGTAGATTGCATGCAGGAAGTTTTTTGGGAAGTACCAACAGGACAAACCTGTGACAGAGTAATGAAACCAGAAGTGAGTGAACAGGAGAAATTGAACGGTGATGTAATTGAAATGAAGACCTCAGCTGCTATCTGAGGGAGCTCTGGAGCTGAAATGACCCTTCAGGGTTGTCCTGAATTGAGGTAAAGAGGCTGATTTTTCTAATTTCCCCTTCCACAGAGGCTGCCCCTAGCCTAGGGAGGAGGTATAAACTTAGGCAAGGCAACTCCCTTTGGCAGAGGACAGTGCCCAGAGAAAGAAGATAATTCCTGGAGAGGAAATTGGCTGTTTGTCTCAGCAACTAACACTCCCAGCTGTCGACAGATGGAATGAGTGTCTCAGACATAAAACTGTGGTGGGGAGGAGGGCTGTGGAGGAGGCATCTGAGCAGTGCACCACAGCAGCCACTACAGGTTTTATCCTTGGTTTTGCCACTAGGAAGTTACAGGAACCTGAACAATCCACTCAGCCTTTTAATGTTTTTGTTTCCTTATTTGGATGCAAGGACAATGAGAGAGCTAAGTTCTTACCGATACACTTTGGATTCTGTTTGTTTTAAGAAGTATTCTAATTTCCTATTTTACTTATAAATTTAGTTTTTGAAAGGATATTTTCTACGGCAAAGGGGATTTTTTCTGATTTTCATAAAAACAGGTGGTTCTACCAATGTACTGCTTCACTTAAACTAACCTCAAAGTCAGGACTTAGTTTCCATGAACTAAGGATTTCTGACAGTCTCTCATCACTCTGCATCTTCACAAGGTATCTGAGTTTTACCATGCCACCTAGCTTCATTACTGTGCTGTAGAATCAATTGCTTTATTTTGTAATCATGAGTCACATCTATTCACTTTAAACACACAGACACACACACACACCAACTTTCAGTGATGAACATAAAAAAGATTTCAGAACACGATCTTAATAATGTCACTGTGATTGGGTACAACTGCTTTTAAATCAGCCTTGGGCTGGCAGGTGTGGTGGTACATGCCTGTAATCCTGGCTACTTGGGAGGCTGATGCAGGAGGATTGCTTGAGCTCAGAAAGGAGTTCAAGACCAGCCTGGGAAACACAGGGAGACCCTGTCTCAAAAACAATGAGAAAAACAAATCCCTGGAGAAAAGGTTTGTATCCCATTCTTAAATGTCTCTAAGGAGCTCTTTAAAAAATGATCAACCTGACTGTTAGGAAGTTCTTTCTGATATCTAACCTAAATCTCTCCTACTGCAATTTCAAACCACTTCCTTTTCCATCCTTAATGAATTAGGAAAGGAGCTGGTAATCACTGTCACCTGCCTGTTATAATCTTTCATATGTTTAACTTTATTAGAATTTATTTACACCTAAATATTCTCTCCCACATGACAATTTATCTCCCTTAGCCATTGTCTGCTTTTTCACTTTGAGCAGTATTTTTTAGTCTTGTAAATACATTCTCTAGCTTCTGTGTTTATCCCAGAAACTATGGAGACCACATTTAATGAGTTTTTAACATACCATGAATGATTTTGGGGTTTTGGCATGTTACAACCTCACATGGTTTACCTTTCAAACTGCATTAAACTATTCCTACATTAAAAATGTATATTAGATTGTTTAACCTCAAGGAAGAAGCGATTTTCCCACAAGACCTATTTATAAAGTATGATAGTATCTTCCCTTATGCGGGAAGCTAATGTAAACTATTAATGACATGTATCAGTTACAAAATGTTCTTAATGCTAACTCTTTCCAAATAATGTTTAAAATAACAGACTCATTTTGTCCACTGGAGTTTGGTTTTGAAAGATAAACATTTTAAGTATTGCTGGTTCAATATCAATACTTGGAAAGTAGCTATTTTTTCTGAGAGCAGGCTTCATGACATCATTTGGCAGATGTGAATTTCTTGACATTGTTCCTTAAATGCGACAATCTTTTACATATAACATCTTTCCTGATGTTTACAAAATTAGAAAGAAAAATGAATGGAGCTGCTTCACAGATTTATCTTTAAGCAAGTAAAGTTAAAAAGTATTACCCACATAAAGAAAAAATAGATAAAGCTCAAATTTTATATTTGGGGACCACATGGAAGAAGTATACAAAAGTATGTCACTTTTAACCTGATACATCAAACATGAAGACGGTTTTAAACATTTGCAGGGATTTCTATATTCTATGTATGAGTAAATTTTATCCTTACATAGAAAGTAAGTATATCATATATACTTGTGTTTCAGGCCACAACCTCCTTCATAAACCTCTGCTTAATAACTTCATCATCTCTGCCTAAAAGTTGGCTACCAACAAATGCCTGTCAATATGGGGATCTCATGCACACTATAACCTAGGTATCCTCTAGTCTGTAGGTATGCTGCCTGTCACCTCTGCTTCTTGAGTTCACATTGCTCTTAACATTCTCCCAATTCTGACTGACAACACTGGGCTGACCTATCTGACACTGCTGCTGCAAGTGTTCCACATTGGCCGCTCTATACACAGACTGAGAAGGGCAGCTGAATGGTTGTGCAAAATCCCATTGCACAAAAATATCTTCCTCATTTCCACCCACTCATACACTTAAACATATGAAGCATGCTTTACCCTCATGGTAGATGCTTTATGTGCATTATTTATGTACAATAAGCTTTTGAATGTAAGTACTGCTGTCACTATTCTACATCTTAGAAAATTAATTTCAGAGAAATTAAATATATTGCTGAAGCCACACAACCAGTGTCTGCCCCACAATGGGCAGAGACAGGATTTGAATAGGTGTCTATGACTTCAGTGCATCGGCATTTCTCATTATATCCTGTATATCCCCCACCACCATGTTCAGGCAGGATAGCTTAGTGGTTCAGAGTAGGAACTCTGGAGTGAAACTGTCTGGTTTCCAAACCCTGACTCTGCCACTTCTTACTTTATGACCTGCTTAGCGTCTTTGTGCTTTGGTTCCATGATCTGTAAAATGGATATAATATTAGTATGTAACTTTTTTTTTTTTTTTTTGAGACGGAGTCTTGCTCTGTCGCCCAGGCTGGAGCACAGTGGCGCGATCTCGGCTCACTCCAAGATCCGACTCCCGGGTTCACGCCATTCTCCTGCCTCAGCCTCCCGAGTAGCCGGGTAAAGTTGGTATAAGGATTAAATGTGTTAACATAGGCCAGGCGTGGTGGCTCACACCTGTAATCACAGCACTTTCGGAGGCTGTCAAAGAATTGCTTAAGGCCAGGAGTTTGAGACCAGCCTGGAAAACATAGCAAGATTCCATCGCTATAAAAATAAATAAAAATAAAAAAATAGCCAGGTGTGGTGGCACAAGCCCGTAGTCCTAACTTCTTGGGAGAATGAAGCAGTAGAATTGCTTGAGCCCAGGAGTTCAAGGTTGCAGTGAGCCATGATTGTACCACTGCACTCCAGCCTGGGCAAGAGAGTGAGACCTTGTATAAAAAACAAACAAAAAAATGTGTTTATATATAAAGCACTTAGAATAAAGCCTACCACATAGTAACTGCTATTAAATTGGCTACTGTTATTATATTCTTATTATGCAATAAAAAGATCCTACTGAAAAGCAAATGATATAAAGGAAGGAAGAGGGATGGTAACATAACATACATCAATAACCCACTCTAGAGTCTGAAAACTGATAACTAGTTCTCAGGGAAATGGAGACACTGAGCAAGTCTAACTGTTGGATAAAGATGGAGAGGGGCTGCAGTGACAAATACTGAATAGCAAGGGACACCAAAGCCTAGAAAAGGTTGGAATCAACAAGAAGGAAGCACACAGCTTCCTTCCTTCCACTTTAAAATTTTTCCTTCCACTTTAAAATTTTGTTGAATGTCATCCTTAATGGTATTTTATTCCTTAATGGTATTTTATGCCATATTGGTGATGATGGTGGTGGTGGCTTTATGACATCATTTTGGTCCATCCTATTTTAGATATAACAACTATCCTCATGTTGACCCACAATTCTCCCAGGATGTTTATTCAGTAAAATATATATACATCTTTAACTCAAGTATATTAATGAAATTATGAAATATCATTATTCATTTTTAAATTTAACATTAAATATGGCAGATGGGAAAATAATTATAAAACTACTTGCAGTTATATATGAGACCACTATTAAATCTAGGCCTTACATTTTTCACTTTTTCCTAATTTGGGTCAATATCTAATGCCTAATAAAGTTCACAGCATGTTTGACAGCATTCCAAATATGCTGTATTCTTCTTTATTTGAATTTCAACTCCTTTATTTAACATTCTACTTCTTTGTCAATTAGTGCCTCAAAGGATGATAGCCTGCCTAAGCAGCAAAATTCATGGCAGCTTTCAACTTTGTATTGTGCCTAGTACCAAGATTTTTAAATGCTCTAATCATCTTGTCACACTTCTAAAATTATAACATTGGTGGTGTGATCAAAGGCTGAGATTCCATTGAGAACTTCACCTAGGATTTAATCTGACTTCCTGCAGATGCTAGTTGGGAACATATAATAAAGTTTATTAGTGTGTAGTTATTCATTATGTAAAGAATTGCATCATGCAGAGGAAAGAGGTGAGGGTCAGGAAAGTTACTGAATCATCAGAGTAAAGATGAGTCCATTTATACCTTTACTCCTGCCATTGTTGCTAAGGTAGTCAGACAAATTCAGATTTCCAACTACCAGTTCAAATAAGCGACTACTATATTGGAGTAATAGAAACCTGAATGCCTACACTACAACATAAAACCAGTGGAAGTGTACCATATTATCATGAATGCTTCAGTGAATTTTTAATAATGGCTAATACTCCTTTCATCCTTTTAATAAAATAAACCCTAATGCTAATGAGAGCTATAATTTTATGGGTGTCTGTTAGTATATCAAAGACACCAACTAGAATTACTTTAATTCCGTTATTAAGTAACTTTCAATGGCAAAAACCACGATTACTTTTGCACCAACTTAATATATGACTTTACAGTAATTCCTCTTCAGTTACCATTGTACTAGCATTTTGGCAGACAGAAAACAATAAAAATTAACATACCTTAAATATGTGTATATGATCAATATTTACAAAGTGTTTTCAATGGCAAAGTTTCATGAGTCATATGTAGCAATCCTGTGTCATAGTTTGGATAGATAGTAGTATTATTTAATATTGTCCTCATTTTAGAGATTAAACATCACAACAAAGCAAACAAACAAAAAATTTAAGTACTTGCTTTAGGGTCCTAGGTAGCAAATTGCAGATCTGAGACTCAAACAATTTCCGCTCTAAGGTAGCCTACAGATTCATTGATGTAGCAAGAGGTTTACAAAAATGTTACCTTAAAACCTCTTGATATGAGACAGATAATAAATAAGAGGTAGTTGCCTAAATGAAGAGAAAAGATAACAGACACTTATCAAGTTAGAAAGCAAGAAAGTTCCTTTGTGCCTTTTTTTGGTGGGAAAGGAAAACCTTCCTATGAGAATTATAACTTAACCTGAACCTTCATGTGTTTCTAAAATGTGCAGAGGCAGATGAGAAAAAGCCTGGACTCCACATGTGACCATAGTAAATATTTCCACATGTAAAATAGTAGTGTCAGACATCTGTCTGGGTGTAGTGAGATAGTAATCAGCCTGGCGTGTGGTGGGGGTGGGAATTTCTCTCTCATTGGAAAGTAGTAGGTGATAGTGGTTGTCTTAGTCCACTCTCACACTGCTATAAAGAACTGCTTGAGACTGGGTAATTTATAAAGAAAAGAGGTTTAATTGACTCACAGTTCTGCATGGCTGGGGAGACCTCAGGAAACTTACAATCATGGTGGAAGGGGAAGCAGGCACATCTTACATGATGGCAGGCAAGAGAGAGAAGTGCAAGCAGGGGAAATGCCAGAAGTTTACAAAACTCTCAGGTTTCATGAGCACTCATTCACTATCATGAGAACAGCATGGGGGAACCACCCCCCAGGGTCCAATCACCTCCCTCCCTGGACATGTGGGGATTACAATTCAAGACGAGATATTGGTAGGAACACAGCAACCAACCATATCAGTGGTAGACAAAACAGAAGAGATTAAATAATAGAGAGCTTTATGTCAGGCAAGAAATTTGACCTAGATGCAGCAAGCATTCAGAAACCACCCAGCGTTGGAGTAAAGGAAAAGATAATCCAACCCCATAGAGAGGGACTAGAAGGGTAGAGGCCATGCAAATGAGATAAGCAAGGTGAAGCCCTGTATTAGGGATGGCACTAGGACATTAAGAAAGAAACCAAAGACTGATATGTGTTCAATGCAAAAGACAAAGGTGATCCTGGAGATTAGAGCGACCTGTATGTTGATGGTGTTATTGACTAAGAAAGCTAATCTGTCTGACTGTTGAGCATGTATTTGAGAGTCAACAGGGGTGCAATTAATAATATTTGTAAAATGGCTTTGTAAAATACCTTTGATAAAATATTTGTAAAGTGACTTTGATAATAATTGTAAAATGCTTTACTGAAAGCAGGCTATGTCCTAATTCAGGATAGTTTCTTTCAGTTGGAGACAAAAGAATGATTTATAAATGATTCATTTGAATCCTTCATAAAATGTCTTACTTCCCACTGTATCTTTAAAATACAATCCTAGGGCATATGTCCAGAGTTTTAAAATTTGAAAATTGCAATTGTTTGGACACTGTAGAAACAAGACCAAGGATCCAGGCACCCTGGAAAGAACTGTATTCCCAAGGATTCCTTACAAAGGAAAGATGGGACTCCATCTCCTGCCTTTCTCTTACACTTGTCTTAGAAACCCTCAGTCTAAAACTTCTTTATTCCTGTTGGGATCTCCAAGCAACTGACAGTCGCTATCACTTTCGTATTGTCTCCTTACCTATATCACTACACTTCTCTCCTTACAAAAATTACTTGTTTAAATATACCCTCAACTCCCTTGCCCTACTCCTCCTCATCTGATCATTGACTTCAAGAATTAATATGCTCAGGCCTTATGGATATGGGGCCTCTGCACTTATCATCCTACATTTCTGGGGAGCCCTTATTATAATCACCATCGAAAGGAGTTTTAACATTGTGAAAATTGAGCCTCAAAGAAACTGAGTAAGGTCACACGTGGATGGCAGCATATGGATTCAAATCTAGTTCTTCTGGTACAAATTTAATGTTTGTAAAAGGGCCTGATTCTTCTCAAAATATGCAGGTAGAAAAAGAAAAGGACCTACTATAGAATGTCCTTACAAGAAATAAAAGAAGGAAAAGGAACAAGATAGGAAAGGATACCACTATCTTTAAAGAGTAAATATACAGAGAAAATAAAAATAATTTTAAGGTAAAATAATAAAGTATAAGCTAGATAAATAAATGCTAAAAAGATATAAAGGCAAGAGGTACTCAGAGTGACATAAGATTGTTTTTAATCTATTATGTGTTAACACAGAATCCAAAAATTATATCGTATTCTGCTATACCATTAGGAGTATTTCCTGAGGTTCAAAAATTAAAATAAATGATAAAATGTTTTAAATCTGGAAATTTAATAGTTTCCATATATTTAGAAATTGGGTTTGATCATGTTTTCTTCTAGGAGTGCCAAATGCTGTGTTTTCCCTCTCTACTTCAGTAAACAGGTCGTTTCTTAGTGCTTACCTCAGGGTACAACCATCATTATCTCACAGCTTAGTCTGAAGTTCAACAACTGAAACTCAGGGAATCGTCCACATAAATGAATGTTTAGCTCGTACAGCACTACAGAAAACAAAGTGCTTCTTTCTAATGGATGAATCATAACATAATGTGGACCTTCTCAAAAAAGAGCTTGACTCCTTTTTAATGTGCAGTTCTCTAATAATTTCATAAGCACTAAAGATTTCAGTCAATTTGGATTTTGGAGAATAAATAATTCACAATACAGTTCTTCACTGGAATGTGACTCTATTTCAGTGGTCCTCCTTCTTGACCAGGCATCAGAATCACTTGTAACGCTTTACAAAAACACTTGCTGAATCAGAACCTCTGAAGGTGCAGCCTGGGCTTATTTGTCTGAAAAAAGACTGCAAATAATTGTAATGCACAAGCAAGACTGAGAATTCAGATGTAAGGAATCCATAAATAGTTCTTTGATGAGATTTCCCTGAGGAGAGTTAGTTAGAATATTGCCATACAGACTTAAAAAAAAATTCAGCGTTCTTGATAAGGAGAACTTGACACTAAGAAGAGCTACCTCAATTTTATTGCTCCACAAAACAGCTGTCATTCCACAATCTGTACACCTCCAGGCTATCCCACTTTCAGCAGCTGCAATAAATTCCAAGCATATTTCCAATGCAAACTGACCCAGCCTTTGAATCCAAATGTCTTCAACCCTCTCCTAAAGTTTAACCATAAATGTTCACTTCGGTTCAACTTTCCATTTGTCTTATATTAGTCAGCTGGTATGGTTTAAACATTTATAGATAGAAAAGCTCAGATATGGTCCAAGTTTTATCGTAATCAAATGTTAACTGGGTTGTGCATGCTACCTAGTATTTGACTACTGTGGACATTTAAGAGTAATTACTGTCAATGAATCTTGGCTTTTTTTTTTCCTTTAGAAAACGATTACTAGACACTGTGCTATGTTCTGGGACACAACCACACCCTTAATTTGCTAATATTCTAATAGAAAAGCATTTGCTTGACAACTGTTTATTGAATGGATGCAAAGATGCATAAGATATAATCTCTGCATTCTGAGACATTACCGTCTATGTGAAGAGGCAGATTTTTGAACAAAAATTTCCTCTACAATTTGGTGTCATGAAAAACTAGAGTCATTAAAAAATAATTACAAAGGAAAATAAATATATATGAGGAAAGTCAGTGTAGGCCTTACAGAGAAAGTGGCATCTAAACTGGAAGAATGAATGGAAAGAATATTACAAACAGAAATATGCAAATCTCATAAACAAGCAAACCATAACACATTCAGGGAAAAGTGAGAACTATGTGGAATATTTAGCACAAGGCTCACTGACTCTCTCTGTTACCACCCTTGTCATCATTCTTAATAATTTCAACAGACCAGTAGATATCTGTCTAATTGCCTGGGCCTCTAGGCTTTCCATTTCCAACAACCATTTCCTTAATTATTCCAAGCTCCCACTCCTACCATTCTATCCTTGTCATTACAATAACTGCGTACACCTCTGAAATCTCAAGTTTAAGTTTTTCAAGCATTGTTTCCTGAAATACCACCTCCTACCATTCCTGTACACTTGCCTTAGGAACCCTCCCTCTAAAACTTCTTCATTCCTGTTGAGATCTCCTAGCAATTAACAATCCCTAGCACTTCTTCATTGTCTCCTTACTTGCATCACCTCACTTCCCTCCTTACACCAATTACCCACTTACAAATACCCTCAACTCCCTCATGCTACTCCTCATTTGATCAAAGCCCTGACTAAACTCAACTCTCTACCTATTCCATGCCCAAACACTGTCAATTGAACATAACTGGAGAAAAACTCCAAAACATGCCAACTAATCCTACTTTACTTTTATGACCACTGATGTCAGAAGAAATCATTCTCTTCCCAGAGCCTTAGCTATTGTTCTTCCTTTTGCTTAGACTGGTTTCCCCTCAGATATTCACATGGCTTGCTACCTTGACTTATTCAAGTCTTTGCTAACGTGTCACCTTTTTTCATTTTTTCATTTTTTTTTTGAGACGGAGTCTTGCTCTGTCGCCCAGGCTGGAGTGCAGTGGCGTGATCTCGGCTCACTGCAGGCTACACCTCCCAGGTTCACGCCATTCTCCTGCCTCAGCCTCCGGAGTAGCTGGGACTAGAGGTGCCCGCCACCACGCCTGGCTAATTTTTTGTATTTTTAGTAGAGATGGGGTTTCACCATGTTAGTCAGCATGGTCTCAATCTCCTGACCTCGTGATCAGCCGGCCTCGGCCTCCCAAAGTGCTGGGATTACAGGCGTGAGCCACTGTGCCTGGCCAATGTGTCACCTTTTTAAAGAGGACTTCCCAGGACTATCTTGTCTAATGGAGCCCCATCTACCCTAGCCTGTCTCTCTCTACCCATTAACTCTGCTTTATTTTTCTTTATACAACTTATCATGAAACTTTGTTTATCTTTGTCACCTCCACTAGACTGTAAGCACCCTGAGGGCAACAATGGTGTTTGTCATGTTTACTACTATATGTCCATGTGGCTGGCACATAGTAAGGGTGATGGTTAATTTTATATGTCAACTTGATTGGATCACGTGTTGCCCAGATATTTCATTAAACTTTATTCTGGGCATGTCTGTGAAGGCTTTCTGGATGGGATTAGCATTTTAATCAGATTGAGTAAAGCAGATTGCTATCCCATATGTAGATGGGGCTCATCCAGTCTGCTAAAGTCCTAAGTAGAACAAACAGGCAAAGCGAGGGAGAATTGCTCTCTCCGTCCTACCGTCTTCAAGCTAAGACATCATATTCTCCTGCCCCTGGGCTTAGGCACAGACTAAAACTTACATCACCAGCTCTCCCGAGTCTCCAGCTTGCTCACTATAGATCCTAGGACTTGTTAGCCACTATAACTATACGAGCAAATTACTTATAATAAATCTAGATAAATAGATAGAGAGTGACAGAGATAGAATAGATTTAAGTATATATGTAAATCTGTATCTACTGTACTGGAGATAAGAGTCTCCTTCAGGGTGCACATAAGTTTTCAGATTATTTATGCAGTGCTTGATCTGGGAGTCCAAATCCTTGAGCTCATCCTTTTCTTTCACCACTTTGTCCAGTGACATCAGTAGCAAACAGCCAATCTCATTATCTTTGTTAGTTTTCGAAAATATTTGAAAGTATCATACATACAGTTACCTATTCTTTGCTCTATCTATCTATCTATCTATCTATCTACCTATCTATCTTATCTTTCTATATGCCTGAGTTCTCCAGGGTAACAGAACTAATAGAATATATAATATATATAATATTTTGGTAACAAGAGTGTTTCTAAAGGAATAGAATTTTAAGGATGAGTTTTCTGAATTGCTTCTGGGGTTTCTGGAATTGGTTCTCTAATCGGATTAGGTTTGAAAATGCTAAGGACTCTGTTTCTAGCAATAAAATAGAGCACTGATAGCCCATGGTGTGATCTGGCAATGGATATATACAAGATATCTCCAATGGATCCTCCTAATCAACCACTTATAAGAAGCAAAGAATAGGGAACTGTACTTATGATACTTTCAAATATTTTTGGAAAACTAACAAATATGAGGTTGGCTGATTGCTCCTAACATCACTAGACAAAGTGGTGAAAGAAAAGGATGAACCCAAGGATTTGGATTGCCAGCTCAAGTACTGCATAAATACTCTGAAAACTTCTGTGAACCCTGAAGGAGTCTCCTATTTCAGTAATTGTAGGGTTGAGACTTTTGAAAATCCAACACAGAATCTCAACTTGAAACTAGCTGAATTACAACACAAGTTAAACTTCCAGCCTTGCAGGGTGTCTACTGTTAAAATGAGGGCATTGACTGGGAAAAAAACATGGTACCCTGTATGTTGGAATGGGTACATGTGGGAAGACCCTGATGAAGCTGGGGACATTGAGCCTCTAAATTCTGAAGAGTCTTCTTTGTCAGTAGAAGAGGCCTCTCCACCCCAATCTGAAGTGGGGTAAAGAGGTCTATATTGCCTAGGGAAATTATAATTGCCTCCCCTGAGGCAATAGTCATACAAGACAACTGCTGGTTCTCCTTAGGACCCACCCTACAACTCCCTTTGCTTTTAGACCTATAACTAGACTCAAGGCCCAGCAGGACCCTAAAGGTGAGGCTGAAAGTGTTACCCATAATGAGGTATACTACACTCTAAAAGAATGACTTGAGTTTTGTTAATTTATACAGACAGAAATCTGGGAACTTGTGTGAGAATGGATATTGAGAGTGTAGGATAACGGTGGAAAAAGCATAAAGCTGAATCAGGCTGAATTTATTAATATGGTCGCACTAAAAGAAATTCTGTATTTAACATTGTAGCTTAGGGAGTTAGGGATGGCTCTAAAGGTTTGGTTAGTAGGTTGGCTGAAACACAGACCAAAAGGCAGCCCACAGAGAGTGAACTGGAAAGCCAAATCTGCCTTGGTTTAATGCAGCGGAGGAGATTCAAAGGCTTAGGGAAGGCTGGGTGTGGTGGCTCATGCCTGTAATCCCAGCACTTTGGGAGAAGACCAACCTGGTCGACACAGCAAGACCCTATCTCAAAAAAAAAAAAAAGCTTAGGGAGACTGGAATGTGAGAGATGTGAGAGTAGGTGTTTCATATAACAGCTACTTTTCCACACTGAATGGATCCAGAAGACATACCTTTCACCACAACTATGAAAAGTAAATCCATGAGGGGAGCCCTGGCATCCTTGAAGAGCTCTGTGATTATTCTTTTCCATAGGCCAGACCTTACAGTGGGAACTACAGTCACTGAACTGGAAAATGTAAGTGTAATGGGAGAAAGTGAATCCCAAGGATGGCAGGAGTCAAGTGGCAGCACTCAACTACCAAAGGCAAAGTGGGTGTGGTTATCATAATGGAGATCAGAGTCAAAGCAGCAATCAGAGTAGTTTGACTCATGCAGACCTATGCAATTGATGGGTTTATCATGCTGTACCTACAAGTGAAATAGATAGGAAGCCTACTAAATTCTTACTTGATGTGTATAAAGAGAAAAGTTCGAGGTCAAGTGAACAAAACTTTGAATCATAAATCAGAGAGTCACAACCCTTCAATCAATTCCAATAATTGAGCCAATTTATAGGCCCAGAACCACTTAAATGAAGAAGCCAGGTCTCCTTGAAGAAAGACTGCCAAAAGTTTGTGCTGCAATCTTTCTCCCAACCATCCATAAAGAGACATACAGCCTTTTATCAGGGTAACTGTGTACTAAGGAAAAGGAACTAATATAACTTTTCAAGGATTACTGGATATTAACTCCAAATTGACACTAGTACTAATTCCAGGAGATCCAAAACATCACTGTGGCCCAACAACAGTCAGAGTAGGGGCTTAGGGAAGTCCGGTGATCAATAGAGTTTTAATCAAGCTCCATGTTACAGTGAGTCCAATAGGTCCCTGAAACAATCCTGTGGTTATTTTCCCAGTTCTAGAATGCATAATTGAAATAGATATATTTAGCAGCTGGCAGAATCCCCACATTGGTTCACTGAGCTGTGGAGTGAGGGCTATTATGCTATGAAAGACCAAGTGGAAGCCACTATAACTGCCTCTGCCTAGGAAGATAGTAAGCCCAAAGCCATACCACATTCCTGGAGAGATTGCAAAGATTAGGGCCACTATCAAGGTTGCACCATCATTGAAAGATGCAGGTGTGCTGATTCCCACCACATCCCCATTCAACCCTCCTTTCTGGCCTGTGCAGAAGACATATGGGTCTTGGAGAATGACAGTGTAGTATTATAAACTTAGCCAGATGGTGACTTCAATTGCAGCTGCTGTCTCAGATGTGGTTCCATTGCTTGAGCAAATTAACACATTTCCTGATGACTGCTGTGCAACTATTGATCTGGCAAATGTTTTCTTCTTGATACCTGTTAGTAAAAACCACCAGAGGCCATTTACTTTCAGCTAGCAAGTCCGGCAGTCCACCTTCACTGTCCTACCTCAGGGGTATAACAACTCTCCAGCACCATGCCATAGTTTAGTCCACAGGGACCTGGATTGCCTTTCCCTTCCACAAGATATCACATTGGTCCATTACATTGATGACATTATTCCACTTGGACTTAGTGAATAAGAAGTCGCAACTACTTTAGACATATTGGTAAAAAAAAAATTGTAGATCAGAGACTGGGACATAAATAAAAAAAAAATTAGAGGTCTTCTACCTCAGTGAAATTTGTAGGACTCCAGTGGCATGGCTCATGTCAAGATACTTCTTTTAAGGTAAAGGATAAGTTGTTCCATCTGGCCCCTCTTACAACCAAGAAAGAGACAATGCCTAGTGGGGCTGTTCGGATTTTGGAAGAAACATATTCCTCATTTGTATGTATTCTCCAGCCCATTGACCAAGTGATCCAAAAAGCTGCTTGTTTTAAGTGGGGCCCAGAGCAAAAGAAGGCTTTGCAATAAGTCCACACTGCTGTGTAAGCTGCTTTGCCACCTGGACCATATGATTCAGCAGATCCAATGGTACCTGAAGTGTCAGTGGCAGATAGGGATGCTGTTTGGAGCCATTAATAGCCCCCTATAGGTGAATCGCAGCACAGGACATTAAGATTTTGGAGTAAGCCCTGCCATCCTCTTCAGATAACTACTCTCCTTTTGAGAAATACCTCTTGGCCTACTACTGGGCCTTAATAGAGACTGAACACTTAACCATGAGTCACTAAGTTACCATTTGATCTGAGCTGCTGATCTGAACTTGTTGTTATATGACCCACCAAGCCATAAAGTTAGTTGCGCACAGCAGGATTTCATCATCAAATGTCAATGGTAAATACGTGATTGGGCCAAAGCAGGCCCTGAAGCCACAAGTGAGTCACAAGAAAAAGTGACTCAAATGCCCTCAGTCCCTACTATTGCTACATTGCCTTCTGTCTCCCAGCCTGCACCTATGGCCTCATGAGGAGTTCCCTATAATCAGTTGACCAATTATAATATTACAATCAGATTATAATCAGAGGAAAAGAAGACTCAGGCCTAGTTTACAGATGGTTCTGTACAATATATTCCCCAACGTCCTGAATAAGCTAGGTTAATATAATGACCTTTTGAAGATTCAATTACAGTTCCAGCTAAGTGGCAATACCTTACAGTGCTGGGGCAGTGTTCTCCAGAAGGCTGTATATGCTCTGAATCAGCATCCAATCTATAGTGCTGCTACACCCACAGCTAGAATTCACAGGTCTAGTAATCAAGGGGTGAAAATGAGAGTGGCACCACTCACTATTATCTCTAGTCACCTACTAGCAAAATATTTGCTTCCTATTCCCACAACCTTATGTTCTGCTGGTCTAGAGGTCTTAGCTCCACCAGGAAGAATGTGTCCACCAGGAGACATAACAATGATTCCATTGAACTGGAAGTTAAGACAACCCCCTGGCCACTTTGAACTCCCCATGCCTCTGAAAAAACAGGCCAAAGAAGGGAGTTACTGTGCTGGCTGGAGTGATTGATCCTGACTACCAAGAAGAAATTAAGTTGCTATTCTACAATGGAGATAAGAAAGAGTACATCTGAAATATAGGAGATCCCTTAGGACTTTTCTTAGTATTACCATACCCTGTAATTAAAGTCAGTGAAAAACCCAATCCAGGCAGGACCACCAAGGCCCAGACCCTTCAGGAATGCAGGTTTGGGTCATTTGAAAGAACCACAGTCAGCTGAGTGCTTGCTGAAGGCAAAGGGAATACAGAATGGGTAGTGGATGGAGGTCTAAGTACCAGCTAGAACCATGTGACCAGTAACAGAAATGAGGACTGTAATTGTCATAAATATTTCACCCTCATTTTGTTATTAGTGTGTTTGTGTGTACAACTATACATATTTATATAAGCATATTTATTTATTAATATATATTAAGCAAATATCTTTTGTTTTCTTCCCTCTCTTATTCATTTATCATGTAACATAAAATATATTGACTTTATATCACAGTATTTAAGTATTGTTAATTTTACATCATAGTATTTAGGCTATGGGATATCAAGAAGAAAAGTAAACATCACCCAAGGACTTTACCTCCTCTTCTGGGGAAGGGGTTACTGCATTGCCAATTGTATGCAAGATAGTTTTATCATGGTAGATGGAATTATTACCTTGTTATTTTCTTTATTTGGATATGAAGTATGCTTTAAGGAGGTGCATATGGGTGCCAAATTGACAAGGGGTGAACTTGGGATGTTAATTTTATGTGTTACCTTGACTGGGTCACAGGGTGCCCAGATATTTCATTAAACATTATTCTGGGTGTGTTCATGAGCAATTTTCTGGGTGAGATTAGCATTTGAATCAGTAGACTGAGTAAAACAGATTGACCTTCCCAATGTGGGTGGGTCTTATGGAAACTTTGAATGGTTTGAATAGAATAATAAGGTAGTGTGAGGGAGACTTCACTCTCTCTTCCTGACTATCATTGAGCTGGGATATCAGACTTCTCCTGCCTTAGAACTTGGACTCAGACTGGAACTTAGGCCATCAGCTCTTCTGATTCTCAGACCTTCCAACCTGGACTGGAACTATGCCATCTGTTCTCCTGGGTGTCCAGCTTGCTGACTATAGATCTTGAGACTTCTGAGCCTCCACAGAATTTCTTATAATCAATATATAAGAACCTGAGAGGTTCTGTTTCTCTGGAGAATCCAAAAGAATACAGTAAGAAATACAATAAATAAATGAATTATTAACATTCCCTGTAGCTAAAATATAACACAGGAATTAGGATATGGTAAGTGTCTGAGTCCATTTTCTGTTGCTTATAACAGAATATCTGAAACTGGGTAATTTTTAAAGAAAAGGAATTTGTTTCTTACAGTTATGGAAGCTGGGAAACCCAATGTCAAGATGCTACATCTAGTGAGAACCTTCCTGCTGGTAGGGACTCTCTGAAGAGTCCCAAGGCTGTGCAGGGAATCAAATGGGTAGGGAACTGAGCATGCTAGCTCATATCGCTCTGCCTTTTTTTTTTTTTTTATAAAGCCACCAGTCTCATTCCTGTGAGAGCTCATTAATCTATTAACCTATTAATTCATTAATCCATTAATGGACTAATGCACTCATGAGGGCAAAGCCCTCGTGACCCAATTCCCTCTTAAAAGCCCCCTGTCAGCACTGCCACATTGGGGATTAAATTTCCACATGAATTTTGGAAAGGACAAATATTCAGCCTAAAACAGTAGCTAAAAATATAGCAATAATAATAATAATAACAAGAATTAAATGTATTATTCTCTAATTATACACAAGATACTCTATCAAACTCTTTAAATGGACCATTTCATTTAATCCTCATAACACTATGTAATAGGTAGTACCTTTACAGAGAAGGTCACTGAAGTTCAGAGAGATTAACTAACTTATTAGGGTGACATTATTATAAACTTTAAAAAAAAATTTTCCCAAATAGAAATATCTTTCTTTATTATTTCTGTTATTTCAAATCAATCAACTAATCAACTGAGCAACAAGAATACACTGAGCTTGGTGTTATCTGCCCCAGGTGATTTCCTGTAAGGAAATGAAGCCACAGACAAAGTGCACAAATATCTTCCTGGCTTCAAGAAACATTAGATCAACTACTCTCAAAAACACATGATGCCTTCGGACAACCCTTCTATTTTTTACTTCTGTAACCAGTTATTTGCAAAAGAAAAAGTAAACTAGAAGAGCTGAATAATTACTAATTACAAACAACTATACATAAGGAAAAAATGAGTTTAAACAAAGCATTTTAAACCATGTAGTCCATTTTTTAAATGTGGAGTTCATGTTATTAGTAACGTGGGGATTACGTTTTACTCTAAAGGCTAATAAGTCTGTCCCTGGTAGACTTAATTAAAAGCACAAAAACAAAAACAGAACCTCTTTTTCTCCCTTTACATAGCTACCTAGGTCAGAGGTTGGAAAATTGTTTTTGTAAAAGTCCAGATAGTTAATATTTTAGGCTTTTGGGCCATGGAGTCTCTGTTGCAACTGCTCACCTCTGCCATTGTAGCATGAAGTCTACCACAGAAAGTAAGTAAATGAGTGAGTGTGGCTGTGCTATAATAAAACTGCCTTTGTAAAACCAGGTGGTAGATTAAATTTGGCCTGAGGGTTATAATTTACCCAATCCCTGATTTAGTCTAAGGTACCTCATTCCAAGATTAGAAAACATAAACAGAGAAGGACCAGTCTTTCCTCATTCTGATGGAAATTACTTATTGATGAAGTCTAAACTGTTGAATACTAACACTCATAGTGAAGAGTAAGTTGAGAAAGAGTAGAGGGAGCAATAATTACAAGATGATGCCTCAACTGGAGCGTATTATAAATAACAACTACAATACAGCCTAAGAAAATAATAAGAAAAGTTACCCTTTAAGACAGGAATCCATCATTTTACTCAATGTCATCTTTTATCAGCAGACTCTCAAACATTATTGGTTCTTTCACATAAATTCCACTTATCTACATATATCAATCTGCTCTAGAGCAAAGCAGGCTTGTTACTTGTTGCTTTCCCCACCATTATGGCAACTTGTGTGCTGAGACAGATAATGCCAATCAGAAAATATCCACAAATTAATTTTTAGATTATTTTTAATTATTCACCCAATTCCTAAGCAAGCTAATTTATTCAAAAGAAAATGTCCATAGTTGAGTTTCAAGTCAAAACAAATTGTCTTGGGGGATCTGTAGTGAAAATCTATGAGATTGTCTTCCCAGAACCAATTTCTGAGAATCAACTTTCACCCATCTATGTGGTTCCCGTGGTACTGATAATCCCACCCCTCAAGCCACTATTAAGTGGTTCTGTATTCATTTGCTAGGGTCATTGCAACAAAGTCTCAAAAGCTGAATGGTTTAAATAGAAATTTGGGTCTCACAGTTTCTAGCGGCTAAAGGAAGGTGTCAGCAAGGTTAGTTCCCTCTGAGTGCTTTGAGGGAGAATCTGTTTCATGTCTCTCTCCTAGTTTTTAGTGGTTTGCTGACAACTTCGGCACTCTTTGCCTTGTAGAAGTTTCATCCAATCTCCACCTTCACGTTCACATGGTGCTCTCCCTGTATACCTGTCTATATCTGTATCCAAATTGTCCTTTTTTACAAACTCATAGTTTTATTGGATTAGGAACCACTCTAATGAACCATCTTAACTTGATAATCTACAAAGACCCAATTTCTTTTTTTTGATATTTTATTTTATTATTTTATGTTTCTGGGATACATGTGCAGGATGTACAGGTTTGTTACATAGGTAAACTTGTGCTATGGTGGTTTGCTGCACCTATCAACCCATCACCTAGGTATTAAGCCCCCCATGCATTAGCTATTTATCCTGATGCTCTCCCTCACCACCTGCTCCCCACCACGACAGGCCCCAGTGTGTGTTGTTCCCCTCCCTGTGTGCATGTGTTCTCACTGTTCAGCTCAAAGACCCAAATTCTTTTTTTTCTTTTTAAATTATACTTCAAGTATATGTGCACAACGTGCAGGTTTGTTACATAGGTATACATGTGCCATGTTGGTTTGCTGCACCCATCAACTCGTCATTTACATTAGGAATTTCTCCTAATGCTATCCCTCCCCCAGCCCCCCATCCTCTGAAAGGCCCTGGTGTGTGATGTTCCCTGCCCTGTGTCCGAGTGTTCTCATTGTTCAGTTCCCACCTATGAGTGAGAACATGCGGTGTTTGGTTTTCTGTCCTTGTGATAGTTTGCTGAGAATGATGGTTGCCAGCTTCATCCATGTCCCTGCAAAGGACATGAACTCATCCTTTTTTATGGCTGCATAGTATTCCATGGTGTATATGTGCCACATTTTCTTAATCAAGTCTACCATTGGTGGACTTTTGGGTTGGTTCCAAGTCTTTGCTATTGTGAATAGTGCCGCAATAAACATATGTGTGCGTGTGTCTTTATATTAGCATGATTTATAATCCTTTGGGTATATACTCAGTAATGGGATCACTGGCAAAGACCCAATTTGTAAGAAAGATCACATTCACAGGTGCTTGGGGTTAGAACATTAGCATCTTTTAGGGGGACGTAATTCAACCCGTAACAGATCTAAGGCTTCACAAGCTGGATAATAAGAGTCCTTTCTGGGGATTTTTAGAAATAGAACTGAGAGAGTCCGGATGGCTAAAGTGGTCATACACAAAATTCAAGTGCTGTTGGCAAACACGTTTTCTAACACACAGAGAAATAGCAGCAGCAATGCATTCATGATGGCATAATTTGAGTTCCTGGTTCCAAATAGGTCTGTGGCCCAGCCTCAAACCCACCTGCCCTTTCCAAGGTTTCCTTTCATTTTATAGGGCTCTGTAACTTTGTGTGTGTAGGGTTTTTTGGTTTTTGGTTTTGGGGTTGTTTGTTTGTTTGTTTTGAGACAGGGCCCTACTCTGCCACCCAGGCTGTAACGCAGTGGCACAATCACAGCTCACTACAGCCTCAACCTCCCTGGGCTCAGGTGATCCTCACACCTCAGCCTCCCAAGTAGTTGGGACTACAGGTGCATGTCACCATGCCTGGCTAATTTTTGCATTTTTTTTTTTGGTCAAGATGGGGTTTCACCATGTTGCTTAGGCTGGTAGTGAATGCCTGGGCTCAAGCAATCCACCTGCCTCAGCCTCCCAAAGTGCTGGGAATACATGCATGAGCCACTGCACCCAGCCAGGACTCTGTAACTTCTAAACAAGAGTACTAACAATTGTGACATCTCTTACAATTAATCTTCAAAAATATGTTCCCCACTGTATTCACTTAAGAGGTTCCATAGAAACACTGGATTTCAAGGAATGCTTCATATTGCTAAAAATTATTACAGAAATTTATTCCACCAAATCTAGAGCTATAACACCCAAGATGATTTTGAATAAATAAATATTCGAATCAACAGAAATGAAAAGTGATCCAGAGACATTAGGAATGTTAAGAATAAAGGAAACAATGTCAATAAGAATTTTGGAGATTAGATAAAGACCATTATAATTTTGGAGTCTAATGACACAAACTTACTTTATTGGTATTACAGAGTCAGTTAGTTTCTCCTTTTCAATTGTTCTGTGCTGAATATAAGTAGTCCTCCCAAGTTTGCTAGATATTTCTTAATATATTTGGCAAATATTTATGTCTGGACATACTTGAAGAACTTGTAGGACAGGAATTCTAGGCTATTATTTATTTGAAAGGTGATAAGTCTACAGGAAAAGAATTCATCCTGAGGGCAAAGAAAATCAAAGGCCAATCAGATAATAGCGGTCACTAATAATTTTCCTCCAGCTAAGCCCCATGAGTCCTGTATACTGTGATGGGTCAAATCGAAAAAGAAGAAGCAACTTTATCCACCAAAATCTCAGTGGGTCATTGAGAGTGCTGATCAACTTCATTGTCACTGTAGGTAACTTTAGCAATAGCAGGATGAGGCAGCTGTTACTTATCCACATTGACCAACAGCAACAACATCAAGCAACCTAAAGAGGATGACGTTAGTAGCTTTAACACTGGTGGCTTTGTAATTGCCACTTTTGGTGTCATCACCATAATGACCTGAAAAGGAAGAAAATGAATCAACCCACATAGAAGTGAAAAGGACTAGTTCCTGATCTTTGTGAGACCACGTTCTAGGGATGTCCAGAACTATTTAAGAGGAATATATGAGGACTGTACTGCTTAAGAAGAAGGAATAGGAAAACAGACAATTCCTACTTTCTGTCATTGTAATCTTATTTTTGTCCCTCGGTTGGTTTAGCTCAGGAAACAAGGGTTGATGAAAAAAAATTTCTAAGGAACAATGAAATAAATGTCTTACATATTTTCAACTATTCTGTAACATTTAACTGCTTATACATTTTGACTATACAATAGCACCATGTTAGCATTTTATTATTTTAAAAAATCACAATAATGTTTCTCAAAGTTTCATCTGAAAAGTGCCACTAGGACACCAGAAAATCTTCAATGGCAGGTTTTGACGTTTTCTTGTTTTTTAATTTCAAAGAAACTATAAGAAAATGCTTTTTTAAATTATAATAAAAATATCTGAATCATAAAACCAGTCTTTCCACTTAAAATGAGCTCATTTTTAGTCATCCAATAAAATATCATGTAACGAAAACTCATTTTAATTCCCCTTAAAACTGCATTTACGTTAGTAAACAACATTTTTTTTCTTACAGAGAAATTGTATCTATAGTATATTATAACACAATGTTGAACACAAGATCTTGCTAACATGTTATACTGGAATTTTATTGTTATAGGATTGAAGGTGCTTTCAAAAACTATCTGGTATAGACTTTAACTTCCAAAATAAAGTCACTAAATTTCAATTTCCAAAGTGAATTCTATAGAACACAAGTGCCACTGTTTTGTTTTGTTTTGTTTTAACATGTTTTGTGTTTTGGGGGTTTTTCAGTACAAAGGATAATTTCCAGGGGCAACTAAGTTTAGGAAATTCTTTGTTAATATTAAACAGGCTCAAAACTGATCTTCTTCAAACAACATATTCTTCTAAAATATCATTTATACTATATAATGTGACTGAATTTCTAGCCTCAGAAGGTTTACATAGGGATTAAATTCACATTTTGAGGAAAATAGCCTTCCTTGTCTGGAAAAATCACGTGGCAGGTGCAGTGTCAAGGACATCCCTGAGGCATAGCCAAAGTCTCCTTCCGCAATTTTCTTCCAAAGCACTGAAAGACATTAACAACTGCCACCACAGAAGGCCTTCTCCAATCCTTATGTGTGAGCTTAATTCTTAATTTTCGTTCAGAGAATTGAATTTAAAATCATATCAATCGATTAACTTACATCTTTTAATTTAAAACAATGTCATATACTATAGTATTACTATTATCATTTTGAGTTGTAAATTATTCAGGAGGGAATTGCTAAAGCCTCCTGGGATTTTTTTTAATAAGTAATTAAATTGCACTAAGACAAAAAATATCTAATCTTTATTTTAAACTACAAAGTGAATCATGACAATAATCTTTGAACAACCAAAGTGCTGTTTGTTGGACAGGTGAAAAATTAGAGAAAATCATTTGTCTTCCATACCATAGAAACATGTTATTTGTAGAGTTAAATATACATTGTCTCAAATGTTCTTTCACTCACTTCCATGCCTCAAAAGCATGACTTTTGTACATAACAACACTCATCAGTTGATTATCAACAACCGCTTACATGAAACCACAGTGCAAAAAATGTGGTTACAAACTACCAAGACAAAAAATGAAAAGAAAAAAACGCTTCCTATTTTTCAGCTTTATAAAAGGTGAAAGGGTGTGGTTAACAAAATAATGTACTTTAAAATAGCCAGAGTAGTGCTGAGACAACTAAACTCATCAAAGTTTGTTTGAGAATATGTTGTAATATCTTTTTAAATGAATATTTTCTAAAATAAGGTGTTTTATTACATGAAGAGTTGAGCCTAGGGCATCACATGTGAGAATTAAAAGTTGCCATATAATTTCTGAAGCCCTCATCCTACCTAGAAGAGCGAAAAGCACCAATCAACTAGAAGAAAAATTACAGTCTGATCAATTGGAAGAGGTAAATTGAGAAAACAGAAAATTCATAGTTAAATTTTGAGCAGATATTTTAAAAAGAAGAAAGGGCTCTAAAGAGAGAAAAGAAGAGAAGAGAAAACAAGAGGAAAAATGCAAAGAGAACAGAAAACTATAATAAAGGGATTAAAAATAGATTTATATCAAATGTGTTTAATTATTTTCCCTTCCCCCCCAAAAACACTATTTTGAAAGGAAAGTTAGCTAACGAATGGAAAATACAAAGTGTGACCACCCAAAAAATACAGAATTGAAACTTTAGTATCACCAAACTAGCTCTTTTGCTTCTCAATAATATGCCATGCCCAGCATCTCTAGTACCTGATCTGCCATTTTATCTGCTATCTGATTCCATGACTCACCTCTTGCTCCTTCTACCACTGCATGGTGGTATCCACAGTGGAGCACACTGGTTTCAGAACACTAGAAGTACAGCTTTAGGAGCAGAAGATTCCTAGTCTACAGGCAGTATAGGGAGAAAACGAGAATTCTGTACTCTCCAGTGTAGTAATTAATTCAGTCAAGGATCATCAACGGATGCTAAAACCTTGAACTCAAAGTATTGCTCCACAGATAGCTTATCAATTAAAAAGTAGAAAGTTTACCTTTACAATGAAGAAGTCTGGCAGTAACTATCCTAATCAAGTGACTAAACTCAGTATCACCGACAATGGAGCAACCTGTCATTCACCTGTGTACTCTTTCTGCCAGAAATACTTTAACCTAAATCTAACTATGAGAAAACAATTAAACAAATACAAAATTTGGAACACTTTTTATTACAAGTGACCTAGACTCTTCAGAAAAAAATAATAGCATGAAAAGCAAAAAAAAAAAAAAAAAAAGAGTGGGAAACTATTCTGTAAAAAGAGATGAAAGATCTCAAACTCAAATGCTATACATAATCCTAGACTGGTTGCTACAAAGAAAAACAATACAGCTATAAGTGACATTTGGTGACAGTTATGGAAATTTAAATATAGAGGTTATATTAGGTGATGGTTTGGATTATTATTATTAGTTTTTTTAGGTACGAAAAGATGTGTTTTTTTAGGTACGAAAAGATGTGTTTTTTAGGAGAATATCCTTAATCATTTTGTAAGCAAATTTCAACTTTAATTTTAGATTCAGGGAGTATGTGTGCAGGTTTGTTACATGGGTAAATTGTGTGATGCTGAGGTTTGGGGTACAATTCACCCCATCACTCAGGTAGTAAGTAGTTAAGTTTTCAAACTTCCACCCCCGGAGTAGTCCCCAGTGTCCATTGTTGCCATCTTTATGTCCATGTGGACCCAATGTTTAGCTCGCACTTATAAATGAGAATAGGCTTTCTCATTTATGGTTTTCTGTTTCTGCATGAATTTGTTTAGGATAATGGCCTGTAGCTGCATCCATATTGCTATAAAGGACATGATTTAGTTATTTTTGTGGTTGCATAGTATTCCATGGTATGTGTGGGTATACATATATGGCATATATACATATATACGTGTGTGTGTATGTGTGTGTGTGTGTATATATATGTACATATATATATGTAATATTTTCTGGCTGGGTGTGGTGGCTCATGCCTGTAATCCCAGCACTTTGGGAGCCAAGGTGGGCAAATCACGACGTAAGGAGTTCGAGACCAGCCTGGCCAACATGGTGAAATCCCATCTCTACTAAAAATACAAAAAATTAGCTGGGTGTGGTGACGGGCATCTGTAATCCTAGCTACTTGGGAGGCTGAGGCAGGAGAATCTCTTGAACCCAGGAGGCAGAGGTTGCAGTGAGCCAAGATTGTGCCACTGCACTCCAGCCCGGGTAACAGTACGAGGCTTCATCTTGAAAATATATATATATATATATATACACACACACACACATATTCATATATACACACACATACATACGTATTTCTATATACATATATACATATATACGTATTTATATATACATATATATACATATATATATACACATATACGTATTTATATATACATATATATACATATATATATACACACACACACACACACACATAGTGTTTTATCCAGTCCACCACTGATGGGCACCTAGGTTGATTCTATGACTTTGCTATTATAAATAGTGCTATGATAAACATACAACTCCATGTGTATTTTTGGTAGAACAATTTATTTTCTTTTGGATATATACCCAGTAATAGGATTGCTGGGTCAAGTGGTAGTTCTTTTTTAAGTTCTTTGAGAAATCTCCAAACTCCTTTCTACAGTGGCTGAACTAATTTACATTCCCACCAACAGTGTATAAGTGTTCTCTTTTCTCTGCAGCCTCACTGGCATCTATTGTTTTTTGACTTTTTAATAATAGCCATTCTGACTAGTGTGAGATGATATCTCATTGTGGTTTTGGTTTACATTTCTTCTGATTAATGATGTGGAGCACTTTTTCATGTTTGTTGACCAATTGTGTGTCTTCTTTTGGGAAGCGTCCATTCTGTCTTTTGACCCCTTTTTAATGTGGTTATTTGTTTTTGGCTTACTGAGTTATTTAAATTTCTTATAGATACTAGATATTAGACCTTTGTTGGATGCAGAGTTTGCAAATATTTTCTCTCATTCTGTGAGTTGTCTGTTTACTCTGTTTATAGTTTTTATTTTGTTTTTGTTTTGCTGTACAGAAACTCTTTAGTTTAATTAGGTCTCATTTGTCCATTTTTGTTTATGCTGCAATTGCTTAATCATAAATTTTTTCCCAAGGTCAGTGGCCAGAATAGTGTTTCCTATGTTTTCTTCTAGGATTCTAATAGTTTGAGGTCTTACATTTAAAGCTTTAATCAACCTTGAATTAATTTTTGTATATGGTGAAAGGTAGGTATCCAGTTTTATTCCTTTGCATATTGCTAGCTAGCTATCCCAGCACCATTTATTGAATAGGAAGTCCTTTCCTCATTGCTTATTTTGGACAGTTTTGTCCAAGATCAGATGGTTGTAGGTGTGTGACTTTATTTATGGGTTCTCTAGAATGCTCTTATTCTTAAGGGATGCAGGTTAAACATACTTGGATGTGACAGAATTCCTGCAATTTACTTTTTAAAAAGTCACTAAAAAACTCCCGTGTGTGTTTGTGTGTATGTGTATGTGTGTGTTTGTAAGGACATAAATCAAATGTGGCACAATAATCAGTTAGTGAAATAGGTTAAAAGTATGCTGTGTTCATTGTACTGTACTATTCTAACATTTTTGTAAGTTTTTAAATGATCAGTGAAAGTTGGGTGGCAGGGAATATTGAGAAATTGTTGGCATTGAAGTCAGAGAACCTGGAAGTTGAATTCATGTTTTTATCTTGGGCAAGCCACTCCCGACTTCCGAGTATGAAAGGGATAACCTCACTGACCTATTCCTTAAGACTGCTGTGAGGATAACAATCTAGGCCCAGGGGTATTTGTAAACTAAAAATCACTGCAGGGTTCTCAATCTGGAGTCCAAGGACAGAAGACAGATTCCATGAACTTGGATGGGAATCTCACTACCCTCTAACTGCAATTTAACATTTCCTTCAATTACACACATTAGCATAAGTTAACATGTCATCTATTTGTTCATAGTAACAGCTCAATATTGTTAGCTGTTATGATTACAGTTAATTTTCTTAAGTTGCACAAGTGACAGTCATGAAAAACATGAGTCAGCAACAGAGCTCTTACAATCTTACATCCTCTTTTTTCTTCCACATCTAAAGGACACGCCTACTCTGAGCCAATACTATGTGAAAGATACTATACCGTTGACTCATATTTTCCATGGCCCTCACTTGTGCAACTTAAAAAACCAAATTGTAATAACAGAGTTTACTCAATGTGTTCAAAACTGAACTCCTGATCTTCCCCCTAAAAAAACTGCTCACTCAAAGCCTCTCCCATGATGTCATTCCAACAGTCCAGGTGCTCAAGTCAAAAACTTTAGAGTCATCCTTGACTTTTCTTTTTTCCACCCTACCTCTAATCCTTTAGGAAATTCTGTTGGCGCTACCTTTAAAATATGTAAAAATCTGACCATTTCCCACCACGAATACTGCTACTGCTCTAGTCCAAGCCACCACCATCTTTCACCCAAAGACTAATACAACAGCCTCCTAAGCAGGTACCCTGCTTCTTCACTTGAGTCTATTCTCTCTGTAAATAATTATCCTTTTAAAATATGTCACATCATCCGTTCTCCTTTTTAAAACTTTGCAATGGTTCCCATTTCTCTCAGAGTAGAAACCAAAGTCCTTCCAACGATCTCAAGAACCCATATGATCTGACTTCCCTTTACCACTGTAACCTCAACTCCTACCTATCTCTCTCTGCCCCCACCCTGTCCCAGCCACACTGGCCTCCTTGACATCCCTAGAACGTGCCAGGCATGCTCCTACCTAAGGATTTTTGCACTGGATGTTCTCACTGCTTTGGAACCCAGATATTTATGTAGCTAATTCCATCATCTCCATGTCTTTGATCAAAGAGTAAGAGGCCTACTCTGACAATTCTTTTTAAAACAGCAACTAACCTAGAGATGCCTAATCCCCCTACCTTTCCTCTAGCACTTATGACCTTCTAATGTATAAATAATATAATATGTAGTGTCTATTGCCCCGTGCTAGATTATGAGCTCCATAGAGGGCAAAGGTCTTTTTTTGTTTCCTCATGTTTTTTTAAATTATTTATTCATTTATCTATTTTGTTATTGTTTTGTTTTCAATTTTTATTGTGCTTAAATATACATAATATAAGATATACTATCTTAACTATTTTTAATGTACAGTTCAATGGTATTAAGAACAGTTATGGCTGGGTGCGGTGGCTCATGCCTGTAATCCTAGCACTTTGGGAGGCCGAGGTAGGAGGATCACTTGAGGTCAGGAGATTGAAACCAGCCTGCTAACATGGTGAAACCCCATCTCTACT
This sequence comes from Homo sapiens, assembly GCF_000001405.40. Lineage (NCBI taxonomy): Eukaryota > Metazoa > Chordata > Mammalia > Primates > Hominidae > Homo > Homo sapiens. The sequence goes on along the minus strand of NC_000012.12, from coordinate 89,755,682 downwards.
AAAAATACAAAAAAAAAAAAAAAAAGAGCCAGGTGTGGTGGCAGGTGCCTGTAATCACAGCTACTCAGGAGGCTAGGGTACAAGAATCGCTTGAACCCAGGAGGCAGAGGTTGCAGTGAGCCGAGATCGAGATCACGCCACTGCACTCCAGCCTGGGCAACAGAGTGAGACTCCATCTCAAAAACAAAACAAACAAAAAAAAGCCAACAGTTATATTGTTGTGCAACCACCATCACCATCCATCTCCAGAACTCTTTATCTTATAAAACTGAAACTCTAGAGTCATTAACAAATAACTCCCCATTGCCATTCACTCATATTTTATTATTATAGCACCTAGAAGTGTTTATTACATAGGTGCTTAACAAATTTTTGATGACTAAATGAATGAATGCCTCTTGTAAAACTTCAAATATCATCTCCTTAGGGAAAAATCCCAAATTTATAATATAAGTACATAGATTTTATCCCAGATTCTCTGTTTTATATAAATTATTCCCATCTCTATACTGTTTGAAGCATTAGCTATGCCTCTTGCACATGTGTAATCTCCGGTATCATTAACATGTAATCTTAGACGTAGCAAATGTTTACTATTAGACACTGAGGACCACTAGAGAGGGAGGGGGATAAATTTTGAAAAACTAACTATTGGGAACTATGTACAGTACCTAGATGATGGGATCAATCATACCTCAAACCTCAGCATCATGCAATATACCCATGTAATAAACCTGCGCATAAACACCCTGAATTTAAAATAAAAGTTGAAATTATTTTTAAAAAGTCCAACAAGAGAACAAATGACCGAAGCCCAGAGCCATGAATGTTGGGTCTCCCCTTACCTCCTAAACCAATCCCTCATGTTTTAGCTCCTCCTCTGTGGTCCCAAGTTGGCCAGTATGTGTTAAAGCCAAGAGGCTCTGAATAGGAAGGGCATAGGTGGCATTTTAGAAAATGCATAGAACTATGTTTTCAATAGTATAAAAAACTAGTTTTTTTTAAAAGTTTTAATTTATGCATAGTAATTATGCATAAATTTTAATTGATGCATACTAATTATGCATAAATTTTAATTGATGCATACTAATTATATATATTTATGGGATACAATGTAATATTTTGATTGCACATGTATGCATTGTGTAATGACCAAATCAGGGTAATTAACATGGCCATCACTTTTAACATTTATCACTTCTTTGTGATAAGAATGTTCAAAAACCTCTCTTTTAGCTATTTTATTGTCATCTCCAGTCTAGTATGCAAAAGAACATGAGAACTTATTCCTCCTATCTAACTGTAAATGTGTACACGTTGACCATCACTCTCATCATCTCTCTCTCCTTCCTACCCTCCCCATCCTCTGGTAACTACTATTCTCCTCTCCACTTCAACGAGAACAACTTTTTAGATTTCAAAAATGAATGAGAGTATGTGGTGTTTGTCTTTCTGTGCCTGGCTTATTTCACTTAACATATTGCCCTCCAGGTTTCTCCATGTTGCTGTAAGTGACAGCATTTCATTCTTTTAAAAATATAACACTTCACGAATTTGCATGTCATCCATACTAATCTTCTCTGTACTATTCCAATTTTAGTATATGTGCTGCTGAAGTGAGCATGATAAAAACAAAGGTTTACCATGAAATATTAATGGCTTTATTTTAAGTGCCTTGAGGGCCAGTGAAAGAGAAAAGATGAGAAGAAGGAGAATCTAATCACTATACTCATACTGGAAACTTGGGGTAAAACAGCAAGTTTCTAAGAGTTCCAGCTGCTCAAGAACCTGCTAGTGCTCTTTTTTTTTTTTTCAGGGGAGGGGGGCACATTATTACAATACAGGGATATCAGCTTTGGGCAGCATCAGAAGGCAGCTTCACATAACTCTTCATGAAGGGTAGTGGCCAAATCTTTCGGCCAGCCCAGCACCCCTTGTGGTGCTGTAGCCCACTGGAAGGCCTCTTGCCCAGCCAACGGTTGTGACCTGCCCTGCCAGTGACCTGTTTGTTATGATCAGTGTTGGATACTCAGCCTACTGTTGCTATGCATGTTTCCAGCACCTGCATCTGCCTCTTAGAGGGCAGCTGGATAACGGTTGTGCCATTCACCTTCCACAGTAGCACACTACACGTCCCTGCAGCTTGGATATACTGGGCACCCCGGCCTGGCTCAATTTCCATGTTGTTGATGAGGGTTCCCACAGGCAGAGCCCCAAGTGGATGTGCATCCCCTTCCTGAGCAGCAACTGCCATTTGGCCTATGTGGTTGGAGTTCAGGATTGTATCTCCAGCCTGCAAGTTTTCTGTGGTGATGATCCAGTGTTTCTGGCTACCCCCAGCAACCAGAGCTATGTCTGCTGACCTACAGGGATCACGGTGGACTTGGATAACCTTCTCCTCAAAGGGTCCTGACTTGGTCTCCTCCTCAGGCCAGAAACACAAAAGTCAATCATGCAATAATGTTGCTTGTGGCCCCTGTCAATACCGTGCACCCAGATCTGGCCTGTGTGGTCTTCACCCCCAGACTTCCTCATCTTCACTGGTTTAATTGTGTACTTGGTATGACTCTTTCAAGGCACAAAGTTGGCACTAAGGGCCATAGAAGTAAGGATTTGGTGGCAGGGGAGCAACATCAAGGCAGAGGGCCATTGGAAGAGGGCATTGTTCATCACCTGGGAGGCAGGGAACAGACTCGGGACAGAAGTGGCAACGGTCGGGGGTGCCAGGCTCAGAGAGTGCAGAGTGCAGGTCAGTGCCCACAGGGCCATCAGGATAGCCAGGGCTCATCACACTCCTGCTAGTGTTCTTGAGAGAAATATTGAGATGGAAAACCTATGAAACCACAATGAATACCCTTCCACCAAAAAGAAAAGGGAAGATGACCTTTTCTTTAGATCCCACCTGAAGTAGGAGAAGGTCAAGATACGTAGAATCCTATTGATACCTATTATTAGTAGGGAAGAAGAAACCATTTAGGGAGACATATGATTGTGTCACTCAAATTCACTTCTACCCATCCTTTAGGAAAGGCTCCAGATTCTTTGGCAGAATGCCTGTAAGCTAAGAGACAGGCTAACAGAGGGATCCTAAAACAGAGCTGTGAGCAGTGGTGAGGAGGAAACCCCTCCACACCTCTCTGAGAACAGCAGTGGTAGCAGCTGCGGTGAGAGGATGGTGGATAGACTGAAGCCAGTTGAGCAGGGGGAGGAGAGTGGAGAGTGACAGTGCAGCAAGAGCAGATCTTTTAACAGCTAAGTAGAGAGAGCATGAGCAAGGGGACATGGAAAGGCTCAGAGGTCCAGGGGCTTAAATAGTCTGATTTTTAAGTTAAACCCTAGAAGCTCTTATTTATCCTCCCCTGCCCTACAGGGCTATTATTCCCAAGAAAGGGGAGGCACAATTAGAGGCACAAACTCAGTGTCTCTTTCTTTTTTTTTTTCTTTTTTTGACGGAGTTTCACTCTTGTTGCCCAGGCTGGAGTGCAATGGGGTGATCTCGGCTCACTGCAACCTCCGCCTCCCAGGTTCTAGCGATTCTCCTGCCTCAGCCTCCCAAGTAGCTGGGATTACAGGCACCCACTACTATGCCTGGCTAATCTTTTCTATTTTTTTTAGTAGAGACGAGGTTTCATCATGTTGGCCAGGCTGGTCTCAAACTCCCAACCTCAAGTGATCCACTCGCCTAGGCCTTCCAAAGGGCTGGGATTACAGGCGTGAGCCCCGCACCCGGCCTGGACTGTCTCTTCTTTGAATCAAAGTTTCAGCCACAAAATGGATCATAGAAGGTCTGTTTGTCCTCACTCACAGATATTCTGTATTCCAAAATTTCACACTGGTTGAATTTTTCATCAAACTGCAGGTTAAACCTCTCAATAAGCTTAGATCTGAAAAGTTGAAACTAATTTCTAGTGGCTGTTGAACAAAAGTAAAACTGTCTCCTTCACATCCCAGACCCTTTTTCCTCTCCCAGTGCCTCTATTTTTAAACACTTCTGTTGTTATATCTAGATGAAAAGCTGTAGGATCTGGGAGGGTAAAGGAGTAGGAAATTGTGTGGTGATATATATATTTTTTAAAAAGAAAAAACTGTGTACTCTCATAGGCTCCTATAACTGGCTACAACCCAAGCAGTGCACAAAGTTATGGAACCCAAACTTGATGGAGCTCAGAAAATTCCTCCAGCATCTCCTTTCATCTGCTTCAAACTTTCTAAAAGATTGACTTATCTTCTTAACCAGCATTTGGTGGCATATCTTCTAATTGCTTATCAATATCTCTAAATCTCTAAAGGACACTTTTTTCCAGTGTTCTCCCTCAGCTCTGAGGAGATCAACTCAGACTCAAGGAAAACACCAGCCAGGCCCACAGCGCCCTGCCAGGGAAGGAAATCTACAGAGAGTTGTGCAAAGCAGGGAGGCACCCTTATCATGTGTTGCAGAATGAAAAAGTTTGAAATTCAGTTTTACTCAATAATTGAATCCTACACTATACTCCCTCCAGAGCCTTCAATGCTATTGAATTCTTCTTAAATTCCTAAAGGCTGAAAGGAAGTTTTGAGAGAGACGAGATTAGTCATTAGGGATGGTATTAAGATTTGGGTAGAATGACAACAGGAACAAGGAGTGAAGGGCCCAAACTGAGAATTTGAAAATGAGTTTTCAAAAAGTACATCTGTTAGCCATTTGTTAAAATATGCATTAGCATACCATATAAATGACTATAAACAATAATAGGGGTCACTATTATTTGCCTTCCTACGAGCCACTCCTAATTTTTTTGTTTGTTTGTTTAAAGAGTCCTGATTTTGTGGCTAGACTTAGGGCATGAATTTAAGTCAAAGCCAGAGGACAGCAAAGTTTTTCTGTAAAGAACCAGGTAGTAAATACACCTCTGTCACAACTAATCAACTTTACTTTTGCAGCACAAAAACAGCCATAGACAATATAAACATGAATGGGTATGGCTGTGTTCCGATAAATCTTTATTCATAGAAACAGGCCCAAGACTGGGTTTCTTTCACAGACCTTAGTTTGTCAACCCCTCAACTAAAGTAGTCACAGAACCTCCATTTCCTTGTCCAAGTGACTGACCTAAGCAGAGGTAAGTGACCTAGTTTATCTCAGTAAGAAGCAAGGCAAGTCTGCCAGGAGGTTTCTGATAAAGATTTTCTTTCATGATAAAAGAGAGGGGATGTAAGGAGAAGGTCTTTTGATCCTTTCCCTCCCTTTCTGCTTTGCACACTTACGTAAGGAAACAATGCTTGAAGCCGTGGCAGCCATCTTGTCCTCTTGAGGCTTTAAGTTGGAAAACAAAAGCCAACAATCTGAGATTGGTGGAATAGAAGAATGAAAAAATCTGAGATCCTCATTAAGTCACTGAACTGCCACCTACCTACAGAATTTCATTAAGAAAACAAAAAGTGTACTGATGATTAAGTCATTGTTGGTCTGGTTTTCTGTTACTTGCAGCTGAAAGCATTGCTAATTGATATATCCACAGAATTTCAAAATGTGAGTGATGTATTTTTAACATTATCTTTAAAGTCTGTTGAAAAGCTTGAAGTATTTTTCTACCGTAGGACTGAGGCATGAATAAAAGAAAAACAAGAATTTTTTTTTTTTTAAGTACAGAATTTCTGTACTTAAACTACAGGAGGTCTGGAAATTGTACCAGAGCTGTCTGTAACCATGGTGGATAAGCTACTGTGCTTATAAAAAGATCATTTTTGGCCAGGCATGGTGGCTCACACCTGTAATCCCAGAATGTTGGGAGGCCGAGGCAGGCGGATCACGAGGTCAGGAGATCAAGACCATCCTGGCTAATATGGTGAAACCCGGTCTCTACTAATAATACAAAAAAATTAGCCGGGCGTGGTGGCACACGCCTGTGCTCCCAGCTACTTGGGAGGCTGAGGCAGCAGAATGGCGTAAACCCAGGAGGTGGAGCTTGCAGTGAGCTGAGATCGTGCCACTGCACTCCAGCCTAGGCAACAGATTGAGACTCCGTCTCAGAAAAAAAGAAAAAAAAATCATTTTTACATATGAGATAATTTTAGGTCGTATATGTATAAGTCAGAGACAATGTATTGATAGTCTGGACCAGGAGTTGGCAAACTACAGCTCGCTTTTATTTGTGAATAAAATTATGTTAGAACATAGCCACATCCATTTATTTAAATATTGTCTATGGCTGTTTTGAGCTACAAAAATACAGTTGAAAAGTTGCAACAGAAAGTTGTAAATGGAAAATGTATAATATACATTCAAAAAGCACTGAGACTTATGAACGTATGTAAAGCGTGATCAGATGATAGAGTACAAAAATGGTGCAAGAGTTCTCTGTCACAGTGTTCAGGGAAGGCCTCACTGTGGAGGTAACATTTGAACTGAGACACGAATAAAGTGAGTGAGTAAATCATGGGAGCATCTTGGGGAATAGCTTTACAGGCAGAGCGAACAAGTGGAAAAGCTTGGTATGTTAAAGGATAGCAGGAAGTCCAGCATGGCTAGAGCAAAGTGAAGGGAAGGATGGTAGTAGATGAGATAGATAGGTAGTAGGAGGCCAGCTCATGTGTGGTCTTATTGGCCATAGAAAAAAAATCTGAATTTTGCTTGCAATAAGTTGGCACTCCATTTGGACGGTGAGTTTGGAGCCAAAAACTAACACAATGTGTTTTTAATTACAAAACATCACTCTAAACCTTCAGTTCTGACTATGATAGAAAAAATGGCCACTGGCTTTATGCTTCAGCCATGCATAACCATAAAACTGGACAAAATATGAAGCAAAAGTTTCCAGGCATTGGACAATCAGGCCTGCATGGCTATAATCCCTGAGTGCAGGAAAACACAAAGTAAACCCTCCATTCTCCCTAGCTTTCTGTCTGAGGGCACTTTCTCAACGCAGCACAGCAAAGTGGAGCCCAAATGTTGAACAGAGTCTTTTGCTAGATGGAGGAAAAAAGAGATTGAATTTGAGGGCTACTAAGGCAATTGAAACTTGTGATGCTTCACTGGTAAATTCCATCAAACATTAAAAAAAAATATCACTGATGTTACACAGACCCTTCCAGAAAATAAAGGAGGAAAGAATAATTCAGAGACCATTTTATGAAGCCAGAATAACCCTGATTTCAAAATCATACAAGAACTTTACAAGAAAATAAAAGTACAGGTAATAGCCTTCATGAATAAAGATGAAAATGATTCTATAGAAATATTAACAAATCAAATCCTGCAATATGTAATTATATATAAGTCCAGCAATATAAGCTACCATCATACTTAATGATAAAAGGCTGAAAGCTTTTGCCCCAAGATTAAGAGAAAAGCAAGGATGTTCTTTCTTGCTACTTCTATTCAGCAAGGTACTATATAGATTCTAGCCACTGTCGTAAGTCAAGAAAAAAAAAAAGAGAGCATACATTTTGGAAAGGAAGAAGTAAAACTGTCTTTATTTGCCACAACATTATTGTGTATATAGATAATCCTAAGGAATCTGAAAAATAAATAAATAAATAAATAAAGCTACTAGAGCCAGAAATGAATTAAGCAAGTCCACGTGATATATCAATGTTCAAAAAACTAATAACATTTCTATATATTAGTAACAAACATTAAAAATAAGAATATTTAAATATACCATTTATAATAGTAACAAAAATATATAAAATAGGGAGAAATTTAATAGTTGGTGTATAAGACCTCCCCATGGAAAACTAAAACTCATTTCTGAGAGAAATTAAGCCTAAATAAGTAAAGAAATAACCTATGTTCATGAATTGGACAACTCATATTGTTAAGATGGCAATTCTCCCCAAATTTAATCAATAGACTAAAATGTAATCTGAATCAAAATTCCAGGGAATTTTTTTTTTTAATAAAGCTTGACAAGCTGCCAGGTGCCTGTAATCCCAACACTTTGGGAGGCTGAGGTGGGTGGATCACTTGAGTCCAAGAGTTCAAGACCAGCCTGGGCAACTTTGTGAAACCCCGTCTCTACAAAAAATACAAAAATTAGCCAGGTGTGTTGGCATGTGCCTGTGGTCTCAACTGCTAGGGAGGCTGAGGTGGGAGGATCCCTTGAACCTGGGAAGTCGAGGCTACAGTGAGTCGAGACTGTACCACTGCACTCCAGCCTGGGTTGCAGAGCAAGACTTTGTCTCAAAAAAAGAAACGTAATTGACAAGCTGATTCAAAAATGTATATAGAAATGCAAACAACCTAAACTAGCTAAAATTATCTTGAAAAATGAGAAAAAAATTGAAGAAGTTACATTAATTGATTTCAAGACTTACTAGGAAGCAACAGTGGTCAAAAGAGCGTAGTATCAGTGTAGGGATACACAAATATACCAGTGGAACAGAATAGAGAGTCAAATAAAGCCACAGTTACTTGGTCAACTGATTTTTGACCAAGGCATCAAAAACAATTCAGTGAAGAAACAAAATTCTTTTTTAAAAATGTTGCTGGAAAAATTGCATATCTCTATGGAAATAAATAAATCTTAAACCTACCTCATATCATATGCAAAACTGTATTCAAGATGGATCAAATACCCATATGTAAACTAATGCTATAAAGTTTCTGGAAGAAAACATAGCAGAATATTTGTATGACATAGGATAGACAAGAATTTTGTAGCACAACACAGAAAATATAACCATAAAATAAAAATTTGATAAATTGGTCTTCAACAAAATCAAAAACTTGTGCTTGTCAAAGGACACCAACAAAAATAAGCAAGTTACAGACTGGGAGAAAATATTTGCAAAATGTATCTAAGAAAGTACTTGCACTTAGACTCTGTAAGAAACTTCTACAACTCAATAATAAAAAGACATCACACATCCTTTTTTAGCGTGAGGAAAAGATTTGAAAAGAGACTTTATAGAGGACAAATATGAATAGCCAATAAGCACATAAAAAAGGATTCAACATTGTTAATCAAGAAATGGAATTTAAATCAAAATTAGATTGCACTACCTACCTATTAGAATGGCTAAAGTTAAAAAGACTGACAATATCCAATGTTGCAAAGAATATGAAATGGTCTGTACCCCCATAAATCATCAATGGAAGAGTAAAATGGTACAATCACTTTTTAAAATGGCTCGGCAGTTTCTTATGAAGTTAAACATATACCTACCCAATGACCTAGAATTTCTACTTCTAGATATTTACTCAGGAGAAATAAAAGCATATGTTCACAAAAACACTTTTATACGAATATTTATAGCAACTTTATAATAGCCAAAGACTGAAAACAGCCTAGGTACTCACTAATAAAAGAATGATAACCAAATTATTGTGCAGTTGTGCAGTGGATTAGTACTCAAAAATACAAAGAAACATAACCAATACACACAACCATATGAATGAATCTAAAAAAATTATACTGAGTTAAAGAAACTAGACACAAAATAATATATAATTAGTGATTCTAGAAAAAGCAAAACTAATCTAATAGAAATCAGAACAGTCATTGTCTCTTGTGGGTGGAGTGGGAACTGACTAAAAAGGGACATGAGAGAACTTTCTAAAATGATAGAAAGGTTTATATCTGCCTTTGTTAAAACTCACAGAATGGTATATTAAATATATGTGTTTATCACTACAAATTATAGTATAATTTTAAACATAAGAAAAAAATTAGTTGATATTTGGGGACAGACTGGGAGAGCTGAGGGATAGATGCAGGAAACAAGTTAAGTGGCCATTGCAGTAGTTTCCAGAGATGATGGTGGCTTAACCTGGGAAGCACTGACAGTAGATGTGATCAATTTGGGGTATATTTTTAAAGCTGGAATTGCAGAACATCTGAATTGTTTGGTGGTGGTGTATAAAAGAAAGAGAAGAAACAATTGTATCGTTACAAGTGAAAGCTCACACACCCCTTGAAAAGAAGGGAGGTAACAGAAAAAAGTAAAACAAGCAGATACTTACATTACATTTCATTATTTACATGTCAATTTTTTGTATGTAATCAATCTTATATCAAAAAGATAATGAAGGAGACTTCTACTTCCAGTGAAAATGGAGTAACACAGACCAGATTTACCCTCCCACCTGAAACCATTAAAAAACCAGACAAAATATATGAGAATGGTTTTCAAGACATTAAACACCAGGCAATGAAAGGCAGTGATTTCTGAGAGACAAGAGACAAACAAGTTGAGCCCTGTTATTGCCCCAGCTTACTGGCTAAAAAAGTTTCTAGGTCATGACCCAGTGGGAGAGAAACGAGTAGAGATTTGCGGTCTTCCTGAGTTAAGGTAATATAAGCAACAAATGAGATAAAATGAAAGCATAAAATAATATTCAACATGAAATAAAAACAAACCAAAAAAAAAGGAAAAAGAGAAGTGGAAAACAGATGAAGAAAATTGAAATAGTTACAAGGCAGATTTAAACCCAACCATACCAATAATCACATTAAATGTAAATGTCCTAAACATCCTAAGTTAGCAGCCAAAATGGCCAGTTTGAGTACAACAGCAGAATCCAACCACTTGTTTACAGAAACCCACTTTAAATATAAAAAACATAAATAGGTTAAAAGTAAAACAATAGGAAAAGATACACCATGATAACACTAAACAAAAAAAGGTGAAGTGGCTATATTAATATTAGACAAAGTAGATTTTTTAGAACAAAAATATTATCAGAGATAAAGAAGGTCATTCCATAATAAGAAAAAGCATTGATTACATTGGATATATATATATATATATATATATATATCAGGAGGATATAACCACACCACACTTTTATGCACCTGATAACAAAGCTTCAAAATCTATGAAGCAAAAAACTGATAGAGCTCCAAGGAGAGTAGTCAAATCACAATTATAGCTGGAGATTTTGACACCTCCCTTTCAATAATTAATCAAATTAATGGATAAAAGCAGTGCAAATAGGGAAGACTTGAACAACACTATAAAACAACTTGACCTAATTGGCATTTATAGAATACTGTACCCAACAAAATATAATTTTAAAAAATTATTGTTTAAAAAGCAGATGTAAATACATAGCAGTCAGAGGGTGCTGAGAACAGGCATAACGGTTCCACACAATCTAATCCACCCTGAGGATAATATCAGATACAATTGTATTAGTTAATAACTTGTCTGGCTATAAGAAATAGAATGCAGAACCAATAGTAGTTTACATAAATAGGATGCCATTTTTCTTATATAGTAGCAATGAATCAATATTGTCAAAGACAAAAATCTATGCGATTCTATTAGCCTTTCTCCCAAAAATATTGAATCATTAAAAATGTTTTTAAAATATTTTTAATAACCCATGTGTCCACTTGCTATTATCTCCACAATTCAGTGGGGGAAAGAAGCTGGAAAGCAAAAGGGCAATGCAGTTTCAATCCTTACCAGGAGTTAAAAACAAAACAAAACCAAACTTTCCCAGAACACACCTAGAATTCTGCCCAGGTCTCATTGTCCAGAATTGGATCCTATGGTCATACTTACCTTTGAGGGAAGCTGGGAAAGGGAAAAGAAAAGCAGGATTGTTTTGAATGGCCTAATTCAGTGCTTCCTAATACATATATTATGTAAACCACATATGTAATTTACTAGTAGGCATTTTTTAAGTAAAATGAAACAGGTGAATTAATTTTCATAATATATTTTAATCTAACATTTATAATATTATTTCAACAAGCAAATAATACAAAAGTTATTAATAGCATATTTTACATTTTATAGTTTTTGCACTCCAGTGTATATTTTATACTTACAACATATCATTTCAGACTAGCCTTATTTCTTTCTTTTGCTTTCTTTTTTAATTTTTAATTTTTGTGGGTACATAGTAGGGTGTATTATATTTATGGGGTGTATGGGATAATTTGATACAGGCATACAATGTGTAATAATCACATCAGAGTAAATGAGGTATTCATCACTTCCAGCATTTATACTTTGTGTTACAATCTACTTATGCTCTTTATTTTAAATTGTACTATTAAATTATTATTGACTATAGTCACCCTGTTGTGGTACTAGACCTTATTCACTCTTTCCAACTTTTTTTTTTTTTTTTGAGATGGAGTCTTGCTCTGTCGCCCAGGCTGGAGTGCAGTGGCACGATCTTGGCTCACTGCAAGCTCCGCCTCCTGGGTTCACGCCATTCTCCTGCCTCAGCCTCCCGAGTAGCTGGGACTACAGGCGCCCACCACCACGCCTGGCCAATTTTTTGTATTTTTAGTAGAGACGGGGTTTCACCGTGTTAGCCAGGATGGTCCCAATCTCCTGACCTCATGATCCGCCTGCCTCGGCCTCCCAAAGTGCTGGGATTACAGGCGTGAGCCACCGCGTCCGGCCCCAACTATTTTTTGTACCCATTAACCATACTTCTTTGCCCCCACCCAAGCCCCACTGCTTTTCCCAGCCTCTGGTAACCGTCATTCTGCTATTTCCACAAGTTCAAATTGTTTTAATTTTTAGCTCCCACAAATAAGTCAGAACATGCAAAGTTTGTCTTTCTGTGCCTGACTTATTTCACTTAACATAATGACCTCCAGTTCCGTCCATGTTGTTGCAAATGACAGGATCTCATTTTTAATGGCTGAATAGTACTGTTTGTATATATGAACCACGTTTTTATTATCTATTCATCTGTTGGTTAGGTTGCTTCCAAATCTTGGCTGTTGTGAATAGTGCTGGAATAAACATGAGTGCAAATATCTTTTCAATATACTTATTTCCTTTCTTTGAGGGATATATCTAGCAGTGGGATTGCTGAATCATATGATAGTGCTATTTTTAGTTTTTAGAAGAACTTCTATGTTGTTTTTCATGGTGGCTGTACTAATTTGCATTCCCACCAACAATGTACAAAAGTTCCCCTTTCTCTTTATCCTCACCAGCATTTGTTATTGCCTTGGGTAAAAGCCATTTTAACTGGGGTGAGATGATATCTCATTGTAGTTTTGATTTGCATTTCTCTGATGATCAACGATGTTGAGCACCTTTTCATATCACTGTTTGCCATTTCTATTTCTTCTCTTGAGAAATGTGTATTCAGATCTTTTGCCCATTTTTTAATTGGATTATTGTATTTTTTCCTAAGTTGTTTCAGTTTCTTATGTATTCTGGTTATGAATCTGTCGTCAGACACATAGTTTGCAGATGTTTTCTCCCATTCTGTGGGTTGTATCTTCACTTCATTGATTGTTTTCTTTGCCATGCAGAAGCTTTTTAACTTGATGTGATCCCATTTGTCCACTTGTGCTTTGATTGCCTATGCTTGTGGGATATTATTCAAGAAATCTATGCCCTGTCCAATGCCCTGGAAAGTTTCCCAAATATTTTCTTGCAGTAGTTTCATAGTTTGAGGCCTTAGATTTAAGTCTGTAATCCATTTTGATTTGATTTTTGTATATAGTGAAAGATACAGGTCTAGTTTTATTCATCTGTATATGGATATCTAGTTTTCCCAGCACTATTTATTGAAGAGACTGTCCTTTCCCCAATATAGGTTCTTGACACCTTTGTAAAAAATGAGTTCACCATATATGTAAGGATCTATTTCTGGGTTCTTTATTCTGTTCCATTGGTTTATGTGTCTATTTTTAAGCCAGCACCGTGCTGTTTTGGTTATAATAGTTCTGTAGTTTAACTTTAAGTCAGGTAATATGATTCCTCCAGTTTTGTTCTGTTTGCTCAGGATAGCTTTGGCTATTCTAGGTCTTTTGTGATTCTGTATAAATTTTAGGATTATTTTTCTTATTTCTGTGAATAGTGTCATTGGTATTCTGATAGGGATTGCATTGAATCTGTAGATTGCTTTAGGTAGTATGAACATTTTAACAATATTCTTCCAATCCATGAACATGGAATATCTTTCCATTTTTTTCTGTCTTCTTCAATTTCTTGCATCGATATTTTATAGTTTTCATCATAGTGAACTTTCACTTATTTGGTTAAGTTAATTCCTGGGTATTTAACTTTATTTGTAGCTATTGTAAATGGAATTACTTTTTTATTTCTTTTTCAGATTGTTTGCTGCAGGCATATAGAAGTGCTACTGATTTTTGTATGTTGATTTTGTATCCTGCCATTTGACTGAATTTGTTTACCAGATCTAATACTTTTTAATGGAGTCTTTAGGTTTTTCCAAATATAAAATCATATCATCTGCAAACAAGGATAATTTGACTTATTCCTTTCCAATTTGAATGCCATTTATTTCTTTATCTCTTCTGATTGCTCTAGCTGGAACTTCCAGTATATGTTGAATAATAGTGGTGAAAACAGGCATCCTTATCATATTCCAGATCTTAGGGGAAAGGTTTTCATTTTTTCCTATTCATTATGATACTAGCTGTGGGTCTGTCAAATATGGCTTTTATTATATTGAGGTATGTTCCTTCTGTACCCAGTTTTTCGATAGTTTTTTTCATGAAGGGATGTTGATTTTTAGCAAATGCTTTTTCAGAATCAATTGAAATGATCATATGGTTTTTGTTCTTCATTCTGTTAATATGATTTATCACATTGATTGATTTGCAGATATTGAACCATCCTTGCATCCCTGGGATAAATCCCACTTGCTCATGATAAATGATTGTTTTAATGTGTTATTGAATTCAGTTTCCTACTATTTTGTTGAAGATTTTTGCATCAATGTCCATCAGAAATATTGGCCTTTATTTTTCTTTTCTTTTTTTTAAGGTGTCTTTGTCTGGTTTTGGTAACAGGGTAATACCGTCCTCACAGAGTGAGTGTGGAAGTATTCCCTCTGCCTCTTTTTTGGGAATACTCTTATTAGGAATGGCATTAGTTCTTCTTTTAAGTGTTTGGCAAAATTCAGCAGTGATGGCCTTGTGTCCAGACTTTCAGCTGGCAGACTTTTTATTATGACTTTGATCTTGTTACATGTTATTGGTCAGATCAGGTTGTGGATTTCTTCATGGTTCAATCTGTGTAGGTTGTGTGTGTCTAGGAATTTATCCACTTCTAGGTTTTCCAATTTATTGACATATAGTTGTTCATAGTAACCTCTAATGATCCTTTGAATGTCTGTGGTACTGGTTGTAATGTTTTCTTTTTTAATCTCTGATTTATTTGGGTCTTCTCTCTTTTTTTCTTAGTTATTCTGGCTAAAAGTTTGTCAATTTTTTTTATCTTTTCAAAAAAGTTTTTGTTTCTTTGATCTTTTGTATTGTTTTCTTCATTTCAATTTTATTTATTTCTGCTCTGATCTTTGTTATTTATTTTCCACTACTAACTTTGGGTTTGGTTTGCTCTTGCTTTTATAGTTCTTTAAGATATATTGTTAGGTTGCTTATTTGAAATTTTTCTTCTTTTCTTTTTTGATGTAGGCACTTATAGCCATAAACTACCTTCTTAGTACTGCTTTTGCTGTTTCCCATAGGTTTTGGTATGTTGTGTTACCATTATAATTTGCTTCAAGAAATTTTTTAATTTTCTTCTTTATCTTTTCATTCAGGAACCTATTGTTTAATTTCCATGTATTTGTATAGTTTTCAAAATTCCTCCTGTTGTTGATTTCTAGTTTTATTCCATTGTGGTCATAGAAAATACCTGACATTATTTCAATTGTTTTAAGAATTGTTTTGAGGCCTAGGATATGGTTTATTATTGAGAATGATCCATATGCTGAGGAGAAGAATGTATATTCTGCAGCTCTTGGATGAAATGTTCTGTAAATATCTATCAGGTTCATTTGGTCTATAGTGCAGATTAAGTTCAGTGTTTCTTTGTTGATTTTCTGTCTGGATGATCTGTTCAATGCTAAAAGTGGAGTGTTGAAGTCTCTAGCTATTATAGTATTGAGGGTCTGTCTCTTTACCTTTAGCTCTAATAATATTTGCTTTATATATCTGGTACTCCAGTGTTTGAGTACATATATATTTATAATTGCTATATACTCTTACTGAATTGACCCCTTTATCATTATATAATTACCTTCTTTGCCTCTTTTAATACTTCTCATCTTGAAATCAATTTTGTCTGATATACATATAGCTACTCCTGCTCTTTTTTTCTTTTTTGGTTTTCATTGGTGTGGAATATTTTTTCCATCTCTTTATTTTCAGTCTATGTCTTTATAGGTGAAGTGTGTTTCTTGTAGGCAACAGATCATTGGGTCATTTTTAAAAATATGTTCAGCCACTCCATGTCTTTTGGTCTGAGAGTTTAGTCCATTTATGTTCAATGTTATCAATAATATATTGATAAATAAGAACTTACTTCTGCCATTTTATTATTTGTTATCTGTTTGTTTTGTGGTCTTCTCTTTCGTTCTGACTGCTTTATGGTGAAGGTGATTTTCTCTGGTGATATGTTTTAGTTTCTTGCTTTTTATTTTTTGTGTATCCATTGTATGTTTTTAGATTTCAGGTTACTACAAGGCTTGCAAATTATATAACCCATTATTTAAACTGATGACAACTTAACACTGATTGCATAAACATACAAACAAACAAGTAAAAAGAAAACTAATAAAAACTGTAATTTGGTCTCCCTGTTTTTTTTACTTTGTTGTTTCTATTCATATCTTATTGTACTGTTTATGTCTTGAAAACTTGTTGAAGTTATTATTCTTAATTGATATCTTTTTGTCTTTCAACTTAGAATATGAGTAGTTCACACACTACAATTACAGTGCTATAATATTCTCTGTTTTTCTGTGAACTTACTATCACCAGTGAGTTTTGTACCTACAGATGATTTTGATTGCTCATTAACACCCTTTTCTTTCTGATTGAAGTATTCCTTTTAGCATTTCTTGTAGGACAGTCTGTTGTTGATCAAATCCCTCAGTTTTTGTTTGTCTGGGAAATAATTTCTCCCTCATGTTTGAAGGATACTTTCACCAGTATAACACTGTGAGGTAAAAGGTTTTTTTCTTCAACACTTAAATATGTCATGTCACTCTCTTTTGTCCTGTAAGGTTTCCACTGAAAAGTCTACTGCCAGATCTATTAGAGCTCCATTTTATATTATTTGTTTCTTTTCTCTTGCTGCTTTTAGGATCCTTACTTTACTTTGACCTTTGGAACTTTGATTATTAAATGCCTTGGGGTAGTCTTCTTTGGGTTAAATCTGCTTGGTGTTCTATAAACTGCTTGTACTTGAATATTGATTTCTCTAGGTTTAGAAAGTCCTCTGTTATTATCCCTTTGTTTTATGCTTTATGTTTCATTTTATTTATATATTTTATTTATTTATTTATTTTTATTTTTATTTTTTTGAGACGGAGTCTTGCTCAACTGTTACCCAGGCTGGAGTGCAGTGGCACAATCTTGGCTCACTGCAACCTCCACCTCCCAGGTTCAAAGGATTCTCCTGCCTCAGCCTCCCAAGTTGCTGGGATTACAGGTACATGCCACCATGCCCTGCTAATTTTTTTATTTTTAGTAGAGACAGGGTTTCACTATGTTGGCCAGGCTGGTCTTAAACTCCTGACCTCAAGAGATCCACCCACCTTGGTCTCCCAAAGTGCTAGGTTTACAGGCGTGAGCCACCACACCTGGCCTATCCCTTTGAATAAACTTTCTATCTCTATCTTTCTCTCTACCTCCTGTTTAAAACCAATAACTCTTAGATTTGCCCTTTTGAGGCTTTTTTCTAGATCTTGTATATGTGATTCATTCCTTCTTATTCATTTTTCTTTTGTCTCCTCTGACTGTGTATTTTCCAATAGCCTGTCTGCAAGCTCACTAATTCTTTCTTCTGCTTGATCATTCCTGATACAGAAGACTCTGATGCATTCTTCAGTATGTCGTTTGCATTTTTCAACTCCAGAATTTCTACTTGATTCTTTTTATCCTAAATTCCTTCTCTGGGTTATCTTAAATTTCTTTGAGTTTTCTCAAAACAGCTATTTTGAATTCTCTGTCTGAAAGGTCACATATCTCTGTCTCTCCAGGACTGGCCCCTGGTGACATATTTCATTTGTTTGGTATGGTCATGTTTGCCTGGATGGTCTTGATGCTTGTGGATGTTTGTCAGTGTTTGGGCATTGAAGAGTTAGATATTTATTGTAGTCTTCGCAGTCTAGGCTTATTTGTACCTGTCCTTCTTGGGAAGGAAGGCTTTCCAGGTATTCAAAGGGACTTAATTGTTGTTATCTAAGTTTTTGTTTACTGCAGCTGTATCTGCATTAGGGGGCACCCCAAGCCCAGTAACACTAGTTCTTGCACACTTATAGAGGTACTGCCTTGGTGGTCTTGGATAAGATCAGGAAGAATTATCTGGATTGCCAGACAGAAACTATTGTTTTCTTCCCTTACTTTCTCCCAAACAGAGTTTCTCTCTCTCTCTGCTGAGCTGCCTGGGGCTGGGGGAGAGATGTCACAGCACTTCTATGGCCACCACTATTGGGACTGCACTGGGTCAGACCTGCCAACACAGCACTGGGTCTTGCCCAAGGCTTACTATAACCACTACGTGGCTACTGCCTATGTTTCCTTAAGACTTTGGGGCTCTTCAATCAGCAGGTGGTGAAGCCAGCCACAGACTAGTCTTATTTCACATGCTCTGCAGCCA
Organism: Homo sapiens; assembly: GCF_000001405.40. Lineage (NCBI taxonomy): Eukaryota > Metazoa > Chordata > Mammalia > Primates > Hominidae > Homo > Homo sapiens. The sequence goes on along the minus strand of NC_000012.12, from coordinate 89,737,142 downwards.
CATGTGGCTAGTGGTTAGTATATTAGATATCACAACTCTAGAGCAATCACAGTCAATTGCCTTTGCAACCCCAAGAAAAGGAGGTTTTCTTAATAAGGGAGAACAGAGATTAGAGTGGATATGAAATAGACAACTAAAAATGGCTGTTGCATCAATGCAAACTGGAATTATTACTGGTTTGCTTAAATTTTCAAATAAAAGTATAATTAGGTGATTTCTGTTTAAGAGTATAGGGAAATCCACAAACAAATTTAAAAGTTTTTTGTACAATTTAACTCAAAAAAGTTTAATGTTCTTTAGTAAACTCAGTATTATAGACGGACTCATGTCCCCACACTTTATTCATTCAATAAATATTTATTGATAGCTTTACATTATTTTTCCAATCCCTTCAATGGCTTTGATTTCATTTAAAAAAATTTTTTTTCCTATAAGACAGGATATCAAGCAAACTTTCAAGGGCTTTGATCAGTACTCTGTGACCTCTGGGTCTTTGCATGTGTTATTTCCTCTGAAAGAAATATGCTTCCTCCTAGTCCCATCTTCTCATCCTTAAATCTGGCTGACTCTAACACACCTTTCAGGTCTCAGATTAAATGTTACCGCCTCAGGTAAACACTTTTCTTATCCCATATAATATATTACATACTGTCATGGCCTCCTATCATCCACCTATTATTATCTTCATTACCCTTTACTGTAATTATTTATTTTATTATCTATCTCCCTCACCATGTTGTATGACCCACAAGGTCTGAGATCTTATCTGTTTTGTACAGCAGAATCAAGCAGTCTGCCTGTCCCATGTTTAATATATACTTGCTGAATGAATAAATAAAATGCCATGTCTATACTAAGCTGTGAAAAAAAGTTGAAGATAGACCTCAATATAAATGAATAATACTACAATGTGCTTAAGGCTGCTTCAGAGGCATGAACATGATGCTACGGAATACGGAAGGGATGAGCTTAAACCGAGTCTTGAAAAACATGTTCACCATGGAGTCAAAGTGAGTAACAGCATTCCAGGCAGAAGGGACAGTAGTCTAGCAAGAGACATAAAATCATGAATCAAGGCAATTGTAATTGGGGAGGGTTGTTGGAAATTCAAGATATATTTTTAAAGTAGAATCAACCAGATTTGATGAGAAATTCATTGTGAGTGTTGAGAAAGCAGAAGGTATCCAAGATGACATCCACATTTTTACCTTAGGCAACCAAGCTGGTTACCATACCATTCATTCAGTAGAAATTAAAAGAGAAGTAAATGTTTGGGAAGAGGAGAAAATTAGCTAAGCCTAGATAGAATAAACAGAATTTCAGGGCTTGGGGAAATTCAGAGATATAAATAATAAGAGATCAGTCAGAAATTTGAAGTAGAAGACACATTTGAAAAAATCACTGGCACATGGAAAATAGTCGAAAAGATGAGCACAAATGAAATCAAGCTCACACGCATGAACACCCACAAAATATGGCATGATGATAGCATAGTGTAATTGTTTCTTTAAAAAATATAACATTACTTGAATATCCAAATGAATGATGTTTCTTTCAAACGAGTCACCTCAGGAGGCCCTGCACCCATGCTGGCTTTGCCACTACTACTGTTAAAAATATTTTTGACATTCCTTTTTTGGTCTTTTCATTAAAGTGAACAATATATCCTTTTGAATATCCTAAATACTGGAAAATTCTTATTGTTGCAGGATGAATTTGATTGGGGGAACAGAAAAAAAATTAGGGCTAAGTCTGATGAGTAAGGGGAATGAATGATCATATTCTACAGGATCATTTTGGCTCAAAGGAAAGGAATAGCAAGTAGCCAGAAATATTTTCTTATCAGATATATTTACTGAATCTTAAAGGAATTTTAATTCAAATAGTAGGTATTAGCAATATTTGCATTTGAACTGGTGATCTGAGTACAGCAGATGACTCTCCCCAATGTGAACGGGCATTATCCAATCTATTGAGGGTCTGAATAGAATAAAAAGGCAAAGGAAGGGCGAATTTGCTTTCTCTGTTTGAGCTAAGACATCCATTTTCTCCTACACTTGGACACTGGTGTTCCCGGTTCTTGAGATATCTGACTCAGACTGGGATTTACACTATCTGCTCATTCCCTCACACATACCCCAATTCTCAGGTCTTTGGCCTCTGACTAAATTCCACCACTGGCTTTCTTTGTTTCTCAGCTTGCAAACAGCAGATTGTTGGACTTCTTGACCTCCATAACTATGTGAACCAATTCCTATAATAAATCTCCTTTTATATATACATGCCTGTATATACTTATCTTGTTGGTTCTATTTCTCTGGAGAACCCTGGCTAAGACAGTAACCTTCATGAGATCAGTGATCATGCTAAAGTTGTTCATAGATGCATCATTCCCCACTACCTAGAAGAGTTTTTCGCACAGGAGTTTCTTTTAAAATAAATAAATGCATGTTTCTGTTATCCAGTGCTGTGTAACAAATTACCCCAAAATGTAGTGGCTTAAAACAACAACCATTTCATTATATCTCATAATTTTGGGGGTCAGGAATTAAAGCAGGGCTCAGCTGGGAGATTCTTCTGTCAACTAAGCATCTTCAGTGATATCCAGATTGGTCTGGAGGGTCCAAAACAGCTTTCCTTGGATGTCTGATACTTTGGCAGGGATGACTGGAAAACTTGACTTAGCTGGATCTGATGACCAGAGTGCCTACACATGGCCTCTGCAACATTTCAAGGCAGTCAGACTTCTCACTTGATGCTTGAGGACTCCCAGAGAAGCATTCAAAGAGATGTGGACAAAAGATGCAAGACTCCTTTTATTTAGCCTTAAAAGTCCCACTCTGCAATATTCTATTTATCAAGTAAGTCACTAAGTCTAGCATATATTCAAGAGAAGGAAAATCTTCTCAAAGGGTGAATTAGCAAAGAATTTATGGGCATTTTTAATCTTCTACGATGCATGAAAGGAAAAAAAAAATGAACATGTAAAATCTGGCAGGGATCTAAAACAAGCAGTGATTTCCAAATCAGCCAGACATAAGTGGCTAAGAAGAAAGGAATTTACAACCCATACATCTTTTCTCTACCCACAAAAAGACCAACTTTTATAGGGAGAACAAACTCCTGGAAAATGTCCATTGAACACTATGTATTCACCACTTTATTGAGAACTTTATGTGTATTCCCTCATTTAGTCCTTACAAACCACACTACTGAGTGGATATTATTGTTATCACCCCATTTTTACAGATGACGAAATTGAAGCGCAGAGACATCAAGTAATGTTCAAGATTACACAATCAGTGAGTGACAGGATTGAGCTCCAAATTCAGTTTAACCTCAGATCCCACATCCTTATCCACCAAACCACAAGGCTCTCGTGGTAGGTATTATAATATATCGCAAGGCTGATTTTCTCCTGAAGAATGAGCAGAGGGGCCTATTTTAAGAAGATGGAAAGGACATGAGCTTTAGAATCAGCCTTGTGTCATACCTCTGGCTCTTCCTAGTATTAACTGTGCAGCTGTGGGCAAGTTATTTCACCTTAATTACTCATCTGTGAAATAGGGATGATAATATCTAGTTTGTAGGGTACAGTGACAATTAAAGAGAATATTTTAAAGTGCCTAGAATAGATCCATCACTTAAAAATACTTTAAAAGTTTTAATTTCTTTCTCAGATACATGACTAGTGCCCTACTTACAGAGAAAGAATCAATCCCATTGTATGTCACAATTTTTCATAAGAATTTCTCATTACATAATTAAATATTTATATTGAGAGAAAAAAGTGCTACAGAAATTTAGATTTATCTGTCTCTCTTGCCAGTTCAGTTTCTGTCCTGCCTAGTATGAACAAAAGAATTAATTCTTTTAACAAAAGGTTACCATTGACAAATAATTAGTATTAGCATTCAACACAATTTTTCATTGGTAATAGAAATAGTTTTAGAAAATGCTTACTTTTTAGTTACAATTAGTATTAGAATGACCTATAATATAATATGAGAAAGAAAAAAATGCTCTAGACTAGTATCTAGTTCCATAGTTTACTAAGTACCATAGGGGGAGAAATGGAGATATTAGAATATCAGCATTTCTGTTACAATCTTATGAACATGATTAGCATGAATATTTTATTACCAACAGTGTATAGTCACAGTTTTGTAAGAAAATGATTTTCTTTTCTACAGCTAAAAGCACAAAATTGGCACTCAACCACTTATAACTCTTATAATAATTTATACTTCTATTTTAATTCTTAAATTAGCTACTTGCCTACCAAATAACAAAGAATGTCGATTTTGTTTACCATTCTCAAGTTCTGTACTTTCCAAATAAGGATGAGAAATAAACTGAGAACAGGCAGGCAGTCCAAGTATACAGAACATAAGTGTACCAGGGAAGAAGTAGGACAGCTTGCAATGACCTAAGAAGAAAGCTTGGAGCAATTAGAAGAAGGAGGAGAAAACGTAGCTAGAGGTCAAGGGTAAAGCAGTTTACTATAGAGGCCTAGACAAATATATGACAAACACAGAAGTTGGAAACATTCTTGACTTCTAATAATGCTGTATTTATAAGTACCATATTTAAAAACCAGAATTATCCTCTAGCATACATTTTATAATGGCTTAAGTTACAAATTAGAGTTTTTAATCTCAGAGTAGGAGGACTTCTCTAAAGCCACAGAATATGAGTATTATAGAAGTAAGAGAGAAATGGGTAAGAAAACAAGTCCTGGTGATTCCAATCTTCTTAAAAATTATGATGCTTTCTTTCTTTCTTTCTCTCTCTCTCTCTCTTTCTTTCTTTTAACAATTGAGTAGAACAGCAGAAGCACCTGGATCTTGAAGAGAACAGATCTTGAGAGAACTTAAGGAGAGGCATAAAAGACCAAAGAGATTGCTGAGACTGTAAGAAAGCAGTCTCTGAGCGTGACACTGTGCTGTTGACACAGAGTAACAGAAGACATGACTGTGATTATTAAACAAAGCCTTTTATGGCCAACGACTTACAAAGGAGTCACAAATCTCTGTTAATTATATAATAAGTGCATTTCTAAAAGCCTCCTATGAATGAACCAGTGGAGATCAATTAAAGGGATAACAGTTTACTCTTTGCTTATTAAGTTACTATCAGCAAAAACAAGGAAACAAAAAAAAAGAAAATGGACTTTTGTCCATGGAGGGTATTAAAACTTTATGCATCTTTACAGTCATAGAAAATTTCACAAATTATTACACTTAGGATTTTTGGGGATTAGCACATGCACTAAATGAGATGCAGTGGAAAAGTGACACAGGGGAAAGCCTGAAAGTCATGTGCCTATTAGGGCCCTGAATCATCATCCTGGCAAGAATGTGAAGGGGCCGATTGCTACACATCCTCTTACTTTTTATTTTTTATTTTTACGGGCCAAGTAGAGAGATAAATGTTTGTATAAAGAAAAAGAATTGAATGGCAATTCAGATATAATGTCCCATTTGGTCTTTTTAGAAGGAAAGTGTTACACATAAAAAGGTAGGTAGTTCCCTGTATGTTCTATGATTTGAGACACACCCAAAGGGGTGCCTGCTTTCTAACTAAAAAATATGTGTCCCACTGATTGAGGCATCTGAAATTCACATTATCACCTACCACTTTAGGCTTATAGCATGGAAAGGAAGACTCTAGGTCTGTTGGAAAATGGGGCCACGGTAAACCAGGAAGAGGGAGCCTGGGCAGTGAGAGAGTGTTCAGTATTCAAAAGATGACACAGAAAGGTCAGCAAGGGGCAAATGGAAAGGCACAAAAAATAGCTTTAAGAATTTGGCCCAAAGGAAATGAGAGTTCGATATTTTCTATCAGTGAGTAAGATATTACTCACTGAATTGGTCATTTTTGGCATCAATTATTTTTGATGCTTACTGAGTTGTGTTTTGTGTATTTATTATAAACGCTCTGTTTCTTTTTGGAAACTGATTTTGTCATTTGGCTCCTTTCCAGATCAGTTTCCTTCCAATCACCATTAATGGGTATTGATTGAATGTGACAATTTTAGCCTCAGATGGACTAAATGCCTTAATAGAGAGAGATTTATATGCAAGATCTATTTTTACCTAAATCTTTAGGGTTTGGTTCAGACAGAGTGATTATAGAAATCATATGCATATACGATAAACATTTTTGTATCTATACAACTTTTAAATACACTACATATATATATCTTTGTTATATATATATATGTTATATATATATGTGTGTGTTTGTGTGTATGTATATATATATATTCCAAGAATTTCACCTAAAGGGAAATTCTATTTTTCTGTCTTACTCATTAAATTGGCCATTTTTGGCCTCAATTATTTTCTTGCTTGTTACCAATGTTATATATACCATATTCAAATATTTGTTATCTTTCTGTATATATTGTACTTATAATTTTTATGAATAAAAGTATATGCACATTTTAAACTGTAACGTCTTAAGACATTTAATCTGTCTAGATGGTTACTCATGTCTAGATGATTCAATTGATATCAGAATCCTATCAAGACGAACTTCTTATTTCTCCTCACCTTCACCCCCACCACCACTTGCCTAGTTTATGTTTTCATCAGTTCCACTTGCATTACTGAAATAGCCTGGCCTTGCTGGAGGGTCATTCCTGCCCCCTGCTACCATTAATTCATAATGCTGTCAGAGTCGTTTTTAAAAACAAATCTGATCCAAGCACCTGCTGCTTAAGACTCCATGATGGCTTCACACTGCCTTTCCACTATCATCACTTACTCTCAAAACTATCTTCTTCACGAAAAAAATTGCTAACATCACGTTTTTATCAAGTTATCTAATCTTTGCCTCAAAACCTTCTTCCAGGAATCACCCTAAATGTGGCAATTGATATCAGAATCCTATAGGGACAAACTCCTTAATATTTCCCTTTATCTTCACCACCACAACCACTTGCCTCGTTTGTGTCCTCATCACAAAGAAGAGTACTCATCTTTGTGTCTATGTGTACTCAGTGTCTTGAGTAAGACAACCACTGATCAACCAGCTGCAGCAATGGTTTGGGGACAAAGGCAGGAGTGTACCATTTCATCTTATCAAGGGAGTGTCTGGTTTGGGTGAGCTAGGGTGGATATTTGTAAAATTCTGTGTCTTGGCTCAAAATGTTAAGACTGCTACAAAAATCTACTAAGCTAATTAACTTTCTCTTTGTTGTCTTTTAATTTGCTTTAAAAGACCAATCCTTTAAAAAGTCTTTCCTTCCTACTTAGAATTATTTAGAAAGGAGTTTGGAGTTTGGAGGCTCTAAGAGAGCAAATCAACTCCTTGACCAAAGTATGTACTCCTATTTCGAAGACAGATTTGATGGCCCAACTAGAAACTGATTTTCAGACAGAACCATGTGAAATGATAAGAGCAGATATCGTGTACTCTACTTGCTTTTTTGTTTGTTTGTTTGTTTGTTTGTTTGTTTGAGACGGAGTCTCGCTCTGTCGCCCAGGCTGGAGTGCAGTGGCACGATCTCGGCTCACTGCAAGCTCCGCCTCCTGGGTTCACGCCATTCTCCTGCCTCAGCCTTCGGAGTAGCTGGACTACAGGCGCCCGCCACCGCGCCGGGCTAATTTTTTGTATTTTTAGTAGAGACAGGGTTTCACCGTGTTAGCCAGGATGGTCTCCATCTCCTGACCTCGTGATCCCCCCGTCTCGGCCTCCCAAAGTGCTGGGATTACAGGCATGAGCCACCGCGCCCGGCCTCTACTTGCTTTTTTTTTTTTTGGTTTAAAGTCAGCTGAGTTAACCCTGCTAAAAAGGTTGCCATCAGATTTTCTTTGCCACTCTAGTTCAAAAGTAGGTACGGTGGCTGGGATATTATTTTCTATACTTATCTGTAAGTTTAAAATTTTCATAAATCAAAATGAAAACTAAAAATTACTTTTAAGAAGATATGTCAAAAATTTCTCTCACATTACCCCGCTGCTTACTTTCTTTTACCTATGAAATTTATCAGTAGGAGCATGTGTTGTATATGAGGTTTGTGTGTCTATATGAAGTGTTTTTCTAAGCTTCTTTTGGCTTTTCAGAAATATTTTCATTTGTTACCTTTTTTTAACTTTTATTTTAGGTTCAAGGGTACGTGTGCAGGTTTGTTACATGGGTAAATTGTGTGTCCTGGGGGTTTGGTGTACAGAGTATTTCATCACCCAGGTAATAAGCATAGTACCCACTGGTTATTTTTCCTGATCCTCTCCCTCCTCCCACTCTCCACCCTCAAGTAGGCACTGGTATCTGTTTTTCCTTTCTTTGTGTCCATGTGTACTCAGTGTTTAGCGCCCATTTATAAGTGAGAACATACGATATTTGGTTTTCTCTTCCTGCATCAGTTTGCTTAGGATAATTGCCTCCAGCTCTGTCCATGTTGCTACAAAGGACATGATCTCATTCTTTGTTATGGCTGTGTAATAGTCTATGGTGCATACACACCACATTTTCTTTATCCAGTCTAGTTGATGGGCATTTAGGTTGATGCTATGGCTTTGCTATTGTGGAGAGTGCTGTTATGAACGTATGAGTGCATGTGCCTTTATAGCAGGATGATTTATATTCCTGTGGGTATATACCCAAAATGGGACTGCTGGGTTGCATGGTAGTTCTGATCTATGTTCTTTGAGAAATCACCGAACTGCTTTCCACAATGGCTAAACTAATTTACACTCCCACCAACAGTGTACAAACGTCCCCCTTTCTCCTCAACTTTGCTAGCATATGTTATTTTTTTACTTTTTAGCAATACCATTCTAACTGAGGAGAGAGGTATCTCATTATGGTTTTTATTTGCATTTCTCTATTGATTAATGACGAGCTTTTTTTCCTATGTTTGTTGGTCACATGTACATCTTTCGAAAAATGTCTACTGATGTACTTTGCCCACTTTTTAATTTGGTTTTTCATTTTTTGCTTGTTAATTTGCTTAAGTTCCTTATAGATGCTGGATATTAGACCATTATTGGATTCATAGTTTGCAAATATTCTCTCCCATTCTATAGGTTGTCTGTTTACTCTATTGATAGTTTCTTTTGCTGCACAGAAGCTCTTTAGTTTAATTAGGCCCCATTTGTCAATTTTTGTTTTTGTTGCAATTGCTTTTGGTGTCTTTTTCATGAAATCTTTGCCAGGGCCTATGCCCAGAAAGATATTTCCCAGGTTATCTTTTAGAGATTTTACAGTTTTAGGTTTTTATGTTGAAGTCTTTAATCCATCTTGAGTTGATTTTTGTACATGGTGTAAGGAAGGAATCCAGTTTCAATCTTCTGCATGTGGCTAGCCAGTTATCCCAGCACCATTTTAAAATTATTTTTAGTATAATATTTGTTTTGTTGGTTTGTTGTTTTTATTTTTTAACTTTTATTTTAAGTTCAGGGGTACAGGTGCATGTTTGTTACATAGGTAAACTCATGTCACAGGGGTTTGTTGTACAGATTATTTTGTCACACAAGTATTAAGCCTAGTACCCATTAGTCATTTTTTCTGATCCTTTCCCTTCACCCACTCTCCACCCTCCAGTAGGCCCCAGTGTCTGTTGTTTTCCTCTATGTGTCCATGTGCTCTCATCATTCGGCTTCTACTTATAAGTAAGAACATGCAATATTTGGCTTTCTGTTTCTGCATTAGTTTGCTAAGAAACATGGCCTCCAGCTCCATCCATGTTCTCTCAAATGACATGATCTCATTCTTTTTTTGTGGTTTGATAGTATTCCATAGTGTATATGTACCACATTGTCTTTATCCAGTCAACTATTGATGGCATTTAAGTTGATTCCATGTCTTTGCTGTTGTGAATCATGCTGCAATGAACATACATGAGAATGTGCCCTTATGGTAGAATAATTTGTATTCCTTTGGGTATATATCCAGTAATGGGATTGCTAGGTTGAATGGTAGTTCTGTTTTTAGGCCTTTGAGGAATCATCACACTGTTTTCCACAATAATTGAACCAACTTACACTCTCACCAACAGTGTATAAGCATTCGTTTTTCTCCATAATCTCACCAGCATGTTATTTTTTGACTTTTTAATGTAGCCATTCTGACTGGTGTGAGATGGTATCTCATTTTGGTTTTGATTGGCATTTCTCCCATCCAAGTACTAACCAGGCCTGATCTTGCTTAGCTTCCGAGATGAGACGAGACTGGTCAGGTTCAGGGTGGTATGGCCATAGATTGATTTGCATTTCTCAAATGATCCATGATGTTGAGCTTTTTAAAATATGATTGTTGGCTGCATGTATGTCTTTTGGAAAGTGTCTATTTAAGTCCTTTGCCCACTTTTTAATGGAGATGTTTGTTTTTTTCTTGTAAGTTTAAGTTATTTATAGATGCTGGATATTAGACCTTTGTCAGATGCGTAGTTTGCAAATATTTTCTCCCATACTATAGGTCGATTGTTTACTTTGTTGATAGTTTCTTTTGCTGTGCAGAAGCTCTTTAGTTCAATTAGATCCCATTTGTCAATTTTCGCAACTGCTTTGGAAATCTTCATCATGAAATCTTTGCCATTTCCTATGTCCAGAATGGTATTGCCCAGGTTGTCCTCCAGGGATTTTGTAGCTTGGGGTTTTACATTTAAGTCTTTAATCCTTCTTGAGTTGGTCTTTGTATATGATGTAAGGAAGGGGTCCAGTTTCAATCTTCTGCATATAGCTAGCCAGTTCTCCCAGTACCCTTTATTGAATAAGGAGTCCTGAGTCTTTTCCCCATTGCCTGTTTTTGTCAGTGTTGTCAAAGATTAGATGGGTGGTAAGTGTGCAGCCTTCTGTCTGGGCTCTCTATTCCATTTCATTTGTCTGTGGGCCTGTTTTTGTATCTGTACCATGCTGTTTTGGTTCCTGAAGCTCTGTGGTATAGTTTGAAGTTGGGTAGCATAATGCTTCCAGTTTTCTTCCTTTTGCTTAGAATTGCCTTTGCTATTTGAGCTCTATTTTGGTTCCATATGAATTCTAAAATAGATTTTTCTGGTTCTGTGAAGACTATCATTAGTAGTTTGATAGTAATAGCACTGAATCTATAAATTGCTTTGGGCAGTATGGCCATTTTAATGATATGCATTCTTTCTATCCATGAGTATGGAATATTTTTCCATTTGTCTGTGTCATCTCTGAATCAATCTTTGAGCAATGTTTTCTAGTTCTCCTTGCAGAGATCTTTCACCTCCCTGTTAGCTGTATTCCTAGGTATTTTATTCTTTTTGTGACAATTGTGAATGAGATTGTGTTCCTGATTTGGCTTTCAGCTTGACTGTTGCTGGTGTATAGGAATGCTAGTGACTTTTGTACATTGATTTTGTATCCTGAGATTTCACTGAAGTTGTTTATCAGCTTAAGTAGCTTTTGAGCTGAGACTATGGAGTTTTCTAGATACAGAATTATGTCAGCTGGAAATAAAAATAGTTTGACTTCTTTTCCTTTTTGGATGCCATTTATTTCTTTCTCTTGACTGATTGCTCTGGCCAGGACTTTCAAAACTGTGTTGAATAGGAGTGGTGAGAGAGGGCATCCTTGTCTTGTGCCAGTTTTCAATGGAACATTTCCAGCTTTTGCCCATGCAGTATGATGTTAGATGTGGGTTTGTCATAGACGGTTCTTTTTATTTTCAGGTATGTTCCTTCATACGTAGTTTATTGAGAGTTTTTAACATAAATGGGTGCTGAATTTTATAAAAAGCTTTTCAGCATCTATTGAGGTGATCATGTGGCTTTTGTCTTATGTTTATGTGATGAATCACATTTATTGATTTGCATATGTTGAACCAAACTTACATCCCAGAAATAAGGCCTACTTGATTGTGGTAGACACACTTTTTGATGTGCTGCTGGATTTAGTTTGCCAGTATTTTGGTGAAGATTTTTGCATTGATATTCATCAAGGATATTGGCCTTAAGTTTTCTTTTTGTGTTGCCAGTATCATTTATTGAATAGGGAATCTTTTCTCTGTTGCTTGTTTTTCTCTACTTTGTCAAAGAGCAGATGGTTGTAGGTATGCTGCTTTATTTCAGGACTCTCTTATTTTTATCTGTTACTTTACAAGTATTAGAATTATTGAACTATTCAAAAACTGCTATCTTATTTTGTTGCAGTACTGAAAATAATGTAAGATAAGTGTTGCTCTCCCTGTTTTAAAGATGAGTGACTAGGATTGTAAAGAATTCACTGATTTGTTTTATCTTCTTGAGTCCACTACATCAACAAAATTAAAATAATGTAACATATTTTATGCCCTCCACAAAGTTTCCAGTCATAAATGTCTCCATATCTTATTCCTACCATTATTGCCTATGCATAATAACTTAAATAATGACAGCCATCAGCATTTACAATAAAGTAGGAATTTTGTTTATGATTTAGATTTCTAGATATAAATTTTAAAGTCCAAGTTTTATTAAGACTAATTAAGAGGGAAAGTATTATACTTCACAATAATTTAAAATATTCTTGTCTTACACATGCCAGTTATGACTGATTTCCAAGTTAATTAAATATAGAATTGCTACATATTTCTCTCTCTCTGTCTCTCTCTCTCTCACACACACACACACACACACACACACACACATATATATTATATATATATATATATATGCTAGATTCTAGCATATTAGTCATCATCAGTATGTCTTTCAGGACTTTAGAAATAACCATATAGAATATAATTTTTTTTGAAAGTGCTCTCAGGATATCTAAAGTACTATTTTTACATTTTGGTCTCAGAGTGCAATAGCTTCATTATTTTGCTTAGAAATTCATTGCTTAGTTTTTGCATGTACATGAAGGATGTCATAGGCTCCATCTATAATAAGCAGCTTATCCAGTATGTTAATTTTTTAAATGCTGCTCAAAAAAAAGAGGCTGCCTTCTTCTGATAAACCCCAGAGTTTAATAACATGTCCTCTGAATTAATTCTGTAAATGCAGTACTAAAGTTTAGCACAACGATCTGGGCTGTTTAATTAGCTCACAGCTGCACTGCTGGGATAACATTTCTTGTTGAGGAGGTAGCTTGATATTCGTTATTGGGCTTTGGTTCAGAGTTCAATGGCCGTTTTAAGCTTTCTTAAAGAATTGCTTGTCTTTGTTTTCAGGGAAGAACATAATCATTACTCAGAAACACTTGTTAGTTTTCTTGCCGTGCCTGTATAGTCATTGATTTGACCCTAACATAACAAAGTGTGGCAATCTTTTAGACACTGAAGGATCCTATAAGATAAAAAACGTTATCTGACTTTTTAGTTTGACTAATATATGTCACATCGATAGAGCCTAAATCTCAATTTCTTTACTATTTCAAAATTCTTTAAATTTTTTAAATCTCCTTTTAAATGATGAATATGGATAAAATTTAAAAATTCCCTTTGAGGCTATATAATTATATAAAAATTCCCTTTGAGGCTGTATAAATTATAACTATGTTTTCTACATTTTTCAGTACATTATATTATTTTTATACACACTAGAGAATATTAAGACAATATCAAATGTGGCAGATTATGTGGGTAAATAATGAATTTAAACACCCATTTACTGAGTATCTATCATGAAAAACTACATTAATTTCAACCTCACAAGAACCTTAGAAGTTTATCCTCATTTTATACAGGCAGGAACTAAAAAATCAGAGCAGTTAAGGAACTTGCCCAAGATCACACAGCTGATAAATTTCAGAAATGGAGTTGGAATCCTTATATCAAAGCTCAGGCTCTTTCTAACATTATGTTGCCTCCTTCTCAAAGCTAAGTTTCAGATTTATCTTTCTCATAATATTCTTTCCAATTAACTTGAATTCCTTCAGGATGAATTGATACAGCATGTATTACACTGTCACATTTTTATGTTTTTCTTTGGACTTCTCTCTCTTGCTGTTTCACTTGTCAGCACCACTAGATGTATATGTTCCCTAAGTCCAGACACTCTATGCTGTATCCTCTATTTCCTTGTATGTCCCCACAGCAAGAACCACTTTGGAAAAATAACAACTTTTTACCCTGGTTATGCTGGGGTATGATTACAGGGATCTTTCACTTTTTACACTATATATATCTGTATTGTTTGAATTATAAAAAAAACACACATACATACATACAGATAATTATCTATACCTAATATTTAAAAACTTAACGATAAATGTCCAATGCGAAAAAAAACAAAGAATATATACACATTTATATAATATACCTAGTTTTACCATTTGAATTCTTGGAGATTAAAAACAAAAGAGTTAAATGAGGGAGGCATCTTAGTATTTTTCTATTTATAATAGTAATGGAAAAGGTTCTAAAAATCTGGAAGAAATGTCTAAGACACAGAACTAAGAAAAATACGAGGATATTAAGTGCCCAACACTTCATTTTTAGAGACACAAAAAGGAATGATTAAGGATAATGAGAATTTATATCACTGTTGGAAAGTGATGCAAAATTTAAATGTAAACATGTATGCAAAGCAAGCATTAAAACAATATATAGGTTGGGCATGGTGGCTCACGCCTGTAATCCCAGCACTTTGGGAGGCCAAGGCAGGTGGATCATGAGGTCAAGAGATGGAGACCATCCTGGCCAATATGGTGAAACCCCGTCCCTACTAAAACTACAAAAATTAGCTGGGCAAGGTGGTGTGCACCTGTAGTCCAAGCTACTCGAGAGGCTGAGGCAGGAGAATCACTTGAACCTGGGAGATGGAGGTTGCAGTGAGCCCCGATTGCGTCTTAAAAAAATATATATATATGTAAGAAAATCAAAGAACTAAAAACATGATTTTTAGTTAGACTAGGGCCACCCTCCAAAACGTTAACACAAATACAGAAGTTATGTATTTATATCAGTAACAGCCCAAAGAGAACTTATTATGACCAAATCAAAATGATTAAATCTTCATTCTTTGTGATAGATTATTTAGGTAGAAGTGTTCTTGAAGTCCTATAAACAAGACTGTATTGGGAAAAGCAATTTTGCTTGGTAAACTTTGTGTTTGACAGTAGAGTGACTTTCTATAGCTTACATTGAAAGAAGGCATTTGAGAAATGTGTACTTTTTAAAAAACAAATTAGTTGAATAAAATAAGAAATGAAACCGATAATAGAAAAATACAGTCAACTCTTAATGCTGTGATTGTGATAAAGGATAGCCAAGCATTACAAATTGGCTAGAATTTGGAACTGGAAAAGCCAGAAATTCAGCAGAGTTGAGAATTTTGACAAGGTAAGGGAATCAGTCATCAGGACTTTTTCTTTTTTCAGAAACAGGCATAAACAAAGTTCAAGACGAGCCAGTGAGGTCAGAAACTAAGCAACAAGTAAGCAGAAGTGAGTATAAATAGATATGAGAAGTAAGTCTAATCATTGGGCCAGCAATTGGGCAAGCAAGAAGAATAAGAAGGTAGTTATTGGAGTTCAGGGCAAACAATGTGGACCTGGAGGATACCGGCTCCAAAAGAGGAAAGGAAGTAAATGGTCAGAACCCGGCAGGTGGTCGGGAACCAGGAAATTCACAATAGCCCGATGGGGAGAGTAAGTTGGACAACTTAATTCTGTGACAAGTTGTCTCCAGAAATTTCTCCATCATTACCATAAAGAAATGTCATGAAGAAATCAGCATTTGTAGGTCTTGAGAGTAGAAATAGGAAGGTGCATCTGACCAGACATAGCTCATTGCCAGGTTTTCATGGTGTTAATCATTCAGCAGTTTTATATATAAAATTTTAAAATTGATTCTCCCGCCCTGTCTCTACCTCAAGTACGTCCTTACCTGTCACATCAGCCCTCTTTCTGGAAAGCTACCTAAGCTGTGTTTCGTGTATCTGTGATCTGTAACTGCTTCATGTCTTCCAATTCACTCGTGTTTATTCCTACTCTGATTTCATTTGCCTACCTATTTGGTTAGGGCCTCAAGCTCAGCTCAATGAGGTATTTTTCTTGAACAACTGATTTCAACCATGAGCCAATGAATACTCCACACCTGTTCCTCAACAACATCTGAAGCAGAGCCTTTAACTTTCTGGGACCTTTGAACTCTTCTGGGAGTTTTTAGATGAGGCCAGCAAAGCCTTCTACTGCCTATCAATGAAATTTTAATCTACTACTGTTAAAATCTTAAATCTCTATCTGAGTAAAAGGTTCTCTCCCCCATCACTGTCTGTGTGTATTGAGGATTGGAGAGTGCTCACTCAGTATCTGCATTTTACTCCCCTCCCCTTTCCCTTCTGGAAGCTGTGGCTCTTCCAGTGTTGAGGGCACGGAGGGTGGAGAAGACAAGGGCAGTCCCTTTGCTTGGCTAGACTCTATCGAAATCCCCTCTGGCTGTCAATACTTTTTTTTTTTTTTTGAGACGGAGTCTCGCTCTGTCGCCCAGGCTGGAGTGCAGTGGCGGGATCTCGGCTCACTGCAAGCTCCGCCTCCCGGGTTCACGCCATTCTCCTGCCTCAGCCTCCCAAGTAGCTGGGACTACAGGCGCCCGCCACTACGCCCGGCTAATTTTTTGTATTTTTAGTAGAGACGGGGTTTCACCGTTTTAGCCGGGATGGTCTCGATCTCCTGACCTCGTGATCCGCCCGCCTCGGCCTCCCAAAGTGCTGGGATTACAGGCGTGAGCCACCGCGCCCGGCCTGTCAATACTTTTAATGTGGCAGGCAACCAAACACTGACTTTTTAGTGGGTCTATGTGGGAGTTTCTGGAAGAGCTCAGCAAGGCCTTGTACTGCTGTCTCCTATCATATGAGATAGGCTTCTTACCAACCTCTTGTTCCTCATTGTAACTCTCTTCTCTGGAGCTGCACCCTGTAGTCTCCTGATAGGTGCTCTCACCTGGCTGGCAGCTTCATTCCAAGCTGTCTTACAAGGAAACTTAAGCATCTATGCCAAGCCACATGGTGGGGACAAAAAGATGACTCTCCTTCCACTCTTCCTCTCACTCTGGCTCCCCTCTCCATTTCTCTTTACTCTCCTAAGTTAAAAACAGATATGTCAACACATCTGTGCCTATGCAGACATCCAACAGGGTACGCAGAAACTTCAAATGTTTATGAAAGGAGTGACTTTCTTGGGAACTCTGCTTTTTTTTTTTTTTTTTTTTTTTTGAGATGGAATTTTGCTCGTCGCCCAGGCTGGAATGCAGTGGCATGATCTTGGCTCACTGCAACCTCCACCTCCCAGGTTCACGTGATTCTTCTGCCTCAGCCTCCCAAGTAGCTGGGATTACAGGTATGCACCACTACGCCTGGCTGATTTTTTGTATTTTTAGTAGAGATGGGGTTTCGCCATGTTGGGCAGGCTGGTCTCAAACTCCTGACCTCAGGTGATCCACCCACCTCGGCCTCCCAAAGTGCTGGGATGGGAACTCTGCTCTTTTGGTTTGTGAGAAGTATGTTCCTAGTGTTTTTCTGAAAACGTTACATTCATCTTCACTCCTATGATATTTTACCTCAGTATACATTCTGGGAGAGTTATTGTATTAGTCCATTTTCACGCTGCTGATAAAGACATACCCAAGACTGGGCAATTTACAACACAAAGAGGTTTATTGGACTTACAGTTCCACATGGCTGGGGAGGCCTCACAATCATGGTGGAAGGCAAGGAGGAGCAAGTTAATCTTATGTGGATGGCGGCACTGAAAGAGAGGGCCTTTGCAGAGAAACTGCCGTTTTTTAAAACCATCAGATCTCATGAGACCCATTCACTATCACAACAACAGTACAGGAAAGACCTGCCCCCATGATTCAATTACCTCCTACAGGGTTCCTCCCAGGACATGTGGGAATTGCGGGAGTTACAATGCAAGATGAGATTTGGGTGGGGACACAGCCAAACCATATCAGTTATTTCCCTAAGAACTTTAAAGATGTTATTCCTTTTTCTCTTGGCCTATCTACAATTGCCAATACAAAGGTGGCTGTCATGCTAAATTGTTTTTGTTTGTTTTATCCTGTCTGGTTGCTGCTAAGACTTCTCTTTGTCTTTTAATGTCATGAAGTTTCTCAGTGATGTGACTAGGGTAGATTTATTTTATGTCTTTTGTTTTTGGTACCTCTTTCCCAAAGTCTTGGGAAGAAGATGAGATTCCCTGATGCTTTTGTGACACTTCCTGAGCTAGGTAAGTTGGTAGGAAGTAGTACCAGCATACCACTGGCTATAAAGCAGGATTCTGGCTTTATGTGGTGTCATGGTCCATTTGGGCTCCTACAACAAAGTACCATAGACTGGGTAGCTCATAAACAATAGAAACTTACTTCTCACAGTTCTGGAGGCTGGGAAGTGAAAGATCCAGGTGGAGGCAGTTTTGGTGTCTGGTGAGGTCTCACTTCCAGGTATCATAGATAGTGCCTTATAGCTGTGTCCTTACATGGTAGAAGGGGCAGAATAATTTCCCTGGGTCTACTATATTTTAAAAGGGTACTAATTCCATTTGTGTGAGCTCTGCCTTATCTCCTAAAAGGTTCCACCTCCTCATCCTATCACCTTAGTGGTCAGGATTTCAACATGTGAATTTTGGGACAACATAAATATTCAGACCATAGCACATAAGGGTTCAGTTTCAGCTCCTTGCCTCACTCAGATCCAGCCACATCTCCTACCTTTAAAACTCCATGGTTACACATATCTGACTTATTTCTGAGTATGGTAATCCCCTGGGCTTAATATCTGCTTATTGTGTACTCACTCTACCTTTGAGTTCTCTATTTCTAGCACTGCATATTTCTTCTGTTTTTGTACTCAGTTGTATATTAACATTGTTTCATATATTTGTCCCAGCATTCATACATAACACCACACGTATATATACATAAACAAACATTTGAGGAGTGGGGTTGCATAATACAGGAAATCTAATCCAGTGGATCTGAAGGACCTTGTTATGTGAATTTTGAAAAATGCTAACCAAATGAGTCTGCATTATGAACTGAATTTTGTCCTCCAAAAATGTGTATGTTGAAGCCCTAATCTCCAAAGTGACTGTTTGGAGATAGGGCCTTTAGGGCAGTAATTAAGGTTAAATGACATCACAAGAGTGGGTCTTTAATCTGAAAGAACTGGTGTCTTTATAAGAAGAGGAAGAGATACCTCTCCATGCACTTGCACCAAGGAAAGGCCATGTGAGGACAGGGCAGAAGGTAGCCATTTGTAAGCCAGGTAAAGAGACCTCACCAGAAAGCAATGCTGATGATACCATAATCTTGGACATCTGGCCTCCAGAACTGTGAGAAAATAAATGCCTGTTGTTTTAGCCACCAAGTCTATGGTATTTTATTACGGAAGCCTGAGAAGACTTCATAAGCAGTCTGGTAATACAGCCTGGTAATCAGTGCCCAACTCCATCCCTCTGCACCAGAATATCCTGAACTCTTAATAGCTGTAACTATAATGGGAGCCCCAAGTTTGAGCCACCAGAGAATATCATGTAAACCTATATTGCTATAAAATTGTACTCTATTTATTTACCTGGGCCTTGGGTAACATTTTCTTTATCCTTTGCTCGTCCTTCAGTTTCTTTAATCTGCCCATTTCAGTCCTTAGCCTCATTCAATTCTGGCTAATGATCATAGGCAACAATTATATAAGGAATATTAAGACTGACATTTATGTGCCTATGTCATCCACTCCTGAAACTTCAAATTTTACTCTTTCTTCACATTTTTTTATTTTTTGCCTTTTTTCTGCCTCAGAGAAAGAGATGTTCCCTTTTCTATTCATGGTGAATTCTTTCTATATGTTCTAGATCTTACCTTCCTTTTAACTCTCCACTCACTCACCAGCACTTTTCAGCTTTCCTCCCTTGACCCCTTTTCCTCTGACACCAACAATACATAGGTCAACAAATTGGTTTTCAGTGACTTTCTTTTGATGATTGGTGAATTGGCTTCATTCCATTTTTCCTATCTGAAAGACAAAAAGAATTGACCCTGTAAGAAGTTTGTCAGGTCATCAGAATAAAGGAACAAGGCTGTGGGTATAAATTTAGAATTCATCATCAGGGAGCTGATAGTTCATTTGTTTGTTCATTCATTTGGGACAAATCTTTATTTCAAGTGCCCATTATATGCCAGTTTCAGTTAGGCATGGCATGTGTATTAGTCCATTGTCACGCTGCTAATAAAGATATACACGAGACTGGGTAATTTATAAAGAAAAGAGATCTAATTGACTCACCGTTCAGCATGGTTGGGAAGGCTTCAGGATACTTATGATCATGGCAGAAAGGGAAGCAAACATGTCCTTCTTTGCATGGTGGCAGGTAGAGAAAAATGAGAACCGAGCAAAGTGGGAAGCCCCTTATAAAACCATCAGCTCTCATGAAAACTTACTCACTATCAAGAGAATAGCATAGGGGAAACTGCCCCCATGATTCAATTACCTCCCACCAGGTCCCTCCCACAACACGTGGGGATTATGGAAACTACAATTCAAGATGAGATTTGGGTGGGGACACAGCCAAACCATATCAGCATGTAATAAGTGATTAATAAGTTTCTTTGTATAAATGAATAGATAAACCATCCTCTTATTGCCAATGCCTCCTAAAAAGACATTTCGTTTTCCTACCTTATAACAGAGGAGGGATACAGACAATGTGGTGCATCAGAATCAGCTAAAGGGACTGTCAAAAATGCAGATCTGCTGGCTCTAGTCCAGACTCCATCAGAAGCTCTGGGAGTGGGACCCAGGAATCTGCATCAGTAAACTCATAAAGGTGATTCTTTTGTGTACCCTTAAAAGTGGAGTTTTGAAGAAAAATGGGCAACAATGAAAAATTATATAAAAGTATAAGCATTAGAAAACCACAAATGTGAGAAAATCCTGCTGATATTCTTATTGATATCATATAATAGGGATGGTTGAGCCTGGATCTTCGATGGCTATGTTTAACAGCTGAATCAACCATACCATAATTTTAAGAATAATAAACTGCTATTCATTAAAGCCACTACTAGTTTAGCTCTTGGTTACTTGTAGCCAAAAGCATGTCTTACTGATTCAGATTAAGATTTTATTTGCTAGGAAGAGGCTTAGACTTTATTTAGTCAAATTAAGTGATGATTAGTGACTAAATTTGGTGCACTTTAAAAGTATCACAAATAATGTCTGTCTCACAGTATGCAAAAAATAATAATAATTTTAAGATAATAGTGTACTTGACCAAATGACACAGTTTGCATGTTGTCCCCTCCAAGTCTCATGTTGAATTGTAATTCCTGACATTGGAGTTGCAGCCTGGTGGGAAGTAATTGGGTCATGGGGGCAGATCTTCATGGCTTGGTGCTGTCCTTGCAGTAGTAAATACTCATGAGATCTGGTTGTTTAAATGTGTGTGACACCTCCTCTGCTTCTCACTCCTGCTCTTGTCATATGACATATCTGCTCCTGCCTCACCTTCTGCCATGAATAAAAGCTCCCTGAGGCCTCCCCAGAAGCTGAGCAGATACTGGTGCTATACTTCCTGTACAGCCTGCAGACTTGTGAGCCAATTAAACCTCTTTTCTTTATAAATTACCCAGTCTTTGGTATGCCTTCAAAGCAAAGCAAGAACAAGCTAACACAGAAAATTGGTACTGAGAAGTAGGGCATTGTTATAGAGATACCTGAAAATGTGGAAGCAGCTTTGGAATAGTGTAATAGGCAGAGGTTGGAAGAGTTTGGAGAGCTCAGAAGAAGATAGGAAGATGAGGGAAAGTTTGGAACTTCTTAGAGACTGGTTAAATGGTTATGATTCTGACAGTGATATGAACAGTGAAGTGCAGGCTGACTAGGTCTCAGATGCAAATGAGAATTTATCGGGAAATGGAGCAAAGGTCATCCATATTATGCCTTAGCAAAGAACTTGGCTGAATTCTGTTCATGTCCTAGTATGTGGAAGTTTGAACTAAAAAGTAATGACTTAGGGTATTTGGTGGAAGAAATTTCTAAGCAGCAAAGCATTCAAGAAATTACTTGGTTGCTTCTAACAGCCTATCCTTGGGTGTAAGAGCAAATAAATGACTTAAAGTTGGAAGTTATATTGAAAGGGGAAGCAGAGCATAAAAGTTTAGAAAATTTGCAGCCTAGCTATGTGGCAAAGAAAAAGCATTATCAGGAGAGGAATTCAAGGAGGCTGGGGAGCAACCACTTGCTAGAGTTATTAGCATGACTAAAAGGGAGCCAAGTGCTAATAGCCAAGACAACTGGAAAAAGGCCTCAAAGGCATTTCAAAGATCTTCGAGGGAACCCCTCCCATCACAGGCCCAGAGGTCTAGGAAGAAAGAATGGTTTTATGGGCGAGATCCAGGACTTTGCTGCGTTGTGCAGCCTTGGAACACTGCTCCCTGCATCCTGGTTGCTCCAGCTCCAGCCTTGGCTCAAAGGGACCCAGATAGAGCTCAGACCACTGCTTCAAAGGGTGTAAGCCTTCCACCATAAGGCTTAGCAGCTTCCATGTGGTGTTAAGCCTGTTGGTACACAGAGTGAAAGAGTGAAGGAGGCTTGGCAGCCTCCACCTAGATTTTAGAGGATGTATGAGAAAGCTTGCATGCCCAGGAAGAAGCCTGACACAGGGGCAGAGCCCTCAAAGAGAACTTCTACTAGGGCAGTGCCAAGGGGAAATGTGGGATCTGACTCCCTACACAGAATACCCACTGGGGAACTACCTAGTATAGCTATGGGAAGGTGGCCATCATCCTCCAGACCCCAGAATGGTAGATCCACTGTCAGCTTGCACCCTGCACCTGGAAAAGTCACAAGCACTCAATTCCAACTCGTGAGAACAGCCATGGTGGCTGAATCCTGCAAAGCCACAGGGGTGGAGTTGCCCAGTGCTTTGAGAGCCCAACCCTTGTGCCAGTATGCCCTAAATGCAGGACATGGAATCAAAGGAATTGTTTTGAAGCTTTAAGATTTAATGACTGCCCTGTTAGATTTCATTGTGTGGGTCCTGTAGCCCCATTCTTACGGCTGGTTTCTCCCTTTACAAATGGGAGTGTTTACCCAATGCCTATAGCCCCACTGTATCTTGAAAGAAAATAACTTCCTTTGATTTTACAGGCTTATAGGTGGAAGGAACTCATCTCCAGATGAGCTTTTGGACTTGGGACTTTTAATTGAGTTCATGCTGGAATGAGTTAAGACTTTGGTGGACTATTGGCAACAGATGAATATATTTTGCAGTGCCAGAAGACCATGAGATTTGAAGGGTCAGGGTGGAATGATATAGTTTGAATACTGTCCCCTCAAAATCTCATGTTGAATTGTAATCTCCAGTGTTGGGGGTGGGGCCTGTGGAACGTGATTGGATCATAGGGGCAGGTCCCTCATAGGTTGGTGCTGTCCTCCCAATAGTGTGTACTCAAGAGATCTGGTTGTTTAAAGGTGTGTAGCACCTCTCTCCTTCCTCCTGCTCTGGCCATGTGATGTGCTTGCTCCTGCTTCACCTTCCACCATGAGTAAAAGCTCCCTGAGGCCTCCCCAGAAGCTGAGCATATTCCAGTGCCATGCTTGTACACGCTGCAGAACTGTCAGCCAATTAAATCTCTTTTCTTTTTAAATTATCCAGCCTCAGAAACTTCCTTATAGCAACACAAGAATGGCTTAATACATCAAACAAGTAAAAATGAGTAACATTTGCTGCTGTTGGTATATCTTCTTGGTAATAGAGAATGTTTATGAATGATAATTATGACATTTATTGAACATATACTATACATCAAGCACTATGTTAAGAACTTTATATACATATCTCACCCAAACCTCATCACCCTGTGTCATAACTCACCATTATTGATGATTATGAAACATCATAACTCACCATTATTAGTGAGAAAATTACGAGTTCCACTTCGGGAAGTGAGGGATATCAAAGGTAGTGAACACGTTTCTTGAATATTAAAGGATAGAAAAATAAATGTGGTAAACTTATTAGTTCCCAGGTACGTTTCCTGGCATTACTACTGCGGATCTTTTCCATTAATTTAAATCCTATATCTCTTTCAGCACAAATCAAGTCCAAATCCTCCTTAGAAAAACTTCCTCAACATTTAGGTATGAGCTACGTCTTTTTCGCTTCTCTGGAATTTAGATTTAGGACCATATTATGTGGGTTAGAACATTTGGGGTTAAAAAAAATGTGTTATACCTAGAAGAGCACATTGTATGTAGGCACTAATAATTCCTGTCAAATGACATCTAACGATTTTGCATTTTTCACCTATAAAAATTTTCCATTATGTGACTTGAAAATTCTTATTTTAGGCTTACATATAATTATACTCCATTTAATTCAGCAAATGTAATTTGTTACTAATAGATAACAGTTCTCTGTGGGTTTCAGCTAAGTAATCTTTCTCTTGACACTTCTCTCTGGTGATTCAGGTTAATAGAAATTTGAGAACATATACAGCTATTTTAAATTAAGAATTTAATATCCTCCTTCTCTGCCTCCCTGTACTTATCAGTCCTCTTTAGGATTCTGTAATGATCAGGACTGATGCATTCACATATGTAAAATGTGTTTACGGGGAAAGAATATGTTTTTTAAAATACACTGCAGTTGATATGTCTTTATTTTGTCCTATTGCTAGATGCATGTGACAGAATAAAGTTCTTTGTTTCTCTTTACACTTAATTACATTGAGGATTTTAGAAAACTGTCTTCATGTGTTATATCTCTTGAATCGATCAACTTTTCAGCAAATATCTCAGTTGTTTAGATTTACTCTATGAAAAAGAGCATACCTTAAAAATACCAAATATATTATTTTGAATCTGCAGCCACTCTTCAATGTTAACATCTCATATGGTAACTTGTCATGGGGTTTAAATACTTTTTTGTTTTGTTTTGTTTCGTTTTGTTTTTGAGACTGAGACTCACTCTGTCGCCAGGCTGGAGTGCAGTGGTGCGATCTCGGCTCCCTGCAACCTTGGACTCCCTGGTTCAAGCGATTCTCCTGCCTCAGCCTCCTGAGTAGCTGGGATTACAGGCATGAGCCACCACGCCCAGCTAATTTTTGTATTTTTAGTAGAGACGGGGTTTCACCATGTTGGCCAGGATGGTCTCAATCTCCGGACCTCGTGATCTGCCCGCCTCAGTCTCCCGAAGTGCTGGGATTACAGACGTGAGCCACCGCACCTGACTGGATTTAAATACTTTTATAAGTTTTGCATTGTAGCTAAAATGCATATTAAAAGAACTTTAAAATATTATTTCCCCAGTAAATTGTATTATTATATTGTTCCTTATGCAAAGATACATCTCTAGATCAGTTAAACACATGGGATAAGTTAGGTCTAAGATTAAGAGAATACTGTTACATACAGTGGCATCTTTGATTTCAGATAGTTCAATTTTTTTTCAAGGAAACAGTAAGCAATGCAATATTTTCTTGATTTTTACATTGAAAAATATGTGTGAGGGATGCTTTAGTACTAAGCCTGTGGGAGAAAAAAATTGAATTTCTTAATGTAATGTGAACAGTTATTTCTATATTGCTTTCACCCTTTATTTCCTATTTGAAGAATAAAAATATAAAAACCAAACTACAGTACAATTTTCTTGACTATGACAGTAAAAGTTTGTCATTGCATATGACTCACATTTCATTAAAATGCATACAAATATGTTCCGGGATACACACACACACACGTTTTCATTTATGGATATACATGAATATATATATTCCGTATGTTTCATTTATAGATTTATCGATATAAATGAAAACTTAATTGAATCGTGTTCTTAAATAAAGATGCTCAATAATTGTTTCATGACCACAACACTTTAAGAGCATTCATTTTATAATCTGGAACTGGAACAAACCCACAAAGTGAACAGATTCTAGTTTATTACCCATTTTGCTAGTGTACTATAGCAATGATTCACATATTACTTTAATGTCAAATTCTTGATTAAAGTAGAATACATAATTCAACATTGTATTGTAACTTCCTTGGAGGAAAAGTTGGAAAAAAGCCAGTGATTCTTAAATGTCTCTGAGTCGTTTTGAAAGATATTTTAGGGGGAAATAATATTGAAATTTATTAGGTGAAATTTAGGTTATTCTTCTGTTAAAAAGATTTGAAATAGTGTCAGGAAGGGCTATTTATTGTACCACATTAACCAATTCTCCATCAGTGACTGAAGAGAGGAAAAATGCTATCATTCTGTTCAATGTTCGTTTATCTTACACATCAAGGGCACAGCTCAGAAGGCTGGTAATGTCAAGCCTAGTGAGATACATAAACTGATAAAAAAATTATTTGCAACAGCATTGATTTATATTTATTCACTTTTAAACGTCTTTTACACATTTTGTGTCTAATCTTTTAAAATATTTTAAAACAAATGCTATCATCAGATCGTGAACATAATACCATACTTCCTATTGCCTGTATGCTTTTGAGGAGGCTATATAAATATTAATTTTCCAGTTCTGGAATTAAGAGAAAGAAGATTGCAGAACTTATCTTTTTGTTCTGATTAACTGATACTGAAAATAACACTGACAAGGTCTCTGGGCCAGTGGCGACGGTGAGTTCAAATAAAGATTAGATGAAGATGAAGCGCGGTATCTTAGGTAAGATACACATCTTTACTGTGTATATGCGTGTACAAGAAGGAAAACTTGCTTTTTTTTTTTTAAGTAGATGTTACGAAGGATGGTTTTTTTTTTTTTTTCAACTTGCAAAATCTCTTGAAGGTTGGAGCAGAGCCGCCGGTTACCTTTGAGCATCGAAATACCGCAAGTTATCCCGTTTCCTTTTCCCCTCAGGAAAGATGGGTGCAGGGTTGAGATGTTACAAGAGAATTAAAAGAGAGCCACCAGCTTGGCATAGTAGAAGAAACAAACCCAAAATGAAAACACCCGGATTTTAAGCGCGGATCCTGCGAGGCCGGTTTGCACTGGCCGAACGCCTGCGTTAACCCTTTGGGCGCCGCAGCTGGGATCCCCGGTGTTTGCGGACCCGACCGGCAGGAACAGAGATGGAGTGTCCCGCGCCCGCATGGGGAGTGAGCTCTCTTCCCCAAAGAGGGAGCGAGCCGAGAAGCACTTTTTCCTCCGGTGCGTGCGTCACGGCCCGGGACAGGCGTCGAGTCCGGTTTGGAGTGGGGGCAGAGACGCGGCGAGGAGCCGCTCAAATGTCCGCTGACTGGGGGTTCGCCTTAATCTGTCCTCGCCAGGAGCGCTCGCCCTCGCCCTCCCGCTGGCTCGCTCCTGGGCCCTGGAGGGGCATGGGCCCGGGGGCGGTTCGGGA
This sequence comes from Homo sapiens, assembly GCF_000001405.40. NCBI lineage: Eukaryota > Metazoa > Chordata > Mammalia > Primates > Hominidae > Homo > Homo sapiens. The sequence goes on along the minus strand of NC_000012.12, from coordinate 89,709,898 downwards.
GGGGCCCCAGGTGAAGGGCGCCCGCACTTCTCCTGCGGCAATCATCGCTCTCCTGCCTCCACACGTCGCGGCAGCGGCCCGGCCCCGCGCCGAAACAGCAGCTGTGACTGACGGAGTCACCTCCCCGCGCGCCTGGCCACCCCCTCCTCCCCCGCCGCTCCCTCCTGCACCAACACGTCATGGAAACACGGACGTCAGAGCCTCTCAGCCAATCGCAGGCTGCGGCAGGAGGGAAGGGGCGCGCTGGAGGGGGCGGGGGCAGCGGCAAGCCAAGGCGCTCAGGGGAAGGAAGAAAGGGAGGGGCGTGCGGAGGCGCAAGTCCCCACCTCCGCCCCTCACTCCGGCCACCCTTTCCCGACCGCGCGGCAAGTTCTAATCGCCAGGCGCGCGCTCGCCAGCCGAGGGCGCGCTCGCCGGGTCCTCCCCTTAAACGCCCTCCCAGTGCCGCTCAGCTCCCAGTCCCGGTCCGAGCCGCGGTTCCTCCGCGCGCGCGCGCGCGCACTCGCCCGCCCCCAGGCTCCCCGCGGATCGCGTCACGTGACCGCGCTCAGCCAAGGCGGCAGCGGCGGCGGCGCGAGCTTCGGCGGCGGTGGCGGCTGTGGCAGCGGGAGCAGCTGCGCCGCCAGCGTGGAGCGGGAGGCGTGTGGGTGTGGAGAAAAGGGAGCGCCAGACCGGAACGGGTGAGCGTTCTCCTCCCCCTGCCTACCCCGGCAATCTTGCAGGCCACCCGGTGCAGACGGGGTCCCTGCCCGGAGCTGCGCGCAGCCCCCTCGTGCTCGGCCGTCCGCTCTCCGGTGCCCGCGGGCCCCGCCCCGAGTGGGGCGGGCTGCGGCGCTCACGGAGGTGGCTGCACCCCGCCCGCGGCTGCTGTTGCGGACGGCGGCGTGAGGCCGGCTGAGCTGCCCGTGCCGAGCGAGCGCGGCGCGCCCTGTGTGCCGCTCTGCGGAGCCGAGGAGGCGGGTCCTGCGGGGACGCGGGCGGCCACTCGGTGGCTGCCGGGCTCTGGGCGGGGACGGCCGGGCGCCGCCTCCTCCTCCTTCGCTGCCGCCGCCGCCTCCTCGCAGTGCAGCGTGAGTAGGGAGCCCCGGCTGGTGGACGCCGAGCCTCTCGGCTCCTTGGCCGCCCCATCCCCGAGGTGCAGCTGCACCTCCGCGTGGCGCCCCGAGCCCTGCGAGCCGGCTGCGGACGCGCTGAGGACGGAGCCCCCATCCTCTGCGTTTCCCGCTGCCCCTTAACGCCCCGCGACCCTCCCGCAGCCTGCCTTTCCTTCCCCCTCGGAAAATGGTTCCCACTGCCGGGCGAGGTGAGTGGCGGCCGCCGCCCGCCCGCGGCCGGGGGCGGCGGGGCAGGTCACCTGCGGGGGAGGCCAGGCGGAGCACGGAGGTCGGGCGTCGCGGCGGGGATCCTGATAGCTGGGTGCGCAGCGGGTTGCGCCGGATTCGGGAGAAGCTGACGGGGGCGGTCGGGGCCCCTCGCAGGTTGCCTCTTGCCGGGAGATTGTGAAGGTGAGCGGGCTTCTCGCCGTGCACCTCAGCGCCGGGTCAGTCTGGGAGTCGCTGCTCCGGGCCCGAGGGATGGGGCTTGTTGGGGCTTCTGGTCTACACCCGCAGGTCTTCGGCTTCACGAAGCCGCCTCGGCCGCGCCACAGCCCATCCCGCCACCGGTCGCCCCCGCCACGGCGCGTGGTGACCTTGAGGGCACCGTGCCCGGCACTCCCTCTCCCCGCGCCCCGGGAGGGTCACCCCTCTAATCCTTGGCCTCGGCCCCCCAGACGCACTGCGGGAGGGGAGCGGGGGCCCCTGGTCGGCCCCTGGCCCTGGTGGTTGATTGTTGGCGTGTCAGGACGGTGATTCCTCGGGAGTTGGAGAGCCGCCTGGTCTTTCTCCTCACGCCTTCCGTCTGGCCCCCCAGGATGTTCACAGTTGTTTCCGATTCGTGTTTATTCACTTAGTTTAAGAGAAAAAAGCCTGCGCCCCCACCTCCCTTTTTGAGGAAGGAGTCTGTAGGAGGACCGCGTTCCAGTGGCAGGGGTGTGGGGTGGGGGCTGTGCTCTCTTTATCCCATCCTGCGGGAGAATCCTGTGGCTAAGCTGGTTAGCGACCCCTGGTTCTGCGCCGCGGTCACCAGCCAGGTTGGTCTCTGTGCGCATTTCATTCACCAGTTTTCTGCGGGACTCGCAGCGCTGGGAGTGCTCGCACCCTGTGCGCTGCTTGGCTCGGAGGGGAGGGCAGGGCGTCCGGGTGGGTTAAAGGGGTCTGCAGGTACTTGGAGGGCTCGACCCTCCTCGACAGGCTGATATTTACCTTTTCTTTGGGTTAGAGCGCTGCAGACAGCCACCTTTCGCTTCTGTGCCCGCTACTTTTCTTGGTTTATTAATAATCTAATGGCTTCTGTTGGTATCGATTGCTGTTCGTGATAAATTAGCTACATAGATTTTTTTCATACGTGTGTAGGTATATGCATATATCTGAACTTGTCTGCCTGTCAACATGGAAGCCTTTGTTGTGTTTAACCTCCCCCACCTGAGGACAGTCTTATTTTAAAATAAGGCTTTTGTTCAGCGTGGGTGTATTTTATAATAAGAAGTACTTGTAAGGGCCTGGTTTGTATGAGGCTCTCATCTGGCAGAGGGTGTGTAACCCTTTGGATGGTGGCCCACGTGAGTGAATGGAGGGCCTTCACCACTTGCCCCGATGCCAGCCTTCCCGAGACTCCCTGTCCTTGTGTGTGGCAGGGGTGGATTGGGGGAATTAAGAGGGATTGGAGGAGAATCTGCTTTTTGTACTTGTGCGTTTCATTTGGGTCCTCCTCCTCCCCTCTCTTTTTCTTTATCCTCCTGGTGAGTTCAAATTTGAAGTAAATAGAAACATTTTTTTTTTAATTGGGAACCTTTGATAGCTAGTATATGAAATGGGCTTATTTAGCTATGATTTCAGGAGGACGTTTTAGTTTTTACCTTGCTTTAGATAAGACAGCTAAATTGCTGTAATTAAGGGTGGATCTCTGTCCTGATTTTGGCTTGGGTGTAACTGCAAAGATCTTTGAAAAGTAACTGTTAATTTCCTACCATATAGTCTGCAAAAGTGAGTCACATTCGGGTGAGTTGAGGACAGAGCGCCACCTTTAATTTAAAATTTCGTGATTTTCTTTTATTAAAATGGTGAAAATTCGGGGTACGCCTTCTTGATTTTTATCGCAGCTGTCATTATTGGCATCCCCATTTTGACGTGTAAGGGGGAATTGTCTTCATTTTTCTGTATTCTCTCATTTCTCTTTTGAGAGAAATTTCTGCAATTGTATGGGAAATCTTTTTTTTATTGAAGCTTGGGATTTTAGCATTCTGAGATGAGATGAGAAACTAGTTTTGATTTGTGTTTATAATAATATTGATGGTCTGGATATTCTTGGTAAAAGAAGGAAAGTAATAGCTGCTTTTAATAGGTGGTTTGAACTAGCCATTGCCACCAAATAAAGGTACCTACCAGTATGACAGTGGCTTTACAATTTTTTTTTTTTTTTTAGCTGTAGGCCTATTAACAGATTCTAAAATAAACACGCAGGATCAGATATAGTAATTCTTTTTTGTTGTCTTCCAACAACTTACCTTTTGTGATTTTACTGTTTTACAGTTGCTTGTTCTTAAATAATATAGATGAACACTTCGAGCAGGTGTACTTATATTCAAAGTTTAATAAAGACCATGTTAGAAAAAGTGGTTTGTATACATGGCTCCTCTCAGGTGCATCTCATGTAAAAATAAATGGAGATTTTAATACTTAGAAAAGAGTTACTGTAGTGACAGTTGAGATTTCTTTCCCTTCCCTTCCTTCCCAAATCATAAGTATAAGGAACACTGTCTCTTTAGGCACAGCCTCCTTTTTTGATGTAACATGAGAAAAGGGATTTAGCTCCCAAGTAATGAATTAAGATGTGGATATTATTACATATAGTCTTACTTACAAACCGCAAAATATTACTGCCCTTCTATCTGCATTTAAGGTTTCATTCAACACTTGCAATTTCTCTATAGACAATGTAAAGCATTGGCTATTGAGCTGTAGATAAGTCTTTATTAAACTAAAATTAGCCAAAAACTCTGAGATGAAAGGTGTTTTATCCCCTTACTGCTATGTGTTCTCTGTCGAACTATGGAATATGGCCCCGGGATAAAGGACATTATTTGAGCTATTAGATTGTTGCATGTAGAGTAATTATATGTTGTTATATATACTTTCATAGATTCCTTGATTTCAGAGTAAGATTTACTAATTTCCTTTGACTGACAGACATGTTAACTTCATTTCAGATGCAACAGTCTCTTACCATGGGAAATGAGTTTTAAAAGGAACGGCCACTTATAACTATTGGTCTTCTGTAATATTGAACAAAATAATATTTGGTTTTTTTCCCTTACATTTTACACATGAATACAGTAAAATTGATGTTTTCACTTTTTTATTCTGGAATTTTGTAATGGATGAGCAAAAAACAATAAAAGGACTGAGGATCAGAAAGCAGAAACAAACATTTAGGTTTTTGCATCTCGGGCAAGAGTATTGACCAGATGGAAGGGAATAATTATTTTCTAGTAGCTGTCATGATATGTAATAAAGGTACTAATAGTAGCTTATTTGGGACTAGGTGGAATCTGAGGTGACATTGCCAGGAAAATAACATACAATGGTTATGGGAATAATTTTCATAAAGATAAATAACTTTAAAAAATTCACTTTTTAGCTTTTAGAAATGTTATCTATACATACCACATATATTGTTGTCTTGTTAAAATTTTTTATTATAGAAATTATCAAACATAGGAAAGTAGAGAGAATGATATACTTACTGGCCAGTTTTGACAATTACCAACTCTCGTGGTCCATCACATTTCATTTATATCTTAACACAAGAAATGGTTCTGTTATAAATGGGGACATAGGACAGGTAATCGAATCGAATTTTTGTATTTGTATTTTTCAGAATACGGTATACTCAATAGTGTCCAATATCTAATTAAATCTGAATGGTCAGTTTTTATGTTCTTCGTTGATTCTTTAGTGGCATATACATTTTAATTTTTCTGGTGGTAGTTTGTGTATTTTACAGCAGGTGCCCAAAGATAGTGTCTCTCAAATTTTGCTGTCTTCAGAAATCACAGGTATTATTATTAACTACTTTACAGTTTTCAGAATGTATTTACATATGACCTCATTTGATTCTCACAATAATCCTGTGTGGTGAGTAAGGCAGACAATTGTACTTTTTTTTGTTTTTTGTTTTTTGTTTTTTTTCTGGTAGGCAAAGTGATTTGTCTAGGCCCTAAGGTCATATAGCTAGCAGCTTTTTTAGCCCAAACTGGACTTTAGGTGGCTTCTAGATTTTGCTCATTGCTCTTCTCATTATACACGTTTATGTAAGTTTATGAAAGTTATGTATGGAAAATCAGTTTTGATCAGAGTAAATTTAATAGAGAAATATGAATGGGTTTGTTTGGGTTGAGCTTTATAAATTTAATCATTACTTATATTTGGTGTAATACAAACAGTTTGTGTTTTGATTTACTTAACAGCTGAGTGAATGTGAACGTATCTGAAATACTATATTTTTAATATTGTGGATTTTTTTAAGTTAGGAATTTTGATTTCAAAGAACTGTTGGCCTAGGGGTGTCTTAAATCTTGAATAAAAATAAAATGTGCTGTACTAAAAGTTTCTTCTTTAAATTTCTGCTGTAACTTTTTATGCACTTGTTTTTATACTATAACATGTTTATTACCTAAATCTCTTTGAAATATTCATTTGTTCTGTAATGAAATTTAGTTTAAAAGGTTCCAAATGAGGAGGTTTTAGTTCCTGAAATCCAAAACCTGGTTATAAATCTCACAAGAAAGGTGTGGTTCTCCAGCATTAATGTGCATGAAGAATCACCTGGGGGAGTTACTGAAAGTGCAGATTCCTTGGCATTGCCCCTGGAATTTTGATTCAGCAGATTTGAGGTGGGGCCAAATGCTACAGTAGTCTGCATTTTGAGAAACATTGACATTGCATTTATAACTAAGTTAAAGTTACATGGTAGAGATACCTAAATCAGTAGCAAAGTTTGATTTGTTGATGTCGATGGTTTTTGTGACAATCCTAGAACTGATAAATTGAAAATATTTCTGTTATCTATGTATGCCCAGTCTTTCAGAAGATCCATCTGTGGTTACTTAAGTTACTTATTAAGCACTGTAAACTATTAGAGAATGTTCTTTTATTTTCATGTCTTAATGTCTGCCATTTTCAAATGACTTAGACACCAGAGTTTATATTCATAAAAATAATGCATGCTGTATCCTTACAGTAGTGTGTGTTTATCCTTTAGTCTAGCTCTTTGTTAGAAGAAAAGATCGGATATTCCTTCAGACTAAAAGGACATAAGTTAGTGGATAGATAGCTCTCTTTAATTTTAGTTAACAAGCAGTTGCTCTTTCAAAAACAGCAAGTAGATCTTCCAAGAATATTAGTGATAGCATACTAATTGATAATTTACTATTTTATGCATTAAAACAGAAGTTACTGCTGTCTCACTTAAATGTTAAATAACCGTTTGTGTAGTTCACCAATCTACTCTGACTTTTGGAACTATTTTATCTAATACCATATCCACGTGAATTACCTGCCTTTAATAATTTTCCTCTTTAAGACCAGTTTTGAAATGCAGTTGTTTTTTGCTTCATTTATAACAGTATAGCAAATAGCCTGTATCTGCATTTAAAATATATTTTATAATAAAATTAATTTCAAAGCAGGTTCATCTCAAGACTGTTGGGAACCTGTTTTTGTTTGTTCCAAAACTTAGTCTTGTTGGCTACACCTTAAGGTTTATTTAGGAATCATAGCTTGTAATTTACTAAAGCTTATGGTAATCTAAATTAATAAATATTTTTGGCAGAGAGGTCCAAATAAACTGTGGGCACATTTTTTTTTGCCATATTTTTAAAAGCTATTTTCTATTAAATTTTTCCTAGGACAGTGTCAGCTATTCCAAATCGTATGTGGTGTTTTTAGTTATAAGAATATTTGGTATTTCTAAGTACAGTGACTTCCAACAATATGGTTTCTTAAAATATGGGATACCTGCTTTTGTAGTAATACTACTGTCACCTGGGCCTCTGAGGGAACAAATAAAGGTAGTGTTGAATGGACCAATGCTTGCTTACACTGTGAAATCTGAGATTACACTGCCTAACTGTAAACTGGCATGACTACTGTACAGACCTGATAAATTTAGGAGTCAAATTTATGTTTTCTGAAAAAAATAGGTCTTAAAGAAGATTTGACTGTTTAACTTGAAAGATGCTTTTTAAATACTTTTTTATTAACAATGTGGATCTATTATTCATTGTATTAACCCTGTGAGTGAGTTCTCTCTCAGGAGGATTTTAAATAATAATCTTGTACTCTCAAAACTCTCAGATCTGCTGCTTTAATCTACCTTTCATATTTGTGCCAGAATTTTCTTTTGTTTTTCAATAACCTATTTTAAACCACAGTTTCTTCACTAAAACTTTCATCTTTTTTTTATTTTTCTCTTTATCAAAATACAACTTGACTCTGAAGGCCTTTTATAAAGTAGCTCAGTGTTTTCTAAATTGTGTTTTAGAATGCTGGTTCCAAAAAATATTAATAGGGATTTCCTGGGGGAAAGAGGCACAACCAAACTCCAGGATATGCTGGTTTATGCAGTTTGGAACTTCTCTGGTACTTCAAGGTGCTAATAAGGGCTGAATCTAAATGTGGCTAGTGTTTTGTCCTCTCATTTCACAAAACTCCCTTTAGTGGAACATCTCACCTTGTTAACTTTGTGTACCAGGATCACTGCTTTGCACAACTCCAGGGGATGCTGTTCACATACAACACAAAATGAATTGTGTTTCCTGGAGTTGAGAGCTGTGTTGCATACTGTAGTATTGCTGACTGTCCACTGTGTGACGGTCTTAGAGTCTGGTGGTCCCTCATCCTTTTGTTGTGAATGTGTATGTGTTTTTCCTCTCACCTGATAGGACCCTTAGGGGCCAGATGCTGTGCTTGATGCCTATAAGTCCTAGCACTTTGGGAGGCTGAGGCAGGAGGTTCGCTTGAGGCCAGGAGTTCGAGGCTGCCTGGGTGACACAGCAAAGAACCTGTTTACCAAACAAAAAAACCAAATTAACTGCCACATTGAAATTCAGAAGTGGAAAAGTCCTGCCTGTAGAGAAGCTAAATTCTACTGTCCTAGTAACATTCTGTGAAATGTATGTAGCTATCTTCCAGAAATAAAACATTGCCTTATGAACCCATCTGAGTAAGGTTAAAATTCCAAAGGTAAAAAGGTTTTAAAAATCTCCCAGAAAAATTTCCTTAACCTTCTCTGCTTTACTTTAACAGAAGCTACACAATGTCTAAATCCTAAACCAATATGCCAAAAAAAATAGTACCTGAACATTTGCTGGATAAAGTTCTATATATCGTGATATAGAACCCTATATCTTATCTCAGTTCTTTTATGTTATCTCCAAATGAATTACTAAGACAAAGGGATAATAAATGGGAAGTGTACAACCCGGAGGACTTCAGACCAGAAAATCAAAGAGAGATGATGGGAAAGGGTGGAGTAATGCTGAGTTTTGAAGAATGGGCACATTTAGACAGACCAAAGACTGAGCATCATATCATTGCTGCCGTTCCATGAACTGAGAGCAAACTGTTAGATCATGACCTGCTACAGAATCACTAGGCATCAGGAAGAAGAGTAGGTATATGGTCTGTATTAGAGTATAGCAATGGATTATTCTTCCAGCTGCCAAGAAGTCAAGAAGGAAAGCCTGTATTTGACTTTATCATTTCTATTGAATGTCTGAGTGATACATAGAGTAGTAATTTTAGACATTTAAGTAACTAAAGATTTATATAGCTTTAGTATGTAAGCTGTTATATTTAAAAATGCTTGAAAAAATAAGAGTTGTTCTCCAGAAATTATTCATTTTCCTATGATTAGCACAGCTGAGACCTTACAGGTGCACTGCTATTGAGTATTCTCCCAACCTTTTAAATTTTATAGGTCTAATTGTTGGTAAGGTATTGTGGAAGGAGTTCTAAGACTTGCTCCTGCTTTAATTGACGTTGCAATAATAATCATAATAAAATTGTTGGTCAAAGAGTAGCACAGGAGTGGTTTTGGTAGTGAAGAAAATAAAAAGAAATCTGAAGGTAGAGATGAATGGAATCAGCAAAAGTGAAATTGGTTAGATTAGTAAGTTGTTTTTCTACTGGGACACTCATGGATGATACTGACATATACTCCATTCTCCCTTGCTAATATCTAGATTTTTTTAGTACCTCTAATACTAAGAGATTTTTAATTTCTTTGCTATACTTCTGTCCTTTTCTTCTCTATTCATGCTCAAAAGAAAGTAAGTGCTATAACTACTCTTTTTTGTTTGCTTAAAAAATGACTCATGAACTTAAGGTACTTAAGTGTGGACACTCCTGACAACTAATACCATAGCGGAGAACTACTGAGTTAAAGGGTACCAGTGCAAATAGAGGGCTGAAAACAAGGAAGGTCAGTCAGTGAATGGGAAAGAAATATGACAAAGCCTAGGAAAGGGAGCTCCTCTAGCATCAAACTGTCTGCATGTCGAGTCTCAGAAAAACAAGGATTCGTCAGTCAACCCCTTTCTGCATGCACAGTGGATTTAGGGTAAAGTTTATGTTACCCTGTCTTTGGCCGAGCGCAGTGGCTCCTGCCTGTAATCCCAGCCCTTTGGGAGACTGAAGCAGGAGGATTGCTTGACCACAGGAGTCTGAGACCAGCCTGGGCAACATGACAAAACCTCATCTCTACTAAAAAAAAAAAAAAAAAAAAATTTAGCCAGGCATGGTGTCGTGTACCTGTAGTCCTAGCTACTTGGGAGGCTGAGGTAGGAGGATCGCTTGATTCTAGGAGGTAGAGGTTGCAGTGAACTGAGATTGTGCCACAGCACTACAGCCTGGGCGACAGAGGGAGACCGTCTCTGTCTCAAAAAATAGATGACCCTGCCTTTGAGCTTAAGCACTACTGTTTTTATGTACATAATTTAATGCTGGAACTTGATCACCTCCGGCCCTCCTGCTGACAGCATTTCTTTTGCTAGAAATACCCACCTTTCTCAGAGCCTGTGTCTCCTTTGGTTTTGGTTTTTACTCCATGATATGTTAAGGACTCACCAGATTTAAATGTGAAATTTATCTTCACCACTAAAAAGCCCACTTGTCTTGGATAAATCACTTGGTTTCTTTAACTCCTCAAAAAGTACAAAGTCAGGGGGTTTTGATTTTTCTCTCTTGAAAATTTGGCTTTTAACAAAATTTGTATAGCAAAAACAGGTTACCCGCTCCCCCCAAACTTTCAACCATTTATTTCTTTATTCTGTTAGGTTTGCCTTCCAATTTTGTCTTTTAACTACTTTGTCATCATTTTGACGTTTCGTCTGTGATACACCGTGTTTGATTTATGAAGATAAATACATTTATTGAAAAGCTAAATTATCTAAGATTTCAGTTAAACAAGTGGCATATTACTAGCATTTAACTCTGCCTCTTGCCAAACATATACTAAAATGAGAATAAGGGAATTCTTTTTTAAAAAAGCCATAAATCCACAAGGGAGAAGAGAAACCCACACCAAAATTTTAGAAGGCGTTGACTTAGTAGACTTAAAAAGCTGATCTCTAAGTAATAGAAAAGCCCAGAAACAAGTCAGTTTATAGAATTCCCTGAGAGCTCAAAGCTGGGAAAACATGGGACCCATGGTGAAGAGGGGACAGGGGGGCAAAACGGGAGAACTGGTTGAAATTTTAGGAATTTGATACCCAGATATCTTTCCCTCTGTCTGTACTCTGTGATCTCTTTTCCTTCATCCTTGCAGAAGGCTGGAAGCTTGCTTTCTGGAGAAGGCTATGCACACTGGGAATACAGTTGAAAACCAGGGTACCACACTCAAAACCGAGTGTTTACCTATTTATGTTAAGATCACCAGTCTTCTTCCCTCACCCAGCTTTCAGAATTCTGGCCAGAATAGAAGTGTCTTATCTAACCTGACCAGCTCAAGGTAAAAGACCTCAAGAATCGGACATTGGCTGTGTCTGTGTCTCCAAAGAAAATGTCCCAGTCAGCTCACCCTACTGTGAAACCCATATTGAATCCAGAACTTCTATTTAGTTTGTGTCCTTTTTTTCTCATAAACAAATTTGTTATAGTCTTACTAAGATATAATTGGCATAGAATAAACTTTACACTTAAAGTGAAAAACTTGAGTTCTGAGGCATGTATATATTTCCACAGTCGCCACCACAGTCAGGTAATCATTCCCCTAAATTTTTTGTGCCTCCTTATCTTCCTTCCCTTCCCCTACCCCAGCTCCTCCTTTCCTCAGGCAGCCCCGATCTGCTTTCTGTCGCTATAGAATAATTTGACTTTTCTGGAATTTTATGTACATGGAATCATACAGTATGTGTTCTTTTTTGGTCTGACATTCACTCACCATAATTGAGTTTCATCCATGTTGTGTATATTAGTAGTTCTTGTTATTGCTGATGAGGATTCACTGTATAGATACACCACAATTTGTCCGTTCGCCTGTTGATGGACATTTTGGTTCCAGTAACATACAGTCTCTTCCTATTATCGAGTTGTAATTTCTTTATATGTTCTTGATAAAAGTACTTTAGGAAGCATTTGTGTTTGTGCTGGGGATGGGAAGAAGAATGGTGATAAAAGATATGAGTGGATCACTTGAGGTCAGGAGTTCGAGACCAGCCTGGCCAAAATGGTGAAACCCCGTCTTTACTAAAAATACAAAAATTAGCCGGGCGTAGTGGCATGGGCCTGTAATCCCCACTACTAGAGGCTGAGGCAGGAGAATTGTTTGAGCCCAGGAGGCGGAGGTAGTGAGCTGAGATCGTGCCACTGCACTCCAGCCTGGACAACAGAGCGAGACTCCATCTCGGCAGGTGGGGGAAAGATATATATGAAGCCTGTAACTGAAAAAGCAAGCGGTAGCTTTGTAAGCATTATTTGTGGAGATGAAGGATTTGAGGGTACTTTTCCTAGTTGCTTCAGAGTAGAAAATGGGATGGGGGACTAAGAGGACTGCTGATATTTGAAAAAACGGTGGGGGTGGGGAGGAACTAAGAGGACTGCTAATATTTAAAAAAAAAAAAAAAAAAAAGCCTTTTGGATTTGTTTTCCTAAACAGACTTTATGCATGTATAAGTTTGTCAAAACTGAAAATGAATACATGTATGAAATAAGTTTAAATGTGTGGATAACCCAGATATGTCATCTGTCATTCATCTCCTGTGTCTTTGTACAGTCTTGTGCAATTTAGATACACAACTCAATTTTACTTTGGGTAAAATAATCCATTTTTACAAAAGCAGAAGTGAGCAATGTGGACATGAAGGAACATTTCTTTAGTGAAGACAGTCTATGGATAACTCAAGAGTCCCCTTCCTTAATTTCTCCCTCCAGTCATCCTCTACTTTGCAAATCCAGATTCCTCATTTCTTTATTATATAGAACAATTGATTGCCTTATTTGGTTTCTTGAGTCTTCCCCTGAGATTCTGACCCGCCATACCCCAAGCTCATAAAGACATATAAAGACATTTTTTCCAAATAATTACATATAGCCCACTGCCTGATAAGAGTCTGGTGTATGATTTCTGTTTCTTCATCTGGATAAGGCCAAATTCCATTCCACTCATTAAATTTCTGTCTTCCTATTAAGGAACTTGATATTTGAATTACTTCTTGCTTTTTTTTTTTTTTTTTTTGAAGGAAGTAGAATCTCGGGAAAACAGCAGTCATTTCTTAAGAGATGTTAGAATTTAGAGGGTGAAAAAAAAAACAAAACTAATGTTCTTTTGTTAACATGCCATGAAAAACAGACTAGCTCCAAAACACACTAGTTACTTTGACTAAAGGGAATGTATGATTATTGAATAAAATGAACACCTGTGTAGCTGCCTTCTACCTGCTGGTACTGTTCAAAGCAATTTACACATATTAACCCATTTAAATGAGTGGGTTCTGTGTAATATATGGATGAGATATTCTCTATAGAAAGAGATGAAAAGGGCTATGAATAGTTTTAAAGGGCTATGAATACCCTAAAATACAGTGACTTACATAACCTTTTTACCAGTTAGAAATGTAACACTATATAATGTTTGGAAAATAGGACAATGTAAAGTGAAACAAATCACTCATAATCCTCCGTCTGAGAAATAGCTAGTTTTAACACTTTAATGGTTTTTATCTTTTGAAAAACTTACCTATTAACATCCTTCAGATAATGTAGGTATAATTATGTGCTTTTTAGAAACTTTGTATTATTTTCTCATGTCATTAAATTTTTTCATTAACAACATTTTAATAATGTTGTATCCTATGGCTAGTCCCTTGTTATTGGATGTTTTGATTTTAATTCTTTTCTGTTAAATAATCTTCCAGTGAGCATCTTTATTTGCATATGTTTGTCTTCATTTATGATTGTTTCTCTGTATTTACTGTATTTAAAGGATTTTGGTAGTTTGTGGTCTTATGACTAAAATTTTCTTCCAGTCTCCTTTCTCTGAGGCTGGTCAGATTTTGGGGAGTCTGTCTTTTCTTGCTGTGTCTATAGTATGTCCCACTCATTTCCAGGTCTCTGCTTTACTTTTCCAAATTTCCATAGCACTTTTAAGAATTCATATTTTGTTGTTCACATGTTTGACACTTCCGTGACATGTTCAGTTTGGGAGCAGGAACTGTGCATCTTTCTGTCACTCACCCTTGGCACAATGCCCTGTTTATACCTGTGAGGTTGTTAATGATTCTTGAATGAGCCTCTTGTGTCTGGTCTTGAGCTTGAATCCACTGACACTGGACTTCTGCATCTTATAGAAACTGTAGTGTGCTTGGGGTGAGAATTTATCACAGATACTGTTTCTTTTAAATTTGAGCTGAATGATATGTCAGGTAAATGACACAAAGATTGGAAATATTTTCTTATAACTATGTTATATAAATTTAATTTTTTGTGAAACAAGAATTTTACTATCCCTGCTTCTAAAGAGCAGGATAGACTTTACTAAATAGAATAGAATACTAAGAAGCAGCCAATGGAAATGGGTATTACTATTTAAAAATGCCAGTGAGTAGATGTTTTTGTAAAATGTTGCTTAATAGATTAATGTATCTATCTTTTTTTTTAATAGAGGAGAAAACTTCAGAAGTTTGACATCTAAACTTAAATACAACTACAGCTAAAGAGTTAGTCCAAAAAAGTTAAGTTTCAGTATTGTAAACGAGGTAAAACTAGGGAAATTTAAAGGTGTCTTGGCAGGCTCTTTCTGTGACATCATATATGAATTTTTTTCTTTTTTTTAATTCTCATTTCAAGTAGAAAATTTCAGATTTGAGATAAATATTTTCTTTTAAAAAATATTTATATGATTGCTAGGGTAGACCGTAACAACTGTGACCTGCTGAGAGGAGAGACTGTTATGTAGAGCTTTAAGTCAGCCTTGCTCAGTGTGTCTGGTGTTCCTTCTTGGTTTCCTTTTTTGTGCAGTGATTCATCAGGTGCTGTATGCTTCCAGAACCAGTGTAAGTGTGTGCACATGTCCCATTCCTGGTCTGTGATCTCTTCTATAATGAATAGGGGTATATTGTTTCCAGCTATTCTTATACAAGTAAAGAAGAAAAGCGTTCTAGAATCTGCTGTCAAACCTTCAGACTTCAGTAGTTTTGCTACCATTGTATCCTATTCTTATAATTCTTTTCTTTTTTTTTTTTTGAAACAGCATCTTGCTCTTGTCGCCCAGGCTGGAGTGCAATGGCACGATCATGGCTCACTGCAGACTCGATCTCTCTGGGCTTAGGTGATCCTCCCACCTTAGCCTCCCGGGTAGCTGGGACTATAGGCATGTGCCACCATGCTCGGCTAATTTTTGTACTTTTTGTAGAGATAGGGTTTCGCCATGTTGCCCAGGCTGGTCTCAAACTCCTGGGCTCAAGCAATTCCCCTTCCTCGGCCTCACAAAGTGCTGGGATTACAGGCGTGAGCCACTGCGCCTGGCCAGTTCTTAGAATTCTTGATGGTGATCTCTGGCCTTCTGTCACAATTACATTTGGAGGGTTTTCTAAGTTGTGCTGAGCTCTGTTTGTACTTCTGCACACAGCCTAGGTAGCAAGCCAGGCTATCAGTTTTTCATAATGTTGGACTTGCTCCTCCTGTCTCCCTTCCTGAAGTATACCTGTGGCCCTAGATTTAAATTAAATGTTTCCACAAGTGGGAACTGTATTGGTTGAAGGCCTTATTTCCGAGTGGAGGGAAAGCTCTTTTGAGCAGATTCTTTGGCCATGCCCCTTCAATGTATTTGATACCAGGTAACCCCCCCATAAGCAGATACCCTAAGGAGTTGAAAGGAGGAAACTTTGAGTGGTTTGGGGGATGTTGAGAGATTATAGTTTAATCTAGATCTGCACATGCACAGAAGGAGTTTGAGGTTGTCATTAAAAGTCATAGATTATAGTGGCATTGGGGATTTTTTAAAATTAAGGTGACAGCTGTAAGTGGGATATGAGAGGGAGAGAGAATAGGACAGATTATGTAGTTGAATATAACTTTTTTATATCTAGTTAGTAGATACACATCTTTCTCTATATATATGTATTTGAACATTCAGTGCAAGTGTTTCTTTTGGCTACTCAAGTAATAATTACTTAGAATAGTTATGGGTATAAAAGGACGAAATGTATCAAATTAATTGTACCATGACATTCCTCTAATTTTGAGGTCAGTGGAAACCAGTCTTCTTGTCCTGGAATGTAACTTAGTGGACTAATCGCTATCTGGAATGCTACTGGAATGGGGAGGAATCAAAGAGAAAGCAGAAATAGAAGAAGAATGGAGAGAGGTGTAGGATAATTTTTCTCCCAGCCTAAGGCTATTATTTATCCAGTTTCCTGAACCATGTAAAACAAAGTAGAGAACCAGGAAATTGGCAGAAAAGCCCTCTAAGCCGCCAGAAGTTCATGAATCAAGACTCTCAGCACCTTACTCCACTTTAGGTGTTTACTTGCTGTATTTATTCATATTTTAAATACATTTTGATAACTGGTTTGCCAGCACACTGCAGATGAAAGAGAGCAAATTTCAGAAACTAGAAAGACTGTTTAGAATCAAGCACAAGTATCATAGGAACTAATTGAAAATTTACATTTTAGTGATGGAAAAGGAAGGTTTTTAAAGTAAAAAATAAGAATTCACAAAACTTAATAGGCATGGACAATTTGGTTAAAAAGCAACGGCTGTGTGCTGCTCTTCCTATCTGGAATGTCCTCATCCAAACTAGTCATTTTTTTAGGACTCATTATGAAGCTCCTTCATGAAGTTCTTCTGTCCTGTCCAGAAAGTTAGGTGCTTATCATTTAGATTATTCATTAAGTTAGTACTTAATAAATGAATGTGTCCAGTTAAACTCTGAGCCTTCTATACTGCTCCATTCCTCCTGTCACAATGGTTACTTCGTATCATAGCAGGAGTTCTTCCTGTGTTAAAGACATGCCCAACCTTTTCATTGTTTATGCCTTTGTAAATCATACTCCCCTTGCCTAAATATTACAAAATAGGACTCTTCATTCAAGACTCACTTTAAAAGTCAGTTCTTTGATAAGGCATTGCTGCAGCTTCCCTAGGCACAGTCATTTCCTTGTCTGTGTTGCCATCACTTCATATTCAGTATTTACTTAATTCTGAAATAACAGTTAGAAAATAAATTATTGGCTTAATACTAGTTGTAGGGAGTAAAATGAAAAATTAAGTATACATTCAGAAATACTTTACTGACAGAAGCATACAGTACATCCTCAGTGTGGCCAATAGGTTCTTGGACACTGCAACATTAAGTGAAATGATGTGTAACGAAACCAATTTTACCATAGACTAGTCGATATAAACAAGAGTTAAGTTCTTATGGCATATTTCTGGTCACAAAAACATTACCAAATATCTGATATTAAACATTGAAATAAGTAATTCCATACATACATTTAAGAAAGATTAATAAGACAACCCAATTTTTGGTGAATCAGTGAGTGACAGTGGTCATGGTAGGTAGTAGGTTAAATCAAAGAATAAATGTTTGCTAAGTGAAAATTGTAAGGAGCACCTCCTACCACACGAAGTTCAAAAACAATCATAAAAACAGCAAGCTTGC
This sequence comes from Homo sapiens, assembly GCF_000001405.40. NCBI lineage: Eukaryota > Metazoa > Chordata > Mammalia > Primates > Hominidae > Homo > Homo sapiens. Next base: position 89,692,633 of record NC_000012.12, on the reverse strand, counting down.
AGATTGCTCTCATACCACATCATTTCTTATAGAGCATTTGTATGATTATTGTATACTTTAGTAATTTTTATTTGACAATAATTTGTAATTATTAATTCATTTCTCTGATCTGCTGATTCCAGTTCAGGGTCATGAGTGGCCAGAGCCTCTCCCTGAAGCACATCTTTAGTATGTGGGAGAAAACCAGAATACCTGGAGAAAACCCATGCAGATATAGGGAGAAAGTGAAGATTCCACACAGTCGTCCCAGCCTGGAATTGATTTTGTTTTTTCTCATCAATGTCGTAATGAAACCATGTTAAATGAAATATTATTCAAGGATCTGCTGTCGTCTAGGCATAGTTCACTTTCTTCAATATAGAAAAATTTGAGTCTTAGCCTGAGTTTTAAGTCAACTAAATCATTTTGGCCATTGATTAAGAATAACATCATGGTAGCATGTTGCTTTTTTTTTTAACCTATGTTCTATGATCTTAACCTCTTTAGCAGCTTTGTCATTGACCTGTAACTTTGAAACTTAAAGTGTATAGGTTTCATTAGAATTTCCTACTGGTTAATCCCAGCTTTTTAATTGTCTTTGTGTTTTTAATTTTTATTTTTGTCCTTAATGTAATAGTGACCCTGAGTACTAATGCATGAAAAGGAAACACCATCCTTTCTTAGTTTGAAAATTCTGTGATTTTCTGAGTTGGCAAATTCTTTAATTGCTTTGCCTGACTTGTGACAGGCAATCTGTGTCTAAGCTAGCTTTTGGTTTCAGTGTTACTTCTTAATTATAGGCTTCTGAAAGATATTTTAAACAAAAATTAGGGATTCAAATTCCCATAGACTCAACATGGAAAAAGGGGTGGACTTTCCTGTTTTGTGGGCTAAGAATGCTGGGAAGTGGAAAGAATGATTATTTGAGTCGGAAATATGGCTCTTAAGTTTATCTGTTTGCAAATCTGTCTCCCTAGATAGACTCAGTTCTTTGTTGGGACCTAGCATAGTATGTGACATGTATTATAAGTCTTAACAAACTGAGTAATAATCCTGAGTGATCACTTTCTGGTTAATTATGTTTGACTTTTACAAATTATCTAGGATAAATTATGTGGTACATTGACAGAAGATTTTTGTGTAAAGTATTTAATAAAGGTTTGTCTTTATAATGACAAGTTTTAGCTTATGGCAAATATCTTATAACCCAATTCTGGTGAATAAATAAGTGTTTTTGACATGGAGAAGAGTTTGAGTATCATACTAATAACAGTCACAGACTTCAAACCATTGCTTTCCTTAAAGAAAATGGAGTTGGCTTATAGACTTTAATATTTGAGGTCATAAGGATAAAGAATCTGATTTTCTTTTTTAGTTAGAAGAGGACTGATTGTATCAGAAGCATGTTGCATGTAACAGTTGGTATCATTTAATCCATATAATAGCCCTCTAAATAGGATGATGATTTTTTTTTCCCTGTAGACAGAGAAATGAATCAGTTTACATGCCCAAATGCTGAATGGCAGAAAGGCATGTGGGCCCAGCTGTCTAACTCTAGTCCACTGCTCTTTCTGCTGTACACAGTTGAGCCTCTCACATGTTACTAGAAGTTTGAAATAATGTCAAAAACTAGATCGTTTTTCCTTTTTGGAATTAAAATGTTCTTGGATGATTCTTAAAGTGCTTGCCTAATTTACCCAAAGATTGATGGAAAATGTACAAGAGGCTAGGGATTTGGTTTATTCTTATTGATTCTAAATATTGACTGCAAAAAAGCCAGATTTAAATCCAGTTCTCCTTAGGTTGTGGGAATATTGTGCCACTCACTTAAAGTGACAAGCAGTGAAGATTTGATATTATCCTGATTTTAAAGGGAGAATTTATACTACCAGAAGTTTTAGGAGAAAATAGTAATTCTTGATTAAATGTGGTATTTCCAGTGATAGCAGGGGAAAATAGTTAAGGTCTGTAGTAGAAAAGCACAATAATCAAGATCTTAGAAAGCATTCATGTCAAAATTAGTAAGTGGTAAGTAATAAATGGTAAAATACGTGTTTATTAGTTTTTTTTTTTTAAAAAAAGCAAAACTGTTTAATTCAACTCACAAGAATGAGCAAGTTCTTTGGACTTAAGTTGTTGACATTCTGAGTTGATTCAGGGGATCCTGTATTACAAGACACTTTATTGCCTTGCCTCTGATAAACAACAGTATTTGTGATATAATTTTTACCGATGTCCCTATACTTAAAATGTGTGAGCTACCCACTTTATTAATAAGACTTTTATACAGAATTACTCTTAATGATAAATCTTCCAAAAAAAAAAAAGATTTGCCATCATTGAGGATATTTTCTTTAAAAAGTATCCCAGAGTATAAAGGAAATTTCAAAAAAGGAGAGCAAATGTTTTAAGCAATGGCAGCATTATTAGAATGATTTAAGTTAATTCTTGGTAGAAAAATAAACATTTATTAGGCTATATATGTTCTGGTATTTATTTTGAAATATCTGTTATTGCTTTATAGTCATACCACATAGTAAGCAGCATATAGGACAGAGTTTAGAGTATCTTAGCTATTCAGTAAAAGCTTACCACAAAGAATCCTAGCATACAGAAAGTTCATAACTGGGGTTTCTGCACATTTTATGCCTAAACTATAGAAAAGTAAAGCAATTGATAGGAATTTATTCAAAAGTTGAATTCTAGGTTTGTGTTAGGATTAGTAGGAATTCAATTCAGACCATTACAATTTCTGTATTTACAGTATCCTACAATGACATTTAATATTTAGAAAACATTTGCTAAACTTTTGATATTCAGAAAATATTTGCTAAACTTCTGTATACATGACTTTGTGTGTACTATGTGTATGAGGAAGGATAGGAGATGAAGGTGAGGATACAAAAGGTATCTCCCTTACTAGTTTCTAATATGTATGTTTAAAATAGACAAATGGAAGTCTACAAATATATAGCAAGTTAACAAATAGATAAGGAGTAAGAAGCCGTATTAAATATGGGCCAGATGTGGAATAAGGCAGCCCCAGAGCTGCAAATTGGGAATTTAGTGTTTTTAAATTCCCTCTCAGAGGCATGATGGTTGTTAGTGCATTTGTCTGGGGCCAGAAAGGCAGGCCAGATGGAAACGCCATTTTACAGTTCATTTCCAATGTTTTGTGAGTGTGGTAGGTTGGGAGACAGAGTGAGTTTATACTCAGCTGCTGGAAGACCCAATTTCCTTCTGAATCAAAGAAAGTTTAAATTTTATTTCGTGTTTACCTGCATTGTAAAATTACATTTCTTTGGAAACTGTTAATTTATGACACTAGGAAATCAGGACCAGATTGCCAGTGAATAATTTTTTTTAGTATGAGTGTCCTAAGTATTGTATAGGACATACATGGGATTAAAAAATTATTTGTTGATTATCTGAAATTTAAATTTAACTGGGTAGCTTGTATTTTATTTTGTAGCCCTGTTAGGACCTGACAAGAGAAGCTGAAATACAGACTGTATGTAAGTTGTAAAAAGAGTGCTAGCATTGAAAACAACGTCTAAAGAGCATCTGTTTATTGCCAATCAGAATAGGTGGTTTTTAGATTCACTGAAGTCAGTGAATGTGGTGAACTAAGGTTCTGAACTATCAAAGAGAATTTGATAATGAATCTAAATAACAACTAAGGTTGAGGCTTCTTCCTGTGTATTTTTTGGTAAAGGAACCTATAAGCAAAAGATACGATTAGCCCTAAGCTTACGGATGGCAAAACCAATATTTTATACTTGGACTGGGAGACATAAGGAAGATTTGGGGGATAGACAAAGAATTTTAGAGCTAGAAAAGTGCTTTGAAAACCTGGTCCAGCCCTTTCTTTAACAGATGAGAAGACTGAGTCCCAGGTACACAGCAACCTACCCCAAGACCCTGCAGTAAGGATCAAAGCCCAGATCTGACTCCCACCTTAGTGCCTGTTCCACTGTTCAATGTTTAGCTTTCCTAAACCGTGACAAAAGGAGTATTCATTCAACAAAGAATTTGAGTGCCAGCTGTATGTAGTGCCACCTATAGTTTCAGATACTAGGCTAGATTTTGGGGATAATATTGGCCAAAGCAGGTAGTCTCTGTCCTATATAAAATGAAATTTATTGTCTGTCCATTTATCATAGTGCTAAATGAGCAAGACTTAGGATAAAATAGTTTCATTAAAATGTACAGTCCAGAGCTAGAAGTCTGACTCCTGATCCCTGGAGCTCACTCCCCTATTCAGCAGTTTATAATAGTTGTGAAAAAATTTATGTGAGTCTCCAGATATTTTATAACCTAAAACATTTGTGCAGTTAATAGTTTGAACTGCTGCTTTATTTATAGTTCACTCAGTTATCCTCAGTAATGAAGAGTAACATTGATGAGACCTCAACAGTTACATGAAATGAAGTGCTGTAAATTCATCACCTGGCACAGTGAACAAAAATCTGACCTTGGCTGAAGGCTGTATCTTCTCCTTGGGTTAGATTCCTGCCTGCTGAGAGCCTTGGTGTGGAATGATGTCTAATTTATAAGAAAGTGAGTGCCTTTGGGTGCTTACATAGGAGCTCTGGATTTGTCAGCACTGTGGTCTTGATTTTCTTCTCCTCACCTGGAGGAGAGTGTTCTTACATGTTCTTGGTTTTAGTTTACTTTTGTTTTTGTTTTTAAATAACTATCTGATTTAGCATTCTACATATAACTAAATTGATGGAAAAGGTGATATTGCACATACTGTATGAGTTTTGCCTCCTAATTCACAGTCCAGTGAATTCTTGGATATGTTTTAATGGTTCCTGAATAAATATATGAAATATATTTTGTTTGATTTAAACGTTTAAAAAGTAAATATTATTGTAAGTTGTAAAATACTAACATTGCTGTTTAAGCAGCATTTATTTTAATCCCATGTTGAATTTAATCCCAAAATATTAGTATCTTTCTCTCTTAGTAAATAGAGTGTATGGAATAAAACTTAATGTTTCTTGTAGTGAGAAAGACACTAGGTGATTTGACCACTTTCTTGGCCTTACTGCCTAATAATTTGAAAGTACAGTTGTCCCTCAGTTTCCATGGGGGATTAATTCCAGGACCACCCCACCTCCACCCACCTAGATAGCAAAACCCACAGATGTTCAAGTACCTCATGTAAAATATGTTTGCATGTAACCTACACACATCCTCCCATATACAGAAATGCGTTGCAATTTCGTTATTGTGCAAATTCACACAGTGTACTACACAAACCTAGATGGTATAGCCTACTGCAGCCCCTAAGCTATGTGGCATAGCCTATTGCTTCTAGGCTGCAAACCCATATAGCATGTTACTGTACTAAATATTGTAGGCAGTGTAACACGACAGTAAATGTTTGTGTATCTAAACATAAAAGCGTTACAGTAAAAATTGGTATTATAATCTTATGGGACCATTATCAAATCTGTGGTTTGTCCTTGTTGACCGAAACGTTATGCAGTGCATGGCTGTACTTTAATCATCTCTAGATTGCTTATAATACCTAACATAATTAAATGCTATGTAAATAGTTGTTATGCTGTATTGTTCAGGGAATAACGACAAGAAAAACATGTCTGTAAATGCTCAGACACATCCTTTTTTTTCCCCCCGAATATTTTCTATTCGTGGTTGGTTGGATACAGAACCCACAGATAGAGAGGGTCAACTGTATTAGTAACCCCAGGAGGAGTATTATATTAAAGGAATTATAGATATATGGTAGAGACAGGATCTATATATTTTTATCTGGACTAATACTCAGTTTTCTCTTAATGTGTATGTGGCCACTGTAATAACACTTATTGTCACTTTAATATAAATTTATGTGCATCTGTGCATGTTTATACACCATATACATGAATCATGTAATTTCAGGTTGAGAATGAACATAAATATGCCATGCACCGATGTAGGCATAGTGAAACATGGAAATGGCCTTTGTCCAGAGAGTGCTCTTAGACCAGTTAGGTTGTTTATCAGTATGATTAGTTGGCCATAACATTCATTTATTACAGTAGTATTTCTTAAGAGTATACTCACTGTAAAACAAATTTTGCTAAAATTTCCTTGGGAAATTTTTTGGAAGGTTTAATGATAATGTTGCGTAACATTGGATAAAAGGCAAAATACAGTTATGGTTTTAAAAATTCTAACTACAAAGTAAAATAAAAGTGAGTGTACGCAAAAGCATATCAGTATCTGGCATTCTTGTAGTAGGGGAGAAGAGAGGAAAGGAATTTGAGAAGGGGGTCTGGTCTTTGCTTAGGGTAAAGAGTAAATCAAATTACAATGGATTGTAGATATTGGAACTGCATTATTTAGTACTTGGAAATACATTTCTAACAGCTTAAGCTGGATATACTTTTGGTTTATCTTCTCAAGGGATTAGGGTATAAAATAATCCATCATCTAAAAATGGTGAAAGATTGCCTTGAAGAACACATGCTGAAGGAAATTTTAGAAAATTTTCTTTCTTTAAAAATGGTAGTGTTTTCATTCCATACCTGGAGATAAAAAGTATATTAAAATTAAATAATGTCCGAAGCAAAAGTGGATCTGTTAGTCTGCTAGGGCTCCATAACAGAATGCTACAGACAAGGTGGCTTAAACAACAGAAATTTATTTTCTCATAGTTCTGGAGTTTGGAATTCCAAGATCAAGGTGTCAGCAAGGTAAGTTTTCTCCTGAGGCCTCTCTCCTTGGCTTGCTGATGGCCTTCTTCTTGCTGTGTCCTCATATGGCCTTTTTGCTGGTATCTCTTCTTAAGGACACCAGTTCTATTGGATTAGGGTCCCACCCATAAGACCTGTTTTAATGCTTAATTACCTCTTAAGACCTTATTGCCAAATATGGTCACATTGGAATTTAAGGCTTTAACATAGGAATTTTAGGGGGACACAATCCAGTCCATAATAGAGAAAGCAAAGAAATTCACACTAAAATGTAATTTTAGTCAACTAAAACATGGTTCTCAAACTTTAGCATGCACCAGAATCACTTGGAAGGCTTGGTGAGGCCACACCCCCAGAGTTTCTGACTTAAGAGGTCTGGAGTGGGTCTGAGAATTTGCATTTCTGCCAAGCTCCATGGTGATGCTGATACTGCTAGTCTGGGGACCATACTTTGAGAGTCACTGATTTCATATTTACTGTTTGGATTGAAAGAAGTTGTTGAAGAAAGCCCCTGAAATAAGGGAAACTGTCCTGAGGATGGGGGAGGGAGGATAGTGACCAGAGGGATTGCAGTGGGAAATAGAAGACACAGTGGACATGTTGGTGAAACATTGATTTCGTTTACCCATAGTTACGTTTCCCAATTCAGTGAGTTGAAGAGATCCTTTGATTGGAGGTTAAAAGCAAGCACTTCTGTTGTCTGTTACAAGAGGAAAAATGACTCTAGGCTTTATTATAAGGAACTTAAGTCCCAGACTACTTATCACCTCATTTAGATTTTTGGTCAAATGTCCCACTCTTGGTAAGGCACTCCCTTGATCATCCTGCTAAATTGCATCTATGAATGACTGTCACAATAAAATACGGCAATGGCGGAGGCTACATTGAGAAATACAAATTAGGTAGACTGGTGCCTGAAGCTTGGAATTTAGAGTTTACTTAATTTCAACAAACTTTTTGAGTTTAAAGTATAGGCAATTACTAAAATTGGATTGTGCTCCAAAAGTTCTCTTTCATTGGTTTAGAAATTGAAATGAATTTTTCTGTAGAAATACAACTGTAAACAATGGTCAAGGAAATTCTAAAAGGAAATGAAATCGCTCATATTAGTAAAATGAGACATGGGGGTCCTGTTTAGATTAATATGGGTTAATAGGCAAGAGGGAGAGAAGCCAAGTTTCTCTCCGCTGTCCAATCTCAAATGGTCCAAAAGGAAAAGATTAAGTTTTAGACAGTAAACATAAAGCTCTGCATTACCTGCTCTAAAATAACTCACTTTTTTTCATTTAAAAATTACTCTTTTCTTGGTGTGGCTGATTTTAGCTGAGTGCTGAAACAGTCCTAATTTGTTATGTAGTCTGAATGACCACTATTTCCCTAATCCTTCAGAGGTTCTTGTGTTTTAAGAAGTGGATAGGCATGTGTATGTTGTCTGTATATGTGTGTATAGCTGTGTATAAATATATATGAAACATGAGTTCATACTGATAGCTCCACTTCCAGTCCAGTTTACAGGGTTCTTCCTTGCCTTCCCCTCATCCCATTTTTGTCTTTATTCTTCCATAGCGAGAATGGTAGCTCCCAGCGTTAGCACATTTAATTCTTGGCCCTCTGCCCCAACCCAGTTTGTTTCAATTTTACATTTTGAATATGTAGAACATTAATGTGCTTATAAAAGTTCAGAACTGCCAACACAAAAAATGTACAGTCAGTCCTTTCCTTTTCTACTTTCCCGTCCCTGCTCTTTTTGTAAGTAACCAATTTTCATGTTTTTTGATTTATTATTTCTGTGTTTCTTTTCCAAAAATAGACATGTATGTTTTCTTATTTCTTCTTTCTTACACAGAAAGTAGCATGTGTTTTGTACTTTGCTTTTTTTCCCCCCTAATGGATATATCTTGGAAATTCCACCATATTGACTTGTAGACATTGTCCTCATTCTTTTTTACAGCTGTATGGTATTTGGCCATTCTGCATATTCCAAACGTTAGGATATTCAAGTAGTTTCCAGCATTTTGAATTTATTAATAATGCTGCAATGAAAAACTTGGTTCATTTGTATTTTCATAGTGCTAAGGTTTATCTTCGAAGTGGATTCCTGGAATTGAGATTGCTGGAATGAAGGGTAAATTAATATATAGTTTTATTAGTTATTGTCAGATTCCCTTCTCTAGCAATCCGTTACTGCATAACAGACCACCCCAAACTTAATTGTGTAAAACAGTTGTTTTATTATGCTCCTGGATCCTCAGTCAGAAATTTGGGTTGGGGACATCGGGGTGACTTGTTCTCTCCTCTACACTGTCTGGAACTTTCATGGGAAAATCTCAAATGACCGGGGGCTGGATAGAATAGTTACGGGCTAGAATTACATGTTGATTTCTTCATTCATATCTGGTGCCTAGGCTGGGATGACTGCTGATATTGGGCTCAGTTTAGACTGTCAACCAGACATGTACACATGGCCTCTCTTTGTAGCTTACGCTTCTTTACGGAATTGGGAGCCTGATTTCTGATAGGGCATATCCGAAGAGTGGGCATTCCAAGACAGTCAGACAGAAGCTGACCTGGCTTCAAGTCCCATAATGTTGCTTCTGTGATATTCTTTTGGCCAAAGCAGTACTAAGTCTGCCCAGATTCAAGTGTAGGGACATAGACTACAACCTCTCCACATGGCTGTGTAAAAGAAAAATTGTGACTAAGTTTTAAAATTGCCATATGACATTTTACATACATTGCTGGTGAATTGATTGTTTCCCCCAAACCTTGCCAAACAGTATTTTCTGGCTTTTGAACTTTCATTAATGTGAATGATGAGAGATGATATTTTCAGCATAGTTTTAATTTGCATTTCTCTTTTGAGTGAAGTTGAACATCTTATTTTTTAAGGGCTATTTTTATATTTTGGTGAATTGTCTATGGCTTTCAATCATTCTTCTTTAGGAGATTTGATTCTTTTTTCCCTCAACTTAAAACATTTATTTTATGTATTAGGGAAAGTAGCCCTTTTTCTGTGATATTGGTAATATTTTCTCCAAATTTGTTACTTCTGTCTCATCTTTGCTTATGTTGTGTTTTGCCATGCAGAAGTTTAATTTTGTGGTCAAATTTATCACGCTTATGTAATACCTCTGATTTTTAAGTCACAGTTAAACCTTACCCTGTACTCCGATTACAGAGTGGTTCACCTATGTTTTCTTCTAATTCTTGTGTAGTTTCATTGCTTTGTTCCATTTGGAATTTATTCTGATGTGGTATAAGAAATTGATCTAATTTCATCTTTGAATGACTGTTCAGTAGTCCCAACACAGTTTATGGAAAAGTCCATTTTTGCTTCCTCTCCCTCACAAATGATTTAAGCTACTACCATTGTCATATATTTATTTCTGTATGTAGTTAGATCTGTTTCTGGACTTTCTATTTCAGTCCATTGGTCTTTTTATCTATCATTGCCATACTGTTTTATTCATAGGGACTTTACAGTGTATTTTAGTATCTGGTAGAGCTAATATTTCCATCATCTTTATTCTTCGCTGTGGTTTCTTGGCTATTTTTGCATGTTTCGTTTCCCCTAAACGAAAACTAAACTAAACACCAGCTTGTTTAGTTTCAGGAAAAAAGCTTGTTGTTTTTATTAGGCTTGCATTAAATTTACAAATTGACTTAGAGAAGTCCTAATCATGACAAAGAATGTCTCTCTTTGTTTAAGTCTACCATGTTATATTTCAGGTGTTTTTACAGTTTTCTTTATATAGATTTTGAACATTTCTTGTTATATTTATTCATAAGTGTCTTTAATCTTTTTTGGTTGCTATCGTGGTGGAGTTTTCTGTTATATTTTGTAATTGGTTATTAGTTGTGTATATAAAGGCTATTTTATGTATGTTTTGATTTTTATATTTAGTTGTTTCATTGAATTAATTTTCATTGGCTCTCAGTCCGTGATATTCAAGGTCTACTATTATGTCATCTGTAGAGATCATTTTTCCTTCCTAATTCTTATGTTTCTAGTTGTTTTCTTTTGTCTAATTCTTCACTGGTATCTTTAGAATGATGTTAAATAGTAGTGGAACTAGCAGGCATCCTTTGCCTTGTATATTAAATGCCTCTAGTTTTCCCCATTAATTAAGATAATTGACTTTAGAACTGAGGTGGATATAATTTATAATGTAAAGTACTCATTTATTTCTGTTTACCAGATTTTCTAATATTGGACTATATATTCCTGGTATAAATTCCACTTGATCATGGTATATTTTTTCTTCATGCCATTTGGAGACTATTTGCAGAAATCCTAACTAAAATATTAGCATCAATTTTTGTAAGTAATGTTGGTCTAAATTTTCTCTTTATTAGGTTTAGATGTCAGTGTTTATTTGCTTCATAAGAAACTTGCATTAGCTGGGCGTGGTGGTACACGTCTGTAATCCCAGCCACTCAGGAGGCTGAGGCACGAGAATCACTTGAGTCTGGGAGGCGGAGGTTGCAGTGAGCCAAGATCACGCCACTGCACTCCAGCCTGGGTGACAGAGTGAGACTGTGTCTCAAAAAAAAAAAAAAAATTTATAGGGATTTTTCTTTGCAACATTTTCTGTTTCATCTGTCTCTGTTATGGTCAGTTTTGGTAAGCTGTATTTTCTTAAGAAATTATTTCATTTAGGTTTTAAGATTTATTTTCATAGAAGTCTTTAATCTCTTATTTTGGGGGATTTCCTCTTCTGTCATTTTTATTCAGTATATCTGTGCATTTTTCCTACGTTATCAGCATGTGTATAACATATGCATTCTTTTCTTTTTACCGTGTTCCACTTTAGTTTTAGTCCTACGATTAACTATATTAAATGCTTGCCATTAGTCATTTTGCTAAAGCTTCCCAGATTAGCTCTTAGTTGGATGAATTTCACTCTCTAATAAATTCCTTAGGAATGCTCCAATGTATTGCTGAGTTCTTGTACATTCGAAACTGTTTCTCTTTTTGTATACTTAATGCTTGAAGGAAAGCTCAGCTCCCACATTCTGAAGTTTCTTGAAAATGCTGTTCCGTGGTTATCTTTCTTTGTATGTTTTTGAAGTCTAGTTTTCTTACTTTTTAAAGTAATGTTTGTTTTTTTGTTCGGATGCTCTGGGGATTTTTTTTTAATCTTTAAACTAGTTTAGTACATGTCTTGAAGTAGATTGTTCTAGGTCCAGTTTTCCGGATATACAGTGGACCCTTTCATTATGCTGGTTTAGATTGCCTCTTCTATGTGGAAAGATTTCTTGAATTATAGTTTTTAAATACTAGTTCTGTTCCGTTGTTTCTGAAAAGACTCCAGTTATACAGTGTTGGATCTCTTGCACATTTTCTGTTTCAGCTACTACCTCTTGACCCTTACTCCTTTTTTAAAAAATCTAATTTTCATTCTCTTATTTTTCTTAATTTCTTCAGTGACCCTTGCTAGATTTTCTACTCGAAATCCGTTCTCCAATGAGCATTTTGTAATTCTTAATTTCCAAAATAATTTTGTCTTTTTTCTTTCAATTTCCTCCCTGAGAATGATCAGGTGTCATTGTATTTCTTCCTGGATTTGTGTTCATCTCTCTTTTTAGTTTTTGAATTTTTGGTTCCAGGTGATTTTTGTTTCTGTTGTTAATATCTGCAAATACTTGCTTGAGTATTTAATTTAATTTGAAGTATTGCTTTACAGTTTTCTTCCATTTTGTGGAGTGTGTTTGGGGCAGGGGGTGATTGTTTTGTGGAGAGAATGTTCATCAGCTGAAATGTGATTTGCATTTTCTGTTTTCTTCCTCCAGTTCCTTTTCTATGGAGTTGGCTTGATTTTTATTTTCTTTTATTCCTTGGTAGTTTGTGAACTAGGTTCTTAGTTTAAGAATGCTTATTGTCAAAATAGTGAAGTACATCTTTTTAATGGATAATGATGGTAGTGAAGAGGAGGCAGGAGTTTATGTGTCTTTCTCTTTGGTTTCTATAAGATCCTTAATTTTCTCTTCTTTTCCTTTACTGCCATATCTCCAAGGGACACCTCCCTTCTCTGTTTATCTTCTCCCCCAGAAGCCCTAATTGTGCCTGCCATTTCCGCTGCTATTCCCTTTCAATCTCTTGTATAGCTGATATTGTGAAATATCAAATTCTAGTATTTAGTATTTTGTCAGTGTGTGTTGGACTTTCTTTTCTATGGGTGATTTTGTCTGTACTTCCTCTATGTCCTTTGGTCCCCTTTTCTCTTTTGTCATAGAGTCTTAAGCCTCCCCTCTCCTACGATGTACCCTCAGATTTGCATTGGCCAAGGGAGTTTTGTTGGATTTTGGCATTTATTTCTCTACTTACAGGTAATTTGAAGTTTGTGGTACTCCACTTGCTGTTAATACTGGAGGCTACCTATGGTTTTATTTGTACTTCTTATGATATTGTGCTTTTTGGGGGAAAAGAGAGATTGGGATCAGGCTACTGCCATTATCCTTCTGGCTCAGAAGTTCCACAGGAGCTTTTTAAAATCAAGATTAAGTCTTGGTCCTGGAGACTGATTCCAACGGTATGAAGTGAATTTTTTAAAAGACTAGTTCCATTATGTGGATATAGAGCTAATTTTAGCAACTGGTTGCCTTAGACCAGGGAGAGGCCAATATTTTTGTAAAGGGTCAGATATTAAATATTTTAGGCTTTGAGGACTATCTTTGTTGTGTATTCTTCATTTTTAAGCCTTTAAGATGTGAAATAATAAAATAAAAATTCTTAGTCTTTGGCTGTGCAAACTCAGGCTGTGGGTGATTTTGGCCAACCTCTGCCTTAGACCACCTTCAAAAGTCCTTTTTTTTCCAAAAGCTTGGCTTAAAAGTTATTGTAATGTTTACCTTTTTCTGAGAGCCTAAAATAGTGATTTTTTTTTTAATGCCTTAAGTAGCTTTGGATCTACTCTGGAGCATAAACCAAGAGGTACAAACTAGAAAACATAGAAGTAACAATATGAAATGGGAAATGTAAATGTAGTTGTTACCATTTAGATGCTTCAGCAACAGAGGAACTTTATATTATTCCTGTAAAACACCTAACTTTACGAACACTGTGGATGCCTAGCATATTGACCACCACAATGAGTAGCAGCTAGTATGCATGTAAATGTGCGAATGAGAAGTTCTTGGAGAATAAGTTGCAAATGGCCCTCCAGAGTTGTTTAAATTTTAAAAATTTATGTCAAAACGATTTTGACTTTTGCATGGCTGAAATTGAGCCTTTCTGGCAGTATACAGGTTCAATTGCTTCTTAAGGCAAGTCTTGATTTTTGTTAGTAAGACACATGCAAAATAGCTTCCTATTTGCCATGGCCAGAGGGCATATCCTTAGTCTTGAAGCTGTATCCCATTGTCTAAATATATTGGAGAAAGTGTGTGAAATCTTACTCTGTGTGTGACCATCTTTACTACTTCTGATTTTCCCCAGCAGCAGTAGTAAATAGTCATAAAACTCAAGGAGCCAAAGAGATCATTTCAGAAGAGTAAATAAGATGAATAACAGCATAGTGTTGAGAACAGATAAAGCTTAGTTTGCAGGCTCATTAGTCATTGAGCACCTCTGAATGTCACTCACTGACAGGTTCTCTCTACACCCACAAGAAGAAAACATGAAACGGAGGCCAAATGGCCACTTCAAAAAATATCATTTAATCCTTCTGTATTCCACGAGGGGATTGATTTCTATTATGGAATCACTATGGTTTGAAGTATGGGTTATTGGGGGTTTTTTAGGGAAAAGAAAGGCAGTATGTTACGCATCTTTAGTTTTTTGGTCACCAGTCATTTTATCTTCATTATTCATGGATGTGTAGTCAGTGTGTAAAAATCTTTTGTTAAGTAGGGGCCAGTTAGGTTAGTTTGTAGTGAACTGAAACCCTTGGATTTTTTTTTTAAATGATTTCTCCATTCTGTATATGTGTGTGTGTGTGTGTGTGTGTGTGTGTGTGTGTGTGTGTGTGTGTATATATATATATATATAATTCCTGCATGCCCCCAACCCCCTGAAATCCAAAGGCAGGATTTAGTATTTGTAAAATGTCATTTGTTCCTTTCTTTGTCCCATTCTGTGAACATCTAGTTACGGTATTTGAAACTTGTCTTTTATGCTTTCCTTTAGGTTTTTGATTAAAGAGTGAAAAGGATGAACATATAATTTAATTGGTATTCTACTACTGGTGGAATTCTGAATAGTCACACCCGATTTTATGATACTGTCTAAGAAGAAGAAAAGAACATTGGTATGAAGTTTGGTATCAGGAGAAATAAGCAAATGAAAAGAGTTGAAGGAACCAGTTTATGTATTTTTATGGAAGTAAGTAGTAGTATAATGTTACTTCCAGTACAGTTTTCCTTTGAAGGTAGTAGAGGAGGATGCAGAGAAGGGTACATTTGTTCTGTGGCATTTTCAGTTGTAAAATGAGTAAATCATAAGTTTCATTATAAGCTTGGTCTTGTGTTCTTCCATTTAAAGTGTGGTGAATCAGATATTGCCATTAGTGAATTAAGAGGAGAATATTTGAAGGACAAATTAATCTCAGTTGGAGACTATTCCTTAAAATGTTCATTAGTGTGCTAGAAAGATTTGGGAGAAGGTATAATCACTACCTCCCGCTTCCCAGCATACAATTGAAATTAAACTCCTGTGGATAAGTCACTCAAAACAGCTGGGCTCTGCCTAGGAGTATCTCAAAAGCTGGGCCCTAGATCCATGTAAAATACAAGGTGTTTAATATCCTACAGGGTCTGTATTCAGTATCATTTGGCAGTGACAAAGGAAGCTTCTGTCTGCTGATCCTTGTGTATCCCTGCACATATACAGAGTAGTTGTTAATCTTTAAAATTGCGAAATGCTTTTCAGGATAGCACTGTGATTGTTTTTGTTTGTTTCTTTGTTTGGTGGTGGTGGTGGTGGTGGTGGTGTTTATTTTTGAGAGAGAGTGACTTCTGAATTTTTTGGTCCATAATGCATACAAGTTCCTACAGAGTTTTCTTCTGAGGAAAGAATTTGATTTGCCACCGTGTAGAAAAGGCTCACTTTTTTTGTGTTCTATAATAATAACTAAAAAGTCTGCTTTATAAATTTGGGAATTATTCTTTTAACAATGAGAATTTAGAAGGATAAGTATCTTGTAAGACTGTGGAGCCAGAACGTTTTGTTTTGTATGTTTGGCACAGCTATAAAATGAATAAGCTGTATCTATTTGCAATTTTTATACTCAGTTAAGTAAAAGTGTCTTCCCTTAGGGAAGACTGCATTCCCCAAACTTTGCATACTACTTTATTATCCTGTTAAAGCAGATATTACCTACATAAACATCAATAGTAGAAATATTTCTTCTCATTTAAAAATTGTAATATAGCTGGGTGTGGTAGCTTATGCCTGTATTCCAAGCTTCTTGGGAATCCCAGCTACCAGGAGGTGGAGATCAGCCTGGGCAACGTAGTGAGACCCTGTCTCTACCTAATATACATATTATATATATGTGTAGCGAGAGAGGGAGAAAATATTTATTTTTCTAGACAATTATGACTTTAAGATGAGTGTTCTAAGGCATATGCAGTTGTATCTGATGCTGCACAAAGTCTGACAAAATACATCACCAGTAATTCTAGCAACCATCAATTGTGTAAACCTTGTCTGTAATTTCTTTTGCAATACCTTACATGATTTTGTACATCCAAGGTAAATTCAGAAACTATTTATTGTTGAGGGTAAATTGAACACCTTCGGTTTTAACCTTGTAATCTGTACTTCCCAGAGCCTCTCAGGAGCACCTACAATGGGAGAGAGGAGATTGGGAGGTTCTCTAAGATTGGTAGGTTCTCCATCACTGCACTTCTTTCCCTAACCTCCACCTCATCCAAACTCCTAGCTTGGATTTTGTGTTTTACATATCAGACATAATTAACCCCCTCCCCCAATGAGGAAACATTTGATGACAAATTTCTGAAGTTGTTTAAAAAAGAAATTCTTCCAGTCTAAATTGATTTGTTAAATATTCTTCAAGTAATGTTATTTTATGGGAATGTTTTATTATTTGTTTTTGAAATAATAATACTAAAAATAACTCCTGGCTCGTCAGGAAACTTTACAGTAAAAGTAGTATCTTTCCCCAGAAAGTTAACAGAACACCTATCACTGGAATTATAAATGTGTCTGGGGCAATCCAGAAAAGACTCCTCTCTTACCTGTTTTATCAGTCATGTGAAATATTTTGGTGGTCCTGAACTTGAGTTGTGGTGGTCACTTTTTTTTGGAATGTAGTAAAAGCACTTCATTGCTTCAATTGTAAGTTATATGACAGCAATATATATGGAGAGGGTGCAGATTTTATATTTCTGTGTTTTTCTAGCAGTGCCATTTATTCATTTAACAAATATATAAGTGCCTAACTTGTGTTCGACCGCATACTTAGGCTCATTGCTAATATAGCAGTAAGACATATTCTCAAAATTCAAAATAATAATTTTTAAAGATTGAGGAACTACAGTAATTCTGCTTTCAGAATACAGGTCGTCATCCATCAGAATGGATTAATTAACTTGTCTTGAATATTTTGATTCTGAAAGACGTAAGTTGACATTTATATAACATGATTCTCTCTATACTGTTAAATTTACGCATTATGTATGAAAAGTATAAGCTTATTGCTAGAACAAATGGAGGTTTTCTAGTTCATTTTTAATGAGCAATTCTTGGATTGTAAGCTAGACGGGATCTTTTCCCTTTTTCAGTCTTTGTGTTTCCTTAGTGTAATATGATGCCTTTCACATAATGGGCTTTATTAAATATTGATGATAATGAAAATTGTTGATCCCTAAAACACAGGACACTTCTGGATTAAAATTCCCAAGAATTTTGGTGACAGCTTCTTAATACATAATATCTCGAGTTTCTGAAATACCTGTAAGAGCTTTTCAGATTTTGGCTAATCTTAGCATGTGACAATTTTAAGTGTTCAAATATCTGATTCAAGCAAGTATACTTTATGTAACGGCTAGTGTTTTCAGTAATGTGAACAATATTTTACATTTACTTGGTAGTCTATTTTTTGTTTTTAATTCTATGCATTGCTTTTCCAAATAGATGATTGTCTCAGAGAGGTGTGGTTCCATGCCTCCATAACATACATGCAAAGGCAGAGTGCTGAGGAGCAAACCACACTGACTGGGTGTGAATCCCAGCTCTGCCCCTTAATAGTTGTGTGAACTTGGACAAATTTCTTAACCTGCCTCACTTCAGTTTCCTCTATTGTAAAATGGAAAGCTGATTAATACCAGTCTCATAGGAGCACAGTAAACCAAAAACGCTGTTGAAATGTTAGCTATTGTTACCATCATCATTAATAATCATCCACTTTATGTAAAACTGGCAGCATAGTGCTCTCTATATAGTAAGCATTCAAAATTGGGTGGTTTTTCATTTAGATTTGGCAGCAAGCCAGAGGTAGTACTTTGAGATGTGTTTGCTAGTATAGGTACAAGTTCAAAGAATTTGTTTCTAATACTGCCTTGTGACCAGACATTTCCCATTTACCCATCCTTATCTTTCCTTTCCTTTTTTTTTTTTTTTGCCAATTCTAAAAGGCTCTAATCAGACACTGCTTTGAACCCTGTGTGAACTTCATGCCTACTTTTTTCCTTTTTTACTGAACTATGAATAATAAAAGGTTAAAAAAAGAATCAACCAGTATATACTTACCACAATTGTAATTAAATTGTGTAATTAGTAGTTTGATTGATTGATTGATTGATACCTCCTTCAAAGGAATATAAGTTCCATGGAGACAGGAATTATTGTGTCTTGCTCACCACTGTGTCCCCAACACCTACCATGCAGATAAGCCTTGAATGAGGAAATACTATATGAATACCTGGTCTTTTCTTGCCCATGTCAGTAAGAGGTTAAACGACATGAAAGTCAGTCTTCACCTCTTCAGAAACATATAAATTAATTGAGGTATGCAGTATACAGGTATAAAGAGCTAGAAAAACCCAACTTGAAATGCTCGAATAAGAAACTAGCTGTAAACTGTTACTTGTTGTTTATCTCCTGATTATATTTTGGAGGGAATGATGACCCAGTGCTAGCTGTGACACCCCCTGTACCACTGGTTTTACTCATGTCATATTCATAACATTTCCTAATTACCTCATCAGCCCTCAATCATAGCTGATATGTATAAGACCACTGCTGCCCTTATCTTGGAGATGAAAATCCATACACTTCAAATTAAAATTTGGCATAGTAAAGAACATTTTGCAACTATCAGGTAGAAATGTTGGGTCCTTATGAAAGAGATAGTATGCAAGATGTCGTATTTGTTGTCTTTTAGTCCTCATGGCACCCTCACAGTGTTGATAGCAATGTATCTAATGTTTTATGGACAGGATTTGTAACTGTTATATACGACCAGATCTGAAATTTTGTGGTTTAGAGGGAATAGAAAGAAAAGATGAATGTGATAAGTTGGGAAGAAAAAGGAACTTAGCTACTTATTGGATATTGGGAAACAGAAATCAGAAGTGCTTTTATATTTAAGTGGTGGATACTTTGAAATAGGAAAGACGAGAGCGCATATATTATTCTGTGAAACAGTAGTTTGAAGTGATATTAATAGGTTCTCTGTAGGAAAAAGTAGGTAAAAACAAGTTCAGGAAATGTTGCATATAATATTTCCCTCTTGTAGGTTCACAAATATGCAAGGCTATGAAAAGTATCTGGCTGAAGAAAACCTATTTAACTGTACTGAACACAAAACACCTTTTTTCACAGCACAACTATTAACATACTATGAGATAGCTTCTCCAGCTCACCAGTTTGGAAGTCTAGTCTAGAGGAATTTGGAAGTTCTTAATAGGAATAGAGTTTTTGTGTTTGAGTTTGAGGATAGGAATAAGATTACTGTCAAGATTTTGGAGATGAAAGATAAATGAAGCTTAGAATTATAGTTTTGTAAATTCAGCTAAGTGGAAACAAGAGGCTAAACTTGGAAAGGAAAATACAAATATCCAGTTGTAATCCTGAATTGCATGTGGGTCTTTCAGACAAGGTACAGTATTTCAGTACCTCAAGTGTATACAGATAACCGCACTAGACTTAATATGATTCACAGTAGTTGGGTAATGAAGGGTACAGGTAGTGTTTATAAATATAAATCTATAGTCATAAGTTTGAGTGCCAGTGAGATGAAAATAGAAGACTCCAGACTCTACTGTGGTGGGTGTGGAGATAGTGGTTGGGTGGGAGAGAGGCAGAAAGTACATAGGGGAGCCAGTCAGAGACACAGAGAAGGAAGGGTCAGATAAATAGATATAAAATTAGAATTGTACACGGAAGGCAAGAGACGTGTACAAGGCAAGAGGATTTCGCGCGATAGGCAGCCATATGTGCTAGATAAGAAAGGAATAGAAAGGAATATACATACATCAGAGGGCCCAGTTTCTTTTTCTTCCTTTTTAAAATTGTTTTTATTTTTTGAGAGGGAGTCTCGTTCTGTCACCCATGCTGGAGTGCAGTAGCGTGATATCAGCTCACTGCAGCCTCTCCCTCCCAGATTCAAGCAATCCTTCTACCTCAGCCTCTTGTATAGCTGGGATTACAGGCACCCGCCACTATGCCCAGCTAATTTGGGTATTTTAATAGAGACGGGGTTTCACCATGTTGACCAGGCTGCCCTTGAACTCCTGGCCTCAGGTGATCTGCCTGCCTCAGCCTCCCAAAGTGCTGGGATTACAGGCGTGAGCCACTGCACCAGCCAGTTTCTCTATTTTACACATAAGAAAAATGAAACCAAGGGAGATAGAGCAATTTGCTTAGGATTAAGTGCTAGCACAGCAGAGTCAGAATTAGAATTTTGTCATTTCGTTGTTGCTTCTTTCTACTCTAGAGATTTCAAAAAGGAAGAGATTGCTAATGATGATACTGAGGTATCTCCTCTCTTGGGGTAAAGGAGACTTGCTGTCTCTAAAGGGACCTCTCAGGATAGAGATTGCATTTCTTAGTAGTTTACCATAGTAAAGAGTCTGAAACTTATAGACCCTGTAGCCTAGTATTTCTACAGTTACCTAATTTTTGTCTCAGGTTCATATTTACAGAGTTCATGAGCTTGATATAAAAATCAGAATGTCCATTAATTTACAGTAAAAAAAAAAAAAAAAACTGCCTTGGGAAACAGACTCTCAGGTCTTGGCTAGCACATTCTCTTCCCTGTAGATTTACCACATGGGAAACCACGTTATAATTAGGAGGTTGCTTAGTGAGTATGTAGGCAGAACAAGCGGTATGTTTGGAATGTGTGATGGACTCAGGCTTTTCTTAACTTCTCAAAGACCGGTTAGTTACCTCATCTGGCAATTGGGGGTAATAATATTAAATACTACATTGCATAGGGCATTGGGAAGATTAGGCGAAAGGATCCATGTAGAGTGTATACTGCAAATTGCTAAACACAGTGTCTGGCACAGGTGTCCTCCTCTTAACTCTGGTAAGTAGTCAACATTTTAATCCCTCAGTTAGGATACAAATACTACTGTAACCTCATTGTGAACGTAGAAAACTCTTCCTTCTAAATACTGCTTGAATGAGAAAGGCCAGATTTTCTTTTCCTCTTCTAATGATCGTCCTTAGAAGACGATGTTTGACCAACCCATTTCTGACTGTTAAATGCTTTTTTTCTCCCATTGAGTTAAACTGACTCATTCAGTCTACCTAATGTCAGATCTTGAGTCCTGGGCTCCATTTTGCTCTTTTTAGGTTGCCCATTTTGAATGTTCTGCTCAATCCATTTTATTAGGTTGAGCTCTATGAAATTGCTGATATTCTCCTGGTTTTCATCCACAAAAATGGCAGTGTCATATGGTTTAACCTGATATAATGTATAATGATTTTAAATTTTAATTCCTTTCAGATGATCCTAGCAGTTCCTATTCCAAGTCAGTTGATGAGGTCTGAGCCCCCCCACCCCTTTTTTTTTTTTTTAATGTATAAGGCCTGAACTGTTATACTTCTTTCCCTGTGATCAGGTTCCAAGAAGGTTCTTCTGTTGTATGTGGGCATGTGTCTTTTGTATAGTGTATCATTTTTCCTTTTCTCTTTACATTTAGATCAGACCAGCATTAACCAGGCGAATGATTACTTGTACTTCCTTAACTGATAGTTTACGTTTTGCATTTATTATTAATTTTTTTGATTGTTAAGCCAAAGTTTGCTGCTCAGTATACATTCTGTTTATTATATTCTAGGACATAAGCATTAATTTTAAAACCGTCACAGCTTTGGTAAGGATATTGTGGATTAGTACCAGGATTGGTAGATTTCTTCTGTTATACTAGAATTTCAGTGTAATGCTGATAGATCAAAGTCAGAATGCCTGTTGGATACTCTGTTCAATACTTGCACGACGGGATCTTTCATACTCCAAACCTCAGCATCTGGCAGTATACCCAGGTAATAAGCCTGCACATGTACTCACTGAATCTAAAATAAAAGTTGAAAAAAACAAACCAAAACAACAACAACTACAAAAAGTCAGAATGCGTAACAATTGAAAAAAAAAAAAATTCGGTTTTATTTTGTGCACATAACATCCATTGCATTTAGGAAATAATCTGTATTTATTTTTTATTTATTGTTAAACGTATTTATTATTTTTATTATTATTTAGAAAAGAATCTGTTGGATTGCTCCTCTGACAGATTAGCTCCTTTCCCCTCCTGTTTCTGGTTCTTGTCCATTTACAGTATGTCAGTTCTACATGATTATATCTATCTTTGGGTAGATACATTTCTGTGCTTTCCCCCTGAATATTGTGTCACAAAGAGTTTTCCAATTTGGCATTTAATTTCCTAGTCATTATTTTTAAATCTCTAAGAATCTTAAACAGTTAATCATCTGATTTTAATTGTGAGAAGAAAACTTTTTTCTCCCACTGGTGTGTCACTCTCCTTTTCTTCTTAAAGTTGACCATTCTGGTTTGGAGATCAGCAGTTATAAAATTATAGATACGTAATACCTCCCTCTTGCTTTTTAATTCTTAAATACTATTTGATGTCATATATAAGGACATCACATTCATATACTGAACTGAATATTTTTGTTTATTTAACAAATATATATTGTGTGCCTTCTATATCACCCAGCTAACTTAAGCATTATGTAATGTATGCAAAATAGGAGAGTTTATTAGAGACAAATTAAAAATATTACTATTAATTATCACCATAGTTATTACACTTAATAATATACACTATACAGTTCATGACTGTTTTTTATTAAGTGCCAGGCCCTAGCTCTAAGACATTGGGATGATTCTAAGATAGTTCATATGGTAATTCATTTAATCTGCTCAGAAATTATGAGATGGAGGTGATATCCATATTCTACAAACGAGGAAGCTGAAGCACTACGTAAGTTGTTCAGGGTCACGCAGCTAGTACGAGAAAGTGCTGGGAGGAAATCTAAGAAGCTGTGGACCTGTCATCATCCTAGTTATGATTTAGTGTCAGGTCAGGCATCCTCTTGAGTGCTGAAAAAAATCTTTGCTTCTTTGGGATTGACAGTCTTTTTTGCTGGCACCTGAGATGGGCCTTGCTAAAGGACATCTGTTTGTCTTCAATATCATTGCCACGTTCTGCAGTTCCGTTAAGTGACCCTGTGTTGAGCAGTTTCTGTGGGCAAGGTACTGTTGCTGGAGTGGTCACTAGGAGATACAGAAATGAACAAGACCATCCTGCCCTCAGCTTACAGTTTAATCAGGAAGAAAGATTAAACTGTAAGCTGAAAATGTACACAAGAAATGTACACAAGAAAATGCACAAAAGAAAATGCAGTACACAAGAAAATGCAGTACATACTGAGTGTGTGCACAAGAAAATGCAGTACATACTGAGTGTGTTGTAGAAGCTCAAAAAGATTATAGAAGCACAGATACATATTTTAATTCCATGCCATGGAGTCAGAGTAGAGAGCATTTTAATTGTTCCTTGATGAAGTTAATAGAAAGGCAAAGGGAATTGACTAGCTTTCATTAGGGAAAACTCTTTAGTATGACAGTAGGAGACTGTTACTTGGAACTTGTCCAAAGAGAGAAAAAAGGAGATGGGAAATCTAAGAGCTATATTGGAACAAATGGATGAGAGAAGGGATGCTGATTTGGGACATGACACCCATACTGAAGCTGTCAGTATCAGTACCTCCTCTGTTGGTCTACTACATGTATGATCTGTTGAAAACCTCGTGAGAAGGGAAATGTTTATAGGCTAGATGCTGTGCAGCTTCCATCACCATCTTGAAAGTAATCCCTCCTTATTATCTCCCTGGTTCATTCATTTTACCTTTTGCAGTTGGTAAGAATGGAAGCATCTTCTCAAAAGATGGTGCAAATCTCTCTTTAGGCTTATAAAATAATTTCAATTGCCTATATTAAAAAGTTACCAGAAAGAATTAGGAAGTCAGGAGCTTTTGAAAACTGTATGTTTTTTCTCCCTCAGTCCAAAAATAACCCACAGTTTTGGTTACATTTCTTTTTTATGTGTGTGCTGGTTATCTTATTTTAGTTTTCTGTTAGGAGAGCTTGAGGATTTTAATAGCATTAATCTTTTGCAATGTAAATTTTATTCTAATAAACAGTGAAGCAATCTGTTAGCCTCTGTAGGGGCTATAAAAGAACATGAGTTGTGGCTACTGCTCTGCCCTCAGGAAGCTTAAGTTGTATTTGAGAAGATGAAATTTTAAGAAAACCTCCGGAGGTACAAATAGGTAATGTGTTTTTATCACGGTAGCAGCTTTTTTCTGTGTTGCCTTCTTGTTTTCCTGTGTTCAGCTATATTAAACTATCATTCACACTGCAGTTTTTAGCCCCTTCCCCAGCTGTGCACTACTCTGCCTCAATTTAGGTGTATCCTAGACAGTGAAGCTCTTCTTGAAGTCACGTACCTGGCTAACACTTTGTGTTCATTGTATCTTTTGTGATGTTCTCTGTAGCACTTAATTGTTTGCTTGTTTTGGCTATTCAGATTCTTTTTTGGTTCCATATGAATTTTAGAATGATTTTTTCTAATTCTGTGAAAAATGGTGTTGGTAGTTTGATAGGAATAGCACCGAATCTGTAGATTGCTTTCAGCAGTATGGCCATTTTAACGATCCTGATTCTTCCAATCCATGAGCATGGAATGTTTTTCCATTTGTTTGTATCATCTGTGATTTCTTTTAGCAGTGTACAACACTTAATTTTACTTTCTAGTATGCTTGTCTTTCTCCCTCATTTAGACTGTAAACTCCTTGAAGACAGAGCCTTGGACATAGAGTTTACTCAGATACCTTTGGGACTGGTAAGAACTTTGGAGAACAACAACAGGTGTTGGGGGACAGTGATAAGTTTAATATTGGTGACTGCATTTGAAGTACAGCAAGATACTCAGATAGAAATGTCTGTTAACAGAACATGGCCTGGCACTTGATTAAGGTGGTAGATGTAGGCCATAATATGGTATGAGTTGCCAAGAGGCCTGTGGATAGATCCCTGGGTAATACCCTCATTTAAGATGTGGTAAAGATTTTAAAAGGGGGTAAATGTGAGCAGAGGAGGATGGGTTAGAGACCTGTGAGAATAAGTAAGTGATACAATGGACAGGAGGGAACAGTACTGTCAAGTGACACAGAATTAAGAGGAGGATGAGGACTGATAAAAAGCCTGAGATCATTAATAGATGATGGCTAATAGAAGCATTAATAGAAGATGGCTCTTCATAGAGAGCCATCTTAGTAGTGTGTGGACAGAAGAATGGATTCAGTTTGTCAGGGTCAAGGTGAGAGTGGGCCATTAGGAGGAAGCATTGTGAATAGATCTTTTTAAAAAGTGGGATAAAAGGAGGGGGAGAAAAAGAATAGCCTGATGGGTTATCAAAATCCAGGAGAGACATGTTTTTTGTTTTTTTTGTTTTTGTTTGTTTGTTTTTTGTGGCAGGGAGGTGGGTGGAGAAAAATGGTCTTTTATGTAGTAGAATGTATCTGAATATTGGCTAGTCTGAGGAAACCAAGAGAAAGGGGATGGAAGTGGTGGTAGCTTGCAGTGGCAATCAAGGAAGCAAGGTCTTGGAGCAGACTTGAGGACCCTGGAAAGAGCTGGAGTAATTTAAGAAGGTCTTGGAATTGAAAGAGGAACATGACAGGAAGTTAGAGATATGTCCGTGGATCATATATGACTGAGAAAAAATTCTGATGGAACTAAGAACTCAGTTTTTAAACTTTTACCAACATTGCTCAGCCAGATGGTATGTCTATTCAGGGGTAGCTAATTAACCAGATGGGTGGTAGGAGGATAAAGAGCAAGTGAGACATAAGAGCAAAACTGGAGTCGCTGACCATTGAGAAGTAAGCATTTTTAGGGAGGCAAGTGTTGATCAGAAAGGATCTTGACTACCTTTGAACTTGAAGGTCAGAATGTTTACACAAGACTCAGTAGAAGTGAAGAGAAATAAAGTGAGATAAGTTGTTCACTGGAGAGCAAATTTTGAAAATAGAACAATTCCAAGGGATGATAAGTTTACCTTGTGGCCCTCCGCTTGAATAGCAGGTAGAGAATACAGATCAAAGTCTTAGAATGAAGGTCAAGAGTGTGTGAAACCAGAGAGTTTGAAGGATCACCAACATGTTGTGATGGAGTGGGCTACAGTTCAACACATCCCTGTTGCCCATATTCTTTGCACTTTGGTGAGTTAACCATAAATAAATTCTTGTCTGATATCCTCTTAAAATAGAATTTACCTTATTTTCCAACCAGATTATTTAAATGTTTTGCAGAAGTGAGTATTGATTTACTGAACTGTTCTTTAATAATCACAGCTGGAAATTGCAAAAGATCATCAACTATGAAACTATATAAATAGAACGAGATAAAGAAATGGGAAAGTGCCTTCTTCCCTTAGTTCTCTATTCAGTTGGTGAAGAACTGTAATAAATCTTATTGAAATCTAGAGTTTTTAATTAAGAAAACAGAAAGCTCATGTTAAATTTACAGATAAGAGTTATGCCTCCCTCAATATTGCCAACTTTATTTTTGTGAGCTCTTTTCAGTGACATAATGAGCATCCTGTTTCCTTAAGCATGTAAGTGTAGGTTCTTGTGAATTGACAGGATAGAAGCTCTTAAGAACTGAGTAGGCCGACAGAGCAGCTGGTGTGACATTCAAGTGTTCATGTTGCCTTCTAGCTCCTGAACAGAAGGAAAAACACAGTTTTAATTTAGAAATCTCTTCTTTGACTATAGCTGAAAATTTCAACACCAGTGAGACTGGAAAATGATAGAACATTTGGTTCTCATATTTAACTGGAGATATAGTATGTTCTTATATTTGGTAAACTGCACAGGATTATATAAAATTAACTTTATTTTTTGAGCTTTTCAAAAGCTTATTTTACTAGGAAACTTACTGTAAAGATGAAAGGTTTCTAAAATGCCTAAATAGAACAATAGAATAGGAGAAAACAAAGTAGTTTATTTTCTGGGAGAGCAAAAGAAAGTAGGTACCTAAGATTCTCTGTTAAACTTTTAAAAATTTAATTTTTTTAGGTGTTTAAAGTAATTTAACATATGTTCAGAATGTATCAATATGAGTCTCCACATTTTTTGAATAAAAGAAATTATTTGCAGTGTTTATGTATATTTGTGTATTATAAGGCTTAAATGGAAAAATATTAGTATACTTGGTACTAAAAATCAAAACACACAAAAAAATCAACTCAAGTAATATTTTTAGAAAGTAGTCTGCTTTCAGTTATCCATGCACATCAAGAATAGCATAATAGGCCGGGTGTGGTGGCTCACGCCTGTACTCCCAGCACTTTGGGAGGCCGAGGCGGGCAGATCACGGAGTCAGGAGATCGAGACTATCCTGACCAACATGGTGAAACCCCATCTCTACTAAAAATACAAAAATTAGCTGGATATGGTGGTGCATGCCTGTAATCCCAGCTGAGGCATGAGAATCGCTTGAACCCAGGAGGCGGAGGTTGCAGTGAGCTGAGTGCACTGCACTCCAGCCTGGCAACAGAGCGAGACACTGTCTCAAAAAAAAAAAAAAAGAATAGCATAATAAAGAACCATAAGTAATTTGCTTATATTTGTTTGAGGAAACTTTTGGATCAAGGTGACAATCCAGCAGTTTGTTCCCTAGTCAAGGTTGAGGCTACACTTTCTGTCAGTAGTGGCTCTCCAGACCAGTAGCATTGGCATCACTGTTATCTGAGAAGTTGTTAGACAGTCTCATGAAGTGTTCGATCAACTGAGTGAGGCTCAGGAATCTGTGTTTTCACAGGTGATTGAGGTGATTCTGATGCATGCTGAAGTTTAAGAACCACTAATCTGTAGTGTGTTAACTTTTAAGTTTGTTCTGGTTTTGGTAAATTCAGAGGGATTGTTTTTGGTTTTGTAAGTATAACCTTGCAAAATTAGACCAACCTCCCAAGAGACAGCTATCATAAATGTTTGGGATAAGATGATACCAACTGACTTGACCGTAGACCAAAAATTTCTATAGTTCAAGATACCTGTGTTTGAGATCATTCACATTAAAATTTTATCATATACTCTGCTTAATTAAGTACTTTGTTGGCATGAATGAATAATCTGTACTGAAAATGACAGCTATCAAAAGCCAAAATAGTTATCTAACAGCCCCAGGGAGGGAGGTGAGTCACCTATTCTGCTTTGGGCTGGCATATTTCTTTATAGACTAAAGGGTGTGGGAAACAGGAGCTGTGCTTGGGCCTTTAGGATAAGAAAACCTGGGTGGTTTTTTCTTTTTTACACTTTCACTGAGCCAGACTGTTACATTGTGGTTTCATCATTTTAATTGAATTGTGGAATTCTGAAATATGAGAGAAACAAAATAAATAGGCCCTGTAAATGCACATGCAAATAAATTTTTATTATTATCAATAAACGAATCTCGTTTACTCTGACTAAAAACAGATGAAAGCAATTATAAAGGCTGCTGTGCCATCCAGCCCCTCCCTACTGACTGCTTTGACTTCTTCGAAAAAAAGGACAGTGGAAAGTGAAAACAAGCAGCTAGAGATGACAGTGTAGTGAGAATAAGAGTCAGACATCAGAGAAATGAAGGCAGAAGAACATTTCAATAGGGAGTGGTTAACAGTAGCAAAGGTTGCTAGTAGGTTAGATTAGGGCTAAATGTGTCCATTAGATTTAAGAACAGGATCAATGGTCACCTGGAAGAGTAGTTTCAACGCAGCATAAAAGAGGAAGCTAGATTGTCATGGGTTGATTTATGAGTGGGAGATAGTGTAGAAACAGCAAATTTTGGAGCAGATGTTAGTTAGATGTGGAGTTAAGTGTTTTTTTTACCAAATGGTATTTACTGGGTAAGATTGTATTCATTATTATTTAGACCTTGCCAACTTTATTACCATGTTGATTTGGCAGATTTTTATTTAGCATGGGTAACCCTAACAAATTATTTTTCAAATAAATGTATTGTTTCTTTCAGGCTGTATGAAATATTATAATTCAGTATTATTTCTTTGCATACCCTCAAGAATCTAAGACCCTGGTTAAAAAACTTTGCCATGTAGCAGGCGTGTAATTCCTTTTAAAATCTGAAATATCCTTTAACTTATTCTGTTGTCTAAAAGGATTTAAAGGAAAGCTATAATATATCTGGCATACCAAGATGGTTTGAAAACTCCTTGAAAGCTGTGACTTTCTCTTAACTCATCTAACACCTAACATATTCTTTTAAACAGTGTTAGGAAGTTTTGTTTAGCTCTGCTATTTAAATTGTGGTTGCTTCCATTGTAAAATCTGTTTTTCAAATTTATTTTAGCTTATGGTTCAAGAGTACCTACTATGTTCCAGACAGTGCTGGGGTTAAAAATGAATGGCACAGATTCTCCCATGAGTTACAGTTCACTGGGAAGGACAGAGAGGTAAACAAATCATTGCAGCTGTGTGATAAAGGCTATAATAGAAGAACAAATTAATGCCTTCCTTATTCTAATCTAGTTGTTTCCCACCCTGAGAGATTTGCTAAAGTGTTCATGCCAAGTTTATAACTGACAGCAGCTGTAACTTGCCCTTTAAAGTACTGTACTTAGTCTCTGCCTCTGGAAGAGTCTACTAGATAAGTAAGTTACTTAGGGGAGTAGGACTAATTTTAGTCAACACAGACACAGGGATGGTATTTAGGAATCCTTTGAGACTAATAAATCAGGCATTTTAGATAATGCTTATTTTCTGCTTTATCAGCTCTATAAAACTAAAATCCTTTGGTGAATTTACTCTTGTTTATATGTTATTCTTTACTCATCTAATATAAATTACTTTTCTAAACAAGCAGTATAGGTTTAATGATCTTTTATGTGAGTGTGTATGTTTTCTTTAAGCCCCTTAAGAAGTGAAAAATGTGACTTGAGTAAATTTAAATTTGAGTCATTCCTTGATTTCTTTAAAGCATTTTAATGAAATAATTTGAATGTACCAAAACTTTGTAGAATAAACTCTTTACCATTCTTAATCTTGTAGTATCTGTTTGATATGTATAATAATAGACCATCTGCTCTTTTCACTATGAGAGTGAGATATTACATGCAAGCACTTATATTTAAGTTTACAGTAAATTATCATGGTTGAAGGACTTCAGATTTTTAGGGTGTGAATCGGGTAAAAGGTTATTGTCTTTCTGCAGAAAGTGACTATGTAAGAAGGTTGAAAGATCATAGTCTTTTTGGAAGACTGAGTAATAATAAAACTCCAGTCTCGTGTTAAAAAAAAAAAAAAAGAAAGAAAGATCATAGTCTCTCTTGATAAGATATGGAGATCAAAGATGGATAAAGCATGGTTTGTTGCCTTTAAATAACTTTTCAGTGTAATGGGCCATAAATTTAGGCTCAATTATGTGGTATACTATCCAAACCTTCTATAGGACATTTGCAGTGCTAAGTTTCAGCTTGTCCACACTGATTGAGAATCACTGCTGATATCTAAGAGGACTGGGTGGGGTAGGGCTGGATTTTTAAACTCACGAGGTAGCTGTCACTGTCAATAAAATGCCAATAGCAACCACAGTGAGAAACAGCTATGTAGGCTAGCTCTCGCTCTTGGTGTAACTATGTCTGTGTGCAAAGGAAGTGGAATTGATTTTGTGTTACAGAAAAAAACACACACAAAGAAAAAAACACACAATGAAAATGGAGATCTCTTGAGTTCTTTTTTGAAAGCCCGTAGTCAAAAATTATTTTTTAGTTCTTTGTTAGTCAAATGGTGCATCTAATGGTCAGGGTGTCAGTACCAGTTTCGAAGTACAGTGCCAGTTATTTCCCTGATGGTAGTAGCCTCCTTAAAACTTGGATATTGTTTATCCTGCGATTTAAATTTCAGCTATTTACTCTCATTTTTAATGATTTTGTGAGTATTTAATACTTGCTTTATTTTATAAGTATCTTTATCCATTTTGGAAGTAGACAATTATGAGTGTTTGGTTTTAATGGCCATAAAATGAACTATTGGATTTGATCTCCAACATCCCTTTAGCTGTTAAATTCTAGAATTCTTTGCTTTGTAACCATGATTTAACAGAAAAGTCTTTTTAAAATAGTGTTTTATTTTGATTTAGTAACTTTTATAAAAAGTAATACTTGCTTAATCACTCCAAAAAATCAGTAATTACTCTGATTAAGGTATCATATTAGTATATTTGGGTCCGGGGAATAAGCTCTAATTGTGTACAGTTATGTCAAAGTTGATATTAATTTATGAGATGGTACACATTGACTTCTAAACACCAAAGAACTAAAAATTTGAAACTTAAAACTTTGTATTCTCATTAAATGAATGAAAATAAAGTGTCTTTATCTTTAGAAGATTTTTTTTTAAACCCTAAATCAATAATTTGTGCTCATATAGAACCAGTCATGGATTAAGACCCTTTGTAAATACTAGTTTTGGATTTAAAAATTTTCTGAGACATGTATTAAAACTAATCAAAATTTGACTTAACATTTAAATTATTTCAGTATATCAAATCATATACTGATTCTCTTTTCCTCTTGTTTTAAAAATCTTATTAAACCTTCCATATCTGAAATGGTTTGAGGTCTTCCTCATCTGGGGTGGGAGAAGGCTATTCTCTGCAGAATGGATCTGCAAATATTCTTAAAGAACAGTAAAAATAGCTAAAATGTATTTGTCATTTACTGTGTGTCAAGGTAAGTTCAAAGGGTTTACATGTATTTACACATTTAATAAGATGTGTACTGTTTTTGTATCTTTATTTTACAGATGAGCCTGTTACATAATAGGTGTGTATGTCCAAGGCAAAGTAAAATAGATCTGTTACCTCCCTTTGTTAGATATTACGTTCCTGGCCCTACTGCCTGAGAACACACATGCTTTGGGAGTGAGGGAAGGCACTTACATCAGTCATGCTAATTAACACCAAATTAATGCATTTTTTAGCTTTGAGTAAACTGAACTTTTGTCTTTGCATATATGGTGTTGCATTTCTTATATGCCATATTTGTACAGTTATGTTTTGGGAATTAAATGTAAGAGGCCATACTTCTATACCAATTAAATTTAACCTCTCATTCCCATTTGTCCAGATCCCAATTCTGTCATGTAACGTATTGCCGATTTTTACCTAGCTTTGAGTTGCTTATAGATTGGGTAAATACAACTTCTAGGTCTTCAAATTTCTAACAAAAATTTCGAATCATTCAGGAATTAGGAACCCAACAGTGCGTTAAGAAAACACCTCTTTCTAGATTGGTCCTTTTCTATCTAATATATTTAGTTGTATTAGCATATATTTCTGTCTTGCCTGCAAAAATCTCATGCTGATGTACAATATTAATAATCATTTTTAGCACTCCATGTCTTACCTGTTAATTTACTTTGCTATTTTCTTATATTTATTTAGTTTTTCTAATAATTGATTTTTTATTGTTGAGTCTGGATAACTTTTCTCTTCTTTTTTGTTTTTTTTTGTTTTTTTTTTTTTTTGAGTCTCGCTTTGTCCCCAGGCTGCAGTGCAGTGGCGCGATCTCCGCTCACTGCAAGCTCTGCCTCCTGGGTTCACACCATTCTCCTGCCTCAGCCTCCCGAGTAGCTGGGACTACAGGCGCCTGCCACCAGACCCAGCTAATTTTTTGTATTTTTTAGTAGAGACGGGGTTTCACCGTGTTAGCCAGAATGGTCTTGATCTCCTGACCTCGTGATCCGCCCGCCTCGGCCTCCCAAAGTGCTGGGATTACAGGCATGAGCCACTGCGCCTGACCAAGTCTGGTTAACTTTCACACAACGTTTCCTTGCTCTGTAAAGTAACCTTATGAAAGAAGGAATTGAAATTGTATTATTAACCAACCTCTTTATGAGCTCTAGTAACTACTAGGATATAATCATCCTTTTGTCTTTTTCTAAGGCCCTACCCATTCACAGTAAAGATTATATGTCAGTAAAAATCCACCTTATTGTTCTTTTTGAATACTGTAACCTTTTTTGCCCACCTCCAGTCTTCCGCTACGTGTGCTTGTGCGTGTGTGTGTGTGTGTGTGTGTGTGTTTTGTAATACCTCAAAGACTACCAACAGTGGTTTGTTCAGAGACAACATTTATTCTGGGATAAATTTTGTAAGCCAGGAGGCCTACATGTGCTTTCTTTAAAATCTCCCTCTTCTTGGGCCTCAGCTTGCACTTAACATTTTTTCTTAGACTTTTCAAGTAGAAGATAAAATTCTATTAGAAAACAAAGAGAAGCAAAATAGATGTTCTGCTTTCTGTTGTATATCAGTCCCAAATAGCCTGTGTCTCAACTTGATTGTCATGTTGTAGCTAACAAGTGAAAAGCAAAACTTTTTTATTGTCCTTCGTATTTTTGTCAACCAGCCAGTTAGATGAATGGAAGAGTGGGTAAAGAAGAAAATAGTAAAAGGAGCTATGGGTGATCTAGAAATAGACAACAACCTGCTGCATAATTTGTAGGTGATTGGTAATTCAAATAGGTCCACTTTGGGAAAGTGGCTCATTTGCATTTGGTGCTTTTGTCTGGGCTTCCTTTTCTTTAAATTTCTTTAAACAGTGAGGGAATTGAGCATGATTAATATTCATGTGCTTATCAAAGCTCTGTGGCTTGCAAAGTAATAGAAAACTCAACCCCTGAAGGGCATTTATTGACAGATTACGGAAAAGATCAGTGATGGGACAAACTTTAGTCACTGATTGACCCAGGGGCTCAATTGATGTCCAGGATTGACAGCCACATGCTATCTCTATCTCTCTCTCTCTCTCTCTCTCTCTCTCTCTCTCTCTCTCTCTCTCTCTCCTGTTTGAATTCTCTGTTTGAATTCTGTGAAGAGAAAAGACAGATTGGCACATAGGAATAAAAAAAAACAGTTTTATTACTGATAAAAGCTGGAATGGATGACTTGGTTTTTGTGTGACAACAACGCTCTAGTATTGAACCCAGAACTAAGCAATTATTTACCTCTACTCCAGTAGGCTTTTAAACCTTGGGGTCTGCCCCTAAAAATTCAAACCAGAATACATGAGTCCTCCAGTTATCTGGCTCCCCAAAGAAGGCAGAGGTGAAGAAGCTACATATGTCTAGTTTCTCTAGGAAAATCTCCTATCAGGCAGGTCATTTCACGTCCATGGTGATTGATGGGATAGCAGGCCAGGAGTTGTTGAGGAAAATTCCTCTTTGTGGAAACCAGAGGACGGATGAACAAACATGCCCTCAACACACAGACTTATCTTAATTATTTTATTTGTTAAATAATAATCTATTTTAAGGTTAGTGTGATGTTCAGGCCAACAAATTCTGGATATAGAAACCTAAGGAGATTATCAAATAACCACCCTCTCCAGTTTTTCAAGTTGGATTATTATTATAATTGATGTGTGCGTAGGAGGGAACCCACTTTGCCTGGGAGATGAGTAAAATTGGTAATAATTAGACAAGCATAAGGATTTGTGAAGTGGGAGGAAGGAGGCAATGCAAGAAAATGTCTTGCAGAATCTGTAACTGTCACATCTTTGCAAGTTTAACCTAAGGCAAGCAAACTTTTCTCACCCAGCCATCCTCAACTCACTCATATGAATTCTAAGTTTTTAGCCCATTCTCCAGTTCAGTCATTCTCACAAGTGTGCTCCCTAGACTGATAGCATCAGCATCACCCCAAAAATTATTAGAAATGCAGATTATTGAGCCCCACCTTAATCTGCCTGAATCTAAAGATGCTTGAGGTGTGGGGCCCAGCAATCTAACTGATTCTCTGGGTGATTCTGATATATGCTGAAGTATGAGGACCATACACCATGATGTACAGACATCTTCATAGCAGTTTCATAGCTGAAGATTTATTGCATTTGCCATTCTAATCTTTTCTAGTTCTAATCATCAAACATTTTAAAAATATTTTGGAGTGCAGGTAGATTGCTTGAGGTGGGAAGACGTTAAATCTGTAAAATGGAGCCAGACAGTCATGAGCAGCAGTGGGACTGCATTTTCATCTTGTAGGTTTAGATTTAGTGGCATGATGCCTATTTCAAAAACTAAATGTAGCAGCAAAATGCTTAGGGCATTGTATGTGTGAGACATTAGAATGAGGAAGAACCAAGGGGTTAATGATTATAATTTGCATAGAGGAACTTGAAGATCAGGAAGAAAAGGGGTTATATACAGAAGAGACTTTTCAAAGGTAGAATTAACTTAGTAACTGACTGAAGCCGGAAAGGATGGAATCAAAGATGATTTAAGATTCCTAGCCGAGGTGGTAAGGATAATGGTGGTGGCAGAGCTATTTAATGAGTGAATGAGATGAGTCCATTGTTGGGCATGTTAACTTTGAGGTGATTGTATGGAGAGGAGAGCTTATCTTTAGGCAGATTAGTATAATAGGAGGACTTGAAAGTATGATGAAGAAATAAATGTAATGCATGTATTCATTCCTCAAACTTTTACTGAGTGTCTACCATGTGTCTGGTACAGTTCTAGGTTCTCAAGATGTAGTAATGGGCAAACTCTGCCCTCAGAACTAATACTGTAGATGGAGGGAAAAAAATAACATATAAACAAATGAACAAGATAAATTCAGGTAATAAGAAGACTGGGCAAGGACAACAAAAGAGTAGAGAATTTCTTTAGATAGGGGGTCAAAGGAAGACCTGAGGTGGTAACATGTGACAAATCATATAGAGTATAGTTTTTGCCGGCCAAAAGATTTTAGAGTCACAGAGTGGCCAATGAGAATTACAGGAAATAATATTAAAGGATCTGTTATGCTTTTTGTCCTTTCAGGGGCTATTCCATATGAAAGACTTGGAGAGAGAGATCCAAGTATAATGTTAAAAGGAACTTGGGCTTGGAGACAGTCCACCTCAGACATTTCAGCCATTTGTTAGCTGGGCAGAAAACTCACTTTCTTGAAGTCTGCTCTTATCACTAGAAGAAGAAGGAGTAACACCTCATGGGATTAAATTGTAATGATTAAGTGAGAGAATGAATTTAAAACAACTAGCATAGTGCTTGGAACAATAACAGTAATACTGAGTGGATCATAAAATTCAGTCATGTGAAGTGCAGTTTTATTTAATAATGTAATCTAATGTCTTCTGATGTACAGTTTTATTTAAAAGTTGTACTTTGATCTTTTATCATGCAAAGCACTTTAAAAGCACAAGACTGGAGTTCAAAAATATTTATATTATTAAATTATCTACTTTAGCTACCTGGTGACATTTAGAAAATATGCTTACATGCATAATACTCTTAAGATAGATTTTATTAACTTTTAAATATTTTCTTCTTACAGATGTGTATATCTCATGATTGATATGGAGAAACTAGTCATGGGCCAAAGGTCAAGATACTTCTCTGGGAAATGTTGCTGCTGATGCTGCTTTACAAAGTCATACAATGAGTGTTTGGTTTAAGAAAGATTTTCATACTTAAAAGATTTTCATCTTGGAAATACATCAAGTGAAAATTAAATTCTTTTGGGAAACATTTTCCTTCTGATATATTATACTTGTAATGGGCGACATGGCAAACAACTCAGTTGCTTACAGTGGTGTGAAAAACTCTTTGAAGGAAGCTAATCATGATGGAGACTTTGGAATTACGCTCGCAGAGCTGCGGGCTCTCATGGAGCTCAGGTCCACAGATGCATTACGAAAAATACAGGAAAGCTATGGAGATGTCTATGGAATTTGCACCAAATTGAAAACATCTCCCAATGAAGGTGAGTTTTATTATGCTTGTTTTTGGTTCTTTGTGCAAAGAGTTCTATATATTTGGCTTATAAATGAGCATGCTTATATTATCTTGGCGATTGTATGATTATGACATAATTATAGTGACATTAAAAATGGGTTAGTTATCAGATTAATACAGTTAAAGTATTTTTATATTAACACATAAATGTTGCAAATTAATTTATATGTTTTAGATTGGCGGGATGAAATATTTTGTTCCATTATATATACTACTGCTTCCTGTTTATGATAAAAAGATTGTCTTCCCTTTGAGCTATAGAGGATGGAACCAGGCTTGGATGCCTCCCAGGGATTTGGTGGAAATAAACTCTCAGATCACTATCCTTCATTTTGCTGGGTGGCTTAAAATAGTTGTCACTCTCAGTAGTTGATTGAGTTGGTTTTAGCATATGAGGCTTAACCTAACCTTTAATAATTAGCTCAGGAGTTCCTAAAGCAAATGAAATAGAAGAGATGGAAGTTAGTTTTTCACCTAACAGACATTTCCTTTAATGAAACTAGTTTTTAGTCTTTGAATTATGTTGAATATTCCTGTGTTCACAGAAGCCTTTGGTTTCATAAATTTGTATTTGTGGCAGGTTTTCCTTTTGAGAATCAAAAAGGAGAATTCATTATAACTTTCTGGCATTATGGTCTTTGAAATGATTTCAGAAGATTGCCTTTCATAAATTAATCAGATTAAACATAAAATAAAGGTTAGGACATTCCAGGAAAGCATTTCCAAATTGTAAAGGCAGGGATGGGAAGGGACACATATGAGGATGAATGGGGATTACAATTTATTTTATTAAGGATGAGAAATTATTAATGTAAAATTTTAAAGTATATTAGTATATATTCCAAAGCTAATTCTAGAGAAATTAAGCAAAAGTATTTTTCTTAATATTTTTCCTGAAACATTTTATGCCATGCTATTGCTTAGATAATATATAATGTAATAGCAAAAAGTCTTTTCCAAAATTAAATAACTTTAAATTATATTTAAAAATTCTTTAAAACCTTTGTAACCTATGTAATTCATTGTGAATTGTTAATTATTTTAATGATAGGTAGTTACTTTGATTTCTCTGAAGTAGCATGATCTTGAGGAAGCCAGAGTCAGTATTCACACATGTCCCAACAGGGCTTCTTTAGACTATTTGGAATATATTCTTTGCCTGCAAGACCTGTTAACTCTTCAAGGTTTTCTGTATCTTTTCAAATTGGAACCACTAGAAACACCAGCTTCTTAGTTATACCTTAGATATGCTACACCATTTTGATGTAGTTGGGTTTGATTACTACAAGATTGATCCCAACTATTAATACATTAAAATGGTATTGCATATCTAAGGTATAACTAAGAGTATCAGGAACAGTTCCCATGGACTTGAATAGACAGTAATTTGACAAAATTGGTTGCATACTTAAGGTATAACTAAGAGTATCGGGAACAGTTCCCATGGACTTTAATAGACAGTAATTTGACAAAATTTGAAGCTTGTTCATTATGCAAACCGACTTTGAGATGTTATATAGCATCTTAGAGATTTGTACATTAGTATGCTATTCTCAGCTGGTAGATCTATTAATTCAGCTTAATCATTAAAAAATCTCATTGTTTTATCATCATCAAATTGATAGGGGACACTAACATTAAGGAGCCCTCAATATAACAACATAGTTTGTTCATAAAAGCAATATTGAACTTTAGTTTCAAATCTTCACTCAACTGTACTTCCCCTAACCAGGTCCTTGCATTTCTCTATTAATCAAAGTTCTTGTCTTCTGATAACTGAATACCCCACCATTTGAGAATGAGAATGGCTTCTCATTTTTATAGACATGATTTCTCATGAGTTTGCACTACAGTTTCTTTCACGGTATTATTTGGAGCGGTGCCTTTTAAATTGGCTTAATTAGTGAAGTTAAGTTAACTGAAAATTTTACCTCTAGTACAGTGGTTTTTAAAATTTGAGAAGGGGATAGTTATGTACCCTTTTGACAGTATGTTGGAAGCTATGGATAATCTCTAGAAATATCCACTTAGCACTCAAAATTCTATGTGAGGCCGGGCGCGGTGGCTCACGCCTGTAATCCCAGCACTTTGGGAGGCCGAGGCGGGTGGATCATGAGGTCAGGAGATCGAGACCATCCTGGCTAACAAGGTGAAACCCCGTCTCTACTAAAAATACAAAAAAATTAGCCGGGCGCGGTGGCGGGCGCCTGTAGTCCCAGCTACTCGGGAGGCTGAGGCAGGAGAATAGCGTGAACCCGGGAAGCGGAGCTTGCAGTGAGCCGAGATTGCGCCACTGCAGTCCGCAGTCCGGCCTGGGCGACAGAGCGAGACTCCGTCTCAAAAAAAAAAAAAAAAAAAAAAAAGAAAAAAATTCTATGTGAATTGTTGCTGCTTTGGGCTATTAGATAAATTCATGCATTATCCCCTCTCTAATTCGTAGACAGTTTTTGCTCATGTTCTTCCTAGTATTGTGAATTTAATATTTACTAAAATTTGTATAAACTTGTCCTCACTGTTTATATATACACAATTTGTTTTTTTGAAATATTTTAAAAAGAATGTGAAGCAAGCCATTTTAAGCATTATACTTATATTTACAGTTGAAAATACAAATGAAAACAGCAGTGCAGTGGCTCGCACCTGTAATCCCAACACTTTGAAAGGCCAAGGCGGGAGGTTTTCTTGAACCTAGGAGTTTAGGACCAGCCTAGGCAATATAGCAAAACCCCATCTCTGCAAATAAAAAGATTAACCACTGTGGTGGCACATGCATCTCTGCTATTCAGGAGGCTGAGGCAGGAGAATCACTTGAGTCCAGGAGTTTGAGGCTGCAGTGAGCTATGATTGCACCACTGCACCTCAGCCTGGGTAACAGAGGGAGACCCTGTCTCAAAAATAAAAAAAACACAGCAGCAGCCTTCACAAGAATGTTATTTCCAAAGGAATATTCATAGTTTTAGTTTAACTTAGTGGAAATAATTCACTCGGAAGCATTTTGTCACTGATCAAGCATACAAATGGTAATAAATGAAACATGACCAGGAGTAAGCAATTAGGAGTTTGTACGTCCAAGGAAATGAACTAGACAGCAAGTACTCTTTCGTTAGAATACCCTGTTTATAGTCAGGGAAAGTGAGAATTAAACTGATTCTTCAAAGTACATGAATTTCAGTTAGGTAAAACTGAAGTTGTCTTACCTGTCCCTTTAGTTCATTCATTTATTGATTCATTCATTGACATATACTTTCTTCAGACATGGGATATTGATTGTCCTGTGTTTTATATACTTCCTCTAAAAAAGGTGGTGGGGCCTGGCAGTTACTGGGAAGGCAGTTGTTGGTGTATAATTAAATCATCACAATTTTAGAGACTTTATGTAAGAATATGTGCATCTTAGAATTGCTGAAATTTTGTAGTATTTATTAGTATCTGCCACGCAGTAGGCATTTTTCTAGGCCCTGGGTATACAGCCATGAATAAAACAAATATCTCTGCCTAATTTTCACATGTTCACATGGGGAGACAGTTCACAAGACAACTAGTAGTGTGTTGGCGATACATGTTTAAAAAAAATGAGTGGAGAAGGGAAATCAGAAATATTGGGGGTGTCGATATTGGATTTCTGTCAAGTATGGAGGAGCAACCCAAGACATTTCTTAAGCAAAACCACAAAAATGATAGGCTATCCTTATGATGGGTAACACTTTTTGTGCCATATTGGCTATTAGCACTTGAAAATATTAAAATAAGTTAATATTTTAACAAGTTTATCCTATTTTACAGCCAAAGAACCCTCAGGACAAAAAAGTTAAGCAGTTTACCCAGAGTCTCACTCTGGCTCCAGTCTTATTCTGGCTTCAGAGACCATGCTTTAACCACTGCATTGTATGTTACCTGTTACAAAAGTTCAGTTCACATAGCTTGTAAAAGAGTTGCACTATGAAGAAAGAGGTAGCTGTGTTCCCTCTTCTCTATAGTAATTTTTGATAGGGGAAAAAATTTTTGGAATTACATGGTGAAAAAAATTTTGGTTTAAGGTTCTGCTTATCAATTTGTTCTTTATTTAAAAAACATACCCTGGCCAGGTATGGTGGCTCACACCTGTAATCCTAGCATTTTGGGAGGCTGAGGTGGGAGGATCGTTTGAACCCAGGAATTTGAGACCAGCCTGGGCAACATTAAAAAAGAAAAAAATGAGCCAGGAGTGGTGGCACATGCCTGTGGTTCCAGCTACTCAGGAGGCTGAGGTGGGAGGATCGCTTGAGTGTGGGAGGATCGCTTGAGTGTGGGAGGATCGCCTGAGTCAAGGCTGGCAGTGATCCATGTGTGATCCCACAAAAGAGTGAGACCCTGTCTCAAGAACAAAAAGAGTGCCCTATTCAAGAAATTGTATTTATGTGATTCCTGTTTGTCTTGCCCATTTATCACTTGTTTTCTAACAATATGTTTTGAAGAATATCATATGCATACTGGTCAATAGGAAGTGTTTTGACCAGATATAATTTTCATATTAAAAACTTCCCAGTGGTTCTGATTAACCATCCTAACTCCTAAAGAAATTGGAACTGTAAATTTCAAAGTGAACTGGAATTGAGGCTTGTAACTTCATATTTTTGGCTCCGTTAGAGAAAGCATCTGTCTTACAGTCCTCAGAATCCAAGAATGCACTTTTATACCAAAATAACCTGCTTATAACATCCTAACTGCATAAAATTACCTTCACAGTTTTTTTTTCTTCTGTATCTTTGTTGTTTTCCTGCATTGACTTTCTTATTCATATTCTGAATCACATTCCTTGATCCTTATATTTTTACACTAGCTTTTGGTATATCTTTCATCTCATTGTGGTCCTATGTTATATTTTATACTGGATGGTAGGGTTTCTGGTATACAGGCCTCCAGCCCTAGGATCATGTTTGTTATTCAGAGTTCTACATTAAAAAAGGAATTCATTTTTATAAATGAATTCATAAAAATTAAAGGCAGGTGCCAAGTGGTATTCTGTAAGAGGCATGGCTTCATGGACTTGTAAAGGGCAAGAAAGCAAATGAGACACTAAGCTTTTAAGTGGTGGTTGCTGAAATTAGGTCCAGGAGTTTCTCCTGAGCTTTAGGTTTGAAAGCCCAAAACACACAAAACCCACAGTGTTTAACTGGTTGCTTGTCAGTCTCCCCCACCAAACTATGAGCTCTTTGAGGGCAAGTGGTAGGGAAAGGCATCCTGAGTCATTTCCCTTTGTATGTCTAGTGCACAGTGACGTAGTAGGCATTTGGGAAAGAATGTGTAAGTTTGACTTTAGAACAGTGTCTCTTAAATTTGCAGTTAGGGACGGGATTGCCTCCTCTTTTGAAATTGAGAAAATCATGAGAATATTAGATTGTTTCCCAAGAAGAATAAACATAAACATAAATTTTTATGTACTTTCTTGGTCTGCACATTTTCCGGTGTCCCTCACTTAGAAAAGTCAGTTTGGCTGCTGCTATAGGTCCACCATGATACAGACTGTGTTACTCCGTTTGCGCACTGCTATAAAGAAATACCTGAGGCAGGGTAATTTATAAAGAAAAGAGGTTTAATTGGCCTCATGGTTCTGCAAGGCTGTACAGGAAGCATGGCATCAGCATCTGCTTGGCTTCTGGTGAGTCCTCAGGGAGATTTTACTCATGGCAGAAGGTAAAGTGGAAGCAGGCACATCATATGGTGAGAGAGGGAGCAAGAGAAACAAGGGGGAGGTCCCAGACTCTTTTAAACAGCCAGATCTCATGTGAACTAACTGAGCAAGAACTCACTTATCACCAAGGGGATGGTGCTAAACTGTCCATGAGAAATCTTCCCCCATGATCTAATCACCTCCCACTAGACCCCACCTCCAACATTTGGAATCACATTTCAGCATGAAATTTGGAGGGAACAGACATCCAAACCATATTATTCCACCCCTGCCCCCACCAAATCTCGTGTCTTTCTCACATTTCAAAATACAATCATGCTTTCTCAACAGTGTCCCAAAGTTTTAACTAATACCAGTATTAATTCAAAAGTTCAAAGTCCAAAATCTCATCTGGAGATGAGTTCCTTCCATTTATGAGCCTGTGAGATCAAAAACAAGCTATTTACTCCAAGATGCAGTTGTGGTACAGGCATTGGTTTTACCTTCCCATTTCAAAAGGGAAAAATCAGCCAAAAGAAAGGAGTGGTAGACCACACAAGTCTGAAACCCAACAGGACAGTCATTAGAGTTCCAAAACAATCTTCTTTGACTGCATATTCTGCATCTAGGGCACACTGATACAAAGGGCGATGTCCCAAGACCTTGGGCAGCTCCGCCTCTGTGGCTTTATAAGGTAGGTGCAGCCCCTGTGGCTACTCTTAGGTTGTAGTTGAGTGATTGAGGCTTTCTAGGCTTAGGATGCAAACTGCCAGTGGCTCTACTGTTCTAGGATCTAGAAAACAATGGCCCCCTTCCCACAGCTCCACTAAGCAGTGCCCTAGTGGGGGGACTTTGTGGGTGCTCCAACCCTACAATTCCCCTTGGCACTGCCCTAGTGGAGTTTCACTATGGGGGCTCTGCCCCTAGGCGGGCTTCTCTTGTGGCACCAAGCCTTTCTGATATTTCCTTTGAAATCTAGGGGAAAACTGCCAAGCCTCCTCCACACTTGAATTCTGAGTATCTGCAAATTTAATACCACATAGGAACTACCAAGGCTTACGGCTTGCACCCTCCAGAGCTGTGGCCCAAGCTGTTCCTGGGCCCCTTTGAGCAGAGGCTGGAGCCAGAGCAGCCAGGATGCAGGGAGCAGTCTCCTGAAGCTGAGCAGGACAGCTGCACCCTGGGCCTAGCCCTTGAAAGCATTCTTTCCGCCTAGGCTGCTGGGCCTGTGATGGGAGGGGCTATCCCAAAGATCTCTGAAATGCCTTCGAGGCCTTTT
The DNA here is from genome assembly GCF_000001405.40 of Homo sapiens. NCBI lineage: Eukaryota > Metazoa > Chordata > Mammalia > Primates > Hominidae > Homo > Homo sapiens. The sequence continues at coordinate 89,648,717 of NC_000012.12, read as the reverse complement.
TCTCATTGCCTTATCTATTAGCACTCAGCTCTCTTTTAGTCATGCTAATCTCTCTAGAAAGTGATTGCACCACAGCCCACTTGTTTTCCTTCTCTACCACAGGTCCAGGCTGCACATTTTCCAGACTTTACCCTCTGCTTTGCTTTTAATTATAAGTTCCAACTTCAGGTCATTCCTTTGCTCCTGCTAATAGTAGGCTGTTGAATCAGCCATGCCTGTTCTTGAATGTTTTGCTGCTGAGAACCGTCTTGTGCTAGATACCCTAGGTCATTACTCTTAAGTTCAAACTTCCACAGATCCCTCAGGCATGGACACAATACAGCCAAGTTCTTTGCTAAGGCCTAACAAGGGTGACCCTTGTTCCAGTTCCCAGTAAGTTTCTCATTTCCATCTGAGAACTTGTCAGCTTGGACTTCAGTGTTTATATCTCTATCAGCATTTTGGTCAGAACCGTTTAACCAGTCTTTAAGAAGTTTCCAGACTTTCCCTCATTTCCCTGTCTTCTTCTAAGCCCTCCAAACTCTTCCAGCCTCTGCCTGTTACCCAGCTACAAAGCCGCTTCCACTTTTTAAGGTATCTTTATAGCAGTGCCCCACACCTCAGTACCAATTTTCTGTGTGTGTTCATTTTTGTGTTGTTATAAAGAAATACTTGAGACTGGGTAATTTATAAAGAAAAGAGATTTAATGGGCTCACAATTCTGCGGGCTATACAGGTAGCATGGCACTGGCATCTGCCTGGCTTCTAGGGATGTCTCAGAGTGCTTTTACTCATGGCAGAAGGTGAAGCAGGAGCAGGCACGTTACATGATGAGAGTGAGAGTGAGAGAAGGAGGAGTTCCCAGACTCTTAACCAGATCTGGCATGAACTACTGAGCAAGAACTCTCTTATTACCAAGGGGATGATGCTGAACCATTCATGAAGGATTCGCCCCCATGATCCAATTACCCCACTAGACCCCACCTCCAACATTTGTAATCACATTTCAACGTGAGATTTGGAAGGGATAAACATCCTTACTATATCACAGACATACATACATGTACATGTAATATAAACACATACAGACACACATATACATATGATATATACACAAATACAAAATTTCTAGTACAGAATTTGATAAGACTGTAGTATGTGCTGTGTGTTAGCTGTGATTGTCGGTTAAATCTACATCCAACATTCCAGTAAATTCCCCCCACTTTATTCCTAAATTGGGACATAATTTTATTAGTGCCTGCAATTGGGATGCTACATTTTCTTGTAAAATATTAAGGTCTTAATATAAGTGACATTTTATTTCATTGTATGTTCTTTTCAAATATAAAGACAGTACTTCTGAGCTGTTATCTACTCATAGATCAAATATAGACTTTTATTTCTCCAAACAATGATGGAGTCAGACCCCAAAAGCATGTAATTCTGAGGCTACTTTTGATGTGTTTTGGTTATATTTTCTCTTTGTGAAGTTAACTGGGCCATAAGAAGATCAATTCCATGCATGACCTTGGCCTCATTGCCACTACACTACAATTAACTGAGCCAATTAGGCAGAAGAGTTCTCATTATATTTTCTTATAAGTTATTCCTAGTAATTTGATATCATTATTTATATTTTTAAAACTAGGACCAGTAATTTCTTTGCCAGTTCCACCAGCTTAGCTATATCTCATACTTTACTTTCTCCCTCCTTACAGTAGAAGCCTCCTCCTGCATCTGTATTAGACAAACATTGCAGCCCTGAATTGCATGGCCTCTGGCCCCTTCGAAGGCTTACCTGTGGTATTACCCTTCATCTCCTGTATCATCAGTGTTGTCTTCTCCACTTGATCATTGTCATTAAGTCACTTGTCTTAATGTCTGTCACCTACTTTTAAAAAAAAAAATGCAAATAAAACCCATTTGAACTCATCTTCACTGATTTATTTCTGCCCACTGGATCACACTCTTGGAAAAAGTTAGCTATGCTTACTGTTGCCACTTGCTCATTCCCACTGTCCGTTCAGCTCTTTTCTAATCAGACTTTCTTCCACACCGTTGCACTGGAATATTCCTTACAAGGTCATCAGCCTCTATCTAGTGAAAGAAAGTGTTCCATTCTCTGGTCTGTCACTCATCCTTTTAACATCATTTGTCATGGTCAGCCACATCACCTTTTTAAAACCTCTTTTCGTCTCTGGGCTTCTGTGGTACTACCTGAACATGTTTTGTTTTGTTCCCCACTCCCCTGCCTTCCTTGCCTCCCTCACTGGCTGTTTCTTCTTAGGTGCCTTGGGCTCCTCTTGCCCTATTTGAACATCAGTGTTGGGTGCTCCAACGCTGTAGCCTCAGCCTAGCTCCCTTCTTGTCTACTTTAACTTTCTGAGAGCTCTCATTGGGCTTGTGGCTCCAGAATCATCTGTATATTGATGACTCTGGCTCAGACTTCTCCTTGAGTTCTCAATATGGATAGCCAGCTGTCTACTAGACACCTACACTTGTTTTGTTTAAATCTATGAAACAGAACCATTAACTCCTCCCTCCCCTTTCCTCCTAATTCTTCAATTCTCAAAATTGCCTGTCTTGGAATATGACTACCATCCACCCACTTAAGTGCTTGAAGACCCCTCCCCCTCGCAAAAAAAAACAAAAACAAAAACATTCTTTCCCTTTCATCCTACATCCAGTCCTTAAGTACGTTGTCTGATCTCCTTCCAAAATACCTGGCAAATCCACTTATCCCCTTCTGCCTCCACTTCTAAAACCCAAATACAAGCACCATCATCTATACTTTATAAGCAGCAACCTCCCAACTGGTCTTTTTCCTTCAATCTTGCTCTCTTCAATTTCCTTCAGATAGCAATTTATGTGATTTTTCTAAAATGCAGGTTAGTTACCACTACTCTGCTTTAATTGTTTTCATTGCACTTTAAGGTGAGAATGCCATTCTCCTCTCCCTAGCCCCCATGTTCTTACCTTTGGCCACTTTTTCCATTTTGACCCTCTCTTCTTTCCTCCAGGGTCACTGGGTTTTACTACAGTGGCTTTGCTTCTGGCTAGTAAATCTTCTAATCTTGTTTTGATCTCTGGGCCTTTGTATTTGCTTTTGCTGCTGGGAATGTTCTGCTCGAAAGTCTTCTCACCCTTGACCCCTGGAAGTTCAGACAGAAGCCAAATGTTAGCTCCTTAGAAAGGCTAATGTAGCCCACTAAGAGAGTTCTATTGGCCCTTTTTTATTGTCTTCATTGTACTTGTCTGTAGTTATTTTAATTGTCTACTGTCTACCTCCAGGATAGTATAAACTTATTGAATGTTCTTGTTCACACTGACTCCTCAGCATGTAGAACAGTCCCTAGAAGTAGTAAATATTCAGTAAATATGTATTGGGAAACAGACTATTGTTACAAAACTGTTCGTTTTATTATATTTAGATTGTGTAAGTTTATTAATAGAAATTAATTGTCCCCAAAATTGAATTAATAACTATAGTGTTCAGTCAGTTTATAATTTGTGTTCCACTTATTTAACTTAAGAGTTGCCCTGTTTATGATTTATGAACTGTGTATACCTTCTCTTTTGGTTCTTCAAAACAACCTTGTAAGTTTGGCCAACTGATATTAGTGCCCTCCCTTGACCCCCAAAGAGTTAAGTGACTTGCACAAGATTTCAGTAGGTGAACCGGAACCTAGGTCTTCTACTTCCTATACCAGATAGTTTTATTGGTATAGTGTCCTAGGTGTGTGCTTTTGTGTGTGTTAGTAGTTTAGAGGAATTATAATAGCATTTAAGACCTTTACTTCCCATATACTCTCCAAGATACGTTTTAAAGCTATCTTTAGCTCTGTGGCTGTTCTTTTCAGTGGTAACATAAAATATTGGTCCCTGTTATAACCAATATGTTAAGATTTGGCCAATTATTTTTTAGTGGTGATAATTATCAGGTGTTACAGGTATGTCATATATATGCAATTAATGGTAGTCTTTATACAGTGTGAGTTAGGCTCATATAACCACTATCTCCATTTTTTTTTCTTTTTGCTGGTAAGAGCATTCAAACACAAGACAAGACAAACCTACGCATAGACTAATCTCATCCTTATTACTGCAGTCCATTGCTGCCTTGCTTTCTATTGACTCTGTCTTAAAGATTAGAGCTCTTTGGAAGCTTTCAACTGATAAGTCTTTTTTTTTTCTTTTTTTTTTTCAACTGAGAAATCTAAAATACTTTCCGTATTGCCCAGTATGGACCCTGTTATAGTTGCAAGTGAGATCATTTTCTGAAATCTTTGAATCTTGTTGAATCCTTCAATGAAGTAAATAATTACTTTAAAGCTATATGTTCATTTCTCATTATTTATTCTAATGTATTTATATTCCCTCTTCTACTCTTTGCCTGCCTGAGCAGTGAGATTAATAGTTAAAGCACTTAAAGCTGAGAGCCTTAACAGTAATCTACTGTTTTCCTGTCTTCCTCCTTTGATGTTCTCTTGGAATAGGCTCTTGCCAAAAAAACAAATTGAAGTTAGGTTTAATATGAGAAGTCAAAAATGATGTTATCCTGGTTATCTCTGCCTTCTTCTCTAGCATTCTTTTTCTTTCTTTCTTTCTTTTTTTTCGGAAACAGAGTCTTGCTCTATCCCCCAGGCTGGAGTTCAGTGGTGTGATCGTGGCTCACTGCAACCTCAGCCTCCTGGGTTCAAGTGATTCTCATGCCTCAGCCTCCTGAGTAGCTGGGATTACAGGAACCCACCACCATACCCGGTTAATTTTTGTGTTTCTAGTAGAAATGAGATTTTACCATGTTGGGCAGGCTGGTCTTGAACTCCCGACCTCAGGTGATCTGCCTGCCTCGGCCTCCCAACCTCAGGTGATCTGCCTGCCTTGGCCTCCCAAAGTGTTGGGATTATAGGCATGAGCCACTGTGCCTGGCTTCTCTAGCATTCTTAAACAGACAAGGAAAAATATCATTTGTCACTGCTGTCTGTACTGTTACATTCCCACAATAATGTACATGTGTACACACTTTGCATTAACTAATTGGGATATATCTGGGTTTGACAGGATCAACAAGGTTAAAGACTTACTTGGTAGGGTGAAGGAATGGCAAAATGGATGTTCATCCAACTAGCTCTGTCTTAACCTCCTCATATCTTTCTAATTCCATACTCCAGACGATAAATGTTACATCCTACAGTATACCTCCTACAGTATACCTTTTACCTTAAGTGACAATAGGTACATTCAATAGCACCACCTATTACTTCTAAGAAAGATCATCCTAAGTTTCCTGTTATATCAATCGAAGTATAACAGAGACATTTTAGTAGAGAAGCTTTTAGAGTTTGTGATAGATTAACTTTTCACTGTTACTCAGCAAATGAGAGTAAAAAATCAGACTTTCACAGTTGTCCAGGGTGCAATAACTAAACCAAATCTGTATCTATATCTATATAACTGAACCAAATATATATATATGTGTATATGTGTGTGTATATATACATATATATACGTATATACATATATACACATATACACACATATATACATATATACATACATATACATATATACATACATACATATATACATATACACGTGTATATACATATATACGTGTATATACGTATATATATACGTATGTATATATGTGTGTGTGTGTGTGTGTGTGTGTGTATGTATCTTTATATATAAACTTCCCAGTTTTGTGGGGGCAATATCCTCAGGTCAGGGAAATGTTTAACTCCAATATGAAAACCATCAGACTGTCACAACAGTTCTGATTGCTAACATCTACAAGATGGTATAGGATAGTACGATCAGAAATAAGCAGTTCTGGCCAGGCATGGTGGCTCACATTTGTAATCCCAGCACTTTGGGAGGCTGAGGCAGGTGCATCACCTTAGGTCAGGAGTTCAAGACCAGCCTGACCAACATGGTGAAACCCTGTCACTACTAAAGATACAAAAATTAGCCGGGTGTGGTGGCATGCACCTATAGTCCCAGCTACTCGAGAAGGTGAGGTAGGAGAATCACTTGAACCTGGGAGGCAGAGGTTGCAGTGAGCCGAGATTGTGCCACTGCACGCCAGCCTGGGTGACAGAGCAAGACTCTGTCTCAAAAAAACAAGCAAAATAAAAAACAAAAAACAAAACTAAGCAGTTGGGAAAGTGAAAATTCTTAGTGCAGTCCTAACTGATCTACTTAAAGTGTTCTTTTAAAGACCTGCACATGTTTTTCAGTGATTTAAATTCTGTACACTTAAAGCATGAAAGTAAACATTTTGGTAGGGTCTAGAGTGATGAGTTGAGGTATTTTGAATAAAACTATATATTTTCATTTGTAAGAAGTAAAACTGTTCACTGAAATTTGTTTCTTTTTATTAGGTTTAAGTGGAAACCCTGCAGATTTAGAAAGAAGAGAAGCAGTGTTTGGAAAGAATTTTATACCTCCTAAAAAGCCAAAAACCTTTCTTCAATTAGTATGGGAAGCATTACAAGATGTCACTTTAATTATATTAGAAATTGCAGCCATAGTATCATTGGGCCTTTCTTTTTATCAGCCTCCAGAAGGGGATAATGCACGTAAGTAAATGGGGGGAAAAAAGACATGTCTGATGCTAGTTCAGCTAATTCATTTAGTTAATGCACAATAATAATAGCTGGCCAGCATTTATTGATGTTTGCTATGTGCTAGGCACTGTTCTAAGTACCTTAAATATATTATCTCAGATAACTTTCACAGTAACCCTATGAATTAGATTGTGTTACCTCCCTTTTACAATGAGGCACAGAGGTTAAATAACCTATCCATATATGCTTACTATGTGTCTGGCACAGACCTATGCCATGTATATGACATGGTCTTTGCTATCACAGTTTTTAAGTTTTTTTAGAACACTATACTGTGAAACAATTTCAGTTTTTAGTTTTTGGTTTCTTTTGGAAAATGTCATTATGAAAGCAAAATTCTGTTCTCTTCCCAAATTCATTACTTGTCAAGTTCTTAAAGTGTTTTGCTATGTACACCATTTGGATAATTTCCTTGCCATTATGGAAAATGTCCTTGCCATTATACTATAGGTTGAACATCCCTAATATGAAAATCCGAAATACTTTGAAATTCAAAATTTTTGAGTGCCGACATGATGCCACAAGTGGAAAAATTCCACACATAAGTACTTACCACAAATTTTGTCTCATATACAAGATTATTTTTTAAATATTGTATAAAATTACTTTTAGGCTATGTGTATAAGGTGTATATGAAACATAAATTGATGTTTGGACTTGGGTCCCATCCCCAAGATATCTGATTTTATATATATGCACATATTCCCAAATCTGAAAAAATTAAAACATTTTTGGCCCCAAGCATTTCAGAAAAGGGATACTCAACCTGTACAGAGTATCCTAACCAATAGAGAAATACATTATAGCGTGGTAGATTTGCTTTAACTTGTGGCTACAAATGTTTTTTTCTCCTATCTTTCCCTTTCTCTTTTAAATTTCTTTATCTGCCTTTTAAAAAATTTGTTTAAAATTAATAGTTCTGCTGGTAGATTCTGTAACTGGTAGGAAATCTAGCATGCATTTTGGTTACTATATTTAAGTAGCTGTAATATAAAACAAACCAGTAGTATTTTATGTATCAAAAGGCTGATTCACCAAAATATTTTTGTGAAAGCTTCATTCCTATACCCTTTCGAGTTGTGAAGAGATACTTGCTAACTCTAAAAGTTGGGTAAGGTAATTATGTTAGTCTGTTTGCATTGCTGTATAAGAATACCTGAGACTGGCTAACTTATAAGAAAAGGTTCTGCAGGCTGTACAGGAAACGTGGTGCCAGCATCTGCTTCTGGTGAGGGCCTCAGAAAGCTTATAGTCATGGCAGAAGGCGAAGCAGGAGCAGGCAGAACACATGGAGAGAGAGGGAGCAAGAGGTGGCCTTGAGGGGCCAGGATTTTTCAAGGACCTGCTCTTGTGTGAAGTAGTCACCATGGGGAGGGCACCAAGCCATTCATGAGGGTTCCACCCCCATGATCCAAACACCTCCCCTTAGGCCCTGCTTTCAACACTAGGGATCATATTTCAGCATGAGATTTGGAGGGGAAAAACATCCAAACTCTATCAATAATTATGTAATTATTTATAAGATGTACCTAGGCTCACGTAAGACTGTATTCTTTCTCTTTAAAGAAATTTGGACACAGCATAAATCAGTTTTTCTGAGATTGGTATAGATTAAGGTTTCTTAGAAGCAGCACGACTGACATATTGAGCGGCAAAATTATTTGTCACAATATTCATTCTGCACCCCACCCCCAGTGAGGCAACCAAAAACGTCTCCAGATTTTGCTGTGTGTCCCATAGGGGGCAAAGTTGCCTCTGGTTGAAAATCACTATAGATAAGGAGAGGCTTAGACAATATTCTTGTCACTGTTGAGCTAAATTATTTTTTAAACTTTTATTTATTTTTGCTAAATAAGTAGTACCTATTTTACTGTTTAAAAAAAATAATGGGGGTGGGGGAAGACAGTCCAAAGGAAATAATATTCACTGGAAATCCCATTTCTTAGAGATTCCTGCTATACCCTTTTATGTATATATCCTTTAAGATTTTAAATATGTATCCGTGGTCTATGTGTCTATGAGCACTAATATATGTAAAGGTATGATGGTGCATAGATACATGTGTTTATCTGAAAAGGGGAGTCATATCATCTTCAGCAACATACAGCTGAATTTTTGTCAGTTTTCCACCTGTCTAGCTGTCACTATCAAATATTGGGTATTGGTTTTCTAGAATTGAGTTAGCAGATTAATAAAAGCTTTTTACTTTGAACATTTTAGTTTTCTTAGAAAACAAAAGAAAAAATACTTTCAAGAAGTGGAGTTTATTACCAGCAAGGTCCAGGACAAATCTTTTTGGAATTCAAACTGCTTCCTTTGTAAGATGTAGTGACAGGTCCTTTCCTAAATTTGTTAAAGGAGATACAGGTATTAAAATCCAACTGAGAAGATAATCTAGAGCTGTCGGTGTTCTAAGGCCCTTTTAAAAGAGTCAGAGTTCACTAGAAGTTCTTAATGAAACATATAAAGATTTTTTTGCTCCATGGTGAAAAGTTATTTAGTATTTGCATTTTTTATTTTTTATTTTTATTATATATATAAAATAAAATATGTATATTGAGACAGATATATATATAAAATATATAGAGAGAGACTATATATATATTGAGACAGAGTCTCACTGTGTCGCCCAGGCTGGAGTGCAGTGGCACTATCTCGGCTCACTGCAACCTCCATCTCCAAGGTTCAAGCGATTCTGCTGCCTCAGCCTCCTGAGTAGCTGGGACTATAGGCATGTGCCACCATGCCTGGCTAATTTTTGTATTTTTAGTAGACACGGGGTTTCACCATGTTGGCCAGGCTGGTCTCAAACCCCTGACCTCAGGTTATCTGCCCGCCTCGGCCTCCCAAAGTGCTCAGATTACAGGCATGAGCCACCGTGCCCAGCCTTGCATTTTTTAAAATCATTATTAGTACACTACATGTATCTTTTTGTCTCGTTACATCTCAACACTGAGGTGTGGTAACTTGCTTAAAAGGAATCTATTTGTAAATCTACAGTCATAGAAATCTAAATGATCAAAATGTCTTCCTAATATTACTTGATGTGAAAATATATGCTATAGCCCAAACCATAAATAAATCTATAGTTACTGGTATCTGCACTTAACAGGAGTTCTCAAACTTTTTGGTCTCGAGACCTCTTTAAACTCTTCAAGTATTGAGGACTCCAAAGAGCTTTTGATTATGTGAATTATTCCTATAAATATTTAGTATATTCTAAATAAAAATGGAAAAATTTTTGAATATTAATGTGTTCTCACCACAAAAGTAACTATATGAGGTGATGGATATATTAACTGATTGTGGCAATCTTTTCACAGCATATACATATATCAAAATATTTTGCTGTATATCCTAACTATATGCAGTTTTATCAATCATACTGCAGTAAAGCTGGACAAAATATTTATCAGTGCATTTTTAAATAATAATCTATTGTATATTCACATAGATAGCATTTTGATGAAAAATGTTCCCTCAATAATGAATTTTTAAATGAAATAATGTAAAGAGTGGTGTCATATCTCTTTAATGCCCAGCTTTATTGAAGATAGCTCGGTTCTCCTGTCTGCTTCTGTATTTATTATGTCACATTATCACATGCAGTGTAATCTTTGGAAAATTATGTTACACATTAATGAAATATGAGACCAATAATTATGTCTTCAAATTATGAAAATAGGAATCCCTCTCAGGTTTCACGACAGCACTTTGAGAACTACTTCTCTGTACTGTTAATGTACAAACTTGGTACATCACCCAATGAATAGCTCAACTAGGAGGTTTTAAAATGGAATATTTGCCTTGTGGTAGAGAGTATTGACTGAATTTAGATTGTGCATGTCTCTCAGTTGAATATATTTACAAGAGAATACCTTTGATAATACAGGTTTTTATTATTATATTTGAGCTTGGACTTTACTGAAAACATTGTTAAAATTCTTTATATATTTATACATATATATAACTGTAAGCTGTAGTCATTTTGTAACTTTGATCCTTTTTCCCCTATAACTTCTCTAAAAATTTGTAATCATTGTCAGTAGGAAAGGATTTATATTTTGTACTATTTCAAGATTATTTTGGTCTTATCTGTATGATGTAGAGTAGAACTATATATGAAATGATATATGTCATTAATTTGCTTCAAGTTCTCTTTTGAAATATTCAGTAGTTTAGTGATGGATATCCATGTCAGATTCAGAGCTGAAAATTGTATAATTGTCCGTAATTCTTTCCCCTCCTTAACCTCTGTTGTGTTGGTCTTTAAACTTTTTTGGTTATTTACTCTATCAGGAAAAAAATGAGCACATACCTCCAAATGATGCATTTATTAATTATATTTATAACTATATAATTTGTATATTTTCAGCATATAGAAAAAATAGAAATTGAAAGTAAAAGATAAAGCTGGGCACAGTGGCTCATGCCTGTAATCCCAGCACTTTGGGAGGCTGAGGTGGGAGGATTGCTTGAGGCCAGGAGTTCGAGGCCAATCTGGGCAATGTGGCGAGATCCCATCTCTACAGAAAATTTTAAAATGAGCTGGGCGTGGTGGCATGCGCCTTGTGGTCTAAGCTACTTGGGAGGCTGAGGTAGGAAGATTGCTTGAGCATGCAGTGAGCCACATTGGCACCACTGCACTCCAGCCTGAGCAACAAAGTGAGACTCTGTCTCAAAAAAGAAAAAATTAAAATTTAATGTTTGCTTTCTTCTTGTAGCCATAAAACATTATTGTTAACCTGATTTAGGTCTAAGTTTAATTTCAGAAGTTGGCTTTAATGTCTCGCAGCTAAAAGAAACACAACATTATATAAATCCAAGTGGGAAAAGTGTAGTTACTAAATCATACTCATTTTCATGATACCTACCCACCAGTTATGCAAAGGTATTTGTTAAAATATGACTGGTAAATTCCATTGTCTGATGTCAATCTGTTGTTTTTATATGCTGTTATAAAGTATTGCATTTTTTGTGTAATAAATGACATCAAAACCCAGTAAAATGCTTCACTTGGATAATATGTTAGCTGTGTTTCCAAGTTGGTGAAAGTGGTCAGCATGGTGTTCTATCATCTGATTCTGAGTCCAGAGTTGCTCTAATTCAGAGTTAATCTCCTGTCTTCTGGCTAGAGGGAGGAATGGAGCGGGGAGAGTCATTCTTACAGCCTTGACTGTTAAACAGAATGTAAATCATAAAATCACTTTAACTGGTTATTATACACAATGACACATGGTGATTTCTTGAGCTTGAAAATAATTAAAATAGAAATTCTGGTATTTGTGTTGGAGGGGGTTCTGTTGGATTATCCTGCTTGTACCTCACAGTTGAATCCTGCTGGTGGTTCTCAGGATATTTTTTGTAACTGTTCACGTCAAGTCTTCCATTTCATCCCCAATTGATTTTACTTCATTCCCTGTCTTCCCTCCCAGATTGCTTTTTAGTCAGCACCCTCACACCTCAGATTTTTTCTTCAGTCTGTACTCACCATGCTAGAACACGCTTTAGTCATTTCTAGTGTCATTTATTTACTCATTCTTTTCTTCTGAATAATCCTCCTGCTTTGTCTGTTTGAGAGAACCAATGGCTTTCAGACATTTCAATTCAATTTAAAAAGAAATAACTTCACATAGCAACCCAGAAGCCTGTATTCCTTCATGCGAATTTATAAGTAATCAGCGTTTCAGGAAATAATACTTATCCTTACTACATACATATCCTTTCTATTTTGTTTTGTTCCATTTTTCAGAATGCTGGTCATGAGCCACTGAATTGATTTTGGACTCACAACTAGATTACAGCCCGAAGTCAAAAAGCACTGTTCTGTTATTCTTCACCATTATTGACTATAGAGTTTTGGCTCATTCTCTCCCCCCTCCCCACCTCCCACCCCACATCCTTTTCTGATCTCTATTCTGCCATTTGTACTGATTTTAATCTCTCCCTGGATTTTTTTTTTCTTAGATGGCTGGTTCTCTACCAATATTTGGTAGCTCAAATGTCATGCATACCTCAATGGGGCCTTCTCTGCTCACTGAACCTCAGTTATCCCTCTTTTTTCATTTAATAGCACATCACTATGTTTTTCTTCATGGCACTTGTCGATATGTGAAATTAATTATTTGTGTATTATTATCTGAATTCTTCATATACCGTCCCCAGTCTGAGTATGGATTCCATGAGGAGAGAGAGCTTGTGTGTCTTACTCACTACTGTATTTCTAGCCCCTAAAATAGTGTCTGGCACCTAGCCTGTGCTCAAATGGTTGGAATAACAAGTAGCAGTTTGCTTAACTTTTCATGTTATAAAAGCCAAGTTTTAATCACATTTCAGTAAAAATGACATAGTAAATAAGCATGATTCATGGGTTTCACGTAATACTAACTTCTCATGTATATCTTGTCTATCATATGTAATAATTAATATGGTTAGCTCTTGGTTGAGTGCGAAGAAAGCCTTAGCCACTGCTGTACCTACTTTACCAGTATCCTCACATTTAATCCTCACAATAACTCTGGAATAGCTGGTGGTATCATAATTTGACGATGAAGAAACCAAGTCTCAAAAATTAAGTAACTTGCCTTAGGACTGATATTTCATCTCCTTCAGTGTCCTTACTCTTAACTAGTACCCTACCTAGACTGCCTCCCTCTACTGAGATTAAGAATTACAGAAGCAGGGAACTTGAAAGTGACATAGAGTTCTTATGGAATACTTTGAATTTAATAAAGTATTTATTGCTATAAGTAAAATTGATAAACATAATTAACACAAAAATATGATTTAGACGTACTATATGTATGTTGTCATCAATTCAGAATCTTTTTGATAAGCATTTTCTTTCTTTCCAAATAGTTTGTGGAGAAGTTTCTGTTGGGGAGGAAGAAGGTGAAGGTGAAACTGGTTGGATTGAAGGAGCTGCAATCCTCTTGTCTGTAGTGTGTGTGGTGTTAGTAACAGCTTTCAATGACTGGAGTAAGGAAAAACAGTTTAGAGGTTTGCAGAGCCGAATTGAACAAGAACAGAAGTTCACTGTCATCAGGGGTGGTCAGGTCATTCAGATACCTGTAGCTGACATTACTGTTGGAGATATTGCTCAAGTGAAATATGGTAAGTAAGTAAAAAGAGCAGTACATCTGACACTAAACATAAAATTACTGTAATCTTGTTTATAAGTTTAGTATATCATGCTTTTTATTTTAGGTGATCTTCTTCCAGCTGACGGCATACTTATTCAAGGCAACGATCTTAAAATTGATGAAAGCTCATTGACTGGTGAATCAGATCATGTTAAAAAGTCTTTAGATAAGGATCCCTTACTTCTATCAGGTAAAAATTTCATTTATATCTTTGAACACTTTCCTCTTTCGCAACTATGTACCATTGTCAGCAAACACCATTTTCCTAAGAGTCAATAATATAAAGAGGAATCTGTATTTTATGCTACCTTCTACTGTTGTAATCCTTGCAGACTTTTTTTGGTAAGCTGACAAAAACATTAGAAAACTTTGAATGCAGAGCTATATTTTACAAATGAGGGACCAGAGTCCAAAAAATCAAGAGATTTGAGATTCAGCATTCATGCTAGTGTAATGATAAAACTGAAATATAGGCCTAATGATATCTCTTGAGTTGGTCTGTTATTCTGTATCATGACTATTTTTAATGCCTATTGAAGTATAAAATTAAAGAATGAATATATGTTTAAAGCAAATTAATGAATTCTCTGTGATGCTCTACAAAGGACAGGTTGTTTTTTCTTAAGAACTGGTAAAATCCTTAAAGTTTACCTAATCCAACTCCTTTAACTGCTGAAGAATGAGTTTGAGATATAAACTATTTAGTATTATATGATTAACCAAGAGTAGGTCTAGCAGTCACACCTCCATCTAGTCAGAATTGAATTTGCAAATGGTTAAGATATGTTCTGGGATTGGAGAAGGGAAGGATAGGTGAGGATACTGTTTGAAATGGAGGGTGACAGCTTGGGAGGCTCTTGTAGTAACCTCATTGTGATAGCTTGAACTAAGTTGAACTAAGTAAATATGAAATGGAAGGGGTGGTGGGAAAAATTACAAGTTCGCTTCCAAAACACTGAATGAGAGAAAGCTATAGTATCACAAATTGACCCCCAAGTCATATTAATTATTCTAACTTTTAGGTTCTGGGGTTCCTATTCTTATTTTCCCAGTATTCTATATGGAATTTATGAAATTGTCTATCAGAACTGTACTTGTCAGATTGAATTTATACTAGAGTTTTGGGAAAGCCAAATGTAGCCTTCTACATGTAGTCTTCTGTCATTGTCAGGTGTTGATAGATTGCCAACATTTTATACATTGTCAGATGATTGCTGCTGAAACCAGAGTCAAACCTGTGATATCCACAAGGGTCAGTTAAGTTAGAATCACAACTTTAGAGCAAAACCTAAGTTTAACCATAACTTTTTAAGATTTATAAATGCATGCCAAAAGAAGCTTATTGCAAAGAACCAGACACATTTATATTGGCCAGAAAATCCTATTGCAAAAAAATCAGAGTAATTACATTTATAAACACCATTATAAATAGGATAAAAGTTCCAATTCTAATATAGACTTAACGTTTCATCAAAAAAAAAAAAAAATCTTGAGATGTGTATACCTTCAGTATCCTGTGCCACTTAGAACATTAGGAGATATACGTAATGCTAAATGACGAGTTAATGGGTGCAGCACACCAACATGGCACATGTATACATATGTAACAAACCTACACATTGTGCACATGTACCCTAAAACTTAAAATATAATAATAATAAAATTTAAAAAAAAGAAAAAAGAACATTCACACCCTGTTTGGATTTTTCTTTGTATTGGTGTGGTTGTCATTTATACCAAATAGCCAGAAAGAGCTTGGATATATAAATATAATGTATTTAAGTATAATGTGTTAACTCATTCTACTTACCTTGCCATGCTTCTAAGGAACTGTAGTTAATGTTAACCAAATAAAATCTATAACCTTTCCAAAGGAGAGGGAAGCTATCTAATCATACCTTACCATCACAGATTAACCAGACCACAATGTGTAACAAACTAAGATAGTCTCCTGTTTGCTATGTATACTGCATGGACTTTTATGTACATCTCACTTATTTACATAGTGCTTAGCTCTTCAGGTTGATTTCCTTTAACTGAACTTTGGTCCTTTCTGTTTTAACAGAGATGACTGGTAAGCTTTATGTAGACTCAGGTTCCTAACACACCAAGTATACCAGGAGAACTCTATAAATTTTCCACATTTAAGAAAAGACTGAAATAACTTTGTAGAGTCCCTTATCGCAGTATGGGTGGGAAAGTTTTTCTGCATTTATTTCCCTATTCCAAAAATGTACTAAAAAACATGACATGCATTTATTTTTAAATTTACTCTCATGATGCCATCTCTGACTGCTGTTCTTGGCTTCTTAAGTTTAGATTTTTAAAAGCAGTATTCAGTTAGTGGTGGGGATATGACCAAGACTTAAAACTGTTTACTTTGCCTGAGCACATTCACTGCCAACATCTGATTACCTGTGGTAAGGCAAAATAGAACCTAAACAATTGGAGTCTGGAGAAAACCAGAATTGTTAAAAGAAATAAATTATCTACTTTTTCACTATCTTGAATTATATTTCTTGTTTTCCCTGCACTTTCACTGGCAAAGAAGCTAATAACTAGTGAAATAATCAATATGGATTTTTAAAAGCAAGGAAGCAAAGGCCTAAAAAACAATATTGGATAAGTTACTCAGTAATTAATAGCCAAATATGGATTCTTAAATACTTGAGTAAGTACATATATTTTATGAGCGTACTTAGCAAATAATCCTTGAGCATCAACTTGGTTCATAAGATTATGGTAGATGCTATGTTCACTGTGCTCCAGAAGATTGTAAACAAGGAAATAAAATACAAATCAATGATAACGTGTAAAAAAAAAAAAGTTGCTTTAAAGCCTGCTTAAAACTAACAAAAAGATTAGACGGATTAGAAGCCTTTTAGTGAATAAGAAAAGATATAGAGATGTGGATGTACAAGTCGGAGAACCGTAAGCAGACTTATCAGCATTATAACTGAAGAAGAATATACTCTTTATCCTCTGACAGAGCTGGACTGAATCTTTGCCTTGACATTTAATAGTTGTATAACCTTCAGGCCGAGCACGGTGACTCGCACCTGTAATTCCAGCACTTTGGGGGCTAAGACGGGAGACAATTATGGAGACCAGCCTGGGCAACACATACTCTGTCTCTACAAAAAAAAAAAAAAAGTTGTATAACCTTGGGCAAGTTTCTAGAAAATGAGAATAGTAATGCCTGCCAACTTCCAAAATTGTTTTGCGGGACATAGAATTTAATCCATGTTCCCATCTCTGATTCCTAGTTTTCTGTAATGAAATTTTATGTTAGAGTAGTGGATGAGTAAGTTTGTAAGATTGGGTCGGTCTCAAGGTGAGGACTTTGGACTCAATCCAGTAGGCAACGAAGAATCAGAAATTTTTGAGCCATGAGAAGTATATGATGAAATCACAATTTTAGGAAGATTAAAATGGATTTCAGGATGAACTGGGAAGACACAGAGACTAGGTAGGGGGCTATTGCAGTTACAAAGGCGTGCTGGAATGAAAGCTTGTGTTAGGTAGAGGTTATGAGGTTGGGTGTGGGAAATGTGACATTGGTTGTCATTGATACATACGTTGTTTCTTTATAAGCAGTGTTTTTCTCAGAGAAGTGTCCCTCATACCTTAGGTTACAATTAATGAGCATTCATTGAACCCCTACAAATTCTAGGCAGTATGCTAAGCACTTTACATTTATAGGTTTATATGAGAAATGTAAATCTCATATTTCTATGAAGTGTACAGACAGGGAACTGAGTTGTTAAAATTTACCTAATATTACATGGTAAGTGAGTAGTAGATTGAGCTTTGAACTTGGATATGACTGATTAGAGTTAAAACCTTAAGCACAAGAAATAAGTTTTATTTAATGTCTTACTAAATGTATTTTATTGATCAAGACATGGTGGCTCACATCTGTAATCCCAGCACTTTGGGTGGCCAAGACAGGAGGATTGCTTGAGCCCAGGAGTTTGAGACCAGCCTGAGCAATATAGTGAGACCCTGTCTCTACAAAATTTTTTTAAAAAAATTAGCAGAGTGTAGTGGCGTGTATCTGTGGTCCCAGCTACTCGGGAGGGTTACTTCAGCCCAGGAGATCCAGGCTGTAGTAAGCCATGTTCACACCATTGCACTCCAGCCTGGGTGACAGACCAAGACCCTGACTTAAAAATATATATATATATTTATATATTTATATTTATATATATTTTTTCCTAAATGTTGAGGCTGTTAAAAACAATATTACTGAAGTTTGAAATTTGGTGGTAGCAAGGAGATCTATCAGTATTTTTAAAAACAAACTATGTTTTTGGTTATAGGTACTCATGTAATGGAAGGCTCTGGAAGAATGGTAGTTACAGCTGTAGGTGTAAATTCTCAAACTGGAATTATCTTTACCTTACTTGGAGCTGGAGGTGAAGAGGAAGAGAAGAAAGATGAGAAGAAAAAGGAAAAGAAAAGTAAGAATAACAATTTTCTATAATTGGTATTTGGAAATAGGGCAAATAATTTGTAAGAACTAGTACCTTCTTTCAAGAGATTCTGGTATGAAAAATTCTACAAAAAGTTAAAAGAAGATTTTTCTATTAGACTTAATAGCATGGGCCTTTAGAGAATACATCAGTCCCCTTTACCATGGCCAGAGAAATTCAGCATCTACTTGAATACTTCCATTGGCATTCTTGCATTTATTCTCTAGGTGTAGAATCTCCCATCATCTGATCAGCAAAATGAATTGAACTCTCACGGCGGATTTTTTCTGCTACTTTAGCAGTGGCTTTCTTTATCAGCCATATTATATTTTGGTTTCACTGAGCTTTCTTTTAATCTTCTTCACATTTCTATTCTACTATACTTAATGTGCTTGGTTTTTGAACACAAGACTAGGACTTCACTTTGACACCTTACATTTCTCTTGTTATATTCAGCCCATCATTAGATATCAAAATCTTTTTAAAATGTTGATCCATTGTATCTACTGTCCCTCCAAGTGTTCTGTTATCAGAAAACTTGATAATCATACATACCATTTATCTGCAAGGATCTTACAAGAAACTGTTATACACAAGAGACATCTCAGAATCTCCTAGTTAGGGGCATGCCACTTTTAAAAAGCCCTCCCCACCCTGCTTCTAAGTGTCTGCTATACCACCCTTCCTTCACACTCAGGATTACCCCTCTGGAGTCTTTTCCCTTTAGGTTGACAACATTTTACGGTGGTTTAGCCACTTAGATTTATTTGATGTTATTTAGGATAGTAAACCCATATTGTTGTTTCTCACATGAATATTTTGAAACATTCTAAAATAACTGCCTGGCTAAAATCCTGGTTTGCTATAACTACAGCAGTGTTTTTAATATTTGAGTGGTTTGTTTTGTTCTTTGAGTTTTGCTGTTAGCTATAAAATCTCTATTTCGAAACAAAAATGTATGTGAAAAATTCTGGACGCAGATCCAGGTGGCAAGCCCCCCATTCTAGGTTTTTTTTCTATGTCCTCCTTGAAGCAGTTCTCAATGTGCTTCCATACGTTTCTTAAGGCTGAGTAGAACGCAGTTTGAAAACCAGCACAGTAATGATTCCATTTATTGAATGTTTTACATGCACTATCTCATTAATCCTCACAACTGTACAAAGTAAAGACTTATTATTTTTTTACTGATAAGTAAACTGAGGCTTACGGAGATTATATAATTTGCTCTAGATCAAAGTGCTAGTAAGTGACAGGTCACACCCTCTTCTCTGGCTCAAGAGTCTACCCTTTTATGCTGTGCTCCATCCTAATCCACAAGAGTTGAAAGTCATTGAACGCTGAAGGGAAGTTTGCATCCTCACTGTATTCCACAGTGTCTTTTCCAGTAAGCTTCTTTTCCCCCTGAGTCTTATACACTGGTTTTATTAATCTAGTCTAGAACATTCCCCAGAAATTAACATCTAATTTGTTGACTCCCTTTTTTTGTTGTTGTTGTTTTTTTTTTAAAGAACAGGGCAACATTTTTTCTTCTGTGGGCCTCCAGCCCTTCTCCCATTCCCTTGACTGCCTTAGCGATTACTCAGAAGCAGTCCGGGGTAATGTGTCTCAGTTCCCTCAGTGGCCTGGACTGTGGCCGTCTGGTCTCTCCAAACTTGAGCTCATTAAAAGTAGCTAGGTATTATCTTACTATCTCCTCATCAATCTTGAGCTTCTATTCCTTCTTGACCATGTTTGTTCCATGTTTTCCGTTTGAAGATAGTTCTCCTCGATAAAGAAGCTAGAAGAATATAGGATGAATGGTTCTCCTGCTCTTTGGCATTTTTAATATTGTAGTGCCTACTCCAGACAATAGGCCTGTCCCTTCATTACTTTATTGCTTCAGATATGCTCATCTTTCTGTGTTTTCCAAATATAAGCTGATTTGGAGAGCTGCCTTACCTGGTAGTCTTACTGGCTTATTCTATACATTCGTATTCTAGTTTTACTAAGTTACCTCTCCTATCTTTTGTACATATTTTGTCCTCACTCTCATCAACACTCTCCTGTGTGCCAGTTGTCTTTTTTTTTTTTTTTTTTTTTTTTTTTTTTTTTGAGACGGAGTCTCACTCTATCCCCCAGGCTGGAGTGCAATGGCGTGATCTTGGCTCACTGCAACCTCCGCCTTCCGGGTTCAAGCAACTCTCCCGCCTCAACCTCCTGACTAGCTGGGACTACAGGTGCATGCCACCACACCCGGCTAATTTTTTATTTTTAGTAGAGACAGGGTTTCACCATGTTGGCCAGGCTGGTCTTGAACTCCCGACCTCAGATGATCCACCCACCTTGGCCTCCCAAAATGCTGGGATTACAGGCATGAGCCACCACACCCGACTGCCCGTTGTCGTTTTATAACATCCCTTCCTCCTCCCTCTCTACCCCTGCTCTTCCTCCTCCCTCTCCACCTCTGCCCTTTTCTGCTTTCTTGGGGTTATATTTGTATTTAGTTTTAAAACTTTTTGTATCATATTTAGGTTTATTACAGCTTATAAAATAATGAAGTCCTATGGAAAAATAAAACAAATATAGACACCCTAAATTATTTTGCGGTATTCTCCCGTAGGTAAGACTTAGGGAGTGATTGACCCAGCAGGTCATCACAAGTCAAATGTTTTCTAATCTGTAGACACACACACCATTGTGTAACAACTGTTATAGAAATGTGAACTACTTCTGCATAATTTAGCATGGCTGTATTCATTTCTTTTGGAAAGCTTTAATTCCCATTTTGTTCCTACAGATAAGAAACAAGATGGAGCTATTGAGAATCGCAACAAAGGTAAATTTAGGAGGACAAAAGTACAGTGAGCTTGTTTTCATTATATCCAAAAATCTACTGTATACCATATTTATTCAAAAGTAAGATACATGTGGCAGGGAAAATCAACAATATACGTTAGCTTGGGTTAACCTTTCTTCCTGCCGGTGTCTTAGTCATGTCGTCACTGCAATGTTAATAAGATTTTAAGTATGATTTGTGGTACAGGTTGAGTATCCCTTATCCGAAATGCTTGGGACCAGAAGTGTTTCAGATTTCAGATTTTTTTTTTTTTTTTTTTTGGATTTTGGAATATTTGCATGTACATAATGAGATATCTTGGGGAAGAGACCCAACTCCAAACACGAAATTTATTTATACATTGCCATATACACCTTCTACACATTGCCTGATGGTAATTTTGTACAATATTTTTAATAATTTTGTGCATGAAACAGTTTTGACTATTCCGCATCACAGGAGATCAGGTGTGGAATTTTCCACTTGTGTCATGTCAGTGCTCAAAAAGTTTCAGATTTTGAGGTATTTTAGATTTTCGGATTAGGGTAAATTTATGTAGATTGACTCAACTTAAGTATTTCAAGTATTTGAACGCTGGTTATTATATAGTTAGTAGCAAAAATGCATAAGAAACAAAATATATAGCATAAATGTTACTGCATTTATTTAAGAGTCATATATGCATATTTCTATATGCATATGGTTATACATAATCTCTACATTATGGTCATAAATTATAGGGGAGGGATTATGTTGTTTAGATGTTACCTAACATAACACACAGGAAAAGAAATTTAGTATTCTTTAGTTCTCAGTTTAAGGACCCTGTATGCCTCATCCTCATTACCTAGCACAACATTTTCAAATATGGTACAAAGTTTCACAACCTAACGTCACTATTGTCTTATTTTCTCTGTGTAGACACACACACACACTCACAAAGCTGAATGCTTATACCTTTACTGGTTTCTGTAAGAAACTGATTTTTAAAATTTCTTTAAAATGTTAATAGTGATATGTGCCTTTAAAGTATAGTGAAGTTCTATTTGCTCTTAAATGTAGCAAAAGCCCAGGATGGTGCAGCCATGGAAATGCAGCCATTGAAGAGTGAAGAAGGTGGAGATGGTGATGAAAAAGATAAAAAGAAAGCAAATTTGCCAAAAAAGGAAAAATCTGTTTTACAAGGGAAACTTACAAAACTGGCTGTTCAGATTGGCAAAGCAGGTATGATATAGAGAAGAAAATAAAGTGTTTTATTTTTAAGTATGCTTTCTGCTTAAAAATTGTCTTTTGACACACTTAAGGCTGGAAATTGTTGCTTTGTGAATAGAAGGGGAGTTTGAAATATTTTCAGTTCTAGCTACAATGCACCAGGCCCTTTGAGTTACTATAGGTACTTATAATTTGCTAATAAGTGGTCGGGTTAGGATTAGTGCCTAAGTCTGTCCAGTTACAAGCCTGTGCACTCATCTCTGAATTTCTGCATTAAGTGGAGAAAAGGCAACCTGTGAGGTTATTTAGTAAAGATGAACTAATTATATTTTAATAAAATTTCATCACACATTTTGCTCATCTTTTTACTGGTTATGGGAATTTTTAGTTATGTCTCTAATGTTAAAGTTCTGCACTGAATGGAGTCGTTGTAGTGCGGCTGAAGTTTCTATATTACTGCCATCACTAGAAAATACCTGTTAATACAGCCATTCTTTAAGGGAAAAAGCAGAGCTCTGAGGTTAGAAACAGCATGACCTCCAGCGGTAGCATCTTTTTGGAAGAACACTGTGTGGATAAATAAGCATATATTATTAAAATTGCTTAAATTGCATCATTTTACTGCTCTCTAGGAGTATGATGGAAAAAGTGACGTTTTTGCTTCTGTCCTCAGTACACTTATTATCTAATAGCAAATATTTGCTCTTTGTAATATGTAGCCAAGTGGTAATGCTGACTCATGTAGTGTTGGGGGAAAAGGTGGATTTGAGGTGGTAAATCCACTTAGTAGACATTAGATTGGGATGTTAGAACCAGATATGTGGACTTACACCTTTTTTTTTCTTTTTTTCTTTTCTTTTCTTTTTTTTTTTTTTTTTTTTGAGACAGGGTCTCACTCTGTCAGCCAGGCTGGAATACAGTGGCATGATCACAGCTCACTGAACCCTCCACATCCCAAGGCTCAGGTTATCCTCCTGCCTCCACCCCCGAAGTAGCTGGGACTACAGATGCACGCCACTACACCCGGCTGATTTTTGTATTTTTAGTAGAGACGGGGTT
The DNA here is from genome assembly GCF_000001405.40 of Homo sapiens. NCBI lineage: Eukaryota > Metazoa > Chordata > Mammalia > Primates > Hominidae > Homo > Homo sapiens. Next base: position 89,625,406 of record NC_000012.12, on the reverse strand, counting down.
TCACCGTGTTGGCCAGGCTGGTCTCAAATGCCTAGGCTCAAGTGATCCTCCCACCTTAGCTTCCCAAAGTGCTGGGATTACAGGCGTGAGCCACTGCGCCCAGCTGCCTCTATTTTTGGGGGCGGGGGGTGTTGAGGGTGGGAGACAGAGTCTTGCTCTGTCACCCAGGCTGGAGTGCAGTGGTGCGATCTCGGCTCACTGCAACCTCTGCCTCCTGGGTTCAGGCGATTCTCCTGCCTCAGCCTGAGTAGCTGGTATTACAGGCACGCACCACCATGCCCAGCTAATTTTTGTATTTTTGGTAGAGATGGGGTTTCACCATGTTTGGCTGGTCTCGAATTCCTGACCTCAGGTGATCCACCCACCTCGACTTCCCAAAGTGCTGGGGATTACAGGCGTGAGCCACTGCGCCCAGCCAGCTGCCCTATTTTTTAATACATATGTCAAAGAGCAGAGTATCCCACAAGATACATGGTTAACTCTTGGTTTACTAAGTTAATGAAACAGTAAGGATAGAGCAAAAAAATTGAAGAAATAATACTTTGTGTTATATAATTTTATTTATTATAATGTTATTTTTTTAAAACATGGGTTGAGTATTTAATTCGAGGTCTCCCCATTGATGAGATTTTTACCAGTTTCTCTTTAAGCATCAGGGAGCTTGCCTCTTGAACATATAAAGCACCAGTTTATTCTAAGCTTTGGATACTTCCTTATCATTGCGTATTATTTTGTCTTAGTTTCAGTACAAGGCCAAAGATATAATTAAGTCTAAGAAAGAATCCTAAGTGTTTTTCTCCCAGTTCTCCTGGGGACAAGACTGTACTTGGAAGCAAAAAATTAAATCTGACAATGTCAAGTTATAAGGTGCAAGAAAGAAGTAATTTCTCAGAGAAATTCAATACTATCAAGCAAGTTATAACTCTTTACAGTGTTTAATTTATATCTGGCAAGGGTTAGTGTCTGGAAATTTAATAATCACATTTTTCTTTCATTTCTATTCTGAAAGGTCTGTTGATGTCTGCCATCACAGTTATCATTCTAGTATTATATTTTGTCATTGACACCTTCTGGGTTCAGAAAAGACCATGGCTTGCTGAGTGCACACCAATTTATATACAATACTTTGTGAAGTTCTTCATTATTGGAGTTACAGTTTTAGTGGTCGCAGTGCCAGAAGGTCTTCCACTTGCAGTCACGATCTCACTGGCTTATTCAGTCAAAGTAAGTAGAAAATAGTTCAGTAGACGTTGTTATGTTTAAAGCCTTAGCTGGTATAGAAAATGCCCATCTAGTTACTCCTTTTCTGCTTCTGAAAGTGAGGACTTTCATATAAATGTACACTATTTTCTCTAGAAATGTTGTCATTGATGCCCTGTACCTCCCACCAGTTGAATATCTCTGAAGGAGACCTGTGCATTCCACATAGGGCAGCCTTGACACAATACTAAGCACGACTCTGCTGGGCAAAGTTCTAGCATAATTTTCTCTACGTGATAGTTATATTGTCAAGTCATGTCACCTCCTCTTTCCCGTCTGTAAAATTAAGGTGAGCGTGTTAGGCTAATGTTTCTAAAAATTAAAAAAAAAGTTAAAAATTATGATTTCCATGTGTAAAACCTTTCAGTCAGTTCTCATGACAATTAGAGTAAAATGCAAACTCCTTACCATGGCCTGCAGGGCCCTGCCAGTCTGGCCTTTGCTTACCTCTCAGTGCTCAATTCCCTTCTCCTTTGGCCCAGTCTCACCAGCCTTCCTGATGATTTTCAAACATCTCAACTGTATTCTTACTTCAGAGCCCACTTGTTCCTTCCTTTGAGTAACCTGCTCTCTTTCTTTATTCAGGTCTCTTCAAATGTCACCTTCCTCTGACCACTTGATTTACAGTAGCTCAGTCCTTCTTGTTTTCCAAGTAGAATGCTAAGAAATGAGCTTTGATGGCTTTGCTTACTGCTGTTTACCTTAAAGTAATAATCCTTTTGAAGATTATTAATTTATTTTTATCAATTTTCTATCTTACGGAAAAGGTGGATTGGAAATAAAAAAAAAAAAGATGTAGCTTGGACAATTTTGAACTTTTTTTTTTTCAAAATGATCTTGCAGGTAAAAAATTATAACCAAACAAAGAATGCTGCTTTTGTAAATTTTCAAATGTTAATTACTAGTTCTCTTTAAGAAACACTGCTGACAGTGAGCAATATTAATTAATTAGTCATCGTTTCTACCTTTGCACTCTTCATTATTAGACCTGTCTTGATAAGAATTTTTTTTGCTTACTGTTTGAGTTTATTTTCTTTTCAGGCATTTAACAACTTTCATTTCAAAAATAAAGTAAATGTATCAAAGTGATAAGATACAGTATAATCATCTATCTGTCCTTTTTTGATATTTTAAAGTAATTTGAAATATTTGGGGTAAATACAAGTTTTGGACACATAGAACAGTCATTTTACCGAACTGCCATTAGTTCATTTTGAGTAGTCATTAATGATACTAATTTTTCAATTGATTAGAAAGATACTGGTAGGATTGACTTATGCTTTTTGAATAGAAAATTAATAAGAACAAGTTAACTACTTTTTTAAGCCTTTATTAGATGTTTATCTAGCTCTGTTACCAATTACTGTTCTTTTCACAGAGGTATAGTCTTTATGGATTCTCTGTTAGTGTTTCACAAAACTGAACATGGTTTCTTTACTGCAGAACTTCATTTTTCTAATCTTTAATATGTAAATCACAAGTAATTTAGGAAATACACATCCGTTTTTCACATATTTTTTCAAGGAACCAGTTTTTTTGCAGTATCTTGCAAATTAGTCATCACAAAAAACACTTTGTAAAATAACTCCATATAGTTTTTAACCCATTCCACATTAAGTGCTGAGAACTAATTATAAGGTATTTTAACTTAAATGCCCTGTGAGACTACTGTGAAAACTGTTGGTTTTTTAGAAATGATTTTTTCTGTTGTAAATGAGAGAAAGAAGTGAGATGCAGTTTGATGCTAAGGATGAAAATGCCAAGTCTGCCAGCATATAGAATAGCTAAAAAATGACTCATTCTAGTTTTGATATGTTAACTCTATCAGAGTTAATAATAAAAAAAAATCAAGCAACTACATACCCACAAGCTCTTTATTTTAGCTGCTAAAGGCTATTTTTTCCTTGGCACTGATGTAAGAATCTTTTGTTTTCCACTTAATAAGGAGGCTTAATCCTTTAATATACTCTTACACTACTATAAGTACCACTGTACTTAACAGTACAGATTGTCATTGCTCTTGCAATGTGAGGACATTTTGCAAAAACCGTTGGAGACATATATTCAGTATTATTTGTGTACGGATGTAGGTACCTGAATTGATTCACTAGGTTATGTTATGCAGCAATAAAATGATTGAAACCCCAGAAAGCTCTGGTACTGTGTTTAGCTTATTTTAATAGGTCAAATATGCTAAAAAAAAAAAAATTTCAGTATTACATTGGTACTTTATACATTGTATTTATAGAAAGCTGGGAGTTTTCTAATTTTAAAACAATTTATAATCATTTTAATGTAATGAGGTGATTGGTTTTATATGCAGCTTAACTAGTTTTTTTTTTTTGGTCACTGTAGAAAATGATGAAAGATAATAACTTAGTAAGGCATCTGGATGCTTGTGAAACCATGGGAAATGCTACAGCTATTTGTTCAGATAAAACAGGAACTTTGACAATGAACAGAATGACAGTCGTTCAAGCTTACATAAATGAAAAACATTATAAAAAGGTTCCTGAACCAGAAGCTATTCCACCAAATATTTTGTCCTATCTTGTAACAGGAATTTCTGTGAATTGTGCTTATACATCAAAAATATTGGTAAGGTTTTTGAAATAATTTATGAAAATTAATTTTTAAATCTATAATGATCAGACTATATGTAAGTCTTCAGACCACCATTACTGTATGTAAACTGAACTGTTAAGTTTTTAAAAGGCATATATTTATTTATATAATGGTTTTTAAATTTGTGTTATGAGTGAGGTCTGCTGATCAACATAAACATTGTTTGCTTACATTTTTCTCCTATATTTTGAATTTCCTGTGTTCAGAAACTCTCCAGCCTTATAACCAGAGCATGTATTTAATTTTAAATTCTTGTTAAGCTCATTTTTGAGAAAGATCAAACTGTCTTACTATAGGAGGTCAGCTCTCAACTTACAGAAAATTTTTAAGCCGATTTCAACTTAAAATAACATGTTTTATATATGGTTGCCATGTGTTCTGTTTGGTTTCTCAGTAGTTCCTACCTAAAAGGTGGTCCTTAGACCTTTTTAGAACTAATGCAGTAAAGTAATTCTAGACTTGTGCCACCATATAATAAAAAATTTTCAACTTACAAGTTTTAAAAATCTTATTTATAACAGAAAGAATGCGATGTTATGTTTGACTTAATCTCTTCTAGTGATTTATGGATGAAAATCATTAACAAAAATAATATTGCAAGCTGTTCATTAGGGAAAACATACATGAATTGGATGATTACATTGGAAAGTTATGGGATCTTGGTTCTAGATCTAGCTTTGCCTTTTACTAGCTGAAAGTCTGAGCTACCTTCTTTAATTACTGAGTAAAGATGATCACATCTGCCCTTAATACCATTGTGATAATTATGTAAAGTGGTATTTCTGAAGGCACTATGAAGGAATTGAAGCTTCTCACTGCATTTAAGAGAACAGTATTTTAATGAATGTACTTTTAAGCCATAAAAATTGGTAGATTTAATTTTGAATGATTTAGTATAAAAGTTAAGTGAAAACAGGAAAAGGAAATTAAAATTAAGTTCCACTCTGTATTAGGAACCAACTATAAACTTCATACATCTTATATCACTTAATTTTGGGGTCATAAGTGCTCCTATTTTACAGATGCTGAAGCCAAGGACCAAAGCAGTTGGGTAATTGTCAAATTTCACGTAGCTAGTAACTGGCAGGACTGAGATTAGAATCCATGTCATTCTCACCCCAGGCTCCTTTCTACCTTACTTTTCTATATCCTTCTTTAAAATGTTGATATTAGACAATTGCTTTGTAATTTTATTTTAGAATATCGCAGTCTGTTTTACATTATAAATTAAACGTTCTTAGAGAAACGAGATACTAGCTACTAAATGTTTTTCTCTTATAGCCACCAGAGAAAGAGGGTGGATTACCTCGTCACGTTGGTAATAAAACTGAATGTGCCTTGTTGGGACTTCTTTTGGATTTAAAACGGGATTATCAGGATGTTAGAAATGAAATACCAGAAGAAGCACTGTACAAAGTCTACACCTTCAATTCTGTTAGGAAGTCCATGAGTACTGTCCTGAAAAATTCAGATGGAAGTTATCGAATATTCAGCAAGGGTGCATCTGAGATAATTCTGAAAAAGTAAGAGTAAAATGCTTGGATGAATAAATTGCTGACTATAGTTGCTTTATGGAGTATCTACTGTGTTGTTATTGTTGTTGTCTTTTTGTGAACATCAGGCATTTGATAGGACCTCAGAGTTTTTTAGCATATTTTATGGTATCCAGATATTTGCCCCTGCTATTCTGCCATTTTCACACTCTAGCTTCTCTTATTTCTTAGCATTTTGTTATAGGGAAAATAAGCTCATTACATTCAATCTGGTATGTTTAATGAAGTATACTTTGATGTTTATTTTTAGAAGTCGATTTACTTGTTATTTAATATGCAGAATCTTGAAAAGCCTCCTGGGAAGAAAATCAAGTTTATGTCTTTCTTTCTTTCTTTTTTTTTTTTTTTTTATTTGTTTAAGGTGGAGTTTCCCTGTATCACCCAGGCTGGAGTGCAGTGGCGCGATCTCAGCTCACTTCACCCTCCGCCCCTGGGTTCAAGGGATTCTCCTGCCTCAGCCTCCCAAGTAACTGGGATTACAGGCACCTGCCACCACGCCTGGCTAATTTTTGTATTTTTAGTAGAGTCAGGGTTTCACCATGTTGGCCAGGCTGGTCTTGAACTCCTGACCTCAAGTAATCTGCCTGTGTCGGCCTCCCAAAGTGCTGGGATTACAGACGTGAGTCACTGCACCTGGCCTCAAGTTTAGATCTTCAACGCTCATTGTGGTTACTGGACTCTGAATGTGATAAGAGAATTATGAAGTAATTTTTAGAATAGCAAAGCATAAAAGCTGGATCTTGGAAATTCCCCATTTATATCAAAATGAGATTTATCATGTTTATGCTGCTGCAGTGTCGTATTTAAATATCTCCTGTCATTTTGAATACTAATTTTTCTTACTGTCCTTTTACAGATCAGTAGCTTTAATTTTGTTATTACATGTTCACATATAATTTCCCTGATGTTTATTTGTTATTAAAGGTGGTGAAATTATTTTAGTTTCTTTAATTTCATTAAAGAAGTAGAGAACTGGTTAAAAAAAAATACTGGTTAAGAGCAAGTTGGGAAAATTGGAACTCATTTGAAATTATAATATTTAAAATATTAAAGTAAATGTTTAAGATATACTTTTAATTTGCTTACATGTGGATTATAAGCCAGTATTAATGAACACTTTACAATTAGTTTAAGAGACAAATATATAAATAAATAACTGAAGGCAGCATATAATAAATTGGTACAAAGTTTTTGGGTGAGAGATCACACTGTAGGGATGTGGCATTTAAGATAGATTTTGGTATGAAATGAGAACTTCGAGGTGGGGAAACCACAGCAGAGGAAAGGAGATGAGAATATGCAGGTCATACTGGGGAGGGGAATATCTGGTTGTATAGTTCAGCTGAATAGTGATGGGCTTTTGTGGCACACAGGCCATATACAGCTTTCTTCTTGCCACAGTACACTCAGTTACCTGATTTCATTGAAAAGGTTAGAAATCTGTTTCAACCCTGGCTTGCTGGGTAGTAGATAGATGGTTTAGGAGAGAATTTTTTTTAGTCAAAACTGATCAGGCATTGACTCTTTCTCTGCAACTAACTAGCTTCTGGATATGGGGCAGATTTTTCCCTTACTTCCATTTTTCTCATCTGAGAAAGCGGGTGATGACCACCAACTCTGTGGCACTTAAATGAAGTAATGCATACCAACTGTCTAGTGTGAAGCCTGGTGGACAGTAAACATACAGCAAGTGTTCCCACAGTAATATTTGCATTTTGTTGTGGAGACTTTTTAAATGTTGGGCTGAGCAGTTAAAATTGAAGTAAGCCAGATAATGCAAATGAGGTATTTTTTTCTTCAAGTAGTAGAATCATCAAAGCTGTGATTAAAGATAATTCTTGCATCAGGGAACAAGGTGGGTTAGAGGGAAAAAAAAAATCAACTAGAGACATATCAGTTAAAAGGCTATTGCTATTACAATAGCTGTAGCTTTGTAGCTTGAAGTAAGAACCAGAAGAAAGTAGTAGCAGGAGAAATAAAAAGGAGTGGACACATTGAGGAGGCTGTTCAGAGGAGAAATGTATAGGACTTAGGAGCTAATAGTAGAGAGATGATCAGGAAAAATAAGTATTAAGGTGAAATTTTAGACTTACATCAAAATGATTAGGGTAATGTTGATGCACATTACATGGGCAGTGAAGAGGCAGCTTCCAGTCTTTCATCCATTAAGGTTTAGGTACTGATAAAACATCTGGGTAGAATTTTTCAGCAGTGATGGAAAGCTTTGAAAAACAAAACAGAAGATGTGGATTTGGGAATTACCTCCCTAGAAGCAGGAAGAGATGGCATCATCAAGGGAGAGGAGTATAGAGAGGCATTATGAAAAACAAACTTTAAATAGGTATATAGTATGATTTTTATTCATTATGTAATGAAAGAAAAGGTAGTAGTGTCACTGAAAATAACTTTTGGCATTAACTCTCATTCTGATAGAATGCTTATTTTAACAATAAGTTATTTTTTTTCTTTCATGGTTAAAACAATATAGGTGATGAAACAACATCTCAGGTAAGGGGTTGACTACGCTTGGCTTTTTACCTTAAAAGAAGAAAACATTTGTGATTTTGGTATTATTTCAAACTAATGTCTGATTCTGTACCAAAATGGTGAAGTATATAGTTTATTCTCCTTTGCCACCCAGGGATTCTTTATGAAAGTTTGAAAGCACTGCATTTCCAAAAGACAAGGTTTAGAGAAGTTCTAGAGTAATTGATAAATGGAGAACTGTCAAATGAGAACCATACATATTAGTTCTGTTTTGTAAAAGGGAGGGTGAAAAGTGAATTTAAGTCTATAAAAATGAATTATATGTAATTCTCTAAATTCCAGATATCAGATCCCATGATTTCTAGGCCTGCCAGTTCACTTAAATGGCATTAACCATTATTTTTTTAAATTATTGATGTTTGGATTCAACATTTCCTTTTAGGTGTTTCAAAATCTTGAGTGCTAATGGTGAGGCAAAAGTATTCAGACCAAGGGACCGTGATGATATTGTAAAAACTGTGATTGAACCGATGGCATCAGAAGGCTTGAGAACCATATGTCTTGCATTCAGAGATTTTCCAGCAGGAGAACCAGAACCAGAGTGGGATAATGAAAATGATATTGTCACCGGCCTTACATGCATTGCTGTTGTGGGGATTGAAGATCCTGTGAGACCTGAGGTGGTGAAACATTCTGTGTTCTGCATGTGCAGAATCTCATAACTATAGAGGACCTAGGCCTTAATTGTAACCAGTTTTCTAGTAAAATTCTTGGTGTTTGTGATTTTTTTTTTTTCTGTGTGAACCCAAGATAAATGAAATAATAGTACCTACAGTGCATATGCTAGCTTTTATGGTTTTTAAAGACAGTGTCTCTTTGGGATCCTATGTGTTCATAGCACCATAACCTAGCACAGTGCCTTGAAGTGGGTAGAATTTTCAGTTATTATTTATCTTAAATTAAATAATAGGTGCCATTATTTGTTTTCACAGTCTCTAGACTAGCATTGTCTAGTAGAGCTTTCTGTGATAATAGGAATGTTCTGTATATTGTTTAGTACAGTAGCCACTAGCCATGTGTGAATACTGACTTCTAGTTTTCAGTGGCTAGTGCAACTAAAAGACAGGATTTTTAAATTTTATTTAATTCAAATTAAAATATCTTGCTAGTAGTTGTCATATTGGATGGCATGCAGCTCTAGACTGATTTCCCTCTTTAATTTTTTTTTGCTATTTGGTTTTTCACCTTTTTTAAGTTTGTTGAACAACTACTGTGTGCCAGGCACTATCCTAAGGTACTAGAGACTTAAGAGTTTTGAGATCTGATCACCGGCCTCAAAGAAGTTACTGTCTTATGTGGGACGAACCAAACACGTGATTATTGCAACCCAAGATATTACTACCTTGCTGGGTATATACAGAGCATGTTATATGAGCAGAGAACACGAGTTCCCAACCTAGCCTAATAGCATCTTTTTATTGAGTTCTCACTGTGTGCCATATACTTAAGCCATGTGTTTTACAAGTAATTTTTTTAAATGTCTACCTTTATGAGGTATGCATATTATTACTCTTATTTGGCAGATTTTTAAGAATCAAAAATGTATAGAGCGTTAGACATGTTTAAAAATACATTTTTAAAAAATCGAGAATGTATAGAGCATAGACCTAGTGTGTTAAAATACCAGCTTTGTCTAAAACACATGTGCTTAAAAGACTACTGTACTGTATTGACCACTGGAGGGGTCAGGTAAGACTTCCTAGAGGTTAATTACCTGATCTGATTCTTAAAGAAGGAGGAAGTATTATCTAAACCAAGAAAGAGAGCGAGCAGTTAGGTATATTCTGAGCAAAGAAGCAACATAAATAAAAGCACTAACAGAAAACCACTTTTGTTCAGTGACTTTATCAGCTAATTGATTCAAAACCTAATGTGTAGCACTCTTTTAGGAGCTGGAAATACTGCAGTGACCAGAATAGGCTTGAGATTTATATTCTAGAGGAAGAAGACAGCTAAGTAGGTAGAATGATAGATACATGGACACCATGTCAAGTGAAAAATGAATTCTGGGAGGAATAAGACTTGGTCCCTGTTCTCATAGGCCTTAAGATATTCTGGGTGGCAGGGTGGCATATCAGGGGGGATGATATTAAATAAGACAATTACAAGTGCAGAAGGGCTATATAAGATATGCACGGTGTAATGAAATAAAGTAATGGAGAGAGACTGCATTAAGAATTTCTGAGGATGTGGCATTTGAGTTGCAATCTGATGGTTCATAGTGGGTCTGCCATGTAAATAGCTGCAAGAAGAGCATTCCAAGCAAAACGAGAAATGCAAGTGAAAGTGAGAAAAGTAGCTATTTTAAAGGTGGAAAAGAGGCCAGTGTGGCTATAAATGTAAAGAAGAAAGGGGAGACGAGATGATCTCTGGCCTTACTGGGCTGTGAGGACTCTGAATTTTCTGAAATTCAGGCTGGGAAGTGACATGATTTATGTTGTTAAAATACTATTTTGGGTACGTGTAAGACAGGGATTAGAGATGAAGAAGAGTAGAAGCAGGGAAGCTAATGAGATTATTGCAGTGATCCCAGGCAAGAGATGATCATGGCTTGGCCCACAGTTGTGGCATAGGAGATGGAAAGAAAAGAATGATTTCAAAGTAAGTGGAGATAGAACCAGTAGGAAGTAATATGTTGGGTTTGGATACGCTGTTTTTGACATTGTTGAGGTGTCTGAGACATCCAAATGTATGTCAAGCATTTGGACCTCAGAGCCTGAAAGTGGGCTAGTCTGAAGAAATCACTGATGAAACTAAAGATATTTAGAGAAAGTGTGTAGCTAGGGAAGAAGGCTTTTATGACTAAGAGGTTGCCACAATTAGAAGTCTTATAAAGGAGATGGTCGCTAACCATCTCTGTACAAGTTAGAGAACCAGTCTGTAACTTGGTGGCTGATAGAGGGTTACCAATGTAATAAGAGAACCAGAAACAGCAGCCTGTTGAGAGATTAAGATAAATTTGGTTTGGGGTTTTGTAATTTCAAATGCTTATAAAATAGCCAGGTGGGTAATGTTTGCCATGTGGTCACAGGAGAATCATTCAAAGGTTGTTTTTTTATTTTGTCTTGTTTTTGTTTTCTTTAAGGAAGGAGTCTTCCTATGTTGCCCAGGCTGGAGTACAGTGGCTTTTCACAGGCAGGAGATCATGGTGCACTGCAGCCTCAAACTCCTGGCCTCAAGCAGCCTCCCACCTCAGCCTCCTGAATAGCTGTAATTACAGGCATGCACCACTGTGCCTGGCTTTTCAAAGTTCTATACATTGACTTACGGTTTAAACTTTAACATGAAATCAGGGTATCTGCAACTTTCATTCTTTGGAAGACATCAGTCTATTATCATGCTCTTGGCATTGCAGTTGATGGAGAGTTTTATCTTTTTTAAAGCATGTAAATGGCACTTGTTTTTCAGTATCACAAAATGAGATGGGTATTTATATACTAAATTGAGACGATGTAATATGAAACAGTTTTCTCTGAGTTTATTTTGTACAGTGCAATTCTGGTGGAGGGATTCTTGAATAATTAGATGTCTAGAACAAATCCAGTTTTTATTACATATGTATAAGTACTTGGCCTTGCTTTAGTTTCTTATATGTAAAAGTAGAGATAGTTTGTAAGTTTTAAGCTGAAAGCATCTGGTGACTAGTAGGCAGTTAATAAATGTTAGTGTGCCTTTCTTATGTATTATTTGCCACATAGTTTTAACCTGAGACCAATTTCTCCCTTTTACTCATTGTTTCCCTGTCCAGATGATCCTGGGATACTACCTAATCAAGGACTGCTTAGATACAAAAATTTAAGATAGATTTTATCTCAAATGAGATAACAGGAGATATATACATTTATAAAACAGACAAGTGTTTTTAGTGTCAAATATTGATTTTTTTGAAAAAATAATCTAAGCAGGCCCTGTCCTTTTGCTCATCACTCTGGCACTAGGACCTAAGCACAGTGCCTGGCATTCAGTAAATATTAGTTTGAGTAAATGCACGTGATGTCCCCCTCCAATGATTTGAATCACTAAGAGTTGACTGGGTAGAGGGAAATAACTTTTATGATGTAAATCTTAAAACTTATAGATAAATATGTATTTAAATTGCAATTAATTACATTGCATACATGTTTTAAAACATGGTACCCTGGGCCGGGCATGGTGGCTCACACCTATAATCCCATTACTTTGGGAGGCTGAGGCAGACGGATCGCCTGAGCTCAGGAGTTCAAGACCAGTCTGGGCAACATGGTGAAACCCCATCTCTACCAAAAATACAAAAAATTAGCTGTGCATGGTGGCGTGTACCTGTGATCCCAGCTACTCAGGAGGCTGAGGTGGGAGGATCACTTGAGCCTGGGAGGCAGAGGTTGCAGTGAATCAACATTATACCCCTGCACTTTATCCTGGGTGATGGAGTGAGACCCATCTTAAAAAAAAAAGTACCTTGTCTGGAATGTGCACCCCTTAAAAAATGTACCTTGCTATTATCCCAAAGATATTTAATTCAGCAGTTCAGTAAATACTTAGCTCCAGTTACATGCCTGGTGCTTATTTGTTAAATGAACAAAAGGTATACTAGGTGTTGGTGATGCAAAGATAAGGTAAAGGTCCTACCTTCAAGAAGCTCATTGAAGATTCAGGTAAACAATAACTATAGTATGACTTAATGATCTGTAATAGAGGTATGTATAAGATGAAGGTGCAGTTTTGTCTAGGTAGACCAAGAAAGCTCCAGATAAGTTAGATTTACACTGGATTTAGGATAGACTTCACAAACAGCTAGGCTGCAGTTCAAAGTTAGCCTTCAGTCAAGTTATCTTTGTTGGGCGGGGGGAGTTAGAAACATTAAGTATGAAGAGATTACGCACAAATCTCTGTTTCTTTCTTTTGCAGTTACAGGTTCTGTTAACACTGGGGTCTCATTCCATCATGGCAGAAATAGGCTAGAGCTAAATAGCTCTTTCATTAGGCATTTGTCTCGGGGGTTTGTCATTTTCAGCATATTTTCTTCATGTATGTTACCTCCGTGATCCTTTAGGCATTTTAATTTGCAACCCCTGCTCCAGTAGGATCCGTGTGGATTTTCTGGTTACAGAAAAGCAGGAAAAGATTTTCTAGGTGAAAGGAACTGTAGTAGCACAGGCACAAACACTGATTGTGTTATACTGAGAACTTTGTGGTTTGTGTATAACAGCTGAGGAATCATCGTATATTTTAAGAAAGTGTATTTCTGCTTAAAAAATAAAAAACTCTACCATCAAGTATATCATATGTTTTAAAGGAGGAACAAACTTAAAGGCAGGGTACCTTATAAAAAGCCATTGCAGTAGGTTGGGCAACAAGCAACAGAGACATGATGCAGGGCAAGTTTGAGGTAGAATCCACAGGACTTACTGGCTTCTAAGGATGTAGGATAAGAGAGCTGAAAGAAGAGGTACAGGTGACTCTTAGGTTTCTGCTAGACAGGTAAAGGAAACATGGTTTCACTTTTAGACACCTGAATCGATACCCACTTTACAGGTGGAACTATGACTCTCCTCTTACAGTGAGGTAGGGGCAGGATGTGGATTCTAAAGTCATTAGAATATGATGGAATTAGATGGAAATTGAAGGTATGGGAATAGGTAAGGTAACACTTAAAAGATATGGATTGTGAGCCACCCTTAACCCTAAACAAAAGAATACCAACATTTTACTCATGTAATCTGGGTAGTAAAACCAGAAGGGTAGAAAGCCAACCAGAAAAGAATTGCCTAATGGTTGCCTGGGGAAATGGTGCTTTAAAAAGCCTTCTGTAAATAAATACTGCAAACAAATTAGTAGATGACAACTGAAAACGAAGCCTGAGCTAAGTCTGGCAGTGGAATTGGAAAGAGATTATTGAAAATAGTGCAAGAAATGTTGAGTATTGGAAATGAAATCAATCATTATTAAGTCATTGTATCATTGTCATCATTTGGGGGACTATAAATTAATGCAGTCGTGTGCAGTGAAATATTTTTCCTTCTAAAAATACCAAATTAACTTTGTAATTTTTTTTTTTAATGTAAACCAGGTGCCAGATGCAATTAAAAAGTGTCAGAGGGCTGGAATTACTGTGCGGATGGTCACTGGTGATAATATTAATACTGCTCGGGCCATTGCTACCAAATGTGGTATTTTACATCCTGGGGAAGATTTTCTGTGCCTAGAAGGTAAAGATTTTAACAGAAGAATACGAAATGAAAAAGGAGAGGTAAAGATTTATTATTATTTTGTTTTTGGTTGACAGATGTTTAATATATTAGGAATTTAACTCAACAAACACATATTGAATATGCACTGTGTTAGGCACCATGCATGAAATAAATGCAGTCTATACCTTAGGAAGCAAAATACTAGTGTTCTAAGGGATAAAAGAGAGAAGTAATAAATTGGTACTAAAGGGAGTAAGCATTTCTTGCTATGAATGCTATATAAAAGTAGCAGCAGTGAATCTAGGCCAATTTCAGAAGTACAGTATGTATAAGGGAGTAATGGGAGATGAGTTGGAAAGGCTGATATGGAGCATATTTTAGGGGGCCCCAAACTCTCTGAACTTCTTATGCTAAATTAAGGAAGTTCTATTTTCATAGGCAGTAGGGGGATTTTTTAAATTTGGTCTCATAATGATATATAAAAACAGTGGCTTTTAAACTTGAGTATGCATCAAAGTCACCTAGCAAGATTATTAAAACACAGATTGCTGGGCCTGCCCCACAGTATTCGCTAAGATAGATCTGGGTCCATGCCCAAGAATTCACGTTTCTAACAAGTTCCCAGGAGTTTCTGATTGTTCTGTGGACCACACTTTGAGAGCTACTGATAAATATGCCAGATAGCTCATTAGGATTTAAGAAACTATGTTTGGGCATATTTTAACTTTGATAAACACTTATAGATTGAGCAAGAGAGGATAGACAAGATTTGGCCAAAACTTCGAGTACTTGCAAGATCATCTCCTACTGATAAGCATACACTGGTTAAAGGTAAGTAGATTTTTCAGTTATTTCACAATTTCTTAATACAGAAATGTGTTCTGCTTCCCAGAATAGTAATAGATACTGAATATTAGATTGAGTCATGGATATCATCTGTTTTAATAAAATCTAAATACATTTCCTTTGATACCTTAGGTAAATTGTGTTGTTAAGTGATTATCTTAAGTGTTTAAAACAGGATATTGCTCTGAATATACCCATAGTTTCTGAAGTAGGTTCTCACCCAACATCTAAGCAATTTCCATTTTTATATTTGTTTATTTATTTTTAACCTTGAGTCTATAAAACCGACGTCAGGATATTCTTCAGAATCATCTTATTAAAGAGTAATGTTTTTATAACACAAATATTTGCTTGTATTTAAGGTATAATTGACAGCACTGTCTCAGACCAACGCCAGGTTGTAGCTGTAACTGGTGATGGTACAAATGATGGCCCAGCACTAAAGAAAGCAGATGTTGGATTTGCAATGGTAAGAATTTACTCATTCAAATATCCAAACGTAATTTACTGACTGGTTTGTTTGTTTGTTTGTTTGTTTGTTGACTAAATTACTATGGATTTTAAACACTGTCCCTCAAGATTAGTTCGAGGGATAATTAATAAGCTTAAATTGGTTTATAAGTCTAATTAGTTTATGCATTAGCTTTATTTGATGTCATGAAATCTGACTAGATTGTTTCTTTTGAGCAATTTAATAATATTGTATGTTGGCTTTGTATTCTGTTAATTTTTTAATGTCTGTCAACTCAACTGAACCTTTTAATAACCCTTTAATGCAGGACACAGGCTTAGAATAGTTGTGTGTATTTAAATTAAAAATATAATTGAAACTCTTCCATTCATCTACTCAGTTACTCTTCAGTTATTTAAAAAGTAATTGAATACCATCATTTTATATATAATCTTTTTTTATTGAAAAAAATCCTACCTACTTGTTTTCCCCAAAGTCCTCAATTTAAGTATTTTATTTTCTTTGAGTTTCATTTTATTTTTGGAAAATACTGGTTCATAATCACAATTCTCAAATCTAGAACTATCAGGAAACTGAAATTTTTAACCTAAATTTTGCAGCAGACTCATTTGATTGCAAAATTTGTTCTGAACTGATGTGAGGCTGTTATTTGTCCTACTTAGTGTGAATATTCATAGCCATTGTGGAGATTTTAATGTGATTTTTATGGGGTGCTAAGCTCTTTTGGGAAAATTGAGATATAAGGTTATGTGTCTCATTATCTTTCCAAACTATGAGAGACTGAATTCCGAATCACAGTCTGGCCCTAAGGTTTTCAGATGAGAGATTGTTTTTGTGTACAAATGTTTATTTGCATAATTTGTCCCCCTGATATTTTGCTGCTAAAATGGAAATTTAGAAGATCTACCATGGTGGCAGCCTTTCAACAGGAGTGAGAGAGATGAGGAAAGGAAATTATGGGTAAATTTCCCTCAATCAAAAGCAGGGAATCCAAAGATCCCCCGCCCTACCCCATCCCAAATTTAAATGGTTGGCAGCTGCATTGGTAGGAGCTTCTGAAGACATGTGAAGCATAGCTGAAGAGGTCTATGGAATAATTAAGTGCTCTTCCTTTTGCTGTAGGCAAACAGGCTCATTCCCTTTAGGAACATAGGATCACTCACTGCTGCTCTTGAGCATTTAGCAGGATTCTTATTGCTATTTACATTCTGACAGCTGACCAGAAAGGCAGTTATGTAAAATGAATTTTAAAATAAAAAAAGCTTTCTTCCCAAAACTTGAATGTAAGACAGATACAATGGGCTTTAAATAAATACAGGTAAATATAATCAAACAAATACACAATACAATGGCTTGTTGGTTAGTGTTTTTTAAGCTCTTCATGGTTTTAGGCCCAGTTATACCACTTTTTTTTTTTTTAAATGATAACATCAAAAGTCTAAATTTAGTTCAAAAACAGGCTGGCCATGATGGCTCACGCCTGTAATCCCAGCACTTTGGGAGGCTGAGGCGGGCGGATCACATAAGGTCAGGTGTTCAAGAACAGCCTGGCCAACATGGCAAAACCCCATCTCTACTTTAAAAAAAAACATACAAAAATTAGCTGGATGTGGTGGTCGCGCCTGTAATCCCAACTACTTGGAAGTCTGAGGCATGAGAATCACTTGAACCCAGGAGGCGCAGGCTGCAGTGAGCCAAGATGGCACCACTGCACTCCAGCCTAGGTGACAGAGCGAGACTCTGTCTGAAATAAATAAATTAATTTAGTTTAAAAACATAGAGAAACTGTAAGTGCTTGGTAGCTTGGACTTGAAACTACTCTTGTTAAAGCTTGAATTTACTTTGGTTTTGCATTTGTACAGTTAAAACTTAGACAAACGTATTGTCTTAGAGTTTTTTTTTTAGTTACAAGAAATCGCTGTTGATAATTTCTTTCTAAATGTATCTCCTATTTTCAGGCAGATATAGCATTTTAGAGCATACTTTCTTGATTTGTTGATCTATAGATAAAGTGTGTGTTCTGCTTGTACATTTGGCCCTTTGTATCCATGGATTCTGCATCCGCAGAATCAACCAACTGTGGATCGCAAATATTCGGGACAAAAAATATGGATGGTTGCATCTGTAGTGAACATGTGCAGACTTTTTCTTGTCATGATTCCCTAAATAATATAGTGTAACAATTATCTACATAGCAAGTTTTGGTCGAAGGAGAGAATCCTTGTCACATGAAATTATTCTTGCCAAAAATTAGTTAACCATGTATAGAGATACTGCTGTCATCAAAGACTGAATCTCATGGTGTAATCCAATAATCAAATACATCTATGGTAGTAAAACCTAAGGTAATTAAAATACTTTTATTTAAATTTTATTTGGATTAATGCGGGACTCCAAATATTGAGACTGTGTTCAGTATTCCAGTCCCGGAACATTAGAAGTGAAGAGTTGCTGTCTCCTAAAAATTCACAGCACATGGAAATAATTACAGGACAGTGACAAGTGTCTCAGGCAGAAGTCCTTGACTCTGCCTGTAGAGACTGGGAAGGGTTTTCTGGAAGAGGTGCCAGTTTAGCTGAGGGAAGGAGAGGAACCAAGAGGCCCTCATTCATCAGCGAATTATGTACAAGTTTTTCAATCTAACTAGAAGAGGTTGCGGTGCTGTAATGAGATACGAAGCTAGAAGAATTCACAGGGGGCCACATTAAAAAGGCCTTGAATGCCATGATAAGGAATTTTTTTTCTCTTATCCTGTAGATGAACATTTGCCAAGCCTACTTCTGATGATGTAAGTTTAGAGACACACTATGCGATATCATATGACTCCTAGAAGCTCATTTTTAAAAAGCAGTTTAACGTTTTGTGATTGAAAGTTTTCCAGACTTGTTTCATCATAGAACTAGTTTTTATTTGAATACCAATTAACACCATAGAGTTACTTTTAGAAATGTTAAGGATTTTGAGCAAGGGAATGGTGAGATTTGCATTTGTATAATATGGGTATGATGAGAATCAAGAAATCCCATTGAGTTTAAGTGTGTTAAATATATGGGACATTGGCCAGGCATGGTGGCTCACACCTGTAATCCCAGCACTTTGGGAGGCCGAGGCGGGTGGATCTCTTGAGGTCAGGAATTCAAGACCAGTCTCGCCAACATGGTATATTAAAATCCTGTCTCTACTAAAAATACAAAATAGTGGGTGTGGTGATGTGTGACTGTAATCTTAGCTACTCCGGAGGCTGAGGCAGGAGAATGGCGTGAACCCGGAAGGCAGAGCTTGCAGTGAGCTGAGATCGCACCACTGCACTCCAGCCTGGGCAACAGAGCGAGACTCTATCTCAAAAAAAAAAAAAAAAAAAGTGGGACATTAAAAGTAAAATATTCACATTGGGAGCTGGAGACTAAGATTCTAAAATAAGATTGTTTCTTCATTGAGTATTTTGAGAAAGGTTTCATCTGAACTTCATGTTTATCAAAACAATGTATGCGTAGCATTTAAAAGGTCAAGTAGTTCTATAAGACTTAATAGCAAGTTCCCTGCCACATACCAAATTTTTGGCTCCCAAAGGAAACTGTTTTAGCTGCTTCTTTTACTTAGTTATGTACCTTTATATCTCTGAATCACATAATTCTGGTGCTTTTTGATTTTTTTAATATAAGGCTTTAACTACTGACTTTCATTAATGAAGGTGAGGACTTAGTGCTTTCACAAGCATATAGACCACATTCACCGCATATACCTTCATGCTCACTACCTATCCCATCATCTGCCAGCAGAGTTATATCATAATTTAGATTTGATCAATATTCAGTCCTTACTGTGACTTACTGTGACTGTAAATGCTGTTTCAACCTGATCTGTGTGGTCTACTGTAATTACTTTTCCTTCCTTACACAGCTTTTTATGTTCCCTATAATTTGTTGTCTTTTACTTGCTTTCTTTTAATTTTTATTTGGTTTGTTTGAATTTTTTTGGCTTAGTTTTTCTATGTACTTAACTAATTCATCCCCAAATTCTCTGTTTCATACATCAGAGACCTTTAGCACTCTTACCAATTTTAGTGTCTAAGAGATACGTCTCTCAGCATCTTTCAACATGCTTTAATCTGCACTCGCTGTTTGCTAGCCTTGCTGCACAGCTGTCTTCTTGGTCTCCATACCTGAGGATTTTCTTTATTCTCCTTTGTGTTGGATCTTGTACTTCATGAATTCAGTGGCATCATCTTCTTTGGTTTATTCCCTTATCTGGTGGAGTCATCTTCTCCAGCTGCTTCCTGAGAAAGGGTTTGTCTTTGTCCATTTTGTATTGTGATAACAGAATATCTAAGACTTAATAATTCATGAACAATAAAAGTTTATTTGACTTGAGGTTCTGGAAGTGAGTAAATCCAAGAGCCAGGGTGCCAGCATCTGGTGAGGACCTTCATGCTGTGTCATGTCATGGGAGAAGGGCAAGAGAACACCGCAAGTGAGCACAAAAGCAAGAGGGGGTCAAACTCACCTTTATAATGATGTCACTCTTGATAATGAAACCACTCCCAAAATAATGATATTAATCCATACATGAGGGCAGAGCCTTCATCATATCACCTCTGAGTTTCCATGTCTGCACTTGGTTGATTAGAGATTATGTTTCCAACACATGAATTTGGGGAACACTTTCAGCTCGTGGCAAGGTTCGTGAGGTTAAGCTTTTTGATAATTTTTTAGTGAATCCTACTCCCTTCTAATTACTGCCTTGTCTCTCTGCAAAGATAACCAGTATCCTGAAGATTATTCCTTTTGCCTGTTTTTGAACTTTGTACAGAAGAGTCATACATTATGTGTTGAGTTCATCTTCTTTATTCAGCATTATGTTTGTCAGATCATTTATGTTAATATAGTTGTAGTTCACTCATTTTATTAATCCACAATTTATTAATTACCCCATTCTCCTGTTGATGACATTGTTATTAGTTTGAAGCTTCTAAATGCGTCTTCAGTAGACTTTCAAGAGATCTTCCTTTTTTTATTCCTACCTTCACCCCTACTTCCAGTGCCACGTAAATCTGCCAAGTCTGGAGCTGACAGGGGGGTTCTGTTGTTGGGGGGAAAGGGGGCTACTTCTACTTTCTCTACACTTGGATTAGGATTCAGCTTTCTTGTGT
This sequence comes from Homo sapiens, assembly GCF_000001405.40. NCBI lineage: Eukaryota > Metazoa > Chordata > Mammalia > Primates > Hominidae > Homo > Homo sapiens. The sequence goes on along the minus strand of NC_000012.12, from coordinate 89,604,784 downwards.
CTGCTGAGTTACTTACCATTTGGCTGTCTGCTTTCTAGCCTCTAAGGTTTTATGGGTTTTTTGTTTGTTTGTTTGTTTTTTGGTAGAATCTCCTTTTCCTCTAACTTTGTCTTCATAGAGTTTGTTTGCTTTTTATTAACAGATACCTTTTTGTGTGGCTTTTGGAAGGAACTTGGGTAATGTCTTTGTTCATTCCTCCATTTTTAACCCAACTTGAACCTTATTTTTAATACTTCATTCTTTGTTTGATTTCTGCTAAACCAGAATGTCTTTCCTAGTAATATCTTAGAATAACTCTGTTACCTTCTTTTAGTGTAAATTTAAGTAATATTTATTAGGTATAATGGTAAACTTTTTGTTTATTAAGTGTGTATTTTTTGACTATTTGAAAGTTATACTTAAAACATTTAGTCTAATTCACAAAATTTTTTTTAACAGGGTATTGCTGGAACTGATGTAGCTAAAGAAGCATCCGATATTATTCTCACAGATGACAACTTTACAAGCATTGTTAAAGCAGTTATGTGGGGACGAAATGTCTATGACAGCATCTCAAAATTCCTTCAGTTCCAACTTACTGTTAATGTAGTAGCAGTGATTGTTGCTTTTACGGGCGCCTGCATTACTCAAGTAGGTGATGACTTGTCTATCAAAACTTGTTTACTTTAAATTTAAAAAGTATATTAAATGCCTCTTAAAAAATACTTAATATTTAAGCTGAAGCTTAATATTTTAGGTTAGTTAATATAAAAATATAATCCTGTTCTGTTTCTCAAGTTTTTAAACCCTAAAGGTTTCCTGAGAATTGCTGAGCCCCTGAGTAGTTGTGAATGTCTATTAGGAAACATATCTTTTCTAGGACTCACCGCTTAAGGCTGTGCAGATGCTGTGGGTAAACCTCATAATGGATACACTCGCTTCCCTGGCTCTGGCAACGGAACCACCCACTGAGTCTCTCTTGCTTCGGAAACCTTATGGTAGAAATAAGCCTCTCATCTCACGTACAATGATGAAGAATATTTTGGGTCATGCATTCTATCAACTTGTAGTAGTCTTTACACTCTTATTTGCTGGTAAGAATTCAGTGTCTAATAAAGCTTCAGTTAATTGTTTCTTTTCCAAGCTAATCATCCAAGATGTTATAATGTTACAAATTTTCAAGAGCCTAAATTCTACTCCTGACTTCCCATTTATCTTTAATTTCTTCTTAATCAGTGAGTGCTTAGTAAATTTGGGAGGACAATAAGCTAGATAGTAGAATAAACAGGAGAATAAACAGTCCTGATGTCTTACCCTGGCTCTCCACTAATTTAGATATGTGATCCTGAGATTATCACCATAGTTTTGGGAGCTTCTGTTTCCTTGCCTATAAAACAAGAGAGTTGTACTAGATAATCCCAGGTTTCTCTAGCTCCTTCCATGCTGCCATTTCAGATCAAATAAAAGGTCTAGCTAAGTTGTAATTTGTATACCTCCTTGAAATCTAATTTGGTATGATAATTACAAAATAGTCATTTTTCATTCTTTCAGGAGAAAAGTTTTTTGACATTGATAGTGGAAGAAATGCTCCTTTGCATGCTCCTCCTTCAGAACATTATACTATTGTTTTTAATACCTTTGTGCTGATGCAACTTTTCAACGAAATAAATGCCCGGAAAATTCATGGTGAAAGAAATGTATTCGAAGGAATCTTTAACAATGCCATCTTCTGCACAATTGTTTTAGGCACTTTTGTGGTACAGGTGGGTAATTGGAAAAGATAGTTTCAAATTTGCCTGTTAAATGGGAGACATTAGGTAAACAGCTTGTTCTAGCAATCACTTGTGTGGAACATGTGTGGAACTGTTGCCTTGGTGACATATATAATATCATGGTGATTTAAGGTATATGTTAAAGAATATGGGAACTGAATCTCCTGTTCTTAGAAGTAAATGCCACAACCAACTAGACAAACAGTTTTATTTCTTCCAACTGTAAAGTGAAAGATATTATTTCTTAGGAAACAAAGTCAGCCAATCAATTAATTGTTTCCCAGCATTTTAGTATTCTTTTTACATCCCACATTATACCAAAAAAAAGATCAGGTTTAAATTTTAAAAAAAATTAAGATCACTTGTACAAATACATATTGAATTCTTCATGCTCATTATTTTCTTGATTTATAAAAGAAAATTACTTCAGTTTTATATCTCTACTAAAATCCAGACCTGATTGTCAAATCAGTTGTAATCTAATTGGGCTACTAACAAAGCAGTTGGAAATCTATCTGTACAAGTGCACAAATTAACTTAAAAAATAGTGGAACCGAGAAGTGAAAATGACTTGAATTTGAATAAAGTAGAGCTAAAAAGAAAGGAATTGTAACTTTAAGGTTTTAAAATGTTAACTACCAAAATTATTTTTGATTTTAATATTTGGGAACTAGTTAACTGCCATATCAAAGAGAGGCCTGTCAGACTCACAGGAGGGTGAATATTGTTAATTGATTCTTTTTTTAAAAAATTATTTATTTTTTAATTAAGACAGGGTCTTGCTATGTTGCCTAGGCTGGTCTTGAACTCCTGGGCTCAAGCAGTCCTCTCACCTCAGCCTCCAAAAGTGCTAGAATTACAGGTATGAGTCACCACACCCAACCCCAGTTAATTCTTAATATTTCCATGCACACTATTTTAGGCCTTTTAGAATAACAAGCAAAACATAAGCACTGTATTATGAATTTATATTCATCATCAGACCTCACTCTTTTCATAAAGGAGAGCAAATCTGAGATCACCTCACCTGAGTTAGCCCATATTTCATAGAACTTTCCAAGTTGCCTTTCTTCTCATATAGTCTGTGTTTATCTTAGTATGTCTAAATGTTAACTAGAAATAAACAGCTATGTGGAATTTTTTTAATATTGTGCATTTTTCCAGTAACATACAGTCTTTTCTACAAAAGAGTACTATATTTTGAGAAAGGCACAGATTATTTGAAGAGTTGTACTAAATACAGGGGAATGTAGTTGCTTGGGGTTATATTGGAAACAGTATAAAATTATTATTCTTGGTCATAAGAATTTTACTTTTTAGTAAGCGTAATTTAAACATGAAATACGCATGCATCAAAAATATTGGGCAGAGATTTTACTTTATTTCAGTTGTCTTTTTTTCTAAGAGGCAAAGTGGACTGGAGGGGAAAGAGGAAAGGTCTATTTCAGTTGTCTTATTTTCAGTTGTGACTAATATAATACAATTCATCAGAATAGTGGTTGTTCACCTTGTTTTAGAGGACATAAATTTGATATTTTTTTAAGTATATGAATTTTAAAATTTAAGATTTAAGTAAATTTACTCTTGATTATTCCTCCAGATAATAATTGTGCAGTTTGGTGGAAAACCTTTCAGTTGTTCAGAACTTTCAATAGAACAGTGGCTATGGTCAATATTCCTAGGAATGGGAACATTACTCTGGGGCCAGGTAAAAATTTCATCAGTTTTTGTTTAAACCTAAAGTGATTTTTTTTTTTAATTTCTAGTGTGTATTTTCTTTAACAGTTTCATTACTTGATTCTAAATGGTTAATGTGGTGAGTAAAGAGAGGGCATTCAAAGATAAGTTTTTTTAATGTCGTATTAGTTCCAGTATGTCACTTGTTCATTATGATTATGCCTGTACTATAAAATACTATCCTAACTTTTTATGTGTTTTTTTAACTTGTTTTTTAGAAGTTTTGTAGCGGTTTTTAAAAATGATGTATTTATAACTGGTTAGGATGCTAATATCTGTATCTTTTACTCTATAACCTATTTTTACATTTTCAGAAAAAAATTTTTTACAACAATGTAAAAAATACATGGCCGGGTGCGGTGGCTCACGCCTGTAATCCCAGCACTTTGGGAGGCCGAGGCGGGTGGATCACCTGAGGTAAGGAGTTAGAGACCAGCCTGGCCAACATGGTGAAACCCCGTCTCTACTAAAAGTATAAAAATTAGCTGGGCATGGTGGCAGGCGCCTGTAATCCCAGCTACTTGGGAGGCTGAGGCAGGAGAATCGCTTGAACCCAGGAGGCAGAGGTTGCAGTGAGCCAAGATCGCGCCATTGCACTCTAGCCAGGGAGAGAAGAGCGAGACTTCATCTCAAAAAAAAAAAAAAAAATACATTGTCATTTTGTTCTGTAATTTAATCCAATATGCAGCATAGGAAAAACTGACCTTAGAGAATGTTTTTATAAAAATAATGTTACCTGGAAAAAGGGGTCACAAAATGATGTTTTAGATTTGAATTGAATAGCTTTAACAGTGTATATATGAAATAAAGTGCCTGAAATAAGAGATATACCTCATATTTACTATAGGCAGCTTACTTGCAAATGCATGTCATTATTTTTTAAATGTGACAGTGATTTATGCATTGTTCATTTTAAGCCCATTACTATAAAACTAATTTATAGAAAATCTAACATTTTCATAGATGAAGGTTAATATATATTATGGCATATAATTTGCATGAGCTAATTTATTGTCATTCTGCAAATCAGTGAAACCAGACTTTCAGGTTTTCCTTAAATGTAGCCCAATCTTTACATCTTTGTGTCTCTTCTTTTTCTTAACTATGTTTCTAGATTCTGAGGTTTCTTATCTATTTTGAGTACCTCATTAATAGAGATCATCTTTTAAGTAAGACCCATACTAAGTGTACCATGGTAGAACAAGCACTGCCTTTGGTGGTCAGGAGACCTAGGTTCCTAGTCACTCCATGAGCAAGTCACTTTATGTGCCTTGAAGCCTATTTCACCTTGGTGAAATGAGGTGGGTGTACTAGAAGTTCTCCAAGCAGAATTCTGTAGCTGACTACATGCTTGTTTCTCCCTGATAAACCCAACTGCTGCCTTAGAGAATGGATGTTAACACATAAGCTAATATACGTGTATTGGTGTTTCTTGTATCCTTTGTGTTTTCTAGGGCATCTGTTTTTGTTTGGCGTCATCAATCAGTACTAATCCAATTTTAAACTGTTGCATTTTAAAAAAAATATGTAACAAAACTATTTTCAGTGTAACCTTAATGATTTTTTTAAAAATTTTATACATTTTTTCTCATTGAACTCTGACAGCATTAATGAAATGTAAACGTGTTTTGCATCTAGTAAGACCACCTGCCATTTTCATTGTATTCAAAATAAATAGGACTTTTTAAGTAAATACATATATCAGAGCATGGTTTTACAATGTACTGTCTTGAATGTCCTGATGAAAATATGAAAAATGTAATCAGGTTAATTTCCATTTAGGAAAACTTTTTATCCTTCAAACTCAAATCTTTTGTGTAGCTAAGAGAAGAATGTATTTTGCTCTGGGAGAGAAAGACTAATCAACAGGATCCCATTACTTCATTGGTAAAGATAGTCGGATACTCTCACCACTTTTAATACCTTTAGTATTACAGTTGATCAGCTTACCTTTACTTGATATGATTTATTTCTAAGTTCATTCCCCTGTGTTGTAGCTTATTTCAACAATTCCAACTAGCCGTTTAAAATTCCTCAAAGAAGCTGGTCATGGAACACAAAAGGAAGAAATACCTGAGGAGGAATTAGCAGAGGATGTTGAAGAGATTGATCACGCTGAAAGGGAGTTGCGGCGTGGCCAAATCTTGTGGTTTAGAGGTCTGAACAGAATCCAAACACAGGTATGGGCCTGGTAGAGAGGTAGGAGAGATGATGGGAGCCAGGGCTTTTTGACCTGGGGAGGAGGTTCGAGTGTGCTCCTTAAACTTCCTCTCTAGCCTTCCCAACCCACAAATTGTATTCTCTTGAAAAGTAATACTGGTGCCTGGAATGAGTGAGACTTTTAACTGATTATGAAAGAATGTGTCTATATGCCCCTAAGCTCCTTTTTTCCTAGCTCCCCCATCCCCCACTTCATCTCAAAATGCTATTCTTGCCTATATGCTGTGTAAAAAGTGCCTTTTTCTTTTTATATGTTGATAGATGGAATGGTCCTTTCTCTTGTTCTCTCTCTCTCTTGCTGAGCAAGCTGTCACAATCTCTGATTCCTTGCAGATGGATGTAGTGAATGCTTTCCAGAGTGGAAGTTCCATTCAGGGGGCTCTAAGGCGGCAACCCTCCATCGCCAGCCAGCATCATGATGTAACAAATATTTCTACCCCTACACATGTAGTGTTTTCCTCTTCTACTGCTTCTACTACTGTGGGGTGTGAGTGTGTGTTCCTAAGTGCATGAAATTAACATTTCCTACTTCACACACCTAACGTTTCTCATTTTCTCCTTAATGTTTGAATTCATTGTTCAGGCTTTTTCATAAAGCTTTCTTTTCGTAAAGTGGATTGAGACCTCAAAGTGTTGTCGTTGTTGTTTTATTTCTTAGAGGGCTAGATAACAGGTGGAACAATTGCAACCAAAGATTAGATGCAATCTGTGAGCTTGTCTCTGTGCTAACTCTGATAGTTAATATGGGGAATAAAATTGTAGCTTAGAACTTGTGAAACTACTATAAATTTTTGAGTATATGCCTTTAAACATGTTTATATTGCATGTTTCCTAAAAGCATGTGATTTGAAACTCATCTAACAGAACCAGGAAATTGCATTTTCAAAGCTAAGAATAAATTTAGCATTTTGACTTTTGTCCAATTTGGAAAGTAAGTTAGTAGCCTGAAGACAAGTTTTCAGTATGTATAGCCAGTTGCTTGCCTTCTTAACCTGAACTTTGCCTTGCTTTGATTTTTTTTTTTTTTTTTTTTTTTTGCTTGGTTGTGCAGTGGTTTCAGGGGAAATCACTGTGTAAATTTAAAAAGTTTCTGTGGTATTTATGGTTTGGGGTGTTTTTTTTTTCCATTTGTATAGACAATTTAGTTAAAAATTGCATCATAGATAAGAAATGTTCTGTTAAGTTTCAGTAGAAGTAGGAAAAGTATACTATTGATTAATCGTTGAACCAATAAATGTTGTAATTTTCAATAATTGACTAAAATAACATTTTCTTTCAGGTTTTTAGTAAATAGCAAACTTTCTAAAAGCCTTATAAGCTATAAATCTTACTGAGAATTCATGGCGCATTCTCAATATATTGGAGGCATTAAAGATGTAAACCCCAAAATTTACAGAGCTACCTAAGGTTAGCCTTGAAGTAGACAGAGACCTATCTTTTCCATTTGGTCTCCAGCCAGCGAAGGACTAGAGGAACCTTGAGAAGCTGCAGAGAGGATGAATTAAGGGAGAAAACAGTGCAGACTTTCCACTTAATGCCTGTTTTTTCCGTATTTACTTAAGTATATTTTCATTTGATATTTTTTAAAATGTGGTGAAACAGGCACAGTAAGAACTGTCCCTGTTTTACAGGTGTGAAAACTGCCTTAGAGTTTAAATAACTTCTCTACGACTAATAAGCAGAGGCCGCATGATGTAAAGCAAAGTGTTCCAAGTGACTCGCTAACATTAAGATATTAAATTTACATAGAGGGACAGCTAGAACTCTTCTTTTTAAAAATTACCTACCTGAATAAAATGGTAACCATAAATTGCCTAGCCTTAGGCCTGATACAATAAAAATGCCTCTTCCTCCCTGTATCTGTGGATTTCAAACTATGCCTCTCTCTCTGGTGCTCCTTACCACCTAGCCCTAGATGGTAAATGTTCCACAAGCCTTTATGGAAGGCCTACCATGTGTCAGAACTATGCTGGAACCTCCAGAACCTGCAGCCTAGTAAAGGACAAAAAAAAGTAGTTGGAAATTTCTACATGGTAGTAAAACACAAACTGTCTTAACAGGGTCCTTAGCCTACCCTGGAAAGTCAAGAAAAATTGCCTGAAGGAGGTGACTCCCAAGATGACCCTTGATAGAATTCACCAAATGAGGCCTCAGTGATTATAATCTGGTACTAAAAGAGGAATAAACTAAGGGATTGATAATAGTCTGGTACTGAAAGAGTAATAAACTAAGGGAAGCTGAAATGGAAAGTAAGTATCTGTTTATACCCCACAAGAAGGAGCCAAACTAAGACTTTATCCTGATAAACCCCCTTCCCTCAAAATTTTAAATTTGAAAAATTCAAACCTACAGACAAGTTGAAAAATTAATACATGAAAATCTTTCACCTGGATTTACCACTTAATATTTTATGACACTACTTTATCTGTATATTAATAAAACTTTTTTCTGAGCCGTTTGAAAATGGCAGATACCAGTGTTTTATCCCTAAATACTTCAGCATGTACCTAAGAATTCCCGTATATAATCATACTTTATTATCCAAGAAATTTAACATTGATACCATATTATCTAACAGACAGTTAGTATTCAGATTTCTCTGGTTGCCCCCAAAATTTCCTTTATAGCTTTTTTAATCCAAGAAATAATTATTGACAGTATGTGTGTTATGAGTCTAGTCTCCAACCTGTATTCATTCCCTGCCTTTATTTTTTATGACATTGACTTATGAAAAATCCAGGTGAATTGTCTTATGAAGGGTTCTACATTCCAGATTTGTCTGATTGATTGCTACTGATTAGCTTCATATTAAACTTTTTCGACAAGTTTATCTCATGGGTAATGTGTATCCTATTCGTTTTTATTTACCAATATTTAAATAATTGTTTTTTTCATTTAGAGGGATATCAGATGGCTTTAGGTGTACTATACTTATTATATTTCTCAGTCTGATTGTGTTCCAAGCTTTATATTAAATATCAAAGCAATCATAAACTTTTAAGACAGGCAGGCAGACACATATATGCACACACCTCTGCACCCAGGCATCTTTTTTTCCATCCCAGGCTCTTTTTTCTGATGCACAGTTACATATGAAACCTCTGAGTTTCTGGGCCCATGTGGCTAGGGGAGCAGATACTTCAGGGAAGTAAAGGTGCACTTAAGAGAGTGGCAAAGGAAAGTTTGTAGTTGTTGCTTTATCAAGGTTTGAGATGTTTACTTCTTTATTCTGTGTCCTATGTTCTTGGAGTTATCCAGGGAGTAAATCATATCTCGTTAATACAGTTGTCATTATACACCAAGAGTTGCAGTAATTATGTTGCTGTTACCATAAATGTCTTTCAACCTTGTTGGTGGAGCATTGTCTTAGGTGGTACAGAACATCAGCCAAAATATAGAACTATGTTAATATATTTAATGAAAGATTTCATTTTATCACTGTGTTTCTGCCCTAATATGGAATAGTTTTAGAACTACCTATGGGTGTCAAAATTATTTAACCCTTATTGGGTGACCTTGCTTAGCTAAAATAGAAGAAATAATCCATTTAGACTTTGTCAAATGCTAGACTCAAACATCTCTGAAGAGACCTTTTTCCCTTCATTTATTAGTCAGATCTTCACTCTTACAGGTCTCTAGAGAAAACATTCTGTAGTTTTTTTCTATTTATAAAGTATATCATTCTAACACCAGTTTTTACCATTAGTAGATTTTTTTTTCCTGAATAAATAAATACACATTCCTGGAAATGAGAAATTGAGAGAAAATTTGGTTTTCTAGGTGAAGGATCAGCAAACTACAGCTTATGGGCCAAATCTAGCCTGTTGTCTATTTTTGGAAATAAGTTGTTACTGGAATGCAGCGTTGCCCATTCATTTAAGTAATACCTGTGGCAGATTTTTCACTGTAAGGGCAGAGTTGTATAATTATGACAGACTGTATAATTCACAAAACCTAAAATATTTTACTGTCTGGCACTTCACAGAAAAAGTTTACCAACCCCTGTTCCAGATAGATAAGAACATTACACAGGTGGGTCTCCTTTTGAGAAAATTTAATATGCAAGTACCCAACTTTGGAAAACAATCTAGAATTTTGTTTCTAGTTGCAAAGTATCTTTTACTGTACCATTGCAATTCTTTAAGTTAGTGCACATAGAAAAGTAGTAATGAAAACAAATTTCAGAAGTGGGCAATTTGTTGTAGAAGGTAAGATTTATTGGCTTGTGATTAGTATTTTAGAGCTCTCTCTTCTGTACAATGTTTTAGGCAGTAAACAATGTTATTTTCTGCTATTAAAAGTTAGGATGGTATTTAGAAAAATTGGTTTTGTAGGTACATGATCTTGTTTGGATTTGTTATATTTCATATATTGTTTACCTTGATAATCATTTTCAGTTTCTTAAAATTCATGATTATGATAATCACTTCAGTTTTTTTGTTTACCATATGTGCTTCATGCAGTATTTTTGTTTTTTTTTTTCTCTGTTGAACAGTTTACTTTTACAGAATATTTTTGACACAGGAATTACTGAATTTTTCTTAATTCTGATAATTTCGAGGGGTATAAGTATGCTCCACAGAGTAGGTTTAAATAGTTAATAAATAGGAATTGAATTTTAAAACTGGATAAAATAAATAGGCTTGGATTTTCAAAAGCCTGTAATTAAGTTTACTTATATTTCTACTTAAATTGAATTATTATTAATATAGTTTCCTTCCTACCTAAAGTATTGTGCACAAAATTATTATTTTCCTCACAGTTACTGTACTGTGAGAATTTTACATACAGAAAGTAATAAAGATCAGAGCAGGTGTGAGCCAGCTCAGTGTCATGCCTTAGATCAAGAGTGCTTTCTTATGTTCTTTATAAGTAGAAAGTAAAACAACTCTGGTTCGATGATTCCTGGTTAATCTGAGCTTTATTGTATGTATCTCGAGAACTGTTCTTTGAAAATTGAATTGCTTTCGAGCATTGCTGAACTGGCCTAGTAACGTGCTGAAACTAACCAGACATATGGCTTAAATAGATGTGTCAGACAAAGGAAGCATTAACCTTAATCTTATGGAATGTTTTATTCAAGTGAAGTTAGGGATAAAGTAAATGATCGTATGTTTTTGTCTTCTCTTGACTTCCAAGGAACCTGGAATTGGGAGCCCAGAAACCTAGGTTTTAAGACTCTTTAGCACTAATTAGGAGTTCCTTAACAAGTCAGCCACCCATCCTCTCTGTTGCTCAGTTTTATTATTTATGAAGTGGTTAGAAAAAAAAAATCTCTAATATTGTTCAACAAATTCAGATAGGAAAAATCTTCTCAGAATTGAAGTTTTGCTAAGAAGGGATTTAATCTTTCTTTGCCTGCCACCGGTGTATGTGTGTGATTGTGTGTGCACATATACTTGTTGCCCTCACCTTTACACTCTGCCCCTCTTAGAGCTTCACTAACTCTCAAATCTCTAACTTAAGTTTACACTTTTCTTCTGAGCTCTAGATATTTTCCAAATTTAACATGTTTAAAAAGTACATTTATTTCCCCCCGATTCTTCACTGCTCACTTTTATACCGACTGATTACAAAGAAAAACAGATGGAAAACACACACATACACAGAAAGCTTAACTGTTGTTCTATCTTCAGTAGCAGCAGCACCAGCAACCTTATCAAATAAGCAACATCTTCAGGGTTGTCTTGAACAGTTCTCATCACCCATCAAGTTTGCTGGCTGATCCTCTAATTTGTATTCTCCTCCGTGCCTACGGGCTGCTGATACCAACAAATTTTTTTTTAGAAAGTTATCTTTTTGCATTTTAAGCTTTACAGTTTGTTATTAGGACAGTCAGGATACTTGCTGAATGTTCACATGTATAAAATGTGAATTTTAAGACTTCACAATAAAACACTGAATGAATTACTATAACGTTATATTTAGCAAACATTGTTTACATTCCATATGTAGAACACTTTACATCTTAGTAAAGGGGAAGAGGAACAAGAGCAATAAAAGAAGTTGAAAAATATTTGCTGCTATTCATCAGTCAAATTAAGGAACTGAAGTACAAGCAATCAAATAGAATGGAATTATAAAAGATGGTAAAGCTGCAAGACATTAATAGAATAGATGCTTGCTGCTCCAAGTGTGGATCATGGACCAGCAGCTTTAGCATCACCTTGGAGGTTGTTAGAAATGCAGGACTTTAGGCCCCTGCTGAATCAGAATCTGCATTTTAACAAGATCCCCAACTAATTTGTATGCACATTAAAGTTCGAGAAGCCCTGGCCTCGATACTTGTGACCTAACATTGTTTTAAGTTTGTAGTGTGCTAACGAATTTAATCTCCCACAACAACCCCGTAAGGCAAGTACCATTGCTATTTCCCATTTTATAGTTGAAGAAACCTGTTTGACCGAGGTTCCTCAGGTAGTAAGTGGCAGAGCTGGAATTTACACCCAGACATTTTGCTTTTGTATTTCTCAGTTGACTATGCTGTACTCTCTATATAAAGGGCTAAGTGAATATGGACTAAAAGCAGCTTACAAATAGGGCTTGGCAAATAAGGAAAGACAACTTGAAGGTGAGATGTGGGTGCATGGCCCTAAACTCTACATTACATTTTTTTAAACACATTCACATGTTCATTTGAAGAAATGTATTATTCATTATTGCTGTCTAAAGAGATGAATTTGGTGACCGCATCTTTTTTCTAGAATGTCAAAGTGTTATTTATTTCTCTTAACAATGAGTAAATGATGTCTTTATTACTAAACAGGATTTATTAGAATCAAAGCAAAAGCAAACACTGTATTTGAATTGATACATAGTAAATGCTCAACTAGTTGGATTTTGTCCTTTTTTTTCTAAATCTGAATGACGCTTGAGTTAATAGCACTTAATGTCAGTGTGTGCACTGATGTTTTTAAGTTTGATTGCCCACTAATCTTTTTCATTTATACAGCAGACTGAGAGGAAGATGAATTGTTGAGCTATCTGCTTAGGGGTGAAAATACTAGAAAACTTTTAACACTTTGTGTCTTCTTGGGAAATTTTTCACAGAAGAATCCCAGAGGATTTGTTTTTGTTTTTGATCTATTCTTTCCAGATAACTGTAGTAATTGATTTAAGTTTTAATCTGTTACAGAGAAAAACACTAAAACTTTATAGACAAATGATAGACAAATGGCATATACTCAAATATTTATAGCTGTTTAATGGCATTTTATAGACATTTATTTGGGTTTTGTTCTTATTTTTGTTTTTAATTAAGGGAGTAGTGGGGTAGATGTGAGTTCATTGTGGCATTCAGCTTATATTTGCTTGGCTTTTTCATGGTCGGTGACACCCTAATTCCTAGCATGATAAATAGTAACCCTTTGTGCTTGATTTTGTTTAACTTATTTGAGTTGTTTTCAAAATACATTCTTTTTAATTTAAAAAATCAGCTAAGCTTGTGTATGGTTAAGTTTTTGTTTTGTTTTGTGTTTGATTTGTTCTTTTAGGGAAAAAATCCTATAAAATGGCTATTAAATTTTTAGCCAATGACAATGAGATTTTCTTAATATTACTTTGAATTCTTTACCTCTTAATTCTTAGAGTATGTGGTTTTGTTGTTCTGTAGTGTCTTACTAAAATATTCATTTTTTTACAGTGTATTGCAAGTTCCACTGCATTACATGCAAATATGATTCACTCATACCTAGCTGTTTGTGGATTCAAACTCATAAATGAACCATTTTTAAGTTGTTAATAGTGTACTGACATATTTCTGTATTTTCTGATATTTACAGATTCGAGTGGTGAATGCATTTCGTAGTTCTTTATATGAAGGGTTAGAAAAACCGGAATCAAGAAGTTCGATTCACAACTTTATGACACATCCTGAGTTTAGGATAGAAGATTCAGAGCCTCATATCCCCCTTATTGATGACACTGATGCCGAAGATGATGCTCCTACAAAACGTAACTCCAGTCCTCCACCCTCTCCCAACAAAAATAACAATGCTGTTGACAGTGGAATTCACCTTACAATAGAAATGAACAAGTCTGCTACCTCTTCATCCCCAGGAAGCCCACTACATAGTTTGGAAACATCACTCTGATTGTAAGCTGAATGTTAACACACTAGCTGCATTGTAAAGAAACAAATTGAAACTGGGTCTTTTCACATATTGTGATGGACAAGCTAGTATTCTTGTCTTTGGACTTCAACAGAAGACACACTTGTACGAATGTAGATTTATTTTTTTAAAAAAAAAAAAGCAAAGCTTTCTGCCAGACTGAGGGTGCTTTTTGGGGGGTGGGAGAAATGAACTGACAGATAAACAGTAACTCAGCGTAAGTGACCTGTGGATCATCAGTAGTACCCAAGCATGGTCCTGAACAGTGTATTAGCAGAGCTTTAGTTTATCTCAGTCCTGGATGGGAGAGAGAGGGAGGAGTAAAACTGGGCAAGACAAAGAGCCCTGGATCGTTGAATTGATAGTTTAATTTCTGCTGTTGGCTGTTAATAATTTGGATTATTTATGTTTATAAATGATACAGATCTGTTTACAAGGTTTGTAGATACTTTTTTTGTTCCTGTTCATAGATGGGAAGCTTCCTTATAACTGATGCAGAGAAAAATTAGTCCTTCAAATACTGCTGTATTTTCAGGAAAAAAAAAAAAAGGGGTGTTTCTATTGAAACTGTACTAAATTTTTGCCTACAATTTACCTTGTTAAATATTGTAGATAAATTGCTAATACTAATAGCCAAATAGATAACACTAATGCTTTGTTTAAAAAAACGAAAAAAACAAAACAAAACAAAAAAACATGAGCAGTGGTGTTCTAATGAAGTTATGACATCTGTCCTAATTAGTTTCTTAAATACATTTACTACTTAATGGTTTTGAAGCAACTGTTTAATTTTTAAAATTTTTGAAAACTTGCTAATAACCTTTTGTTCAGAATTTAGTAGATTGTTTAATGCAGGACATCAACTACATAATGAAAGATGCTTGAAATGCTTTTGTTATTTCAGGCAAATCAAATTAAATCAGACTATCAAACTACAAGAGAACCTTAGTCTTTTTTGTTTTTGTCTAAACATGTTAGTTTAGTGATGTCTTGGTGAACTGTGAGTGAACTGTATTGATTTTTCTAATCTTTAGAGACCTTCACACAGCATGAGGGCTGTTGGCATTTTGAAAAAGGTTAATAAGTAGAAGCATACATGTTTTCCTTTTGTTTTTGAAACTTGTTTGTAAACATAAATAAATATGCCCTTTTATTAAATAAATTCATGGCAATGTTTTTTTAAAAGACATTTCAGCTTCTTTACTCAGTTCTGCATATACAGTGCATCAGTCTGTTCTCTTTGACCACAATTGGAATACATTTCAAGATGGTAACAGCCCCATGAAGTACCGCTTTAATTCCTTGCTGGTAATCTAATAGAATCAGATTAAGAAAATTAACACAATTTTACCATTTGACATACTCTTCATTGAATTTAGTTTGTCTAAAATAGTCTCACAGGTAAAAAACATAACAACAATGACCACCATTGTCTTTGATACATTTATTTTAATTCTTAAGTGGCCAAATAACAGATTAGGTAAAATGAGATTACATGAAAAGGTTCTAAAATGATATATTTAGATGCAATAATTAACCATATGCTAGAATGCCCACCTCTAAGCCAATTGGATTCTTTAGCTCTCTTTTTCTTTCCTTCATCTACCTTCTTCTCTTTTTTGCCTCTGTCTTTACCCTTTAGAAACTGGCATGTGTTAGGGCCCAGATTTCACCAGATACACAATCCTCAGGCTGACATAAAGTTTACGAGGACTGCTACTATAACTGAGAGTGCTGACCAAGCAAAGAAACATTTAGTTGATGGTGCTTGATATTTTTGGTGGGTGGGGGAAATCTTTTTCTCACCATCAAATCTTTGCAGTAATCCTCTGCAGGTCTTAGAAACACATTGGCTCTGTCAGCATTTGTAATTGTACATTTATTCATCAGGTATTTATAGTGAATCATACTGTAAAAAAGAGGTAGCATGATATGCTGGAAAGCATATTAGACTAGGAGTCAAGACCTGGTTTCTAGTCTTGGTTTTGCCATTAATGTGCTGCATGATCTTGGGAAAATCATTTACCCTAAATAAGGGTGGTGGACTATCTTGAAGAACCCTTTCAACTCTAAAAATTGACCCTATCAACTGGAGAGCCCACAAGGCATAGGGAATAGAGAAAAGGGAAATGTTTTCAGTTTTCTTTTTTATTTTGGTTATGCTTAAATATGAATGTAATTACCAAAAGATTTAGAAGTGCATGTGCTTTGGAGGATTTGTATTGAGCTTTTACAGTATTCATTTTTCAACTCAAGGCAATGGCTTTCTACACCAACTCTAATCCATAAACGGGTCTTATGACATCTATGAAGTAGTAGCAAGACATGCTTAGTGTGTATTTCTCTCTTTGAGACACTGTAATTTCTACCAGAAATTTCCAGAGCATTATGTAGGTAGAAAAAAATGCAAGCAAGCTGTTAAAGATCTTGGATCCCATTATATAGTATGTATAGCTGAAATCTGTAATTCAATCACTTTTTCTCTTTTATCCTCTAACCAAAAAATTGTTTAATTTTGCATCCCAAATGTTTTTAATCTTTGTATATTTTTTAAAAATCCTTTTCTCCTCATCATTGCCTTTTTTGTGGTTGTAAATAGACTTACTTGCACTTTGAAGATGAGTTACTCCTTGTCATCTTACAAATATGTGATATGGTAATTTTCATAACAGATGTCAGTTTTGAACCAAGAATTGGTGATTTGTTTATAAGAAAAAAACTGGCTTCATTTCTGTGAAATTGCTCTTTGAAAATTTCTTTTTACACGTGTAAGCCAACTGAGATACCGTGATGGTGTTGATTTCTTTCAATGATGCTTACCATCTATTTTAGCCACTGAGCCTTTTATTATTTGTCTATTTGTAAAGTTTATTTGTCTTAACTCATTTAATAAATATACTGTTTATCTGTTTCTGAATGGGGACTGAACTTTTTGGATATTGATATTGATTTGAAAATATTTTGGAATTTTTTCTACTTGAAATTTTAGAAATCTAATTGAAAATTCTATAATGTACTTGAAATGTTATGGTTGTGTTACAGTGAATCACTCTTCTAATAATATGCATGATCTTGCCTCTAAAATGAGAGTGGGTACATTGTCCCTACTCTCCAACCCACTGTCCTCAACCCTTATAGCACAATAGATCATTTCTGCAGTCTATGGGAATGTAATCTGCTGGTTTTAGTACAGATTAGTTTTTCACATTAGCTGTAAGAGCTTATTTTTATTTCATTATCCATACTTGTCAATACCAGTTATCTGAACTCTATGGTAAAAATTAATAAAATTATCCATAGTTGTTTTTTATAATAAGTTATTAATATAAACTAGCAACTTTGTTGAAATACTGAGTAAACTTTAAATGATGATGAATACCATATTTTTCAGTTAGTATAAATCATTAGTAAATTATTGAGTATACTTAAGTACCATATTTGTGACATGAAAGATATTTTCCATTTTGTCAAATTGGGTTTTATATATATATTATGTATTAGAATTGAATTTTGAATTAAGTTCTCTTTGTAAAAAATTAGCTGAGAAAGAAAGGGGAGTTTAAGCCTTTGCATGTTGACATTGTTCCTTCCCCGCGCCTTTAAGATTGTGTCTTATTGCAGCTGCCTTCTTTCTTTAACCTGTGCTACTCTAAGACTCTTATGCTCAAACCCCCATCAACTTTTATCTTTTTTAATTAGTCTGTTAACACTCATTTATAGACCAAAATAAAAGATATTATTAATAGCATAATTATACTACCTCACTAAAAATCTGAAAAATAATCTTTCTTTTAGAATAAGTGTTTTTATACCATAAAGACTGTTTCATGTGGTCAGGAAGTTGATAGTTGTGTTTCTGTACTTTTCTTCATCAGTATGTGTCACAAAAGCCAGGCATTGTGGCTCATGCCTGTAATCCCAGCAATTGGGGAGGCCAAGGCTGGACAATCATTTGAGACCATCCTGAGCAACAAAGCTAGATCCCCATCTCAACAACAACAACAACAACAAAAAAATATATATATATATCTAGTGGTGGTGCAAGGTGCAGGTAGTCGTAGATACCAGAGTGGCTGAGGTGAGAGGATCTCTTGAACCCGAGTTCAAGGCTGCAGTGAGCTGTGATCACACCACTGCACTCTAGCCTGGGAAAGAGTGAGACCCTGTCTCAAAGAAAAAAAGGAAATTGCCTTTATGCAAATAGTTTCTTTTTCAACCGATTGATAGTTTTACCCCTTAAACTCACCATTGAGTTTGCTTTTATGCTTTACATCTAAGAACTGTTTAACATTTTTCCTACTAAAGTATTTCAGTAGACATGTTAAATCTGTATTCTGTTATTTCAAGGTATTGTTGAACAGTATAATAATTGTTCCAAAGTAGGGAATCAAAGTTAAGAAAATGTGCATATGTGCTTATACAGAATCAGTCTCTGGCACAACTTCCTTAACCACCACTACATCCTAGAAAAACAAGTTCTCAAATCAGTAACACATAGTCTGGGTTTGGGTTCAGTGCAGGGAATCCCTAGGATTAAGGATTCATTTTTTCCAAATAACGTTTTCAGATCATTAGTTATAAGCACTGATACTGTCGTTAGCTATTATTAAAAGGGACATGTCACAACATAAATTAGTATTTACGGAGTACTGGGTATATACTAAGCACTTTACATGGATTATGTAAGCAACCTGGTAAACATTCTGCCATTTTACAGCAGGGAAATAGGCTTAAAGAGTTCAGGTAACTTACTCTAGGTCACATGGCTAGGTAGTAGAGCTGGGATTCACACTTGAGGCAGACCATTTCAAGAGGCCAAACCAGTAGCCACTGGTCTTTACTGCAGGACTAGCATCTTGTTAACCTGCATCAGGGCCCAAATATTTGAACAGTTAAAAATCTCTGCCTGACTAGCATCTTGTTAACCTGAATCAGGGCCCAAATTTTTGAACAGTTAAAAATTTCTGCTTAACTCTTAAGCGTTTCCATCATTGCACTTCTCTGGTATCAAACGCTTCTGAGAGGATCTTAAGAATCTTCACAGCCTTCCTGGGATAGCTCAAAAGACTGAGGCAGAATCACCTATTAAGATGTATAATCCAAGCTTTCCTCATGATCAGACCTCCTCTAGCCGAAGAGTCAAAGATAAACTCGGTAGAATGGTGCTTTTAATAGCATATTTTGAATAGAGAATTTCATTATTTAGTGCTTTTAAAATGGGTGTGTTTATTCAAAGTCTTATAGATAGCCCAATAATTTAACCTGCTGCTTTGTTTCCTAGATAGTTTGGAATGAAAATAAGTATAACAGTGAGACACTCTGCATCTCTGCATTTTTTGGTTTTGAAGCTTGTGAGACTAAAGAATAGGATGTTTTACTTTCAATTAACTTTTTATTTTGTGAAGAATTATTTTGTCCTTAAACAGTATTTTCCTTGATGAAAATTCTTTTTTTTTTTTTGAGATGGAGTCTCACTGTCACCAGGCTGGAGTGCGGTGGAATGATCTCAGCTCACTGCAATCTCCTCCTCCTGGGTTCAAGCGATTTCCCTACCTCAGTTTCCCAAGTAGCTGGGACTACAGGTGCACACCACCATGCCCGGCTAATTTTTTGTATTTTAGTAGAGACAGGGTTTCACCATGTTGGCCAGGATGGTCTCGATCTCCTGACCTCTCCACCTCGGCCTCCCAAAATACTGGGATTACAGGCGTGAGCCACCACGCCTGGCCAATGAAAATTCTTAGTGCTATAATATTTAGTCCTATTGCACATTGGATTTTAAATGATCCATTTTTAAAATAAGAAAATTGCCATTTTTAAACTACTGTCTTGATACCATTTTATATTAATGTTATTTGCTTTGTAAATGGTTCCCCTTGGTCTGTAAAAATTAGGTGCCGAGTTTTATAATCTTAAAGATATCTTTGTTAAGAAAAAGTATCTTAAAACATTGTCCTGGAGGGGAGGTGGGCAAAGTGGTGATTTGGGAAGGTTTTGGATGTGTTGGATGGATTGGTGATTGAAGAGACTGAGGGTAGAGATGTAAACAGAACAGTTAAAACATTGAGTTGTACAGGTCTGGCGTACAGAGGGAATAGACTAGGATAATAACAGCAAAAGTAGAGAGAATAGAAAAGAAAGAGTACTTGAAAGCATAGATGAAATATCTGTAGCAAAACAAGAAACCTAGTTGTTGGCATTTCAAGGCATCACCTACTTTTGGATTTGTTAGCTACTTATGTGTAGAATGAAAGAACATTTAATTAGGTGACCCCTTAATTGGCAGAATGATTGGATTAAATATCAGTCTGGTAGTGGTTTCAAAGCATTGTTTGCAGATCTTGTTCATGTCTTTCAGATTTTCTGTGAAACAGTTGTTTCAATAAGGAAGTAGAAGGAAAGCTTGTCACTGTCTTGGGCACCATTAAGCTGGGAAGGGTTGAGAATAAACTAGATGACAAAATCAGGAGTCAAACTGATATGTGATGAGATGACTAAAACAATAGTTTGATATAGATAGATGTAAAATCCTGCTCTTTGGGACCTAAAGTCAGAAACAAAATGACAAGAGGAGGCAGATGTCTGCTAAAATGTGGAAAAACCATAGGTTTGGTTAACAGAATGGAAAAGGTGCGTTCTAGAGTCCTGAATCCTGGCCTTGAGGGACATAGGAAGGTTTGGAATAAATGCAATGAGGAATGTTCCTGAAAAGAATAAGAGACAAAAGCTAGTTTGAGCATCAGTGAGGAAAACCAGGACGTGAGTATACATTTTGCTCACCAGCAAGACAGATACACTAAAACTGAAAGCAGGTATGAAGTTGAAGGTGGCTCAGGTTTAGGTACCAAGGTAACATAACCTAAAGAAAGCAAAGCCATCTAGGTCAGTCACAGCAGGAGCGAGGTGGCCAACTCGAGCAAATAACTCCAAGAAGCTATGAATGGCTCTTCATTTGCTCCTTAACAACTCTAACCTCAGATAGTTGTCACTTCCCTCTCTTTTTCCATTGCTATGAGCACATTATATGTTCATGTGTTCTTCCTGCTCCTGTAAATTCCTCGAGGCCCCTTTTGTACTTGTATCTCTTCTCAATGCTTGCACCACCTTGCCTCACCTTCCTCAACACAACAGATGTGTAAAAGAAGGTGCTTCTCCTCCCCCCCCCCCCCCCCCCCGCCAAAGGAAAATCACCTCTCTGGGAGAGGGTGTTGAGGCTCAAAGAGTGAATCTCTGAGGTGTGCGAAGAGGCAGTATTTTTTCCTAGCAGTTCACCAGAACTGGGTTCTAAACGGTTCCAACTCTTATACCAGCTTTTAATATCTTCAGCCCTCAGTTTCCTCAACAGGAATATGAGTATTGCAATTTCTGCCCTGCTTTAGAAGTTCAGATGAACTTGAAAATGTGAAAGCGCTTTTAACAATTACAAAGCACAGTATAAGGTAAGCCTATTGACTGAGCAACTGAAACCTGTGAAGAACTGTTCCTGCCTCCTCTAAGAAATTTGGCTTAAATAAAAAATTTCAGAGTTGAAAAAGACCCTTAAGTCCCAACTGGGTCATAAATACCCATGCATTATGAAGGTTACCCAGGAGATTCATCTCATTAGAATAATAGTGTTTGCATCCATTTCCATTTTTTCTGTTTTTAGTCAATTTTCCCTTCTAAAAAGAAGCAGCTTGCTTTCCTCTGGGTGGTAAATAAATGAGGGTGCTAGTGATCCAGTCACACAGATTTTTATTACACTAGAGCTGCTCTGGTGGTTTGAGACCATTACCAAGTTTTAATTGCTCTTTCTGTTCCCAGTCATATCTTTATTCCCATAATAAACCATGGGATAGATCAGTACTTCCCAAACTTTGCTGTACATTGGCATCACTTGGGAGAACTTTAAAACATACTGGTGCCAGGCTCCCAGCTCAGGCATTGTAGTTTATGGTGTGGCCTGAGGGAGCACTGGCACTTAAAATTTGATTCCCGAATGATTCTAATATGCAGCCACACTTTGGGAACTACTGAGTAAAACAGAGGGAAGCATTGAGAACCACAATGATGAAATGCAAGAAGTTAATGAGCATAAAAGAGAAAGTATACAGGTGAGTATATTAAACTTAGGTTTTTGTTCTTCTTTTTAGAGACAGGTTACAGTCCTAGCTCACTGCAGCCTCGAACTTCTGAGCTCAGGTGATCCTCCTGCCTCAGCCTCCCTGACTAGCTAGGACTACAGGTGCATGCCACCACACCCAGCCATTTTTTTCTTTTTTTTTAACTTTTTGTAGAGAGGGAGTCTCACTATGTTGCCTAGGCTGTTCTCAAACTCCTGGCCTCAAACAATCCTCTCATCTCAGCCTCCTGAAGTCTGGGATTACAAGTGAGCTGCTATGCCCAGCCAAGCTTAGTTTTTTTGTTTTTGTTTTTGTTTTTGTTTTCATTTACTGTTATTAAAAACCTGAATTTTTGGTGGAAGTTTACTTATACCAGGTTGAAAACGTCTTTATCTCATTTTTTTAGAAAAAAATTATGAACAAATTTAAACTAGTGGGTCTTATGAAAGCAAAATAAAAGGATTTCTTTTTTTTTTTTTTTTTTTTGAGACGGAGTCTCACTCTGTCGCCCAGGCTGGAGTGCAGTGGCGCGATCTCGGCTCACTGCAAGCTCCGCCTCCCGGGTTCACGCCATTCTCCTGCCTCAGCCTCCTGAGTAGCTAGGACTACAGGCGCCCACCACTACGCCCGGCTAATTTTTTGTATTTTTACTAGAGACAGGGTTTCACCGTGTTAGCCAGGATGGTCTCCATCTCCTGACCTCATGACCCACCCGCCTTGGCCTTCCAAAGTGCTAGGATTTTAGGAGTGAGCCACCGCGCCCGGCCAATAAAAGGATTTCAAAATCAGGTCATGAAAGTTTACTTTTAATTTCTAGTCTCTCTGTATATTTTTTGCCCCCGGCCTGTGACCAAAGCCATCTAGTCTGTATTTATATATACAGTTTCAAAATCAGGCAATATGCCTTTTTTAAGTTTATTTCTAATATATTGTACTTCTTGGCACAGTTGAAAGTAAGAAGCATGTATCACTTGGCAGGAAAATGTCAGATTTTATGATGAATATTTAAAGTATTTATATTTAAGAGTATACATCTTTAAAATTAGATGTTTATATAAAATCACCTTGTGCCTGGGAAAAATTACTAGTTGATTTTTTTGTTGTTGTCTCTAAGAACAATTTCTAAGTCAAATTGGTCAAAAAATATTGGCTCCAACCATACGCTCACTTAACCCCTAAAAGATCCCATAGCATACCCAACTGGCCTGTACCATATCCAACAATAGTTACAGTGCACAAACTGACTTATTGAGCCCCTCTTCTGGGTCACTTGCTTTTGTATTTTACTCCAGTGAGTCATTATAACTCTACCCCTCTCTTATAATAAAGAAGTTAAAGTTGCCTGTGACCACACAGCTAGTTAGTATCATCTGGGATTTGAATCCAAAATTGTTCAACAACCAAACTCATGACCATTTTGCTGTATCTGAAATGGTATATCAGAAATGACTTGGTCCAGACACTCTTAAGTTTTAAAATCCTGGCCGGGTGCGGTTTCTCACACCTGTAATCCCAGCACTTTGTGAGGCCAAGGCGGACGGATCACCTGAGGTCAGGAGTTCGAGACCAGCCTGGCCAACATGGTGAAACCCCTGTCTCCACTAAAACTACAAAAGTTAGCTAGGCCTGGTGGCAGGCGCCTGTAATCCCAGCTACTCGGGAGGCTGAGGCAGGAGAATCGAACCCGGGAGGCAGAGGTTGCAGTGAGCCGAGATTGTGACATTGCACTCCAGGCTGGGGGACAAGAGCAAGACTTCGTCTCAAAAAAACAAACAAAAAAAACTTTAAAATCCTATCAAACCAGATTTTCAGATATATAAAGGCAGCTTGCTAGTCCCTCAGCCCCCAAACTCCATTCCTATCTTCTCTTCCTTGCTCAACATCTCCAGTTTCTACAACTGTTCTTCAAGAACATAGAACATCCTAGCGGGGTGCCCATATGTCCCAGTTTACCAGGGTAGACTTGGTATGCAAGCCTGCCATCCCACTGTAATTAAGAGCGATCTGGGCCGGGCGTAGTGGCTCACACCTGTAATCCTGGCACTTTGGGAGGCTGAGGTGGGCAGACTGCGTGAGCTCAGGAATTCAGGAGCAGCCTGGACAACATGGTGAAACCCCGTCTCTACTAAAATACAAAAAATTAGCCAGAAGAATCGCTTGAACCTGGGAAGCGGAGGTTACAGAGAGTCGAGAGTGTACCACTGCACTCTAGCCTGGGAAACAGAGCGAGATTCTTGTCCCAAAAAAAATAATGTTTTCAAGTTGCATCATCATTTCTATCCTTTTTCTCCAATGTGTCTGTATCCCTCTGCAACCTGGCAACTGTTACTTTCAAATTGTGAAATTTAGAATTCTGCTATGACAAGTGGAAAATTGAGAAAAGACGCAGAGCCACTTTTTGTCATCGTGTAGGTGACAAGGAGTCTCCCAAGTATATCCTGCTAATAGGAGTAGCTCTCAAAAGTTAATCTCAATAAAGCCTCCTAAAGTCTCTGGCAAAGAAAACTGCTGCAATCCCTTGTGCAATTCTCCAGACTAAGCTGTATGGGGGAAGCCTACCTTTTTTCAGCCCGAAGTTCAGGAGACTGAGGATGTAACTGGGGACATGATCATTGATTCAAAGGTGATTGCTTAAGTATCTTAAAAATGTATAGAGCTAATCTGAGTACCTGCTTAAATTTCAAAGAAGCCCTGTGGCTTTTTTCTTTCATTTTTTAAAGGATAAAATTTACTCGCCAGAAATACATTGTGAGTCAGACATCCCTTTGAGGACAGCGTCTAATAAAATGACTGGCACACAGGTGATCAATTAATGATTTTAAATCAATGAATGAAATCAAGTTCTTTTAAAAAATGCTTTCCTACATGATTTTAATAGCAAAAACAAGTAATAATAGAAGCTCGTTTAAGAGTATTTTAGTGTATCTTCATGATGAAATAATATGCAGTTATTAAAAATGCTTTTTAAAACTTTAAAAATCATGCATTTTATAGCCTACTCTTCATTCAGCATAATACTATAAATATTTCCATGTCAATATTCTAGACGTAATGCTGCACAACGTTAGTTGTGTGGGTTAGGACATGTTATTCAGTCCCTGAGCTTTACCTTATCTTTCATCTGTAAAATGAGGCTAACAATTTATCTCTATGGTAGCTCAGTGTTATTGTGATGATCAAATGAGATGAAGAGTCAGAAAATCCTGGCAAAGAGCATAGCCTGTAAAAGAGACTCAGTAAACATACTGTGGTGAGAAAGAAAAGAACTTTTGGCCGGGTGCGGTGGCTCATGCCTCCCAGCACTTTGGGAGGCCGAGGCGGGCAGATCACCTGAAGTCAGGAGTTCAAGACCAGCCTGGACAACATGGCGAAACCCCGTCTCTACTAAAAATACAAAAATTAGCCAGGCATGATGGCACACACCTGTAATCCCAGCCACTCGGGAGGCTGAGGCAGGAGAATCGCTTGAACCTGGGAGGCAGAGGTTGCAGTGAGCCAAGATCGCGCCACTGCACTCCAGCCTGGGCAACAGAGTGAGAGACTGTCTCAAAAAAAAAAAAAAAAACTTTCATTGATGAAATATTACTAGCAAGTTATTTAATATGTGCTGGCCCTAGTACAATGAGGGAGGCAAAGTAATGGCTTGGCCAGAAATGGTAATGGCTCACAAGGTTGTTTTTGTTTGTTTGTTTTTAAGTTTTTCATTGTTTGGCTACATTGAAAATTAGATTTCACCAAAAACATCCACATTTTTTGGCATCTGGCAGCATTAGGCCTTCATTCCCGTATGATAACAATAACCTAGTGCTTTTCCTACCCTCCAGTTTGCCACTGTCCCCAGCACTCCCTCTGGTCTCTGTGCCCCTGTCATTTATCAGTATTGATGGCCATTTATTATTGTTTCTGTAATGGTAGAACTAAGAAAGTGAAATATTTTTGTTGCTATCAAATATGAAATAAGGAAACATTTAAAAGGATTTACTTTAAAAAGAAATTCTTGTCACTCTGGTCATCTTCACTCATATTTTACCTGCGTGACTCCATAGACATTTATGTGGAAATTGTAACCTCTTATAAAATTTTAGAGCCATAAGGAACCAGCATTTTGGACTAGACAGTCATACTTTTCCTGGTATAGACGAATGAGTTAAGACTAATCATGCCTTCCCTGGTATAGATGAGTGAGTTAAGATTTCTGAGAAATTATGACTTGCCCAAGATCCTAGTTAAAAATAAAGTTAGGGCTGAATCTAAATGTAGAGTGTTGTCTTTATATTAGGTATTTAGAAGTTTTATTTTTTTACCTTCATTTTTAAATAATGAAAATTAGTGTAAATTCTCTTTAGAGTAAACAAACCTTCCAACAACTCTTCCCTCTACAAAATACATATGTAACTCATGGCTTTCTAAAAGTAGATTTTTAGCACTTTCTGACAATTTCAAGAAACTTTTTAGCTTAATAAGCTTTAGTGTTGCCACAGTGTCTGTAGCAAATTTATTTAAAGAGACCATTGGAAAAGTATTGAATTTTGTGTTACTGGTTTTCCTTTTCTCAAAACTGAAGAACCTGGGCAGAACTTGTCCATTGAAAGCGACACAACCTTGACCCTTGGATCTGGAGATTTCTGGAAGTCATAAATTTGGTTTGGTCTATCAGGAAGAGACTTCACAGTGGCTCTCGATTGCCTGTGGAACTGGAAAACCCACAAATAATAGATTCACTTTTGTAGATAATTTCAATCTTCTCCAAAATTACTTAATGCAAATAACAAATGAGCAAATTATTTTGTTTTTGTGCTTTTTTTCTTCCCCTCTCTGGTTTCTGGAAAGGGAAACAGCCCAAATAAGTTGGAAAGCAGATAACATGGGTAATTGACAATTGGATCTGTACTAATTAAGTCGTTATTAGTATGTATAAAAATGTAAAGCTCTTTTGAGTCCAGGCGCGGTGGCTCACGCCTGTAATCCCAACACTTTGGGAGGCTGGAGCAGGCGGATCACCTGAGGTCAGGAGTTCAAAATCAGCCCAATCAACATGGAGGAACCCCGCCTCTACTAAAAATACAAAAATTAGCTGGGTGTGGTGGTGCATGCCTGTAATCCCAGCTACTCAGGAGACTGAGGCAGGAGAATCGCTTGAATCCAGGAGGCGAAGGTTGCAGTGAGTCGAGACCACGCCACTGCACTCCAGCCTGGGCAAAAGAGTGAGACTCTGTCTCAAAAATAAAATAAAATAAAATAAAATAAAATAAGATAAAGCTCTTTTGATATTTACCATGAGACTAATTGAATTCATTTGAAAATAGACCCAAAAGGAATTATAGCTAATAGCTTTACTTTAAAAACAACTTAGCTTTTTATGCTTTCTCTTTTGAAACATTGCTTTCAGCATTGAATTGGTAACCACTTTATATGGGAAATTTTGTGTTATATTTCTTATGAAACATTCCCAAATATAAATATCTTTGGTTTTTATTTCAGATTATAATAATAATCTGTGCTCACTATTAAGTTGGCAAAGTATATAATGACAAAGAAAACTACCATTAAGCATATCACACAGACTTAAAATTTTGGTGTATATATTTGGAAGCTTGTGTTCTCTGTGTGAATACCATCATTCATATCTAGCCAAACCATTGGAACTGTACACAGCTGGGGTTTCAGATATATAACATTCAGTTGATGGATTTAGGAATGGGCCACTGCAATTTAAATTGCAAGATGGGACAAGAAACACTTTTTTAAAAAGTTTGCATATATGAAGGTATAAGGCATGGGCCATCAATCTCTGACCAGGCTGGCTGAGAGGAAGAGAGCAAAGGATCTTGGTTCACAATGAGGCTGTCCCTGAGAAAGAAAGAAGTGAGAGTGAAAATGCTGTGTGATTAATGTCCTCAGCAACTGTATGGGAAGTCTGCCTTCTCCCCAAAAGGGCTATAAAATGAAACATAATAAGCAGTGGCCCAAGCCATTCTTCTGTGAGACCCCCAAAAGTGGAGAGAAGGACATAAACAGAGAAGCCATTTCTCCATCACTCAGAGAGAGGGAGATGATGTAGGCTAAATAGGAAGTGCATCAAATGACAATAGTCCCAAGGGGCAAGTGTGGAAGACCCAAGTTGAGTGGCAATGGCAAGGCAGTGTTGCAGTAACAAGCAGCCTTGTTACTCTAATAACTCAAAGTGATGCTTTGGATTCTCTTTCAGAAACCATTGCACATCTCCCCTACGCAGGGACTATGCTAGGCAGAAGGGAAACCAAGATGAAAAAGAATCCCCCATATGAACAATTATAATACCACACTACGTGCAATAATGATGTCAAACAGGGTATGTTAGAGGGTTAACTTCAACAAGCATGGGGACCCAGGGTTAAAGAATATCTAACAAAGTCCATGGGCAAGAACAGAGATGGATGAGGTTTTGCCATATGGGAAAAATAGGAACAGTCCATACTGAAAACAGCTGGTACAATGAAGCAGGAGAGATAATGATATTTCTTCATGATCTACAAACTCATAAGGTAAGCAGTAGTGCTGAATTCCCTACTCTTTCAGATTTATTGAATTACAGCTGTTTAAAATACAGTAAAAATCTCTCTAACACAAGCTAATGAGAAAGGCTTATCTGATTAACCAGATTCTTGGAGATAAGGGATTGTATTGCTTTTAGATATGTAAACATCATTTAAATGGAGAGAGTAGCTGTGTTTGATACTAATTTGGAAACTGACAATGAAACATTGGCTTATAAATGGGTGCTTTTGACATGTTGTTTTCTAACATTTAAACCTTTCCCCTTACAATCTTGATTATGCTGTAAATTTGCTAAGTTAACTTTCCTTTTGCTTTCATTCAAAGCAAAATCCTGAAAATGAATAATAAGTAGTGTGCTATTTTGTGCAAAATAATACTGATAACATTTTGGTTAGCAAAATGAAATAACATACCTGAAATAAATAATAATACCTAGTAAATTTGTACTCATGGGTCAATTTGATGACAGAAAGGAAAAGAAAGCTTAAAGATAAATATCTCTAAAGTTATGCTTTCAATGCCATCTGTACAAACTTCATGTCAAGATCTAACAGAAAAAAAAAAACAAAAAAAAACTCTGTCTTATGCCAACACAACTAATTCCATGAAGTTTGGATCATCACAAAACTCAAATGTTTTATGATTTCTTTTATCCATGTCTTTCAACTGTACAGTACATTTTACTGTATATACAGTTTTATGGAATGTGGAGGCAGCATCTGATGTAATATTTTCTGTTCAAATTGTTTACTTTGTAGTCAAACATTCTTCAAAAACATTTTAGTCTCCCCTCCCCTCACCCACTCTGATTTTACATTCAAGTCTGTCAGTTCCTATTTAGAAAGGTTAATTGAGACCTGGAGTCTCAAAGCCTCTGATACAGAAGCAACTTTTGCCGTCCTTAACAGATTTCTTTGAATTTGCTGCCAGGTCTGATTCTACATGTAAATATTTAAGTGAGTTAGTAAAATAAAAATAAAAATAAATAAAAAAACCTTTTTTTTAACAAGAGTGGGAAAGCAAGGATACTATAAAGTAATTTATGACATGAGAAAATGAACTTTCATTTCTGCATACTTCTTTTTGCAAACTTCTTGGTTATTGTCAGATTTGCAGATGTCTTTCTTACTGCTCTTCATTAAACTTTCAGCCTCCTGTGGAATTGCTGAGTCAACCAGGAGATAATGCAACACATTTGCAGGAGCCCATTCTGTTTTAATTATCTCCCCTTAATGTCACCAAGGAGGTGGAGTTGAGAGGGCCCTTTGCTGTGACCCTTAACTCTTGAAAAGTGAGTATCTTCTTATGAGAGCCAGCTTTGAGCAGTTCACTTCGGACTGCTGACATATTTTTTACCTCTCCAAAAAGCAGAGCCTGCTTTGGAATGCAGTGGAAATAACCCACCACAGAAGAAATAGTTTGTAAACCGAAGAACTTACTGTGAATGCTGGCTTTTTGCCACAGCCTCCTGCAGGGAAGGAAGAAACCTTGTCTCTTTCCACCACCTCACTTCCTCTTTCCAGCCAGAGGTCACCCACCAAATTTAGACAGGAGAAAGGCCCTGAGAGGAGAGCCAGGCCCTGGTCCATGCCTGAACTGTCCAATTGGAATATAATGTGAGCCACAAAAGTAATTTTTAATTTTCTAGTAACTGCATTAAAAAAGTAAAAAGACACAGATGAAATTAATAATATATTTTAACCCATCATATCCAAAATATTGCAATTTCAACATGCAATCAATAGGAAATTTAACAAGATATTTTTGCATTCTTTTTTTAACGGAGTCTTCAAACTCAGGTGTTTATTTTACACTTACAGCATATCTCAATTCAGACATTAAATTTTCATTGGAAATACATGTTTGGTTATTTAACTTTCAAAGCCAGGCAGCTTTGGACTGGGGAGATATTAAGTGGTTGAGAATCTATTAATCAAGTAGTAATTTGATTCCCATTCTGCTATCTTTCTTTTTGTATATGGGGTCCTGAAGAATGAGCTCAGAGACAGTCTTGCATATTCAAGCATATCTGAGTTATTGTATATCACTTATAATACACTAAAATTCCTTACCCTCTACAAACTCATTGGGGGGAAATATCTCCCTTGGGTTTCAGTCCTAGGAATTACTATGTGTCTCAGAATGGCATGTTTGCTTTATCGCTTCGACACTGAACCATCTAAAGGAATCACTCCTTGGCTGGTCAGAATTTCCAAACTACGTTTACAACCCTCGGCTAGTAAGTAGACTAGGATTCGTGCACAATATATACCACCTTCCTCTGACTTCACCTTTATTTCCTACTGCACAGTGTCCCCGCTTAGCCCATGTGTTTTCTTATAAGCAACTTTATATTTCTTTGGGGAAGAGTCAGAGTATAAATAAAAACACAAATACATAATAATGTTTAAGTGCCTCTCACAAAATTAATACCCAGTAGAGAAATTCCCTTGGTCTTTGCCTAGTACTTGGTTTAACTGGGAATGCTAGATTTCTGCAGCCCTCTCTTGGTGTTCTACACTGATGGGCTCCAATAAATGGAGCTATGAGCAAAACTACTTCTGTTGACTTCCCTTTCCCCATTGCTGTTTATTTGAAATAAGTGGTGAGCTCCAGCAGGGTTTCAAGAAGGCTTGGTCCACTTTGGCCTGAGCCTCAATTGTGAGTATGTCACATTTGTTGAGCATGAGCTACTTGTATCTATTGGAATGCATCTTGGAGAGGGGTGTGAGCAAACCTCACCCAGATCATACCACTAGTCAGCTTGATGCTTAAAAGACGAATTCTTATTTGCTGAATTGCTGGAGTTAAATCTGCAATATTTTGTAACTCTAAGTCTTTAGTCTCTGCTTAAACAAATATATCATCAGCTTTAAGAATCTGATAAGGTAGACATTTTACATAGTAGATAATTCTTATGATTTTTGTCAAGTTTCCTTATGAGAAAAATAAAACTTTCCTTGGGCTGTCAGAATAATATAAGACAGCTTGAGATTTTTTGCCTCGAGTTTGCGTGGGCAGGAAATTTATTCTTTGCTTGGTACATCTTTGAGCCGCACACAGCTGTGTAAGATCTCAGTTCTTTACAAATTGCTAATAAAAAAAGATAATGCCAACATTTGCACTCTTCTCAAAAGTCAAACGCTGAAGATTTAAATCAAGATTTCTGGATAGAAATCTTAATCTTTTGAGTCATGTTGCCATGCTTTTAAATTCACTTCCTAACACTGAAGGGAACTAAAATTAGAATTTGGAATAAGCCAGAAGCAATAAAACAATTTTCTCATTCATCTAACATGTACTTACTAAGCATCTAATCTATGTCTATGCATTTAGAAATTTTTTAAAATGACAACATGGGTTTGATCTCCAAATATAGGACTCAATTAAGTTTTGGCCAGAGAGGAAGAAGATAATTAATATTCGTTGAGGCCTTACTATGTGCCAAGTACTTGGTTAGGCTTTTTCTAAATGTTATGATGTAAATATTATTGATCCCATTTTACAGATGAAGAAACATGCTACACAACCAGTGAATAACAAAATAGGAGTTGAACCACAGACTGATTCCAAAACCCACTGCATTATACTACTTCCTACAGTTTAAATTTTTTGCACTTGGCTAGAAAAAGCTTTTCACTCTAGTTCTTACAAATGTTCTCATAAACATTTTCAATTTATTTAAAACATATACATAATGCATTTTCAATTTATTTAAAACGGATACATAATATAAACAATTTAAATATAGTGAATGCTCATGGAAGGAAGCTCAAGAGGCAACAGGACTGCAAGAAGGTGTGCACTGGGAAGAGCCAGAGGTGATCTTTAAGATTACCCTTGAAAGATGGATAAGAGATAGGCTAAGCGCGTGGCTCACACCTGTAATCCCAGCACTTTGGGAGTCTGAGGCGGGTGGATCATGAGGTCAGGAGATTAAGACCATCCTGGCCAAAATGGTGAAACCCCATCTCTACTAAAAATACAAACAATAAGCTAGGCGTGGTGGCATGTGCCTATAGTCCCAGCTACTTGGGAGGATGAGGTATGAGAATCACTGGAACCTGAGAGGTGGAGGCTGCAGTGAGCCAAGATCGTGCCACTGCACTCCAGCCTGGGTGACAGAACAAGATCCTGTCTCAAAAAAAAAAAAAAAACAAGAAATATGGATAAAAGATGAACAGAAGACATTCTGCTAGAATAACAAAGGGACAGGGTTGGACTAAACTGAATGACTACATTCCATAATGACTCACATGTCAATGGTCCATATTGTAAAATGAGGCTAAATGCTTAACTTTCATAATCCCAGTCCACACCACATCCAGATGTCAGCTGGCAATACTGCCAACTTATGTCTCTTCCAGCTTCAAGGCAAACTTCACACTCTACCCTGGGGCTCTATTCATTTCAAAATGCAGGCTGGAACATAGCCAGCGAATAGAAAAATCCTGATACTGGAATGTGCCAAGATTCTCCCAAATTCATAGCAACACCGAGGCCACTGAATGTGACAGCAGTGGGAGCAATGGGAGGACTTCGTACCTGTGTAGGCATCCTCAAAAGCTGTATGTTCTGTATATTCTCCAGTATGACCTAAGGACCACCCGGCTCAGAATCTACTGGGTGTGCTCACTGGAAATGGAGTGTCCTGGCCCTCCCCCTCCCTCTGAGTCAGAATCTGTGAGAGTGAAACCCAATTATCTTCATTTAAATAAAATCTGTGGGTGATCCTGGTTCTCTAAAGCCATCCTTGGCCTGTATCATTCTTGGCCTTTGGGCCCAGTGCTTCCCCAGAACTGGTAGAGGAAGACAGCAATGGCTCATTTGCTACCATCTAAAACTGCATGTTCATCTGAATAAAATCAAGAGACTTATGTGCAAAATATTGTCCTAGGTGCCGTGGAGAATAAACAATGAGGTGGCATAGCACTTTCTCTCAGGGGGCTTATGTCAGGAAACAGACACCAGGACAATGAGTTAGGAATGCAAGAGCTCTGTTAGAGGTAATGCCTATAAATGATAAAGACATGAGAGAAGGAGTAGGCTCGGTGGGCCTTTAGACACAGTGCAAGTCTGACACCTGTAAGAGGAAGAAAGATGGAGGATTGGGCAGATAAGTCCTCAGACTGCTGTGCAGCTCTGAGACCATCCTGGCAAGCCAAATGGAGACCTCTAGCTCACAGATTCCCTATAGAGTCGTACCAGGGTGACCAGATCCTAGCACCCCTGCCATGCTCAGTCTTTGGCTAGAGCTACCCAACATGGGCATGTCCTTGCCTCAAACATTGTACCAGACCCCCAAAGTTGCTGCAGCGGGAGGTTGTCACCTGGCAGCATTCCTTGTAGCAGTTCCCTTTTGAAGGAAGTTCTGACAGGTGCATTTCGTGGCTGCCCAGACATTCCCTAAATGTGGATTTGATGGTCTTACCCTACCTAATCAATGAAACATTGGAAAGAAGGGATGTGGCAATAGTGAAGAATCAGGCACACGGCTCTTAAACCAGATGAGCCTGTGTTGGAATCACACCTCTGTCATTTGGTGTGTGACCTCAGGTAGGTGACCTAACTCAGACTGAATCCTCATAGGAAAGAGTAGGACAATACATATTTAATAAGATATTTTTGGCTGGCTAGTGAGACAATACCTAGACAACACCATTCTTATTCCCTAATAATATGTGCACACAGACACATACACACATCATAATCTGCCTTCATTCATTTACATACAAGTAAATCACAAAGAAGACCAGAAAGTAGAAAAAGGCAAGCATCTAAATAATAGCATGATGTCTCCTGTTGATCTGGTCCAGATTGGATTTGTATCCTCTATGGTTGGCCCAAGGTTGGGGGCTTGTGTGGATTGTTAGATCCCTGGGCTCTTTTTCATCACATGGTATTTATAGAAAATGATAGTATCATGCAGCCATAAAAAGGAAGGAGATCATGTCCTTTGCAGGGACATGGATAAAACTGGAAGCCATTATCCTCAGCAAACTAACACAGGAACAGAAAACCAAACATCACATGTTCTCACTCATAAGTGGCACCTGAACAATGAGAACACATGGACACAGAGAGGGAAACAACATACACAAGGACCTGTCAGCGGGGCAGGGGGAGGGAGAACATCAGGATAAATAGCTAATGCATGTGGGACGTACTACCTAGGTGATTGGTTGATAGGTGCAGTAAACCACTATGGCACACGTTTACCTATGTAACAACCTGCACATTCTGCACATGTATCTGGAACTTAAACATTAAAAAAATTTTTTAAAAAGACAGTATCTGTAGTCCACACTGGGGTTGAAATAAAACTGCTCAAAGCCAAATGACGGTGCTAGGGCTCTAGTCGCCCAGTCCCTCCCGGGCTGCCCCAAGGGCTAGGGAGGTCAATATCCTGGCACTCCTGAACCCTTGTGGTACACTAGCATGCCATGATGCACATTTGGGAAGCTCTGCTCATAGACCTCATCAAAAGGCTTTGCAAGCCCCTGGCTACATTACGAGCTTCTAAAGAACTGAGTTGACATGGAATGGGGGAGGAGTCATGCTCCTCTCTTGACCACACTGAGGACCATAACATTTTGCAGCATCTCCAGGTGGTATCTTGAATGTAGATATTATCATTTTCATGGTGTGCAATGACATCTGTGAGTGAAGTCATCAATGAAGGAAAAGAACAGAACAGATTGTGTGGTGATTGAGGCTGACACTGGTTTATGAGAAACTATGAGACGTCCCTTTGGGAACACCCAGAAAAAACTGAGGGACACCTAGATTTATTGGAAGAAATTCTCAAGCCAAGAAAGATCTGAGTCATAAAAAAAAACTACTTTTCAGTGCAGTTGAGAGGATTAAAGAAGATAAGTCATGTAAAGTCTGGCACACAGTAAGTACTCCATAAGTAGTAACTGGGATTATATGTGTTGGATATTCTATTAGTCAAGACTCATCTGCTGCAAGTAACAGAAAATAACTTAAACGTGCTTAAGCCAATAAAAAAGTGTGTGTGTGTGTGTGTGTGTGTGTGTGTGTGCGCGCGCGCGCGCGTAGTGTTTATTGTAAGAAAACAGAGTTATCTCATGGCATTTGAGTACAAGAATTTACCTGGCCCTCAGAAGAGAATGGAACCAAAGACTGAAGAGCCATTCAGAATTCAGACAACTTCAGTAAGTGAATTTCTCTATGGACCAACTTCCTCTGTTTCTCAGTTTACTCAGTGGACAAACAGCACATCAAAATTCCTGAGTTCACCTACTCTCTAGTCCATATGGAGAATTTCTTAATGCAGACTCCCAAAAACAATATCTGATTAGCTAATCTGGGTCAGGTGTGCAAACATTCTTCTTATAAATTTTAGCCTGGAATGTGGAGTCCCCTAGCATAAACATTGCCTTGGTGATTGAAGTGAGCAGATGCCAATGTTTCTTTCTCTCAGGTCTGATTGAGGTCTTAGCAGGGAAAAGAGAGAGCACACTCCCCTTAGGACAATTATAGGAAGGTTTAATAAAAGGACAACAAGAACGGAAGAGTGTAGGGAACAGAAATAGGGCAGGGTCTAAGCCAGGCTTTTACCACCTGTCGGCCCAACCAGAAAAGGAGAAGGAACAGTCATCAGAACCCAAAGACTCAGAGAAGTTGTGAAATTCCTATGTGAACTGCAGCTGCCCAAGATGACTCTCCAGGACGGGAGCCTAGAAAATAAATTCCCTCACATCACCCAACTCCTGCTCTTGGATCGCTTACAAGAATGTCACCCATTGGCCAAACTAGAGAGTGAGAAAGACCCTTTATCTGGTAGCCGCTACAGGCCTGCCTGCCAGGGAGGAGGCTGAGGGAGAAAGGTACAGAGTGCATCATTTGGTATGGATCTTTTCACATTATTCAGTAACAGCAAAGGAAATAGCTCCTCTACGCAGTTTTTAATGGCTCTCTTTTGAAAACATCCAGTGAGTTTACAGCATCACATCTATCATCAGGCTCCAACAGCCTTAACCCTTACTTCAGTCAAAATAGGCTATTGACCATTCTACTTACTGTAACCTCCCACTTTTTGCCGCCCACCCTGCTGCCCTACCTTACTTACCCATCCAAGACCCAAATTCAAATCCCACCTACTCCCTAAGACCTTCCATCAAACAATCCCTCCCTCCGCTAATTTCTTTATGCTTTGTGCACCGTTTTCCTACTTTGTGTTGTATAATAATTTTTTCCAAGTTCATGTTCATTCATCTCTGTATCCCTATGGATACAGACCATTGCCCATAGAAGACACTCAAGAGTGTTTGCTAAGCAGTTATTGAAGGAAGTATGAAGAGTTTGGCAAATCTCTTTTTTCCTAAGGCGGTGTTCTTTCTTTTAAGATTGCTTAATAGATACTTTAAGTTTGAAACCTGGAAATGAACACTGCTCAACAAGTCAGAACATTTGTGAAATGATTGATGTTTACCTCACAACTCTGGCACTGCTCAGCTGTTGCTCCTGGGTTACTTTTGAAGAACTTTTATTTATATTTTGACTACTTCTGAGAAAGAGTTGATATTAACTAGTACAAAAATGAATCACTCCTGCATCTCTTATAAACAGATAAGACTAAATGAAAATTATTAAAACTCATATGGATGGCATCTTGACACCATGTTAACTTAAAAATCAAATCACATAAAATAACAATGAAGGTGACTAATAGTATATATACAGTATTTCATTTTACAACTTTTGACCTTATTCTAAGGAATCTCTGGGGATCTAGAAAACTGCTCAATTTTCCAAATGTAACATTAGGAACAGAAAATGATCCAACTTTTCCAGTCTCATAATCACAAGATCACCATCAAGACTTTTGTCTTTATATTTAGAGGCCCTCCCATGGATATGTGGTTACTCTTGAGGCCCACACCATTAAAATAGAGGTTGTGAGCCCTTTTCCTTGTTCGACCTGCCATCTTTCCATTCTGTTGCTCTTTAAACTTTTATTGTTGATTCTCTATACTCTTCTTTGCTGCCATACTCAGTCAAACACCACGTCACATTTCTCCTGTCTGCTTACAAATTATTGACACCAGAGTTCTTTCACAAAGTTGTGAGTACTTAATAAGAAAACAAGAGGAAATCAATGAGGAGTTCAATGATGAGGATAAAAATACCTGGAAAGGTTTGTGAGAAGGATTAAACAAGGTAATGTGTGCAAAGCATAGTACCTAGAGGCACATGGTAAGCACACAATAAATATTGGGTTTGTAGTTCTACAAATAATGAGAAGAGTAGCTTCCCTCCTTTCTCTTTCTCTTCCCTTTGTCTTTGGAGGCCAAACATAAAACTGGCATGGCACACAGTAAGCACTGAGCTCACTTAACATCACCTCCTTCTCTCCCTCCTGGGCAGGACTTGCTTGGTTGGTGAATAAGCAGGTTTGAGAAGGAACAGCCTTGGGCTCATTAGCTCATATTCTTTTGCATCACCACTGATAGCATCTTTAAAAAAAACAGTTCCCACCTCCCACACATCCCCACAAAAACACTTAGTTGTTTCACTGACAGATTTCATCTCTGTTGAGTTCTAAATTCTTGACCTTTTAAGGTCAAGCTTCTTCTACAGTTCCAAACTCTGCCTAGGCAGCCTTCATGACAGGTAAATAGCACTTTAACATCCAAGGGAGAGAATTTAGCTAGGGAAACAGCCCCTGTGGCCTTGATAACTAGTCTTTGTGGAAAAATGCCAAACTACTACAGAAAAGCCATATCCTGAATTCCCAGCTTTGAATACATTTCTCTCTTATTTTTGCATTATTCAATCCCCTTCAAGTATACCACTGATCATATCTTTCCTCTTCCCAAGCCCTACAATCCTGCAGTGAATTATAATAATAACAGTTAATACCACCAATTACACCATGACAAGCTCTTGGCATATACTGTCCCATTTGGCCGTCATATTAACTCTATGATGTAGGTACCGACATTATTTCCATTTTACAGGTGAGCTACTGAGGTTTGGGGAAGTTAATTGCCCACAGTAAAATCACTGGTAAATGGTGAACATAAACACATTTTTGAATCCAAAACCAATACTTTAAAAAAATTTTAGGCCGGGTGCAGTGGCTCACGCCTGTAATCCCAGCACTTTGGGAGGCCGAGGCAGGTGGATCACCTGAGGTCAGGAGTTCAAGACCAGTCTGACCAACATGGAGAAACCCTGTCTCTACTAAAAACACAAAAATTAGCATGGTGGCGCATGCCTGTAATCCCAGCTACTTGAGAGGCTGAGGCAGGAGAATCACTTGAACCCAGGAAGCAGAGGTTGAGGTGAGCTGAGATCGGGCCATTGCACTCCAGCCTGGGTGACAGAGTGAAACTCCCTCTCAAAAAAAAAAAAAATTTTTAATTTTATTTATTTTTTGGTGCAGGTGTCACTTGCAAATAAATCCAGTGCTTTTTCTCTGTACCTGACAGTCCCAGGGAGCTTCCCCACTCTAATCTTCAGTCTCACCTGGCCAGTTTTGATGATGTTTTTGGCTATACTCAACTAAATACCCGGCTTCTGTCTTTAGTCTAGGCTCATATAAAATTCAGCTCAGTGCTATGCTGAGTCTATAACAGACACAGAGAATTCTGCCTTTAATTTTCCTAAAACTTAACTTTCTTCACCCAAGTAGGGGTGCCTGTCTATTTGGATAGTAAATTCAGGCCTTATTTCCTTTTTGCACAAAATTAGTGAACACATAGCCAAGCACTGGGCATAAGGCATTAATCTCTTGTTTCTGTTAACTGCTCACTCCCTGAAAAGACCAGAAAAATAACCTGTTGGTCAATCAAAGCCAAGTTTATTGCTTATTGCATTAAGGGACAGCACTGCCTTGACAGACTCTTAGCTGTATCTCAGAAGAAGGACTTCAAAGGTAGATATTTATAAGGTTTAGGGAGTCTGGTTTAGGGTGGGATTTTTCCATGTGGGGACTTGACTTTGACCAGGCCAAGTTTATGATTTAATAATTTAGGATTGGTAAACCCAGCAAGGCATAGGTTTTGAAGGGATTCTTGAGTTAACAGCTCTTTGATAAGCAATCTGGGATGGCCAGTTGTACAGTCTGTTGTTCAGATAAATGAATTTTCAGAATGTTCTTAAAACAAATAGTTTGCAACTTTATCTCCTTGGACAAGAATTTCCCAGAATACTAAAGTTATGTTAATGTAGCCAGTCCTGTTTCATGTGATTGCAAGCAGTTTTTGTTCAGTCTTCATGTCCCTTATCTGTAAATGGATATGATTATAGCACTTCACTCATAGAGTCATTATGAGATTTAATAAGTTAATAGAGGCAAAGCACTTAGGAGACTGATTAGCCCACAGAAAGTGCTATGTATGTATTTATTATCGTCTTTACAACATAGTACATTTAATAAGCCTTGCCCTAGCCAAACTAAGAAGGTCTATCAATCTGCATGGGTTTTTTTGGAGGACTTTTCTATGATAAAGTTATATTCATAACAATGTCTTATGAACTGAATTATGTCCTTTTCAAATGCATATGTTGAACCCCTAACCCCCAATGTGACTGTATTTGGGGATAGGACCTTTATGGAGATAAGGTTAAATGAGATCATAAGGGTGGGACTGTAATCCAATAGGACTGGTGTCCTTATAAGAAGGGGAAATGACACCAGACAGTTCTTTTCTCTCTCCATGTGCATGTTGAGGAAAGGACATATAAGAACATAGCGAGAAGGCAGCTGTCTGCAAACCAAGAAGAGAGCCCTCACCAGAAACTGAATTTTCCAGCACTTTGATCTTGGACTTCCAGTCCCCAGAACTGTGAGAAAATAAATTTTTATGGTTTAAGCCACCCAGTCTGTGGTATTTTATGGCAGCCCTAGCAGACTAATAGAACATGATAACCACCTGACAGCTCCACATTGCTTTGCTTTTTGAAAGCCATTCTAAATAAATAAAATTTATAAATTTTGCATCTGTTCCCCTCAATTTTCTCTTTCCTGAATTCCAGATGTATGTTTCCTGTTGAAAATGAAACTCAGCTCCCCCAAAGTGGAACTTCTCACCTCTCTCTTCTAAACACGTTCTCCCAGTGCTCACCTTGGCATTACAGGAACTGCTCTAACACAGGACTGAAGGCAGAGTATTCTCTGATTCCTCCTCCCATCCTCCCATCCAGGCTATTGTTCATGATCTCATTCATTCAACAAATATTAGTACCAGGTGCTGCGCCCAGTATAAAGAATAAAATGATGAGAAAAACAGATGTTACTCCTTCCCTCACAGAGCACACAGTCCACTGGCAGAAATGGACATTAATCAAATGAAAAGTTGCAATTGCTGCAAGTGC
Source organism: Homo sapiens (assembly GCF_000001405.40). NCBI lineage: Eukaryota > Metazoa > Chordata > Mammalia > Primates > Hominidae > Homo > Homo sapiens. The sequence continues at coordinate 89,563,978 of NC_000012.12, read as the reverse complement.
TGCTGGGGAAATGGTGACATAAACACAGATACACCATGAGGACTGAGACAATCTGCACCCACATACCTTAACTCAGGAATAAGAACTAAGACCGCTTATATTAACATGACTTCACTATTTGTTCCAGTAATTCTTGCCCAGCGAGGCAAGGCTATACACCAGTAAATATGTTTATTTTTTGCTTTAGGAACTCCTAAAAATCAATTTATCTGAACTTTAGCTTCTCATACAGCCTATTTCTCAGTACAATAAATCACTTAACTTGCAAACTGCTTGCACATCAAACAACTGTTTATTTATCAAGATTTGTCTCAAGACTCTTACCTCACTCTCTTCACCATTTCTAAATTATTATATAAAATACTTTGCCCAGTTTCAATCAGATTTCCTTAAACTACTTGAGTCTAGGCCTCGAAACTCTACAGATATCAGCTCCTGACTTCTCCCTTCTGAAACATTGATAAGTTTTACTTGATCAACAGCATATTTTGGTGGTCTCTGGGACAGTCTATGGTCAGTAATCATGGTAAAGTGATGGTCACCAGGTGCTATGCAATCAAAGTACAGGGATGGGGTAGATAGAAACGGGTCTGATCTAAAATGAGAGTAGGGGCCAGGCGCAGTGGCTCACACCTGTAATCCCAGCAATTTGGAAGACTGAGGCAGGAGGATCATTTGAGTTCAGGAGTTTGAGACCAGCTGGTCAACATGGTGAAACCCTGTCTCTACTGAAACTACAAAAATTAGTCGAGCGTGGTGTTGGGTGCCTGTAATTCCAGCTACTCAGGAGACTGAGGTGGGAGAATTGCTTGAACCTGGAAGGCAGAGATTGCAGTGAGCCGAGATCATGTCACTGCATTTCAGTGCGAGACTCCATCTCAAAACTAAAATAAAATGAGAGTAGGGAAAGAAGACTCAGAAAAGACTCTGGAGGAAATGATGGGGGCTGAGAACTCAATGTTTAGGAAGAAACAACTAAATGAAGAGTGGAGGAGGAGGCGTGTTTTAGGCAAAGACCTTGAGTTGAGGGATAACTGTATTTCTCTACAATGGAAAGAAGGCTATTGTGGCTGGAGCAGAGAGAATACAGTGAAGGGCAGGAGGAAATGAAGCTAAGGCATAAGCAGGAGCCAGCATGATTATAAGGACCTTGTAGGATATGTTGAGAATTTGAGCTTTTATTCCTGAAAGTAGAGGGAAACCACTGGAGTGTTTAAAGCAAAAGAGTGACAGGATCTGGTTAGGAGTGGTAGTTCACACCTGTAAACCCAATGCTTTGGGAGGCTAAGGCAGGAGGATTACTTGAGCCCAGGAGTTCCAGACAAGTCTAGGCAACATAGTGAGACCCTGTCTCTTCAAAAATGTAAAAATTAGCTGAGCTTGGGGACATGCACTCATAGAATTTAAAAAAAAAATTTTTTTTTAAAGAAGACAGCCTGGGAAACATGGTGAAATCCCATTTCTAAAAATAAAAATAAAAATTAGCTGGGTGCAGTGGCATGTGTCTGTAGACCCAGCTACTCAGGAGCTAAGGCGGGAGGATTGCTTGAGCCTGGGAGGTCTAGGCTACAGTGAACCATGATCATGCCACTGCACTACATCCTGGGTGACAGAGTGAGACCTTGTCTTTAAAAAAAAAAAAAAAAAAAAAAAGTAATAGGATCTGATGTGACACCTTTTTCTGGCCATTGAGTGGATAGTGAATTGTAGAGGAGCAAAAGTTGATGGGAGAGATAGTTAAGAGCTGCTGTAGAACTCTAGAAAAAAGACTAAAATGAATATGACCCCCATATGGTAATTCAAATGCATCCTGTTTATGATGCCTCCTCCCAGTTTAGGCTTTCACCATATCCTCTTCACCTAGTCCATGATCACCCAGCTCTACCACCTGACTACCTCTCTGATTTCAGTATCTGGCTTTTTGAAACAAGTGTAAGTAATAACACCTATGTGGCCCACTTCATTCAACAAACATTTTTTAGTAACTCTCATATGCCTAGCACTGTGCTTAGTCCCAGAAATTTAGTCATGAGCAAGACAGACACATACCTTGTCCTCTAAAACCACAAGCTCATGTAAAACAATGCACTTGAAAGCTCTTTGAAAACTGTAAGGCTGTATTAGCACTCTCAATTGCAAGTGACAAGGACATCAATCAAACAGCAAAAGCTTATGTGCCTGAAAAGTCTAGGAGTATCCTGGCTTAGGTGTCTTTGGATCTAGGTAATGACAATAGAGATCCACACCTCTATCTCGTAGGCTATTCCACATGATCAACAAGATGGCCACCAGCAGTGCAATCTTTGTAGAAAGAATACAGTCATGCATCACTTAATGATGGGGACACATTCTGAGAAATGCATCAGTAGGTGATTTCGTTGTCATGCAAACATCATAGATGTGTATATAGTATAGCCTATTGCTCTTGCGCTGCAAACTTGTACAGCATGTTACCGTGCTGAATACGGTAGGCAGTTGTAACACAATGGTATTTGTGTGTCTAAACATATCTACACATAGAAAAGGTATAGTAAAAATATGATGATATAATCAGATATGGGACCACTGTCATATATGCAGTCTATCATTGACTCAAGTGTGGTTACACAGCACATGACTGTACCTCTTTCCCAAGAGCTCCTAGAGAAAAATTCAGGGCAGGATTTTGATTGGCCTCGTTTCCATGAGGCAGCAAAAACTCACCTTGATGTAGAATTCTGGCCAGTCCTGGATCATGTATCCACTCCTGGAGAAAGGAGTTGGGAGAGTCAGTCCTCCTGAACCAGATATAGTGAACAGTATTTCTATGGGATGGTGTGGGGGAAGACTGTTCTCCAATGAAAGGTTTGCTGGGAAGAAACAAATACAACATATGCCCTCAACAAAGATGCTGTAAACAAATGTTAGGCTTTATAATTGGGACCAAAATATCTAATATAATTAGGACCAAGGCTGTCTTTGTAAAATCCTTTATAGGTCTCAAGATAAATACCAGACAGAAAGAAAGAAGGAATAACAAGGGAAAACTTAAAATAGAATAATTGCTAGAGGAGATGTAGGATGAGTCAAGCACATGATTTTCAGGATAAGAGACCTGAAGATGTTTTCATTCTTAGGAAAGTAGAGTTGAAAACAAATGGAGAGAAAGAAAAAAATCAAGGAAAAGCAGGTCAAGGAAAAGAAAGAATAAAGAACATAGGAAGAGGATTTTAGTCTTGAGGAGGGACATCCTACCTTTTGACACAGGAAGAAAAAGGCCTTGATGGCTATGGATGTACTGTATTTAAAGTCCATCAATTGTTGAACAGAGTTTATTTTCACTTTGAAGCATCTGTTTTATAGAAATGGTCTTAGCATTGTTTTATAGTGTAACTGCAGCATTTACCTCTTGGTGTTACATGAAATAATGGTGCTTCTTAAAATGAATAGTCTCAGAGTTGATTCAATTTGGTAACTATGTAAGCAATCTAAAGGCTTTCATGCTGACAGGTTTTCTGAGCAAGGAGGGTAGGGGATGACATGAGACAGTTTGCTGATGGGGATGGGGTTGGGATGCGGATTAGGTCGGCACAGCCCCTGCTCTGGTGTGACCCTCAGCTCCAGCAGTCACTGGTGGGATCTACAGTCAAGTTGCTTCACCTCTCTAAGTTTCAGTTTTCTCATCTATAAAATTACAGTACTTAACCTATACGTTTGAGGTAAAGATTAAATATGATAAATGTATGGGAAAAACAACTTAGCATATTGCCTGAACCATAGAAAATATGAGAAAACATTGTGGCTTTTGTTGTTCTTATTTTTGGCTTAAGTGAGGTGTGAATGTTTGGAACAACCGCCAAGCAAGTGAGAGAGGGAGCTAAGAACAATAGAAGGTGTTCTGAGAACCCAATTGGGAGATGAAACAATAGGCTACAGTGTCACAGTCGGCCTGGTGGCATGTGTTCCTCTAATAGCATTGGGCTGATCAGGCGATCAGGTGTAGGGACGACAATGACAGGTTGTACCATCAGATGTTTGGTCGGGTAAGTACGGCAACATGCCAGCCATACCTCTGCTGCTGGGCCTTTGATCTTCTGCTCTCTTGCCAGGAACACTGTTTCTCATAGTGACACGGCTCACTCACCTCCTTACCTCCTGCAGATGCCCCTCAAATGTCATTTTGACATTTGAGGCGTTCTATAGGGACGCCTCCCTGGCCACTCCGCCTAAAGTAGCTCTCTCTACCTCAATCTGCTTGATATTTTCATGAGTGAACCATGGCACCTAACATTGTAGTATATTTTAATTTGTCTACGTATTTATTGCATACTTTTCTGTCAAGTAAGGTGGCAGTAACTTAGCTTGGTTCAATGATCTATCAACAGTGCCTGGTCTAGAACATACACATAAATAATTGTTAAATCAATAAATGAATAAATGAAAATAAAGGGTAAGAGGGCAATTCAGGTAATCATTCAAAGTGTAGGTTTCAATGGGATTTTATTCTGAGCAATGAGAAGCCATGCAGGATTTTAGGTAGTAGAGCAACATGATCGGAATTCTGTTTTAAACAACAAAAAGTAATTGTCTCCAATTTATAACTAAGAAAATGGAAGTTCAGAGGGTGAAGCTGTTGATTCAAAAATCACAAAGCAGGCCAGGCGTAGTGGCTTGTGCTTGTAATCCCAGGACTTTAGGAAGCTGAGGCAGAAAGATCGCTTGAGCTGAGTTAGAGACTCGCCTGCACAACGTAATGAGACAGCATCTCTACTAACCGTCTTTACTGACAATTAAAAAAAAATTAGCTGGGCATGGTGGCACATGCCTATAGTCCCTGCTACTTGGGAGGCTGAGGTGGGAGGATCGTTTGAGCCAGGGAGGTCAAGGCTCTGAGGCTACAGTGAATGATTATGTTGCCACTGTATTCCAGCCTGGGTAACTGAGGGAGATCCTGTTTCAAAAAAAAGAAAAAACCAGAATCACAAAACAAGTGGCCATGCTGAAATTGAAACTCAAGCAGCCTAAACTCATGCTCTTAGCCAACACATGCTGTCTCTCCAAAAGATATATGCAGCACCTTAAATGCCAGGGCACTTTAAATGCCAAGAAAGCAACATGCCATCTCTGTGTGGGACCTATGAGTGCCCAGCCAACAACACAAGCTATGTTCTATAGTAATTCTCTGTGAGTGTGTCTTTCTAGATTAAAGAAAGCCACTGCCCTTACCACTCCCTTCAACTCCAGTGTAACATAAATGAATAAGAAGGGTATCATGAAGTACATCAGCCTTAGCCCCCAAGTCTAGAGGAATTCTTCCTTGAAATATCAGCTCCTGCCCCTCACACCCCTTGTGAAGGGAACTTCCCTATCCCTATCCCCTGATCTGTTGTGGTTGGGTTTGTTCCTTGTGATCCCAGCTACAGTCATGGTGAACCCCAAGGGCAACCGTTCAATTCGTTAGGCAGTGACGTATTACAATGGTTCAGTAAGATTCTGCAACCCACTGGAACTAGAAAATGCTAAGAGATCTGCCTCTTAGCAGTGTTAACAGGAGCAAATATATAAGCAGAAGAGGCTGGTGAGTAGAGAGAAGAAAATGCAGCAAATAGCCAAGTGTGGCAGTGTAGGTCTAAGCTGGTGTTGCTTCAGTTCCTGAGCAGTTTCCAGAAGAAATGCATGTGTATTCTTACAATACCCCTACTTTTTCTGAGGTAACATGGAAAGCTGACCAAGCCAAGCTAAAGCAAGTTCCCAGGTCACTCTGATATTTTCTTTTGCATTTTTTTTTCTTTTGAGACAGAGTCTTGCTCTGTCACCCAGGCTGGAGTGTGGTCAGCTCACTGCAAACTCCACCTCCTGGGTTCCAGCTATTCTCATGCCTCAGCCTCTTGAGTAGCTGGGATTACAGGCATGGGTCACCAAGCCCAGCTAATTTTTATATTTTTAGTAGAGATGGGGTTTTGCCATGTTGGCCGGACTGATCTCAAACTTCTGGCCTCAAGCGATCCTCCCGCCTTGACCTCCCAAAGTGCTGGGATTATAAGCGTGAGCCACTGCACCTGGCCAATTCTGATATTTTCAAAGGGTACCTCCCTCTGCTCCTCATGGTGGCTCACCAGTCTACACCTGCCTCTGCTATCCCTGTGGCCATGTCCTCTGTGAGTGCTGGAAAGCCAGTCCCCAGTCTGAAGTCAAGGCCAATTTTCCTGACTTACATTGATGGGATTCCAATTGATGCCTCTCTCTTTTCTGATCTGGGATACCATATTCTAACCATGAAAAGCATCTCACCAAGACCCTCTTTTTTTCTACTCAGGTATCGTCCTCTTATTTTTACTACAACTGCTAACCCAGTCTGGAACTAAGGATCCTAAAAATAATCCCAGCAAGTCAAAGCCACCTCCTAATATTCAATTCAATCCGATAAGCTCAAAATAAGCATCTATTATGTGCTAAGAGCTGGGAACAACTGTGCTCAAGGCAGGTAAGTTTTGAGGAAGCCTCAACCTAGCCAGAAATAAATAAATAAATAAATAAATCCGCAGACTTATAGTCTTACTTTGGTCTTGGAGTCCCAATTCTGTTGCGTACAGACAGTTCTGTTTCGAAAAACATGGAAAAGTAATGGTTTCTCTTTCCTGTGAGCTTAAGAACCTGAAGTTGGTAATTTGCTGGCGTACCAAACTCATGGAACATAATGCAGGAAAAGCTGATTAAAATGAAAGCATGTCTTCTTGTCTCATGGACTGAATACTTCCATTAAGTTTTGAATGTCCTCTTTGTTCCTTTAAATGATGGCATCTGGCCAAGTCATTAACTTTCTGATAGCCCGTCCTCTTCCTTAGCAATCTGATCCACATCTACACTGGATGACTCAAATTTCATGGCTGCTTTCATGGGAGTTGGGAATGAACAAACCTGTAGATTATTAAATCTGAAAGGACATTGCCTAAACTGTTTTCTACCCCAGATAAATGTAAGAGAAAAACTGAATAAAACAATGCTTTTTTTGCCTGTTTTATATACAGTATCTATGCAATCTTTTAGTTTTTCTAGTCTTATTTTAAAAAATTAACAGGCTAGGCATGGTGGCTCACACTTGTAATCCCAGAACTTTGGCAGGCCGAGGTGGGTGAATCACCTGAGGTCAGGAGTTCGAGACCAGCCTGGCCAACATGGTGAAACCCCACCTCTACTAAAAATACCAGAATTAGCCAGGCCTGGTGGCGTGCATCTGTAATCTCAGCTACTCAGAAGGCTGAGGCAGGAGAATTGCTTCAACCCAGGAGGCAGAGGTTGCAGTGAGCCGAGATCTTGCCACCGCATTCCAGCCCAGTGACAGAATGAGACTCCAACTCAAAAAAAAAAAAAAAAAAATTAACATACAGCAAAATTGACCTTATCTGTACGTTTATTTCTATAATTTTGTGGTGTTGTGGGGATGTTGTGCAGAACATGGTCTTACTCTGTTACCTGGGCTACAGTGCAGCAGTGCAATCATAGCTCACTCTAGCCATGACCTCTTAGGCTCAAGCAATCCTCCTTCCTCAACCTGCGTGCCAACACACCAGCTAATTTTTTATTGCCAGTAGACATGTGGTCTTGCTATGTAGCCCAGGCTGGTCTTGAACCCCTGGCCTCAAGCAATCCTCTCCCATCAGCCTCCCAAAGTGCTGGGATTATGGGCATGAGCCACCACACCTGGCCCAGTTCTATACATTTTGACACGTGTATAAATTCATGTAAATTCACGTGTAATTCATGTATAAATTGATGTGTGATTCCATCACAATCAAGATGCAGAACAGTTCAATCACCCCAGAAAGCTCCCTCGTGTTATCCCTTTGTCATTCCATTCCTCTCCTACCCCTAATTCCTAACAGATCACGAATCATTGATCTGTTGTCTATCACTATGGTTTTGTCTTTCAGAAAATTTAATATAAATGGAATCATGTAGTATGTAACCTTTTGAGACTGGCTTCCTTTCACTCAGTGATATGGTTTGGCTGTGTCCCTACCCAAATCTCACCTTGAATTGTAGTAATCCCCACATGCCAAGGGCAGGGCCAGGTGGAGATAATTGAATCATGGGGGTGGATTCCCCCATACTGTTCTCATGGTAGTGAATAAGTCTCATGAGATCTGATGGTTTGATAAGTGGGTGTTCCCCTGCACAAGTTCTCTTGCCTGTAACTGTGTAAGATGTGACTTTGCTCCTCATTTGCCTTCTGCCATGATTGTGAGGCCTCCCCAGCCATGTGGAAGTGTGAGTCAATTAAATCTCTTTCCTTTATAAATTACCCAGTCTCAGGTATGTCTTTATTAGCAGCATGAGAATAGACTAGTACACTCAGCTTAATGCCTTTGAGATTCACTCAAGTTGTTGCATGATTCAGTAGTTGGTTTCTTTATATTGTTGAATTGTATTTCATTATTTACATGTACTAAATTTATTCACCAGTTGAAGGAATTTGGGTTGTTTTGTTTGTGGTAATTATTAATAGAGCTATTATATAAACGTTTCTCTATAAGGGGTTATTTTGTAAACTTATTTATTTCTCTATGCTAAATACCTAAGGGGTAAGATTGCTGGATATGGTGGCGGATATATGTTGAACTTCATTTAAAAGTTGACAAACTTTTTTCCAGAGTACCTGTATTATTTTACATTCTCACCAGGAAAGTTTGAGAGTCCCAGTGGCTCAGCATTCTTGCTACCACTTGGTATTTCATTTTTTTTTTTAAATTTTATTTTAGCCTTAGTAATGGGTGTGTAATTATGGCTTTAATTTGCATTTTCCTAATGGCTAGTGATGTTGGACATTTTTTCATGGATTTATTTACCATCTATACATCCTCTTTGGTAAAGTATCTATTGAATGCTTTATCCATTTAAAAACTGGATTGTTTTCTTGTTAAGATTTAAGAATTCTTTATATATTCTGGATAAAAGTCCTTTGTTGGAAATGTGATTTGCATATATATTTTATTCCATCTGTAGCTTTTATTTTCACACTCTTAACAATGTCTTTTGCAGTGCAAAAGTTTTTAATTCTGGTGAAATCCAACATGTCAGTTTCTTCCTTTATGGATTGTGCTTTTGTTGTCATGACTAAAAACTCTTTCCTTAACCCAAAGTCATAAAAGATTTTTATCCTGTTTTCTTCTAAAAGTTTTACAGGTGTACATTTTCTATTTATATCTGTGATCCACGTGAGTTTTTTTTTTATTCTTTATGCTGTTAATATGGTGAATTGCATTGACTGATATTTAACGTTAGATCATGAATTCACAATATAAATTCCATTTGGTGTGGTTTATTATTCTTTTTATCTGTTGTTGGATTTGAATATATTGAGGATTTTTCATCTGTTGTCATGAGCAATAATGGTTTGTAGTTTTCTTATACTGTCTTTAGTTGTTATATCAGGTGATGCTGGCCCCTAAAATGAATTAGGTAGTATTTCTTCCTCTTCTCTTTTCTGAAGAGATTTTGTAGAATTGGTGTTATTTGTTCTTCACATGTTTGGTAGTATTTACCAGTGAAACAGTCTACACCTGGAAATTTCCTTTTTTTGAAAGTTATTAACTAGGAATTAATTCCTTTAATAGTTATAAGGCTTTTTAGGTTATCTATTTCACCTTGGGTAAGTGGTGGTAGTTTTATGGTTTTTTATGAATTGGTATAGTTTTTCTAAGTTGCCAAATTTACATGTGTACAGTTGTTCATAGCATTCTCTTATCCTTTTCGTGTCTGTGGAGTCTAGTGATATCCCCTGTCATACCTGATAGTGGTAATTGGTGTCTTTTTTTTCAATCTGTATAATGGTATGTATTTACTTTTTTGGTATGTATTTACATGTATTTTTTGTATGTATTTACTTTTTTTAACTCTATCATTCTGGTTCTTTTTTTTCTGTGAGACAGTTTCACTCTTGTTGCCCAGGCTACAGTGCAATGGCACAATCTCGGCTCACCACAACCTCCACCTCCTGGGTTCAAGTGTTTCTCTTGCCTCAGCCTCCCGAGTAGCTGGGACTATAGGCATGTGCCACCACGCCTGGCTAATTTTGTATTTTTAGTAGAGACGGGGTTTCTCCATGTTGGTCAAGCTGCTCTCAAACCTCTGACCTCAGGTGATCCGCCTGCCTCGGCCTCCCAAAGTATTGGGATTACAGGCATGAGCCACCATGCCTGGCCCATTCTTGTTCTTTAAAATATGTGTATGTATTCTGGTTCTTTAAATATACATACTTTAAAGAACCAGCTATTGGTTTCATTGACTTTTCTATCGTTTTTCTGGTTTTGGTTTCATGGACTGGGCTCTTATATTTATTTATTTTTTCCTTCTGATTGCTTTGGGATTATTTTAATCTTCTTTTCTCTAATTTCTTGAATTGAAAATTCTGATGATTGATTTGAAACTGTAAATTTCCTCTAAGCACTGCTTTAGTTAAGTCTTATAGTTTCAATGCATATACTTAACTTTCCAAAATTTACTTCGAATCCATATTTTACTACATGGACTATAGAAACCTTACCACCATGCAGATTTATTTTCCCTCCCTGCTTTGTGTTGTAGTTGTCTTATTATATTTATATACATTGAAAACTCTACCAGGCAATGTTATAATTTTTCAACCATCAAGCATATGTTAAAATATTCATAAAAGAAGAATAACCTATTTTCCAATATACTTGCCATGTCTGTTGCTCTTCCTTCTGCATCACAAGTTTCCTTCTAGGATCATTTCACTTCTGTCTGAAGAACCCCTTTTAGCTCTTTTAAGATACAACTGCTATCAGTGAATTATACTAGTTTTTCTTTATATGAGAATGGTGTTTTTTGTTTTTGTTTTTGTTTTCCAAGATGGAGTCTTGCTCTGTTGCTCAGAGCTGGAGTGCAATGGCATGATCTTGGCTCACTGCAACTTCTGCCTCCCAAGTTCAAGCAATTCTCCTGCCTCAGCCTCCCGAGTAGCTAGGATTACAGGTGTGTGCCACCATGCCTGGCTACTTTTTGTATTTTTAGTAGAAATGGGGTTTCACCATGTTGGCCAGGCTGGTCTTGAACTCCTGACCTCATAATCCACCCACCTCAGCCTCTAAAAGTGCTGGGATTACAGGCATGAGCCACCGCACTCAGCCTCTCTCTGTTATGCAAATTCAATACTTTCTATTGATCTATCTCCAAGTACACTTTTTTCTTTGTTAATTTTTTTCTGCTATTGAGCCTATCCAGTGAGTTTCTTTAAGTTATATTTTTCAGTTCTAACATTTCAGACAGTTCTTCTTTAAATCTTCTACTTCTTTGCTGAGACATTCTGTTATTCCACCTATATAAGATTTTATTTCCTTACTTGGTGGAGCATTTTTACAATAGCTCTGCTAGCAAGTCTTTGTCAGCTAGTTCCTAAGTGAGTCATGATCTTCCTGGTTCTTTGCATGCTGCACACTTGTGGATTGTATTCTAGACGTTTTGAATGACATGTTATAAGATGTGGGGTCTTGTTTAACTCCTGCAAAGAATGTTTATATTTTTGTTTTAGCAGGTAATTGACACAATGGGTTCAGCTCATAAATTCTGACCAGCCATTTGTGGGTTAAGATTCCAATGCTAGTCTGTTTTATAAAGACTTTGTAGTCCTGCTCAAATCTGTCTCATGTATGTGCCTCCCCAGTCTCAAGCCAAAGATCTGGGCAGTGGACAGTCTTTTGGTTCAGTTCTTTATGCCTATGTTGGGTAGCATCAGATCTGTGCCTTTCCAAATCAAGGGTGAGCCCAAGAGCTCATAAACAATTTTAAGGGCTATAATCCTGAATCCCTTTTTCTCTGTGATCTCCTTAGTACCCCTTGGTGTCCTGGGGCTCTCACCTTGTTCTCTGGTCAGAAATCTGGGTTTCTGGTAGCCTTACTTTGTTGTGCACTTTCTGAAACTGTCCCCACATCTCAGATCAAGTGATGAGGGAACATGGAGGTAGAAAAAGCCACAGGAGTTTGCCGCACCCTCTCTGGGCCACAGCTCCTCCAACTGGAGAGGCATGTTCCTCTTTCTCAGTTGTGACTCCCATGTGCTCCTGTTATTGCTACCACTGCAGTAATTAGTAGGGGCTAACATAAATAAAAGACTGGGGAAAAGGGGAAAAAATTAAAATAATTGTTTTCATCTCCTAGTGCTAGGCATTCCTTTCCCACTCTACGAGCCATAATTGGAGGATCCCACCTGAGCTCTCTCTGTGTCTTAGTATCTATGTTGGGTTTCAGGCAGTCTTGTGTTCATTTCAAAGGAAACTGGAGGGGAAAAGATGACACACTCACCATTTTGGTCTTCATCTCCAATCTGCCTGCTATTATTTACTTTTCAGAGTCCTCAGATGCTCCACTTATTCTGCCCAGGTTTTTTAGCCGCATTCAGTGGGAGGAACAGGGTGGTGTGAGTACACTTACTCCGTTGTACCTGGAATCAGAACCCCTCCAATATTTTTTTGAAAACTCCTCTAAGAGGCAAGAAAATAATAAAGTTTCTTATTCTAAATTTCCTGCCTAACTGCATGTTTAGACCTATTAATGCTAGGAAGAGGAAAAATGTAAGTGTGGGTGGATGAGGTGGGACTATCATGTAGTCATGTGAAACATTTTAAAGCCAAAAAAAGGAAAGAACGTCTTTTAAGCTTTACTTTTACAGGCTTCTGTTTTAGCCAGTACCATCTGTGGGAAAGGAAATAAGAATTGAAAGGCAAAAATTAAAATAAGTCTTGGAATCAGTAAAGGACTAAAGAAAGTTTTACTGGGCAAGTTAGTATGGATTCAGGAAAGAAGGAAATACACTATACTTACTGAGGTTTTTTTGTACCATCTCCAAGCCAGAGCTTGCCAGGAATTTCCCTTTTTCCATTCACCCTGCTCATAAGCCCACCACAAAGAGCAAGACTTGGGTTTGCCTAAGCCTACGCTTGAGACAGAAATAAAACTTTTACCTCCTAACAGAGGACTGAGCTGTGAGACTCTGAAAGCTTTTCTTATTGCTTACCTTCTTATTTTTTTTCCTTTAATAGCCTTAGGTATTCTTAATTTCCTTATCTTTTGGTCACACAAATACCTAGTTTTGGTTCTTATAACTCCATGTAGTCCATGGAGTTAGGTCACAATAGAGATCAACCTCTACACAATGCGCCACTGTGTTAGCTGGTTTCATTCTGAATCAGTTAATTCTGGTGTGCGTGTGTGTGTGTGTGTACTTTGGGAAATTGTAAAAGTCAGAGTTTAATCAAGGATATAAGATCCTGAATTAGGAGTCTCCCGATAAGCTAGTTTTTCTCCAAAGCCTTTCCTACAAGTGTCTTTAAAATAAGCTCCCATCCTGTTACTGGTGTAGTCAGAAACACCATTTCCTCCAATCTTCAAGGGCTAGGGGTGAGAAAAGGATTGCTGGGTACAATTTATAAGACACAATTACAAGTTATTCATCCCAGATGAGAAACTAAATTTACTTTGAAGCTTACATTGTTTGCCCAGAGATGACTCTCATGGAAAACACCATGGAACCTCTGCTAAAATGAGTGTTGTTCTTCACCCAAAGCACTGTCTCTCCTCTCGGGAGCCTGGCAGGAAATAGAATTATGGGAAGTAAACTGCTATCAGCCTAACAGTCTAACCTAGAGCAACCGGATTGCAGGCTTTTGTGGGTTTGGGATCACGTGTTCTTCACTTTTACTTATGCTGAATAATAATCTTTCCACATGGTGGGAAATCCATATAATTTTTAACTGGTCCAGTGGTATCTGGAACAGATCTGAGAGAGTGGATTCATTCATAAACCAACATTTATCAAGTTTCCTGCTAGTGGCGAGGCTTTGTTCTAGATCTACATATTGCGGATGGAAGAAGAACAAAATAAATCCCTGTCTCAGGGAGACTGCCTTTTAGTGGGAGAATCAGAGGATAACCAACCAACCAAATAAATATAATACCATGGCAGGCAGTAGTAAGTGGTATAAAGAGAAAGATAAGTGGAAGAGACTAGTGTAGGCTGAGGCCAAACAATGATCACTAGTGATCAACAGTAGTCGTAGGCTTCTCTGAAGAGGTGAATTTAAACTGAAACTTCAGTAAAGAGAGACAATGAGCTATTCAAAGGAGTAGATGATCCAGACTAAGAGAACAGCAAGTCCAAAGGCTCTGAGGCAGAAGGATAGATGTTCAAGGAAAAAAAAAAAAAACAACAGATAGAATTGATTAGGAAGGAAACACAGATGATTTGCATGGAGCAGCCTGCTGGCTTCCAGTTTAGTTTCAGGTTGGATCACCTTGATATATCTGGTCCTCAATATTCCTGGAGAGCCCAAAAGGGAAAGGCCCTAAATGTGTCTCATATATCAGGTCTCTCTAATAAAGGCTCAAGTCTCAAGAGATTTTGGCTTATTCCCAGAGCCCTGAAATAATTCATTCAACAACTTGTAATAATTAGGAAGCTCTTACCATGTGCCAGGTACTGTGCAATTAATCATTATCATGGCTTGGCATAGAAACTGGAAAAATATCCTTGGACTTATTTTCCTGGGAAGTAATTATTACAGTGGCAAGTGGTGTTAAGTCAACTAGTCCTGTTGCAGACTTGAAATACTCTGGGATGGAACTGGCTGTTCTTTCTTTCTATATTATTGGGTGCTTCTCTGGTAGTGCTCCAGGCCTTAGTCTTTGGTTCTTGTCTCTATTATGTACTCTCTTCTGTGTTATATTATCTAGTCTTATAAATATAATCTCTATGGCTATTAATGTGAAATTTACATTTGTATTCATACATTCATCCTAAACTCTAAACTCTTCTACTTAACTCCCTACTTGTCCTCTCTATTAGACTGTCTGATACACATTTCAAACCTAATGTGCCCAACACTGAATTTCTAATCTTCCTCTCCAATCCTCCTATGCCCACAGTCTCCCTGATCTGAAGCTGAGTCAATGACAGCTTCATCCTTGTTCAGGATCAAGACCTCAAAATCAAATGTGACTTTTCTCTTTCCTCAAATCTCGTATCCAGTCCTTCAACAAATCCTGTTGGGTCAATGTTCAAAATATACTCAAACTCTGACCATTATTTACATGTCCACTGCTATCAGTCTAGTCCAAGCTACCATCATTTTTCACCTGGATTATTTCTCCTCTTCAGCCTCTACTCAAAACAGCTGCAAGATACTTTCAAAATTTGTCAGCTTATGCCACTCTCTGGCCCAATTCCTGCAATGGTGCCCCATTTCATTGAAAGTGAAAATGGAAATCTTGCAGCAGCCTGGAATTCTCCTTCCCCACATTGATTCCCGGGCCTCACATCAACTCCTTTTCTTTTTTCTCACTTTGTCTTAATCACACTGGCTTTTTTGCCTTGAACTTGTCAGGTTCTCTCCTGCCTCACTATTCCCTCTGCCTGGATTCTCTTCCCCAGCTACCCATATGGCCAATATCTTCTCCTTTATACCTTTGCATAAATATCACCTTCTTAGTGATGCCGATCTGAACAGCCTATTTAAAACTGCAAACTTCCCCACAATGCTTACTCACTCTGCTCTTTTTCTTAAGCATCCCTTATCAATCTAACATATCATGTAATTTACTCATTGTTTATTGTTAATTGGCTGGCTGTCTCCCCTCACTAGGCATCAGTTCCACAAGGACATGGAATGATTTACTTACTCATGGAACCTCAAGCATATAGACTAGTGTCTGACACATAGTAAGTGTTCAGTGTTTTCGTTTTGTGAATGAATTGATTAATCTGTGATATGTTGTCCTTCTCACTGGCCTATCAGCTATATCTAATGCAAGTCATTGCATTCTTAGGTCTTTAATAATTCTAGGTCTTTAGTAAGTGTTTTTGATGGGCTGTTTAGCCAGAAGAATCCACTAATTACGCAGCATTTCATAAAATTTTTTCATCTAGTTTCTATTTCATGGAAATGTTTGCCAAAAGGTCATCATTATATGGAGCACCTTTCATTTTTTTCTTTTTATTGAATAAGAATACATGTATAGAAAAGTACAACTTTCATAAGTGCACAGCTTGTTGTAATTTCACAAAAAAAAATTAACTCAGGTAACCAATACCCACAGGAGGAAACACAACATTACCAGCCCCTAGATGCCCCCTCATGCTTCCCTTCCTGACTTCTGATATTACAAATTAGTTTAACACAGTTTATTTTAAAAACACCATATTCAGATTTCAATAGTTTCAGTAATGCTTATATAAAAAACTGACTTTAAAAAATTGATCTGATTTCCTCCGTCACTGACAAAGACAACATAAAAATGGAACTTGTTCTAAAAAAGCACAAATAGAAGGAATTTATCAGAAGCTCACATTTCAAGATAGACTTTCTGGCAAAAATCAATTAAGTATAGACATTGGATATATCTACTTCTACCTCATGTACATTTAGGAAAGACCATGAAATACATTACTTATCAGAAATATATGTCAAGGGCTAAGCTATTGCTTTGTTTCCTTATTGGTTTGCAATATTGATGCTGTTATATCTCTAAGGATTTTCTTAAATCAAGTGAGAAGAAGCTTGATGAAGAATCATTTCACTTAAACTTTAGGGTAAAGAACTGCACAGACGTGGGTGAGCTGTTATTCTTTATCCCCTCACACCCTCAGATCTATTCTCAGCACTTCTCTTCTCTGCAAAAGCTGATGAGTCAGACTTCTTACTGCTTCCCGCCTTTCCCTCAAACCGTACCTCTGGTCTCCCCGGGTATTCCCTATGACCCTTTGATGAGAAAAGAGGGTGACAGTGGCCTGGTCTGGTTTAAGAATTATCTGTCTGGGGTGGCTCTGCAAGCCATAGGAAAATCTTCCCATAGACAGAACTTCAGGAAGTACATCTGGTTGGCCACTGACATGAAAGAAGGGATAAGCTGAGGTTTCCTGAAATACACAGGCAGGGGCTAATGGGTTGGTCAAATTATCAGGGACCTGGAAGGTTGGTGCCAAGATCACCTAAAGGGAAGTTATATAATGGACCTCTAAAAATGGCTAGTCTTTGAGGCTATTTGAATAGCATATAAATGTTCCCCCAGAGGACATCTACCTCACAGAAAGCTAAATGAGGAGGTGGCCAAGATGACCTATCCCTTGGTTGTAGTGAGCCTCCTTCCCTGGCTGCTATGGTCTAAATATTTGTGTCCCTTCAAAACTCATATGTGGAAACCTAATCACCAATGTGAATGGTATTAGGAAGTGAGGCCACTGGGAGGTTAAGTCCCCAGGGAAGTTAAGTGCCCTTATGAATGGGATTAGTGCCCTTATAAAAGAAATCCCAGAGAGCTGCATAGCCCTTTCCACCATATGAAGACACAGAAGGTGGCCCTCTGTGAACCAGGAAATAGGCTCTCACCAGACGCAGAGTCTGCTAGAACCTTGATCTTGAACTTCCCAGCCTCCAAAATTGTGAGAAATAAATTTCTGCTGTTTATAAACAACCCAGTTTACGGCGTTTTGTTAAAGCAGTTGAGCATGCTAAGACACTGGCCATGTTTGTGCTTGGGTAAATGTCTCATGTACAAAGTGGCCATGGGAATAGGAACAGAGGCAATGAAATAAATAAACATGGACTTCCTCACATCACAGCTGATCTGCCACTGTCACTGCTGAGTGCCCAGATTTCTAAAACGGAAGGCAACACTGAACCCTTATTTGGCACTATTTCTTGGAAGTATCAGCCACCCAGGTTGATAATATCAGACCACTACATTATGGAAGGGGCAGGAATTTGTCTTCATGGGAATAATTACATATACTGGAGAGTAACTTCCCTTTCCTGTGCATGTTGCTTCCGCCAGCACTACCATATGTGGTTGATAGGCTGCCTTATTCATCCCCATGGTGTCACACACAGCATTGTCACTGATCAAGGAACTCATTTACAGTGAAACAGCTGTGGTATTACGCTCACATCGTAGAATTCATTGTTCTTACCTGGAAGCAGCTAGATTGATGGAATGATGAAATGTCCTATCGAAGGCTCATTTATGGAGCCTGCTGGGAGACAACATCTTGTGAAGTTGGGGTGCTGTCCTATAAGTGGTCAGATCAGTGGTTGATACATGGTGTTGAATACATGGCTCTGGGAACTCAGGATGAGTAATAACCCACTTCAATAATACTGTCTTCTTGTCCCTAAAACATTGCATCTAATGGGCGTGAGGTTCTTGTGCCCAAGGGGGAGATATATTTCTACTAGGAAACACTGAGAATGCCCCTTCAACATTTCAGGTTGTTCACAACACTGATCAAAGGCAGAGCATTGGCTGTTTGTATGGACTGGTATGATTAATTTTGATTATCAAGGAGAAATTGGGATTTTTGCTATCACATGGAAACAACACTGTATCTAGAGCCCATGGGATTCATTGCACTCCCATGTCCAGTAGTAATGGCCAATGAGAAACGGCAGCAACTCAACAAAGATGGAACCACCCGGATCCTGTGGCAAGGAAGGTTTGGCTCACCCCATCAAGTAAGACACCTTAACTGTCAAGATGCTAGGTGAGGGTAAAGAATTATGGAACGAGTGCTGGGAGGAGGAAGTCAGGATTATTAGATTAGAAATGCTTAGATGTGGAGCTGTAGTATGATAGTTATTTATTTTTTTACCTTTCTTTGCTGCCTTGCATCCTGGTGGTGACTAAAGTTACAGTTTAGGGTCCAGGAAGTAATATGACTGAAATACATCATCACTCAGTGATACAGTAGCTGATGAGACTATGTTTTCCCTGTGTTGAGGACCTGAGTTTCTTTGGCTAAGTAAAGTGTTAGAATGGAAGCTGAGTGACAATAGGGTGGCCTGGGATGGTTATTCTTAGATCTGTTCTCTGCCTTTTCCTGTCACGCTCTGCGGCCTGGGAGGCTGCCCTCTACTAGACCTGTTGTTTCATTTGCTTTTCCTTGCACTCTGGCAAGAAACTACTGGCAAGAGGCCAGAGGGCAGGAGGAGAGCCGGGCCAGGGATTTTTATGCCCTCCTCCTCTTTCCTCTCTGCCACACCGCAGATGAGACAGAGGCTCCAGCTCCCAGGCCCAGTGACCTCTCCTGCACAGTTTCAGCTCTTACCAGGCTGGTAACAGCATCCCCTCCCTTTGTCCCTGCAGACCTCCTGTGGTAAGAGCTAATCCCTGACTGTCTCCCCAGCTCTTGTTGGTTCCATTAACCCTGCCCACGCCTCTGTAAATAATCCCTGTATGAAATTCTCTTCAGCTAAACCCTTTGATGGTGCCATCTGTTTCCTACTAAGGCGTCAGTGGATACAGCAGGAAAAATAGCTGAGAAAGGAGAGAGGTATGGAGGTCAGCTATTGTGAAGTGGGGGAACATTTGAGGGCATATGGCTGGCACATACAGGCCAGAATAAGATGCATTTTCACAGGCTGAAATTGGCCAAGACAAAAAGAGTAATCTCTTCTAGTCAGAGCTCATAGTTGTTGTTTTTTTTTGGTATTGTCAGATAGAGAAAGCCTGCAAAGCTGATTGGGATGTGCCCAAGATTGAGAGGTTTTCTGGGTTGCAGGAATTTCAGTTCTAAAACTGGAACAGTCCTAGGCAAACTGGGATAGTTGGTCACCTTAATCTGTGATTATAATCAGGACTTCTGAGTCTTGCCCAGCTGCTCCTGCTGTAGGGACATTCTAGGCAAAAGGACACTGTTCTAGAACCACTTGGCTCCTCCTCTCCACCCTCAATCAATGGCAGACATCACTTATCTCTCAAGGCATACGTTCTCTACATGCAGTCTGAGATCTCTCTTAACACATGGTTCAGGAAGCTGGTATCAACTGTTCAGAGCTAGAATGCCAGACAAGAACCTTGCTAACACCCCTGAATTAGAGTGAATTAGAGCTTTGGCCCCAAACTCAAAAGCAGGGCTAGACCAAGAAGAGCCTCTAGAGCTCTTTTTTTGCCCTTGTTTCCTTGGGTATTGCTGAAGTAAGTAGCAGCGTGGGTGGCCTTTTTAGCTCCTTTGCACTTGGCCAATAATTAGATCCTACTCATCTCCATCTTTCCATCTACTGTAAGAGCTTCAAGGGCTGACATTGTGTTGTAAGAACAGCAGCTCACACCTTCAACATTAACAATCTGCCCGTTTATTATTCCAAGTGCTGTGTACTTTTTAACCATCTATATGTTAAAGATGAGGAGACAGTTAAATGATTTAAGTGACTTTTCCTAGGTCACACATGTAGCAGACCCAGGACTCAAATGCACTCATTCAGGTTCTTAGTACAGCACTTAGTGCCTCTCTCCTAGTTCCCTCGGATACCCTGCACCTGGCTCAGAGCTTGTCAGGTAGTGAGTGCCTGGTTATTAAATATGTGCTTAAAATTGTTAAATGAATACAAATCTTACCAGGAAATATGTCCCTTTTCATGTCTCCTTTTCCATGGACCCTGCTCTGGTTTTGTTAGGCCTTCTAAGCAAAGGCAACCTTTGACTCAGCTGACTAAACCAGCAGCATGAGAACAGAACAGAGCAGAGAGTGGTCCTTTGTCAATGGGCTCAAATCCAGGTTCTATCAGCCTCTTAATCTAGAAGGTGAGAATTTCAATGGTGCTTACCTCCGAAGAGTTGTGCCAAATGAGTCAAGAACTTGGCACACAGTACATACTTACTTTTAGCTTTGATTATTTTAATGGTTATTCTTGCAAATCAATCCAAATGCAGTAAATAGAAGTGCAAAGGGTAGATTTCCAATTCCAGGAGCAATCCCTTTACTTCTCCAGGCTTCTTCCTCTAGCCGAGGGCTCTTTCCTTGAAGTCAGTTTCACCCTGATCTTTTGATGCACCGCCTTTGGGATGAGTGGAGAGAAATGCTTGAGCTCCCCCTAGAGGATGGCGGTGCTCCTAACTTCAAAACCTTCCATGACGTCCCAGGACCCAGGATTAAAATGTTTTCTGATATTTTCTGTTTGTTCCTCCAAATGTTTGTTCCTCCTTCTGTGCTGGGTGTTTTCTGTTTGTCCCTCGGAAATTGCTTTTTACCCCCTTTTTACTCTCTTCTGGGCTACAGGGTGCTGACTTGTATAGATAGACTCCCTTTCTCTCCAACTTCCAGTTTGATATTAACCAATGGAAGTCATCAATATTGAAGAAGAGGAGAGAGGTTGGGGTATTATTTCCCCAGGCCCCTCCAAGCCAGGCTGCTAAGAGTAGGCAAGATCCCTCTACTAAAGGCCATGGCTTCTATCATGCAGACTTTCAGACTCTAAGATCTCTGGTTCCTTGGTGTTGGCTCCCCTGCTTCCCTCTTCAGACCTAGGGACAGAAATGACTTCCTGCTGTTGCTAGCCCATAGCACAGCACCATCCCAGTTTGCTTTCTCTTAATCCTAACTACACCTTGGTAAATGGTCCCTTTATTAGCTCTCCTCAACTACCCTGTTTGAGAGTGTCATCTGTTTCCTGCCAACCACTACATGCTGTGTCTAAATTCCTTAACAGTTTCATCTTTCCTCCACCTCCCCAGTACCCTGTGCTTCAATAAACACTACTTACAATCTCTGTAATATAATCCTGCTGCTTTGTGGCCCATGATTCTCCCATTAATTCTTATATCCGCAGTGTCCTTGCATTTTCCCTATCCTCTTCACAACCCGCTCTCCACCCTGGCCCTCATACAATGTCAATCCCCTTTCCTCATTAAAGGCTTCAATTCAAAGGCCATGTCTTCTATTCAGTCCTTCCTGATCTCCTTTGGCACACATTTTTTTTCCCATTTCACTGACATCCATGCCTTTTCTGTCCTATTGAGTAGCAGTCTTACATTTGGGTTGGATTCACCTTTTCTCTAGTGTCTATGGAGGGTCTGGGATAGTTTAACTATGTTCCATTAACTGGATTAATACAGGCCTAATCCAACCAATACATGATATTTCCCTGGCAATAGGGAAATGGCCAACACTTCTTCGTGGGTGTTCTACTCAGCGGGAGACTGCAGGGCTTTGTTCTGTGGTTGGTATCCATGCTCTCCCCTTCAGAAGTGAGCAGGGAGCAGAGAGTTGCACCCGCTGATTGTAGGCATCTGGTGACCAAGAGGAATGTCAATCTGAGGAAGAAACTAGCATGGAGAGAGGGCAGAATCAGGAGGATCACTAGCAAACAGAACCGGGGCCTTGATCAGACTGTGCCCAAAGCTGTTATTATGCAAGCCGGCTTGAGATGTTTTTTTTTTTGTTACACCAGCTAAAAATATATGTGACATTTATGTTAACAAAAAAGCAACATTCATAGAGTGCAATTAGAAGACAACTTCATCCTTTTCTTCTTCTGCCCATTCAAACTCACATAAAGGGTTACTTCTTCCTCTGCCTCTGGATAAAACCTTGGTGGGGTCCAAGGGGGAGGGAAGGTCCTATCCTTATCTATTCTTCTGCTGAGGATAAAATGTCTTCCAGTCACCTCTAATTACAAAACAGTTTTATTTCAGTAATTAAAATATCCATTTCTATGTCATAGTCAAACCTCTGAAATTCATTTAACATGAAAACTTTTCTCTCCTGACTCCAGCCACTAAAAGCTACAGTGGGTGTTGGGTAGAGGAGGAGAATGTTCCTATTTCCTCATCTAACATGGGGAATAGTGGCTTTTTACCTATTTCCCCTCTTCTTCACTTACTGAGAGGTCTCTGGCTCCTCCTGGATTAAAGCAGAGGAAGGAGGAGAAATATGAGGTAAGTTAGGGTCTTATTCATGTGGACACTGCAATGTAATATGATGATGGTTCCCTCTCTTTGCATGTTTAAAAGCACCTCTCCCTGGGTTTGAGTCCCAGAGAGAACTGTTCCCATGGGCACTTCTGTGGGTTCTCTGAGGACCTCATTGGGCACATTCAGCTGTGTTATTTATGATGTGGACAATGTACTTTTCTCTCTCTGTCATTTTTATTCCTTTCTCAGCTCCTGGGGCCCTGACAACCCATCTTCCTGTTGGGTTTATGGCATCCTTTTGGGTTTTCCCGGGCTGCAGGCCTGCACTCTTTTTCTCCCATGCAGCTCACATCCAGTCCTGGAGATACACTCATGCATCTTTGTCCCCATCGTCACTGGAAGAACAGTCTGTTCCAAGAGCTGTCTGGTCTTTTCTCTCTGCCCTCAGAGCAGCCAGCCAGCCGCATCCTCTTGCCTTTTGATTTCACAGGCATGAGCTGCATGGCTGTCACTGTGCTGGAGGTATTTATCTCAAATATAGTCTAATCTCCTCTTAGCAGGCTTGAGGGAAGAGAGAGATAAGTCCCACCCTTCCCCCATAGGCGTGGGAAGTAGGCCTGAGACACAAACACACTGACATACTCTCCATTATTTCCAAACTCACCTTTGAGATGGATGTTTGCTGAGAGCCACAAAACTGGTTTGTTGCTCCCTCCGTGAAAGTCCTGTTTAGGTATTCTAGCCCTTCCCATAGAACAAAGAGTACTGACCATCTAATGTGTGGAGGCCTTAGCAGAAACAGACAGAAAAAGCAGACAGAGTCCCACTGTAGCATCCTAACCTACATGCATACTTTACCCCAGGTGGAATTCACTGCTGTAGAGATGGATCCTGTATAGATGTTCATCAAAGTACTGGCAGCATGTTGATGCACTTGACTTTAAAAGTCAGGGACTAAGTCAGGTGAACAAAACTAGGAACTCACGGACCAAATCCAACTGGTTAGAGAGGCAAGTGATTTATTCTCCGGCTCATGTTTCTATATGGAGGCATTTTCCAAGACTAACAATCCTGGCTTCTCTCTTTTGGCTTTCCTTGTCCTCCGTGGGGCAAAGTTATCTGGAAAGTCTGGAAGGGACCAGGCACACGCAGCTCAGCCTTTGCTGCTCTCCCCTCTCTTCACACTTGTGTTATCTGCAAGGAGGGGAATATTGTAGTTTACTATCTTGACTGGAGGGTTAGCTCTGCCTTGCTGGGGTGAAGGGCTTGATTTGTGGGGAGGATGGTTAGTTCAATTCGGGAGCTTTCTAGCAAGCCTATTTGGTTGTACACTTAAGCCAAATCCTTTATGGTTACATCATCAGTATCGAAGCTGACATTTTGACCTTAATCTGCCTGAAACCTGTGTGGCTTAACTGGTTCCACATTCGGGTGAGAAAGAGAAGTCTTATTTTGGAGGTTGCTTAAACACCATCAAAATCCACAGACATTATTTTCTTTTTTTTCCTTTGGCCCACATAGTCTTTAAATTTTTTTCAAATCAGTTTACAACTTTTAATATTAGGGAGCTTTTAGCTAGAGTTCTGGATTTCCAGCATATCATGATAATTTCAATGAGTTCACTGGGGTTGCATGCCTTGTGGCAATGATTCCTGAGAGGGGTTGGGGAGGGGAGGTAGTAGCTGCTCCCTTTAGATAAAGCATGTACTTTCTAGCTCTCCCCAGTTCCCAGCTAGTTAGGGTTGCTGCATTTAGCAAATATGAATGCAAGAAGCCTGTTTAAATGTGCAGAAAAGATAAACAACTATTTTATTTTTACTTTTTAGTGTAAGTAGGTCCAATGCAACTCATGCAATTCAGTTAAAGCACCCTATATTGTATCTGGCAACCCTACCTCAACCAGTTTTGTTATCCACTTGGGCTTAGAAGGTAAGTGAGCTTTTTACCCTTGTAGTCATTTTTACTTATTTTTATAAGTACAATACCTAACATACTACCTGGCCCATAGTAAGATGTTCAATAACATTGATGGAATGATTATATAAACATAGCCTGAAGACCAAAATCATATTCCATAGAAAATATCACTAGTCACATAGATGAATAAAGAGTAACAACCTCTTGCTGAGCGCAACTTGAATAAAGAGTACACATTTGCAATTATCTGAGGAGCAGATCTGAGCTGGAATTCTGGACCCTTGACTTAATAGGCGTGGCTTTACTGCTGACTAGCTGAATACAGTTGAGCCAGTTAATACGCCTTCATGAACCTTTGATTTCTCATCTCTAAAAGGAAGGAGAAACGCTTGCTCTCTAGGATTTCTACCAAAGTTAATGTTTTTTATTTTCTTTTGTTCTGAATATTCATCACAGAGAAAGATTAATATGTGCAGAATTTGACAGCAGTATTAGTCAGCAGCAGAACAGTCGATTAAAATTATGTAACTGGTGATAACAAGTCAGCTAATATACGAATAGGTTACTTCGTCACATTCCCAGGTAGTATTTTGAAAATGCCTCTTCTAATAAAGGTAATAGAAGCCTAGAAGCATAGCTTTTTCAAGAGGCTTTTTTTTGTTTTTGTTTTTGTTTTTTTAGACAGAATCTCATCTGTCAACTAAGCTGGAGTGCAGTGGCACCATCTCGCCATCTCGGCTCACTGCAACCTCCACCTCCTGGGTTCAATTGATTCTCATGCCTCAGCCTCCCGAATAGCTGCGACTACAGGTGCATGCCACCACACCTGATTAATTTTTTGTATTTTTAGTAGAGATGGGGTTTTGCCATGTCGACCAGCCTGGTCTTGAATTCCTGGCCTCAAGTGATCTGCCTGCCTCAGCTTCCCAAAGTGCTGGGATTCCAGATATGAGCCACAGCTCCTGGCCCTTTTTCAGGACTTTAAGATGCCATCAACTGACATGCACCATGATTTGAGATTTGATAACAGCTTCTTAGGGGAAAATATATCAATTATTACATCTCACGCCAATTCAAGAAATTTAAAAAGTGATTTTGAAAAAGTACATCTTGTAATGGAGAAATCTGGGTATACTATATATGGTTAATTTTAGGGTATTGACAATTATTTAAAACCTTATGGACACCAGGAGATCAACCCATGGTGAATCAACATTTATTAAGCATTTAACAAATGCCAGGCACTGTACTAAGTGCTTTCATTTAAATATGGGCCTCTTATATCAGTATTATTGACATTTGGGGTTGGCTCTTTGTTTTGAAGGCTGTTCTGTGCATCGTAGGATGTTTAGCAGCATCCCTGATCTCCATCCACCAGATGCCAGTAGCACCTACACTCTTACTTGTGATAACCATAAGTGTCTCTAGACATTGCCAAATGTCCCATGTGGGAAAACTTGTCCCTGGTTGAGAATCATTCATTTAAATTACTCTGTTGAATTGGGTAATTCACTACAATCCAGCAAGGCAAAGTCTTTGTGGTCCTCACTGTGTTCACACCATGCTCTGGTCTATGCAGTCCTGGAAGAAGGATGACTCCTCTGCCAATCTGTTTCCTACTTTGCCTCCAGGTTACACAAGCATAGCAGCCTGTGCCCAACTGTCTCACCAGACTCAATTTAAAAACCTGCTACTTCTGCTGCTTCCTGAGTCCTTTCTCTCCATGAGATTCAGACTAGGTCTGTGAGGCTGGAGAAGCAAAGACACCACGACACCGCCCTCTGACCTGTGTTCCTTCTCCCTCTTTTGATAAGAGTGTTTACCTAAACCTTAGGAAGGTCAGGAGATGGAGGGATATAGCTCTAACTTGTAATAAACACTATCTGTCAGGGAGGAGATGGTAATAATATCTACATTACCTCTGCGGTGCTAACTTCTAAAATGAATGTCACTTATTTTATGGAAATTAATGGAAATTTCCAGTCTCCTCTCTTTTCCCAATTACTTATTCATCTTAACTTGAAAATGTGCTAGTACTTAACTTTTTCACTAACAGCATAGCTGAATCCTTTATTGATCATTGATGTCTGGGTTGTAATGTTTTCATTCTGATCTTTAGTTATTTATCTGAATCTGGCATTCTCAGAAAGCTGTGAGCCTCTAAATCAGTAATCCTTGTGGGAATGAGGACACAACATCTTGGAGCAATATGCCAGAATCACCTGTGGGGCCTTTATTTAAAAATAAAATAAAATCTCAAGCCAGGCATGGTGGTTCATGTCTGTAGTCCCAGCTACACCAGAGGCTGAAGTAGGGGGATCACTTGAGCCCAGAAGTTCAAGGCTACAATGTGCTATGAGAGCACCTGTGGATAGACACTGCACTCCAGCCTGGCCAACATAGTAAGACTCCATTTCTAAAATAGTTTAAAAATAAAAATAAATAAAAAATAAAACTCAAGCCTATGTTTTCTGCCTTCAATCTCTGTCCCCAAAACAAAATAAAGATTATGACCCATCACTCACCTCATCCAGGGGTGTGTGGCCTCAACTGAGAATCAAAGCTCTGAGTGCATTAACCTTCACGTGTGTTGGGGAATACAAATGCTTGAAAAACTGACAAACATTTCTTGATTTTCATGTAGAAAAGGTCTTGATATTGAACTGCATTCAATATTCAATCCAAATTCCTCCAAGTGTTAGACTGTATAACTTTCCACAACTTTCTTCATGGGGAAGAATTATATGTCTCTACCAGATATGTGACTTTCCTTGGTCAAGGAAATCTTAGAAAGCCATCGTGGGCATCATCTGCTCTTTTCCAGCTGCCAGTCACCAATAATGTTTCTGACAGTGGCTTCGCTGACAGCCTATGTCCTGAAGTGAGGATAACAAGGACCTGAGAGTTGAGCCCTTAGTTGACTTCTGATGGCAACATAATGCGAGCAGAAAATAGAAGACTTCCTTATTTTAAGCCACTGAGATTTGGGGGTTGTTTCAGCAGCAAAACTTAGACCTTCGTGACTGATACAAAGGGCCAGGGAGATCATTTATGCCTGTGAATCAGACCATGTACAAAAATAACACAAGGAAGTGTACTGAGTCAAATTGAATATTTGGCTCACCTATAGGAGTTTAAATTTTAAAGAATGTTTGAACACATTAATGACCAAACAAAACATATCAGTGGACTTGTTTCAGTCAGTGGGCCACCAATTAGTGAGCAAGGTTACAAGGTTATAGAATAAAAGCTGTTTTCTCAATAAAATAAATACAACGAAAATGGCTCTGTATAAGATCACTAAATGGAGGGCTGGGCATGGTGGCTCACACCTGTAATTCCAACACTTTGGGAGGCCGAGGTGGGCAGATCACGAGGTCAAGAGATCAAGACCATCCTGGTGATCATGGTGAAACCCCATCTCTACTAAAAAATACAAAAATTAGCTGGGCATGGTGGCGCGCACCTGTAGTCCCAGCTACTCAGGAGGCTGAGGCAGAGAATAGCTTGAACCCAGGAGGTGGAGGTTGCAGTGAGCCGAGATCACACCACTGCACTCCAGCCTGGACGACAGAGCAAGACTCTGTCTCAAAAAAAAAAAAAAAAAATCACTAAATGAAGTAAACTACAGTAGTTTTTATAATTGAGAAGAAACCCTAGGGTGGCCAAGTTTAAAATATATTCTTATATTATGTTAGACACTGTTGAGATTTGGAATTTTCTTTTTAGATAGAAGAACCAATCTTTAAAAGAATCTAGTTTCCTTCTACTAAAATCACAATTCTATTGTAATACACAGTGAAGACTTTTAAGATTTTAAAAAATCCTCTAATTGTTTTACACAGATATTATCTCTTCCTCTTTTATTCCCTCATTAAGTCACAAAATTTTATTGGGTACCTACTATGTGCCAGTCATTGTTCTGATATATGGTGGATTAAAAAGAGAATGTCTCTGCCCTCATGGAGTTTATATCCTGGTGATGGTCCCACAAGTGATTCTGACATACTCCCTCTGAGGGTTTTGCCCTCATTCTCATGGGGATTACTCATAGAGAATGTATATTTCAGGGAGAGATAAGTGGTTGTTTATGCTTGCTTTTTTTAAAAAAAATCTTATTATTTTTAAGTATAAAAATCAGTGGTTTATTAGTACATTTATCAAGTTGCAGAACTGTCACCACTATATAATTCCAGAATATTTTATCACCCCAAGAAGAAACCAGTCCCTGGCACACAATCCATATTCTGTCTCTATGGATTTGGCTATTCTGAACATTTTATATGGATGGAACCATACATTGTGTCTGGCTTCTTTACTTAGCATAGTGTTTTCAAGTTTCATCCACACTGTAGCATGAATCAGTACTTCATTCCTTTTATTTGCCAGGCATATAAATGTGTATGGATGCAGCACATTTTATTTACCCATTAATCAGTCGATAGACATTTGGATTGTTTCCACTTTTGGCTATTGTGAGTAATGCTGCTATGAACATTTGTGTCTGCGTTTTTGTGTGGACATATGTATTCAATTATCAAGGGTACCTACCTAGGAGTGGAATTGCTGGCTGATAGGGTAACCCTATGTTTAACTTTTAAAGGAACTCCCAAATTCAAGAAGTCAAAAGAATTACCATAGGGCTCAGCAATTCCATTCCTGTGTAAAGAGCTATACAATTTTACATTCCCACCAGCAATTTATGAGGGTTTCCATTCCTTTACATCCTCACCAACACTTACTATTATCAGGCTATTTGATTATAGCTATCACAGTGGGTATGAAGTAGGTTTTGTGATGTTGATTTATATTTCCCCTATTGCCTAATGATGTTGGGCATCTTTTCATATGCTTACTGGCTATTTATATAACTTTTTGGTGAAATGTCTATCAAAATTGTTTGTCCTTTTTTACCTGGGAGGGATATGTGTTTGAAGAAAAATACAAGTGTAATGTTATAGAGAATGAAAGGAAGTGCTTATTTTGAAAATGTGGTAAGAACTAAGTGAAATGAAAGAAGTGAGTCTTGAAAAGATTTGGGAGAAGAGCATTCATGGCAGAGGAACTAGCAAGGGCTGTGAAAAAAGTATAACACAGTAATGGGATAGAAAATGACTGGAAGGCAGAGCCACAGCAAATAGAGTGGCCTAGGACAGGGATCCCTAACCCCTGGGCCATGTACCCGGTACCGGTCCATGGCCTGTTAGGAACCAGGCTGAAGAGCAGGAGGTGAACAGCAGGCGAGAGAGCCAGCATTATGGCCTGAGCTCTCTCTCCTGTCAGATCAGCAGAGGTGTTACATTCTCACAGGAGTGTGAACCCTATTGTGAAATGCACATGCAGGGATCTAGGTTGTGCGTTCCTTATGAGAATCTAATGCCTGATGATCTGAGCTGGAACACTTTTATCCTGAAACCATCCCTCCCCCTCATTCCCCTATCTATGGAAAAACTGTCTTCCATGAAATTGGTCCCTGGTGCCATAAAGGTTGGGGACTTTAGGAAGCCTCTTTGAGGAGTGACATCTTAGCCAAGACCTGCTAGCCATCATCAGTTCCATCTTGCCCTCATCTCTCTCACTACAGTCACTTGGAAGGTCTGAGTGATGCTTCACATCACAAATGCATAATCTTAGGATTGAGATGGAGAGGGAATGGGGGAATGTACCCTCTTTTCTTTCTAGTGGGAACAGAAAAATTTTTCTAAGTAGAAACCTATTACAACTGTCAAACTACATGGAATTGGCTAGGTAAATTGTAAATTATTACCATGATTTGACTTTTTGGAGACACTAAAAGCTACAGCCCTTTTTTTTTTTTTTTTTTTTTTTTTTTTTTTTTTTTTTTTTTTGGTAAAAGGGTAAAAATGAAAGTCTAAGCCCTAGAAGAGAAGTTACCAGATTCTTGGGATAAGTAAGATAGCCATTCACCAGGTACTGCTGGTTCAGGACCAAGGACAGCATCTAAGTGTTTCTGGGTTTTTTTTCCTGGCCCCCCTTCCCCTGTTCATTTTAATTATGCCATACCTAAACAAATATCTCTTTATGTTTCTACTGCTGCTACTCCAATAATGCCAGAATCTGTCAATTCTTGCAGTGCCTTCCATTTGGGGGAAGAGCATTCATGGTGGAAGAACTAGCAAGTGCTATGAAGAAAGTAAAACACAATAATGGGATAGAAAATGACTGGAAGGCAGAGCCACAGCAAATATAGTGGTCTAGGACAGGGATTCCCAACCCCTGGGCCACGTACCAGTACAGTCCTGTAAGGAACCAGGCTTCCATTGTACTGAAGTTCATCCCATGACTGTGATGCCTTTACTAATGTGCATTCTTTCAACAGTTTACCCCTATGTTCTTCATTGAAGTAACATACACATAACATTTACCATGTAACCATTTATAAGTGTATATAGTCCAATTATATTACATATATTCACATTGTTTTGTAACCATCACCACAGTCCATCTCCAGAACTTTTTCAGTTTCACAAACTGAAACTCCACGCACCCATTAAACAATAATTCCCCATGCTCTCTCCCCACAGCCCCTGGCAAATGGCAAACACCATTCTACTTTCCTTTTTTTTTTTTTTTTTTTTTTTTGAGACAGAGTCTTGCTCTGTCACCCAGGCGGGAGTGCAATGGCATGATCTCCACTCACTGCAACCTCTGCTTCCCGGGTTCAAGCAATTCTCCTGCCTCAGCCTCCCGAGTAGCTGGGATTACAGGTGCCCACCACTGCGCCCAGCTAATATTTGTATTTTTAGTAGAGATGGGGTTTCGTCATGTTGGCCAGGCTGGTCTCGAACTCCTGACCTCGGGTGATTCACCCACCTCGGCCTCCCAAAGTGCTGGGATTACAGGCGTGAGCCACCGCGCCCGGCCCATTCCACTTTCTGTCTCTCTCCTTACTACCTTTTTGTTTACTCTGCTGATTGTTACAGGATGGTTCACTGTCAGCATAAGCATCATACCTAGGAACCTGTACTTATTATAAATGTAAATTCTTGTGCCACAATCCAGACAGACTGAAACAGAAACTCTGGAGTGGAATCTGCATTATATCAAGTGCTTTGGGTGACTCTGATCCCCGCTAAGGTTTGAGAACCATTGATCTAGTGGCTTTAAGTATAAAAATCAGTAGTCTTTAGTACTTTGAAGTTGTAAACCTATCACCACTAATTCCAGAACATTTTCATCACCCTAAAAAGATTCCATTTTTTCATTAGTAATCCCTCCCCATTCTTTCCTCCCCCTAGTCTCTGGCAATCATTAATCCACTAATTCTACCACTTTAAAAAATCACAATTGAAGTCCTTCTTCCCCTATAAGTCTTTCCTGATACAAAAACATTTCCAAAGACCAATCAAATGTCTTAAGTACATTTGACACTATAGAAATACAATACTATGGTTATTATACAGATATTTTGTAACATTCCCATGGTTATGATTGACCTACTGCTCCACATAACTTTCATTGATTGTTTCATGTGGTGAGTCCTGTTTCCCTAATTAGATTTTAAGCTGTTTGACCTAAGCATCCCCATCAATGGATGAATGGATAAAGAAAATGTGATATATATATATATATATATATATGTGTGTGTATATATATATACACACATACACACACACACACACACACACACATATATATATATATACACACACACAATGGAATACTATTCAACCATGAAAAAGAATGAAATCATGTCATTTGCAGGAACATTAATAAAACTGGAGAACACTATGTTAAGTGAAATAAGTCAGGCACAGGAAGATAAATATTACACGTTCTCATTAATATATGAGAGCTAAAAAAGTTGATCGCATGGAGATAGAGAGGAGTGGAATGATAATTCTCTTTCTCCCAGAGAATGTGAAGGATGTGTGGGTGGGAGGGGGAAATGAAGACAGGTTGGTTAACAGGTACAATCATACAGTTAGATAGAAGAAATAAGTTCTAATATTTGATAGCAGAATCAGGTGACTATACACAACAATAATGCACTGTACCAAAATGGCTAGAAAATTTGAAATGTACCTGACATATAGAAATGATAAATCCTTAGGTGATGGATACCCTAAATGCGCTGACTTGATCATTATACATTTTATGCATGCAACAAAATTTCACATGTACCCCATAATGTACAAATAGAGTGTATCGATAAAATTACAAGATACTTTAAATTATTGGAGGACAATGATCATGTTTTCTATTTATTTTGTAGACTTTTTCAGTAACTATAGAGCTGGCCAGCCACACTGTCATCTTTCAATCAATGCAGAAAATGTTTATTATGCCCCTACTATGTGTCAGGGATTGTGGTGCCTGTAGAGTGATACTAAAATGAGTAGAACACAGTTCTTATCTTTACTGACCTTTCACTACAGTTAAGTGCTGATAGACACATAAACATGATGTAGATGTAAAGGCAGCAACATAAAATAGTGCTAAAAAGAACTCTAAGTTTCATACCATCAGGACCCAAAGGAAAAATAATGTTTTATTTTTATAAGGAGGAATAGGTTCAGAGAAAGATGATTTTACATGAACATATCTTCCCAAGTCCTGAGGTATGTTTCTTTGTGTAGAAGTTGGAGCAAGAGAGTAGCACAGGCATTCATGAGTACAGAAACCGCTCTAGCAAAGGCTCCAAAGGGTGGGTGTGTGTGGTTAACTGCAATGGCTTAAGGATTGGCCCAGGGGAGATGAGTGGTTAGATATAAAATAGGACTTGGTTTGAGGCATTTAAAAGTGAACTTAAAGTGCATTTTAAAGATCTATGGCATGATATGCCAGTGGTTCCCAAATGTTGATGCATATTATAATCACCTAGAAAGCTTGTTTGAAAACAGATTTCTAGTATTCACACTAGACCTTCTAAATCAAAACCTCTGGGGTGAGGCCTAAAAACATTTACTTTTAGCAAGATACCCTGGTGAATCTTATGTTATTTGTTGGTAAATGCAGGGTGGACAGGTGGAGGGGAGAAGTTTTGAAGTCAGAAAGCAAGTTGGTGGTTACTAAAATATTCTAGGAGGCAGAAGGCAGGGTCTGTGGAGTGACAGGAGCCATTAGACAGAAAGATAGGAAGATAAAATATATGATGAGGAGCATGCTTGTAATCCCAGCTACCTGGGAGGCTGCTGCAGGTGGATCACTTGAACTCAGGAGTTCAAGGCCAGCCTGGGCAGCCCATCATATATATTATATATATATATATGGTGAGGAGGTAGTTGATAGGACTTGGAGACTGAATGTTAACTTAAATGAATCATGCAGTTTTCAAAAATGTAATTCATTATTGATTCAAACCCATCTTGTACTTTTCCATGTGCTCTCCTATACTTTGGAGGAAGTGTATCAACAAGGGAGTTCCATTGCCTGTAAACAGGCTCAAAATATGTTCACTCCAAGTGCTATATAGTAAGGTGAACAGTAGATGGCACTTTTGTACTATGCTGAATTTCCAAATTTGAAGGCCAAGGAAGAACCAGTGCTAAAATAAAAATAACTCTTTATAATGCTCAAGTAAGTACATTCAATTTCTGTTTTAGGGGGAACTGTATAAGAAGGGCTAATTAGAGGTCAGTTTGTCCTAGCTAGTACCCGGCCTCCAGTAAAACCTTGTAGGT
Organism: Homo sapiens; assembly: GCF_000001405.40. Lineage (NCBI taxonomy): Eukaryota > Metazoa > Chordata > Mammalia > Primates > Hominidae > Homo > Homo sapiens. The sequence goes on along the minus strand of NC_000012.12, from coordinate 89,529,740 downwards.
TTTTAAATACTGATCCTGCTTGTGGCTCCCACCCACATAAATGATTAGGTTGCAGTCCAGAGAGGTCTAAATAATCATTGTAGCAAGTGGAATTAGGCTTGAGGTTAGAAAAAACTTCCCCAACTTTGACCACATTTCCAATTGTCTACCTCTGAGCTTTTGCTATTTGCAAAGGTGAAGAAAAGCCGAAAAGAACAAAATCAAATACTATGGAAAAGAACAATGGGAAGGGCAGTTTAGAGTAATAAATGAGGACAGTGGAATGAAAATAAAGGAGATATTACTTTCATTTTGTAAAACTTATTATTATAAACCTTGGCAAGAATGCAATGTTTTATACATTTACATAACACTTGCAATCACACAAAAGTCATGACAGTGATTAAGAGAGTGGATTCTGGGCCAGGTGAGGTGGCTCACACCTGTAATCCCAGCACTTTGGGAGGCCGAGACAGGCGGATCACGAGGTTAGGATATTGAGACCATCCTGGCTAACACGGTGAAAACCAGTCTCTATTAAAAAAAAAATACAAAAAAAATTAGCCGGGCTTGGTGGCGGGCGCCTGTAGTCCCAGCTGCTCGGGAGGCTGAGGCAGGGGAATGGCGTGAACCTGGGAGGCGGAGCAGCTTGCAGTGAGCCGAGATCGCGCCACTGCATTCCAGTCTGGGCGACAGAGTGAGACTCCGTCTCAAAAAAAAAAAAAAAAAAGAGAGAGTGGATTCTGGAGGCAGACTGCGAGTGTCTAAAAATCTCAACTCTGCCACTTCCTAGTTAGCAGTGTGCCTTGGGCAAGTAACTTAATGTCTTTGCATATCAATTTACTCATCTATAAAACGGAAATGGTAATAATAGCACATCTCTAATAAGATCGTTATGATCACTAAATGTCAAAATTTGTAAGGTACTTAGAAAAGTCCTGGCATGTAGTGAAAACATAGGTAGGTATATTAGTCCGTTCTCACATTGCTATGAAGAACTACCTGCGACTGGGTAATTTACAAAAAAAGCGGGTTTAATTGGCTCATGGTTCTGCAGGCTGTACAGGAAGTATGGCTGGGGAGGCCACAGGAAACTTACAAACATGGTGGAAGGCAAAGGGGAAGAGAGCATGGCTGCTCCATGGCTGGAGCAGGAGGAAGAGAGCAAAGGGGGAAGTGCTACACACTTTTAAACAACCAGATCTCGTGATAACTCACTCAGAACAGCAAGGGAGAAATCCACCCCCATGATCCAATCACCTCCCACCAGCCCCCTCCTCCAACACTGGGGATTACAATTCTACATGACAGTTGGGTGGGGACACAAATCCAAACCATATCAGTAGGTGACAAATTTTTTAAGATCAACTTTAGGTAATAGGATTAATATGTAGTTTCCCTCCCATCTTTTAAATTTAAAACATGTGTTTCTTGATAATTGAGAAAAAAAGTAAAAGCTAAACTTTTACTAAAACACTTAAATAAAAATCTATATTTTTTCTTCTTGTGAGCTAGTTTCTAAATCTCCAACTTCTTCCCTTTTCTGCTTCTCCTGTGCCCAATATTAGACGTAACATACCTATGAGTAATCCTGAGGTCCTGATTACTCTTCAGCTTCTGGCATTATTATTTTATTATTGGGGTGAAATACCTGTAATGAAATTTACCATTTTACCCATTTTTTAGGTGTACAATTCACTGGCATTAAGTACATTCACAATGTTGTGCAAACATCACCACTATCTATTTCCAGAACTTCATCATCCCAAACAGAAACTCTGCACCCATTAAACAGTAACTCCCCAGTCTCCCTTACCCCCAGCCCTAGTAACCTCTATTCTACTTTCTGTCCTTATGAATTCACCTATTCTAGGTACCTCATATGAATGGAATCATACAATATATGCTCATTTGTGTTTGGCTTATTCACTTAGCAAAATGTTTTCAAGGTTCATCCATGTTATAGCTTGTATCACAATTTCATTTCTTTTTATGGCAGGATAATATTTCCTTATATGTATATATCACATACATTTTGTTTATCCATTCATCTGTTGGATACTAGGATTGTATCCACTTTTTGGCTATTGTAAATAATGCTTGCTTTGAACACTGGCATCTGTTGGAGTCTCTGCTTTCAATACTTATGGGATATACCTAGCAGTGAAATTGCTGGATTATAAGGTAATTGTATGTTTAACTTTTTAGGAACTGACAAACTTTTTCACAGAGCTACATCATTTTACATTCCCACCAGTATCCAGCATTAGTTTTAAACATGGCAGGCTTTTAAAATAAATCAAGCCTAAACTGGTAATATGTAGCAAAACTAAGAGTCCTGCAACAGTTTGCTGACAAGTTGCTGATATCAACACTCTTAACATATCATCTCCTAGACTAATGCAGTGTTTCTCAACATAGACAGCTGAGACTCCCATAGTAATCATCTATGGAGCTTGTTACATCAGAAGGGCCCTGGATCCCACCTTGTATATGTTGATTCAGCATCTCTGGAAATGGAGCCCCCAAATCAACATTACAAATGCTAAAGCATGAGACTCACCAACCCTAGATTGCTGAGTTCTTGAAGGTAGGGGAAATATCTTAGTCATCATTGTGTCCCTCAAGGCCAAACATACAACAGATATTTAACAAGTGTATACTTAAATTAACTAATACTGTAATCTAAAGCCTACCTGTTTAGTTGTTAAGTACCATATTCAATAAAATTAAACTCAATCACTAGACAACTAGGGAATCTGTAATTAAGGTGTGTAGCATACCTTTCATTTGCATAAAACACATGTCTTACCAGCTGTGTTCTATCATGCCCTTTGATGTTGCTAAGGATCTTTACACTATATGTAATTTTCAGCTCAGAACATCACGCTTTGAGGCAGGGTTAAAAAAAAAAAAAGGATATGGACTTGGAATTAGAAGAACTGTCTCTGTGTGACCTCTAAGACCAATATCTAGGAATCAAGTTTATAACTTGGAAACATTGAAAACATTTTGTAATTCTACCAACTTCATTGTTTGGCTGAAGCACAAATGATACTATGTGTAACAAAGCCTGCTGTAGAAACGTGGTCTCACAAAAAACAAACAAAAAAAACCATGTTTCCAAGTCTTCCTAAAGACTTTAAGTATCCAGCTGTGTAAGTTTAGTGCTCTAAGGTATACGCAAATAAGCAGATGAGAATGGAAACATATCGCAGAAAATTATTAAGTGCATGCACAACATTTATTCATTCATTCACTCATTCATTCATCACGCACATCCAGCAACTATATCAATATCCTGCAGGGCACTGTGTGGAAAACAGTGGTTAAATAAATTCAAATCTGCCCTCAGGGGATTTAGTTCCTTTTAGTATATTAATAACTAGCAAGCTGCCCCTCTTCATGTCAAAGCTTTACGTCAACAAAATAAGCGGTAGGGGATCACCTTAAACGTCACGGGTGCTGTCTCTTTAAAACGTAATAGAACTCTGATCGCATCGATCACAGGCTCACAACGCCCTTCCATTCATCGCTCTTATTCCAGTCCTGGTTACTACCCCACTTCCTGACATCAAACCAGGGAGAACGCGAGTGTTAGTTAACATGGCTTGGTGTGTGGCCACAGCTGACCCGGCGCATACCTCCCGTCCTCTCTTTACAGGGCTGGCGGTGTCTCGGGGCTCGGCTGGCCATGCCTGGAGCGCGGGGTTTGACTGGGCCGCCGTTGTTGTAGTGACCGGGAGGCGCTGCCGCTCTGGGCAGACGGTTCCGGGAGCCGCACGGTCCCCTCTCCTTCCCCATCCTCTCCCCTCCCCTCTCCGGGTTCCCCCACCCACAGGAGCCTTGGGCCGACCACTCCCCCGATGGCCTCAGCCACGGTAAGGACGGGTTGGAGGTGGGGGGGGTCCCTCCCTGGAGCCTGTCCCGCGGGCTGCGGGGCCAGGTCCGGGCCGAAGCCGCACCTGGAGGGAGATGGAGGCAGGTGTCCGTAGCCGGGTCCTGAGCCCCTCGTCCCGGGGCGTCCGTATCTCACTCTCTGCCATCGGGGCGGACGGAGTGCGGAACCCAGACCCGGCTCCCGGACGCTCTTCCCCGAGTTCCGGAGCTCCGGACTGAGCTGGGCGGCCCCACGGCCCCCAGAATTCTCGGAGGGTTTCCGTGGAGCGCCTGCGTCAGAATCACCTAGGAAGTATTAAAAAAAAAAAAAGTACCAAAGCCGAGGCGCATCCTCGCACCTGCCTGCCTTGGGCCAGCGGGCGGGGCCCGGGAACGTGCATTTCAAAGGGGCCGCGGTTCCTGCGATGCGCTGGACTCTGGGAAGCGCGAACAGAGCGTTTTGCGGGCTCTGCGGGGAGAGCTGGCGCCGGCGTCTCCCTGTAGCAGGACTGGGCGCCGCGCCCGTGGGTGGGCTGCTGCCCGGCCCCGCCGCCCAGCCAAGCCGCCGCCTGGGTGGCCATTCCCAAGCCGGACTCCGGGGAAGTGGCAGCGTGGATCCCAGCCGCCAGAATTCGAGGTCTGCGGCGGCTTTCAAAACTTGACAACTTTCCTTTCCAGGAGGACCCCGTTCTGGAGCGTTATTTCAAAGGCCACAAAGCTGCGATCACCTCCTTGGACCTCAGCCCCAACGGCAAGCAACTTGGTAAGTCTTATTCTTGTTTTGCTTTTGTAATGAGACTAAACTCCATGGGCCGGAAACCTTTCCTCCTGTCCGGGCAGGGTCCCTAGGAGAACGGCTAAGGGCCTGTATGAGGGTTGAGAGCACCCGGAGACGAGGGCCCAGCGCGGCGGGGCGCAGCTAGGGCCCCCTCTGCCATCCCGGCCCCCAGCCCCCGGCCCGGCCAAGAGCCTCCTATCCAGCGGTCTGGGCCTGGCGGACGACTTTCGCAAACTAACCACCAGGAGGAGTGAGTGGGAAGGGGAGGGGTTTCTCCTCGGCCCGGGGAGGGTGGGGTGTTGGCTGGAGAGTTTGTGAAAAGTTGTGAGCCGAGCAGGAGGAAGTAGGGAGAGAGGAGTTGGGCTGTGCCGGAGGCCGAGGACCGAGAGGGCTCAGGTGACCCCTGGAAAGCCTGGGTGGCTGGAAAGGAGCCTAGCGCCTGCATGAAAGGAAGAACCTGCTGGGAAGTACCTGAGCTCGAGCTGTGGGTTCCGCCGCCCTTCCCCTGCGTGGTGGCTTGGTGGCCGCGTCTGCGCCTCAGCCCTGAGAATCCGGATGGCGGTGAGGTGGACTTGGGCAGGCAAGAGCTGCCTGCTGCTGGCGTTTTTAACAGTGGCCTATATCTTCGTGGAGCTCTTGGTCTCTACTTTTCATGCCTCCGCAGGAGCCGGCCGTGCCAGGGAGCTGGGGTCAAGAAGGCTCTCAGACCTCCAGAAAAATACGGAGGATTTGTCTCGACCGCTTTATAAGAAGCCCCCTGCAGATTCCCGTGCACTTGGGGAGTGGGGGAAAGCCAGCAAACTCCAGCTCAACGAGGATGAACTGAAGCAGCAAGAAGAACTCATTGAGAGATACGCCATCAATATTTACCTCAGTGACAGGATTTCCCTGCATCGACACATAGAGGATAAAAGAATGTATGAGTGTAAGTCCCAGAAGTTCAACTATAGGACACTTCCTACCACCTCTGTTATCATTGCTTTCTATAACGAAGCCTGGTCGACTTTGCTCCGTACCATTCACAGTGTTTTAGAAACTTCTCCTGCAGTTCTTTTGAAAGAGATCATCTTGGTGGATGACTTGAGTGACAGAGTTTATTTGAAGACACAACTTGAAACTTACATCAGCAATCTTGATAGAGTACGCTTGATTAGGACCAATAAGCGAGAGGGGCTGGTTAGGGCCCGTCTGATTGGGGCCACTTTCGCCACTGGGGACGTCCTCACTTTCCTGGATTGTCACTGTGAGTGTAATTCCGGTTGGCTGGAACCGCTTTTGGAAAGGATTGGGAGAGATGAAACAGCAGTTGTGTGTCCTGTTATAGACACAATTGATTGGAATACTTTTGAATTCTATATGCAGATAGGGGAGCCCATGATTGGTGGGTTTGACTGGCGTTTAACATTTCAGTGGCATTCTGTCCCCAAACAGGAAAGGGACAGGCGGATATCAAGAATTGACCCCATCAGATCACCTACCATGGCTGGAGGACTGTTTGCTGTCAGCAAGAAATATTTTCAGTACCTTGGAACGTATGACACAGGAATGGAAGTGTGGGGAGGTGAAAACCTTGAGCTGTCTTTTAGGGTGTGGCAGTGTGGTGGCAAATTGGAGATCCACCCGTGTTCCCACGTGGGCCATGTGTTCCCCAAGCGGGCACCATATGCTCGCCCCAATTTCCTACAGAATACTGCTCGGGCAGCAGAAGTTTGGATGGATGAATACAAAGAGCACTTCTACAATAGAAACCCTCCAGCAAGAAAAGAAGCTTATGGTGATATTTCTGAAAGAAAATTACTACGAGAGCGGTTGAGATGCAAGAGCTTTGACTGGTATTTGAAAAACGTTTTTCCTAATTTACATGTTCCAGAGGATAGACCAGGCTGGCATGGGGCTATTCGCAGTAGAGGGATCTCGTCTGAATGTTTAGATTATAATTCTCCTGACAACAACCCCACAGGTGCTAACCTTTCACTGTTTGGATGCCATGGTCAAGGAGGCAATCAATTCTTTGAATATACTTCAAACAAAGAAATAAGGTTTAATTCTGTGACAGAGTTATGTGCAGAGGTACCTGAGCAAAAAAATTATGTGGGAATGCAAAATTGTCCCAAAGATGGGTTCCCTGTACCAGCAAACATTATTTGGCATTTTAAAGAAGATGGAACTATTTTTCACCCACACTCAGGACTGTGTCTTAGTGCTTATCGGACACCGGAGGGCCGACCTGATGTACAAATGAGAACTTGTGATGCTCTAGATAAAAATCAAATTTGGAGTTTTGAGAAATAGAGCACAACAGCACTTTCGTCATGAGCTGACAGTAGTGTCAAGAAAGTCAAAGAGCCTTAAGAGCCTCAGTGAAGATTGTATTTTATTTTATCAAAAGCCACCTAGCAGTCATCTGTGGAGCACTGGAAAGCTGGGGTTCATTTTGGTATATCACACTGAAACTGGGTACCCAGAGTGCTGCTGTTTAATATTTCACAATGCCTTACTTATTGGTTGTTTTATATAAGAGTTTTGTCAATATGGTCTCTTCTTAAAAGAAGTTGACTATGAATTGAAACACACAAAACATTTAAGTGCCAGACTTAATATTAAAGAATGTAAAGGTCCAAGTAAAATGAGGTATGATTTATGTTGATGTGTAAGTTCACCGCACATCCCACTTTTTAACAAAACTCATGAATGTGCAGTTTGAGCCATTGCTATTTTGATTACATAGAATTTGTATTTCTTTTTTAGCCAGCACATTAAATTTTAGATTTTATTTTTTAATCTAATTTTTTTCTAATCAAAAAGAAAATTGAGCTTAAGGCAAAAGGCCTGGTTTTAGAGATATGTGTAATTGGAAGAGGGCATTTGTTTGAGTGTGAGTTTGGAGGCCTTTTTAACATGCAGACATACCCATATTTAAATGAAATGGGGAGATATTTACATTCCGTACTTTGTAAACTTGAGCTATTGGACTTCACTGATGTATATATTAATACCTCAGATTCCTCTGATTTTGTAAGCTGTCTTCTCTGTGAACGTGTTTGTGTGTGTAGGGCATTTTCTGATTGCACTTCCTTAAGTTATGAATGTACTAGAAAGGGACTCATCCAGAATACTATGCCTCCCTTTGTTAATGCTTAATCATTTAAAGTAAACACAATTGAAGCCTCTCTGAAGTTAAACCCAACTATGTTTATTAAAATGTGTGAAACTGAAAGTGGGCTAGGTTCTACCAAGGCTGTGGAACTCTCCTACGAGTTCTGCTGATCAGGAAATTTAAGAATTTATCTTAAAAATGCAAGGAAAAAAGACTGCCTTGGCAATTGTGAATGGTGCTTTCAATCTCCTAGCACCGAGCCTGGCACTTAGGCAGCTTTCAGTAAGTGGGTGAATGAATGACTGAATGAATGAATGAATGGCTCAGCTGAGGAATGTAACTTTGGTCAAGTTATTATGATGTGTTTGGGCTTAGTTTTCTCATTGGTAAAATGTGGGTGCTGGATTGGATCTTAAAGATCCCTTCCAGCTCTGAAATGCTGATTGTACAGTATATTCTTCCCAGATTGACTCACTGTGCAATCTTTACAATACTTTTTATCTTTTCACTTTTGACATAGGTAATGTTGTTGAGCAGTTGAGCAATGTTCAGTCCAGTTGTGAAGCTGGAGAAGAGAAATGGGTTTTAAAAATTAAGTGAGGGGAGGCCGGGTGCGGTGGCTCACGCATGTAATCCCAGCACTTTGGGAGGCCAAGGCAGGTGGATCACGAGGTCAGGAGATCCAGACCATCCTGGCTAACATGGTGAAACCTCGTCTCTACTAAAAATACAAAAAATTAGCCAGCTGTGGTGGCGGGCGCCTGTAGTCCCAGCTACTCAGGAGGCTGAGGCAGGAGAATGGCGTGAACCTGTGAGGCAGAGCTTACAGTGAGCCGAGATCGTGCCACTGCACTCCAGCCTGGGCGACAGAGCAAGACTCTGTCTCAAAAAAAAAAAATAATAATAAAATAAGTGAGCTGAACTCACCTGAAGTGGTTTACTTCTGTGGGTTAAGAAGTTCTAGTCAGTGTTCATAGTCGTTTCGTTTTGATAATTGTTGAACCAATTTTGTTTTTAAAACCTTTAGACTCTGAAAGTAATATTTTGACTAAGAATGTAAATATTTCCAAACTAAATTACTCGGGAAGTAAACGCTTTTTTTAAAAGTATTTTTACTGGTTTTATACCAATATTATATGCAGAAATCACAGGATGAATTTAGAATTAAATCTCAATTAGTTCACTTTGGCCTAGATTTATGAAAAATGCATGCCTCGTAAAGAGTCCACTGTATTCACGAGTAAAGTTGCTTTTAGTGTTCACTTGATGACTTGGAGAGTAGGAATTTTGCAAAATCTGAATTTAAGGAAATTCTTTAGGATAACCATTTCAAAAAATAAAATTGCTATGCAATCTTGAATATTTTCTCTTTTGCCTCGTAAAATGAAAATGCATTCACAGTTTCTGTAAATTATTTAGCAGCCTTAAAGTTTATCAAAAAATTGTCCAGATTCCACGTGCAGCATGCTTGGCCCTGCATTTAATTTAAGAAGGATTAATAATAATGCTCTGAATTTTTCGAAAGGGATTCTCCTAAACCCACCCACTTCTCTTGCCCAGGCTGCTTTTTAAAAATATTTTTTTATTTTTTACTTATTTTTAAATTTTCTCTTTTTATTTATTTTTGGTTTTCTTGTTAGCCACCTGTTATATGGGAGAACGAAAATTGTTATATTTTGAAAGTACTTATTACATTATTTTTATTTTAGTATCTTGATGCTCCTGTCAAAAGGGAAATGAGGCTTTTAAAAATAAAGTACCTTAATTCTTTATTGACTTTTTGCCCTAAATTGCTAGGTGTGACCCAGCAATCTTTTAGGAAGAGATTTTACAGTGGTGCTTTATTTATATCAATAATCCAGTATAGTTAGGCTGTTCATTCCTCATAATAGAGTACATAACAGAAAAGTGGGACTTTCACATTTTCATATTTAGGCACGTTCCAATTTAATTCCAAAAATACTCTGTAATTCTACATCTAAAAAAACCGATTCCCTAATTCGAATTTATTGGTACCAAAGCTCTCTTTGGCTATAGACAATTAAGAGTTGACCTTTTAAGTTAATGTATATGCTTAAAAACAGTTTTAGGAAAATATTTGGTAGACAAAGAGTTTCAACTTTAAATGTTCACTATGTCATTTAGTGTCCAACTTTACGGATAGGTTGACTATCTAAATAGGCATTTTTAGTCATTAAAAAAAATCTAGTCACCAGGAGGATCCCTATAACTCAAAATAACTTGTTTGTAAAAGAAAATTTGTTTACTTACCCATTAGTAAGTTCCTGCATATTCATTATAAGATGGCAAATCAAACTTTTCTAGGATGAAGACAGCTTATTTTTAAGTTGTATAGTCTTAGTTGGTTTAGGGTCTCAATTTTAATTAATAAAATACTTGGTTTTTATTTGCTTGTCCTTTTGAATTCCTGTTTTAATAATTTTAAAATGAGCACAAAGAACGTTGAAGTTCAGATTAATCTCTTCTGAATGATGTTTTTTTCCTCTGTGATGAGTTGTTTCTGACTTTTTTCCTTTTGTATTTGTAATGTTGATTAAGATGTAAAATAAAAAGTGTGCCTGATTATTTTTGCAAATAGATTGTGATTATTTTAGCCTATGGGAACATACTCCTATGTATACATTTATAATGGCAATGGAAGTAAGTTCAGCTTGCAGTTCTTTTACTTATTTGAAAATTCAGACAGTGGATATTTAAAAAGTCAAAATTCCCATATTATTTTACAACGTGTCATTAATCAGCAAGTATTCTGAAGGGGTGTTAGTACCATTATTTTATTAACTACTCATGAGCAAACTAGAAATGATCTGGGATCTCTGGGGCCCACTTGGACCACTATAAAAGGAAGCAATGGGCACCTGGACATATTAGCACCAATTTCACTACCCTGGGTGGAAAACAAAAATGTCTGTCCTCTAAACCACATATCCTCATATTTCCCCGGTCCATAAATGAAATTCCCTTCCACCAGTGGCCTGTCTCTTCCTCTTTAGTGATTCCTAAATCCCTATACCCCTGTCTCTCCTTGGCCAGACACACTGCCTGAGAATGACTCTTCTAAGGACTCTAACAAAATCAGATGGTCTTATAGCTGCATTTAGCATATATATAGGTGACCTAAACATATTTTCACTAATTTTTATACACTTAAAAGTTCCTGTAAATACTTGTATTCTAACCTTACTCTCTAAGTGACTTGCAGCTCTGTGTAAATCACTTCATCTCTCTGTGTTTCAGTTTCACGAGTATAAAAAAGACTGGAAAATCCATAGAGACAGTACATTAGTGTTTGCCAGGGTCTGGGAAAGGGAGGAATAGAGAACGCTAACAGAGATGAATTTTTGGCAGGTGGCAGGGGGTAGGGGATTATGAGAATGTTCTGGAATTTGTGATAAAAGTTGTGCAAATGTTGGGCAAAACACTGGTGTACTTTAAAAGACTAAATGTTATGGTATTTAAATAATATCTCAGTTTTTAAAAATACCTCAGGAAAAAAAGCAGGCTGGAGAATTTCAGGTGTCTCAGAAAAGATTTCTCTTTGCATGCTAGACCTCTTTGCATGCCTCTGTGCATGCTAGACTTTAGAACAGGCTAGTAGTATTTAGTATTAATAATACTTGAATCATTGTGTAATTTGCAGAATTAAGAAAGTTACACACATATATATGAATGAATCAGTCTGCTTAGTATTAGGTGGGGCTTGGAAATCAGTTTATATTGGAGTTTTTCCTAAAATTTCAGAGAAACTTCAATCAATCCTTTTGGACAGGAGGTGGAGATTACTGTAAAAGGTGAAATGAGCTCCTGAGTTGTATAGTTGTCCACAGCAGAAATGAAAATTAGAGGGCACATGTCCTCAGGACCTCCTGATGCTGTGTCATGTTTAAAAAAAAAAAAAAAGGAAAATTAGAGCAGTCCTTCTAACTTAATAATTATTGGGGTACTACTTTTTCATTCGTGCCAAGCTTTATCAATCTTCCAGGCTGGGCTGGGAGTGATATCTACTGCAGGCCAGCAGTGTCTTCGGGTGTCTGGTCACCATTCTAACCTGTCTATTTGCATTTATCTAATCCTGTTCAAAAGGGGAAGAGGAGGCACTCTATTTATTTACTACTCCCTTATTTAGTTAAGGCTACTGTGTGCCAGATGCCATTTTATGCTCTGGGTATACATACAGAGGGGAAGAAAGCAGATGTGCTTCATAAGATGGTATGAAGAGTTCATGGTCCAGTGGTGGAGACAAATAATTAACAAGTAAACACGAATCCATTTGTTGGAACAACATGATGAAACAAAGGAAAATAGTCAAAGCTGTGAAGGAAAGGAATAGAATGCTTTTTTCTTTTTTTTTTTTGAGACCAAGTCTCACTCTGTTGCCCAGGCTGGAGTGCAGTGGTGTGATCTTGGCTCACTGCAACCTCCATCTCCCAAGTTCAAGCGATTCTCATGCCTCAGCCTCCCAAGTAGCTGGGACTATAGGTGCATGCCATAATGCCTGGCTAATTTTTGTATTTTTAGTAGAGATGGGGTTTCACCATGTTGGCCAGGGTGGTCTGGAACTCCTGACCTCAAGTGATCCACCCACCTCAGTCTCCCAAAGTGCTGGGATTACAGTTGTGAGCCACTGCACCCAGCCATAGAGTGCTTTTTAAAGGGAGGATAACAGTGGAGACATCCTTATATTTATGGGGTCAAGGAATACTTCCCTGTGAAAGTTAGATTTAACTGAAGACCAGAAGGAGAAGTTAGCTAGGTAAGGACTAAAAGGAGAGTAGCATAGGCAAAGATCATGGGTGAGAAAGAGCTGTCCTAGATCAAGAAAGTATAAGAATGCCAGAATGGGTAGAACCTGGTAAACAGAGATGAAGCTGTAGGGGGAGGTAGAGATAGCTTAGGCAGGGCCTTGAAGCTATAGTGGGTTTAAATGGTGGCCCTCCAAAACATGTGTCCATGTCGTAGTCCTTGGAACCTGTGATGTGACCTTATTTGGGAGGAAAAAGTCTTTGTAGATGTAAGTCTACAAAGGATCTTAATGATTATGAGATCATCCTGAATTATCTGGGTGGGCCCTAAATCCAGCGATGTGTCCTTGTAAAAAACATACAGAGGACATAAGAGGAGGCCACGTGAAGCCAGAGGCAGAGATTGGAGTGACACAGCCACAAGCCAGTGAGTGCCTAGAGACATCAGGACCTGGGAGAGGTGGGGAATGAGATATCCCCTAGAGCCTTTGGAGAGAGTGTGGCCCGGCCAACACCATGATTTCAGGCTTCTGGTTTCTGGAACTGTGAGATAATAAATTTCTGTTGTTTTATGCCTCCAGGTTTATGGTAATTTGTTACAGCAGCTACAGGAAACTTGACATGTTTTAGGATTTTGTTCTGAGAGTGGTGGAAATTGTTGGAGGGATTAGTAAGGGAATAACATGATTTGATTTGTACCTCAAAAAGACCACTCTGGCTACTATATGGAGATTGTACTATTAGTAGGGAAATCACTTAGGGGGATTATAGTAATACCAGCAGATGATGTTGGTTCAAACTAGGATAATGGTCTTCAAATTAGTGTGATGGTCTGGGCAAGATGGAAATTTGGGAATTATTAGCATATAAATGGTATTTAGTGTCATGGGAATGAATGAGATCACCTGGGAAGAATGTAGAGCAATGAGAACAAATACCCCATGTCTGAATATTGAAGATATCCAACCTGTAGATCAGAAGAGGAGATAGCAAAATAACCTAAGAAAGAATAATCAGAAAGATAGGAGGGAAAGCCGTTATAGTAGGGTATCATGAAAGCCAAGGGTTAGGAGTGGGGTAGAAATGTTGAAGATAGAGACAATATTAAATAGTCATTAGAGAGAGTGGAGGAAGAAACTAATAGAGAATCATGCACCACTTTGGAGTATATAAGACCCATGTGAACTTAGTTATCAAATTTATAGTGTTTCCAATCTGTTTGGGGGTTGGGTTGACCAGCAATTCTCACTGGTATAGTTATAATCTCAGAAAAGGCAGAGTGATTGGGATTTTTGCCAGGGGAATTTGAAGGAAGGAGGGAGAGTCAAGGGATTGAACGTTATGTGTATGAAGGGGATTATAATTGAATAAGGAGAGAAATGAAGGTTATAAATTGGTTAGTGAAGTGAAGATGGTGAGAAGAGAGCCTCAATGGAGAACATGGGTCTGGATGAGAACATGGGTCTTGGAGTTCTGGATGGGATGGAAGTGAGTGAGTCATAAGGAAAGCAAGTTGTCCTGTGGGTTGCAATCAGAGATTTGAGAAGTGCTCATGTTCTGCTGGTGACAAGATCCTCAGAATGGGTTGCTGAGGAGGCAGGAGAAAAAAGGTCTTTGGAGAGGCCCTATTTTCCCCTTGGTCTGAAATGTTCTTCACCACCTCACTCTTTATTTGGCTGACTCCCTGTCCTTCACACCTCCACTTAAAATGCCCCTGATCACTCTATCTAAATTAAGATTCCACCCCCACACAAAATAAAACTTCCTGCTTTATCTTTCATGCCTCTTAGCACAATTTAAAATGATATAAAGCCAAGCACAGTGGTGCATGCCTGTAGTCCCACCTACTCAAGGGGCTGAGGCAGGAGGGATACCTTGAGCCCAGGAGTTTGAGACCAGCCTGGGGAACATAGTGGGACCCCTATCTTCAAAAAATTAATAAAAATAAATAAATAAATACAATGATATATTTGTCTGTGTTTCCACTTGAATTTAAGCTCCCCAATTAGAGATTTCTGTCTGCTTTGTTACTTAGGACTCCCCCTTTTTGCCACAATGCCTTACATGTTGCTGGGGTCACATATCTGTTGAGTTAATTCATAATGCTCAGAGTTGAAATGGAGAGGAAGACTGTGACCTGAAGTAGCTGACATGTGAAAGAGAAAATGATTGCTGCTTGAAAGGTGTCAGGAAACTTGGTGTCCCCAAGCAGAGTCAAGATTTAAGTACTTAAGGAGGAAGAGGGACTTACAGAGAGGAGGATGTGAATACAAGAGGCATCATCTAGTGGGTGATGTGGCTCAGTGGTAAATTTTGAGGAGAGAAGGCGTGGGTACCAGGTCAGCTTAAGGGGATATCCATAGCATTATGGGAGTGAGAGATTGCACAATGCTTAATGACCAGAGAGGCTTGAGGCTTCAACTTCTGGTCATGATTAGAGGAAGCAGGACCTGAAGCATGTGGATTTTTTTCTTAGTAGACTCTTAGAAGGTAGGATATATTAGTCTGTTCTCCTACTGCAATAAAGAAATACCTGAGGCCGGGCGCAGTGGCTTATGCCTGCAATCCCAGCACTTTGGGAGGCTGAGGCAGGCAGATCACTTGAAGTCAGGAGTTTGAGACTAGCCTGGCCAACATGGTGAAACCCCGTCTCTACTAAAAATAAAAAATTAGCCAGGTGTGGTGGCAGGCGCCTGTAGTCCCAGCTACTTGGGAGACTGAGGGAGGAGAATTGCTTGAACCCGGGAGGCAAAGGCTGCAATGAGCCGAGATCATGCCGCTGTACTCCAGCCTGGACGACAGAGTAAGACTTCGTCTAAAAAAAAAAAAAAAAAAAAAAAAAGAAATACATGAAACTGAGTAACTTATAAAGAAAAGAGTTTTGATTGGCTCACAGTTCCACAGGCTATACAGGAAACATGGCTGGGGAGGCCTCAGGAAACTTAACAATCATGGCAGTAGGTGAAGGAGAAGCAGGCACATCTTACATGGCCAGAGCTGGAGGAAGAGAAGGGGAGGTGCTATATACTTTTAAACAACCAGATCTTGTGAGAACTCACTCACTATCACGAGAACGGCAAGGGGGAATTCTGCCCCTATGATCCAATCATGTCCCTCCAGGCCCCTCCTCCAACACTGGGGATTACAATTCAACATGAGATTTGGGTGGGGTCATAAGTCCAAACCATATTATAGGGGCTCTTAGGTTTCACAGGATGGGTGGAAAGGTGATGAGAGGGAAGAGGATGGGAGAAAACAAAATAGCCTGTGAAGTGTTGTCATCCCTTTTTATGGTTGCGGAAGCTGAAATTTCAGTAACTTGCCCAAAACTATAAAGCTAGTAGGCAGCAGAGCCTAGTAGTGGTCCCCAATCTTTTTGGCACCAGGGACTGGCTTCATGGAAGACAATTTTCACAGCAGGGTTCACACTCCTATGAGAATCTAATGCCGCTGCTGATCTCACTGGAGCTGGAGCTCAAGCCTTAAGGTTTGCTTGCCTGCCGCTCACCTCCTGCTGTGCAGCCCAGTTCCTAATAGGCCATGGACCAGAACCAGTTCGCAGCCTGGGGGTTGGGGACCTCTAGCCTAATAGAGCCTGGTTTGAGTCTGATTTCAGAACCATACCCTTTTCCATTAGGCCAGTCATCCCTTTCGCAGAGGGCCACATTAAAGTTTAAACAAACAGTAAAAGCCTGTTAAAGTATTTTCACAGGGTTTGCAGAATCTGAGCTGTACTTTAGAAGTTTCTGTTGAAAATTACATAATTTTAACATTGAAGTTGTTACTTCCCCCTCTATTTCCTTCAAGGTTATCCTGTCATTGATTCAATCCTGTAACATGTGGTGTGCTTGTACAACAAATGATGGTAAAGAACAAGTTAATCTTTCCTTTTTTGACTGAATAGAAGCAGACTGAAATTTGAACTTTTTAGTTACTTTCCCTGCAGTGAAATCATAATAAAAGTTTGCCAAGAATTCTTTTTTTTTTTTTTTTTCAAATTCTTGATGGCAGCCTATGTGGTACTTTGTGGAGCTTCTCCTATTATAGCTTAAAAAATTACTAAATTTATAAAAGCTGAAAAATTACAAAAGCTAAACTAATTTAGTGTATACACTGAGAGGTAGTAACAGAGTGCAGTGTTTCTCAAATTTCAATGTGCATCAGAATTCAGTGAGAAACTTGTCAAAAATTTATATTCCCAGGTCTCACCCCAAATAATGTATAATTTACTAGAAATAACGTCTTTTTTACAAGGATCCCAGTAACTGTAATGAAGATAATTCATAAATTCCCTTTGCTTTGAGAAGCACTGGTTTATTGGTTAAAAGCCTAGGCTTTGGAATCTTATAAAACTGGGTTAAAAATTGAGCTCTTTTCACTTTTCATCTATATTACCTTGACCAGTTACCTAACCTCACTAAGCCTCGTTTCCTCTTCTGTAAAATAGAGATAATGATATTTATCTGCCTTGTTGTTAGGATTAAATAAAGTAATACTTATAAAGGCGCCTAGTCTGGAGTACAGTGATGCAGTTACAGCACACTGCAGCCTTGACCTCCTGGTCAAGCTCCAGCCGCCCGCCTCCCTCAGCCTCTGGAGTAGCTGGGACTACAGGCATGCACCACGAAACCCAGGTAATTTTTTAAATTGTTTGTAGAGAGCCTCGCTATATTGCTGAGGCTGGTCTTGAACTCCTAGCCTATCGTAGTCCTTCTGCCTTGGCCTCTCGAAGCACTGGGATTACAGGCATGAGCCACCGTGCCTGGGCTTGATACTTACGCAGTATTGAAAAATACTAGGCCCATGGTACCAATTCAGTAAAGGTTTCTGTTGTTGTTATTGCCAGTCCTCAAAGACATGTGAAATTTGAATAAATTAAATTCAATTTCTTCAGCTTGTCATTACTAAAGATTACTTTTTAAAGCACCCACAGCTCCTTTAGACCCAGCTTATACTAGCAAGCTAATTACTTAGTATCAGCTAGAAAGCAAATATGCTTAGTTATTTCCTCATTCAAGGCAAAGGGATTTTAAGTTAGTGCTGTCAGTTAATTGTATTATTATGCAGTGCTTGCATAGTACAAACTACTTCTGACCATATTACAGTATTAAAGTTTGTCTAGTCAAGATTGGAATATTGTCTTTTTATTGTACAACCCTCTCCCTCACTTCCATCTAGGTTTATTGTTGTTTTGAGACAGTCTTACTCTGTCACCCACGCTGGAAGGCAGTGTTGCGATCTCAGCTCACTACAGCCCCAATCTCCTGGATTCTAGTGATTCTCGTGCCTCAGCCTCCCAAGTAGCTAGTACTATAGGTGCACGCCACCACGCCTGGCTCATTTTTGTATTTTTAGTAGAGACAGGGTTTCACCATATTGGCCAAACTGGTCTCAAATTCCTGGACTCGAGTGATTCACCTGCCTTGGCCTCCCAAAGTGCTGAGATTACAGTGAGCCATTATGCCAGGCCCCATCTACGTTTATGGATGTATGTCTGGGGATTGCCTTTTATTTTTCTTTTCTTAAAAATATTTAGAAAGAACTCATTCTCATAGATTTCTTTAGATTTCCCTATTTTTCCCCCAAATAAAGCAGTCTGGTGTTTCTTTTGTGACCCAAAGGCAAGCATGAACCTGGAAATGCAGCATGAAGTACAAAGTCATGGCACCAGGTAAAACTAGAAAGCTGAGTTTATTTTCAGTAATGGACTTTATAGTAGGACATAATGGAGGTAGAAAATACAGAGAAGGACTTCTGAAATAAGTGAAAAATCCAAGGATTTCTATATGAAGGTAATCTGAATTATCAGGAATTTTTTTTTTTTTTTTTGAGACAGAGTCTCACTTTGTTGCCCAGGCTGGAGTGCAGTGGCACCATCTCAGCTCATTGCAACTTCTGCCTCCCGGAGTCAAGCGATTCCCCTGCCTCAGCCTCCCAAGTAGCTGGTGTGCAACACAGTGCCTGGCTAACTTTTTTGCATTTTTAGTAGAGATGGGATTTCACCATGTTGTCCAGGCTGGTCTCGAACTCCTGACCTCAGGTGATCTACCCGCCTCAGCCTCCCAAAGTGTTGGGCTTACAGGCGTGAGCCACTGCACCTGGCCAGTCAGGATTATTTTGAATATGGAATGAAAAGGCCTGAGAGGGAATGTATTTCAAATGTACAAAGTTATCTAAAATATGTACTGTTTGGCCAGGCATGGTGGCTCACGCCTGTATCCCAGCACTTTGGGGGGCCGAAGTAGGCAGATCACCTGAGGCCAGGAGTGTGAGACCAGCCTGGCCAACATGGTGAAACCCTGTCTGTACTAAATACAAAAAAAATTAGCCAGTGTGGTGGGCACCTGTAGTCCCAGCTGCTTGGGAGGCTGAGGCAGGAGAATTGCTTGAACCCAGGAGGCAGAGGCCGCAGTGAGCTGAGATTGTGCCACTGTATTCTAGCCTGGGCGACAGAATGAGACTCCATATCAAAAAAAAAAAAGAATAAAAACATATTTCTTCCTCCAGTGACGAAACTAATTTGTTGCTGAAAATATCAATAGCAAAAACTGCAATTTTGCACAACCTAATAATTGTAAAACTGGACAAAATATATGTGAGTTAGCTGTTTTCAGGCACTGACCTACAGAGAGTGTGAAAACTATGATCTTTGCAAGAAAGAAAACATGCAAGGTGATGATCTCCTTGGCTTTCTTCCTGGGAGCACTTTTCCTGCTGCACAGCAGAGAGGTAGAGCAGCCTCAGAGTAACAGCCTGGCTGAGCTCAGGATGTGCAGAGTGGGAAACTGTGAGACTACCAGGGATCTCTCACTGCTAGACTGAGAGCTGAATGATACTAATGACCATGCAGGGCTGGATGTCTAGGTCTCTAGCTCCAACAAAGAGGAAATCTCTCTGAGCACTTCAGACATTGAGTTGAGACACCAGAAAGGCCAGGTCTTTAGGAATCAGGACCACACCTGAAAGAAAGGGCCATGCCCTAGGACTAATTTCCAAGCTCAAGCAGACCCATGCTACCAAAGAACAAAAGGAAGTGTACAAGAACAAAAAGGAGCCACCTATAATTTAATTGCCTCCCAGTTAAAAAAACGAAACAGGCTGGGCGTGGTGACTCACACTTGCAAACCCAGCATTTTGGGGGGCCAAGGCAGGTAGATCACTTGAGGCCAGGAGTTCGAGACCAGCCTGGACAATATGCTGAAACCCTGTCTCTACTAAAAATACAAAAAAAATTAACTGAGTGTGGTGGCGCATGCTTGTAATCCCAGCTACTTGGGAGGCTGAGGCACAAGAATCACTTGAACCCGGGAGGCAGAGGTTGCAGTGAGCCAAAATCGCCCCACGGCACTCCAGCCTGGGCAACAGAGTGAGACTCTGTCGCAAAAAAACCAAAATTGAATCCTGAACTCTAGTTAGTGGGATTGTTTTTGCAGTGGTGTGGTTCCATGATTCTGAAACTACTGTTTGTATTTTAGGATTGAGCAAAGATATATTGAGCATGGGAGCCAGGTTTCTTATTGTGGGAAAAGAGAGTCACAGATATGGAAAAAAGGAGGGCAAGAATGTATTCTGTGGTGTTAGATTAGAACTCATGGTTTTTAATACCTATATCAATTGATATACCTACATATAGATAGATAATAGCTTTCTATTTATAGCTAATTTCTTAGTTCTGCCCGTTGAGATTTCTGTCTTACTCCTTAGCTCTGTTCACTGACACACCAGTAGCAATAAGCAAACATTGTGCCCAGATATTGGTTTCTAAATACCATTATCCATTAAAAGAAATCAGAGCTTTTGGAGGGGAAAAAAAAAGGCCCATTTCAGGGCTGGAGTGGGAGAAGTACATCTTAGAACATCGTGTAATTCTAGAAAATAAGGGAGTATTTGAAGAATGGAAATATATCAAAAGGACACAGAGGCCAGCTTTTAAAGGGGCTTTCATTTGCCAAATCTGGAACAATTTGAGAGTCAAAATAAATGATAGTTATGGATTATAACCTGTTGAATTAAATAATCTATGCATTCACACTGATAAAAATAAGTAAATGAGTAAACAGATAAATGGAGGAAAATGGATGGTTCTTCCTTACAACAGTAAATACATTTTTAAAATATTCATTAACTTACTAATTAAACATCAATTAAGTAGTAAATCATAGAATGATGGGTTAGAAAATTATGAAAGGATGCTAAAATTAGTGTGTGACAGTTTGGTGAGGAAGACGATATTTATATAGTCTTGTCTCTCCATCTATTAGTCTGTTCACACACTTCTATAAAGAACCGCCTAAGACTGGGTAATTTATAAAGGAAAAAGGTTTAATTGACACATAGTTTCACATGGCTGGGTAGGCCTCAGGAAATTTAGGATCATAGCCTAAGGGGAAACAAACACATCCTTCTTCACATGGCAGCAGGAGAGACAAGTGCAGAGCAAAGGTGGGGAAGCTCCTTATAAAACCATCGGATCTTGTGAGAAATCACTCACTATCATGAGAACAGCCCCCATGATCTAATCACCTCCCACAAGGTCCCTCCCCCAACACATGGATTATAATTCGGATTACAATTCAAGATGAGATTTTCGGTGGGGACACAGCCAAACCATATTATGCTACAAGTTACTAATTAATTCCAAAGGGAAAAATAGTAACTTTACATGGTAGAGGTAGGATCACCTAAACCAAGCAATCAAAGTAAACATCAACACTATTAGGACAAAGAGACATCATGTGCACCCTAATATGATGCACTGCTAAGGGTACAACATAACTTTTGTGATATTCTTGTCAAAATTATATCTTCAATCTAATAAAATTAACAAACATGCTACCAAAATAACAAGCCTATAGTCTTCAAGAACATCAAGGTCAATAAAGACAAAGAGCAACCTAAGAACTCTTCTGTAATTTTTCTGTAAGCTTAAAATTATCAAAATAAAAATTTACCAAAAATAAGAGGGAAAAGGGAATGAGGCAGCTCTAGGTATTAACAAAACATTGTCTCCAACATATATCATGCTAAGTAGACTGAGGAAGCAAGATAGAGAGGCAAAATGCAGAATAGCAAGAATAATATACTACCATTTGTATAAAAAGCATATGAGAATAGACACACACATTTGTATAAGCACAAAGGATTCCCCAGAAATTAGTAATGCTGGTTGCTTCTGGGAAGGAGAACCAGGTTGCCAAGGACTAGAAGGAGATTTCATTAAATGCTGTTTTGTAATGTTGGAATTCTGTAATATTGGAATTCTGTTTCAGGTACACATATTACCAACTGAAAAGATACGTAAGATAATTTGTAAGAAACAAAAAACTGGAGACGGTAACATTTCTTTTCAGAAAATAGTGTTCCAGACAGAGCCTCTAAGTAACTGCAGCTGATTTTGGTCAAATCAATGAGTGAGAAAGCTTGAGTTGACTCAAGGAAGTTATTGGTACTTAAGGTGACACAAAGACGGGTGGCCATTTGGACATTGTGTGACAGACAAAGAGCAAACATGTTTTCCATTTGTTGTTCTTTGTTGTCACCTCCAGAGACAAAGCACTGACCTAGGTAAGCATGGGCTTTGTTCTTTCTTCTGCCAACAGGGATTTCTTGAAACAATGGATTATTGTTATAGAACATAAATAGTTTTTTTAAACTGGTAGATTACTAGTTAATGTTTTCCCTTAATTTCCTCCCTTTTGACATTTTATCTCGAAATAGACCCGTTGAAGATGAATGGTACAAGCTTTGACATTTTAAATTATGTGGTAATGTTTATATAGGGTGTGGTTTAATGGAAATGTATGAAAGCAAATTCCAAGTTGACACAGTACAACACTGACATCAATAACCAAATACATTTTATTATCATGGTATTAGGGTTTGGTAGGACAGTTCTTTCCTAAGAAAGAAGGTTAAGGAAGTAAAGAGGGAAATTCAATGTTGGTTTTCATAGTTTTTTTTTTTTTTTTTTTTTTTTTTGAGACAGGGCCTTGCTCTGTCTGGAGCAGGCTGGAGTGCAGTGGCGCAATCGTGGCTCAGTACAGCCTCTATCTCCCACCTCAGCCTCCCCCACCCCCACAGAGTAGCTGGGAATACAGGTGCAGGTCACCATGCCCAGCTAATTTTTTTGTTATTTTTTGTAGAGACGGGGTTTCGAGACGTTGCCCAGCTGGTCTCAGACTTCTGGGCTGAAGTGATCTGCTGCCTTGGGGGTCGTAATATGTTATATAATATGTATTAACTCCCTCCTATTTTCTTCTGACTCCATGCCTTTCTGGCTTTGATCCCACTTTCTTGAGGAAGAAAACACATGGACAAATTCTGATGTTAGGAATATTTTAAGTATATATCTTCAATATTATTTATCCAGGACCAAAGTAAGTCCTGATGCAGGAAATGAGTGAGTTTCACAGCTTTCTGAGCCCCTACTCGACCCAGGAAGCCCCGCTGGAACCTCCTCTCTCTTGGGCCCAGGGCCAGCTTTGTGGGCATACCTCCTGTACAGTTGCACAGGGCCCCATGCTTAGTTTAATGCTATGAAATTCTTAATTATTTTCCTATAAGAGCTTCACATTTACGTTTTGCACTAGGCCCTGCAAATTATGTAGCAGGTCCTGATCAGGCCTGATTTTACTAAACCTCATTTGACACACTTGTCACCCTCTTGGAATGCTCCTTCTCTTCCTGGACACCACAATGTCCTTGTTCCTCTCCTACTTCGTTTGTGGCTCCTTCCTTTGCTCTTCCTTATCTGAACGTTAAGTGTCCTCAACCTCTTCTTTATCTGTACTGATTTCCTCAGTGATCCCATCTAGTTTACAGTCTTTAGTACTTTCTCTAAGTTACTACTAACAGAGAAAACTTTAGCAATAATAGCTACATTTGAGTATTTTTCATGTGGCAGGCATAAATTGCAAGTACTATTTCCTTTAATACTTTTAACACCTCATTTTGCAAATGAAATGTCCTGGGCACAGAGAGGTGGAATAACTTGCCCAAGGGCACACAGCAGTAAGTGACAGCATGGATTTGAACACAGTGAGTCTAATTTCACAGGGTGTTCTTTTAACCACCACACTGTACAGTCAGAACCTCTCCCTGGGCTCCAGGCGGGGTATATCCATCTTCCTACTTGACATTTTCACTTGTATGTCTAATTGGCATCTCAAAACTACTATGTCCACCCCAACCTGTATCACTTCAGATCTCCTTTTCTGGTCTTTCTCATCTCATTAAATGGCACTAAAACTCACTTCAGTGCCCAGGCCAAAATTCTAGCATCTTCTCTTTTTCTCTCCCTCACATCTAGTCATTAGCAAGTCTCATAGACCCTACAGTATATCTTGATTTTGACTCTTTTTCCTCCTTCCAAGGCTCGCAGTCTAGTCCAGACCACTGCTTTCTCCTGACTGCGTGATTGCAGTAGCCTCCTAATAGATCTGTCCCTTGCCCCTTGTAGCTTCTCCACACAACAGCTAGAGTGATGTTTTCTGCTTTTTCCTAAATGTTTTATTGAAGCATTGATATGTTCCAAAAATTGCACAAATCATATAACTGTAAAGCTTGATGAATATTTAGAATGTGACCTGCTTATTTAACCAAAACCCAGAGTGAGAAGCATAACATTACCAGCATCTCCGGAAGTCCCCTCTTGTGTTCCCTTCCAGCCACTATACTCCCTCCCTGCCATCCACATAATCACTATGTTTGCTTCTAACTTCATAGGTTAATTTTGCTTCTTCTTAAACTTCATATAAGTAAAATTTAACACAGTGGGTATGCAACATGAATATATCACAATTTATGTATTCATTTTACTTGGATAGTTGGGCTTCTAGCTTTGATCTATTGTGAATAGTATTGCCACAAACATTGCACATGTCTTTTGCTAACCATACATAAGAATTTCTGTGGGTATATTCCTAGAAGTGGAATTGCTGAATCAAATACTAAGTATATATTCAGCTTCAATAGATATTTCAAAATAGATTTTCAAAGTGGTTATAACCACTAGTAGTATATGAACATTCCAGTTGTTCTACATCCTCACCAAGATTTGGTGTTATTTATCTTTTTCATTGTAATCATTCTGATGAGTGTGCACGGATATCTCATTGTGGTTTTAATTTACGTTTTCGTGATGACTAATGGAATTGAGCACATTTTCATATGTTTATTGACCATATGGGTATCTTCTTTTGCAAAGTGCCTGTTTAAGTCCTTTGCCTATTTTTGTTGTTGTTGTTGGGTAGTGTGCCTTTTTCTTATTGATTTGTAGCATTCTTTTTAAATTTTATTTTTTTTGTAGAGATGGAGTCTCATTATGTTGCCCAAGTTGGTCTCAAACTCCTGGCCTCAAGTGGTCCTCTCACCTTGGCGTCTCAAATTGCTGGGATTACAGGCATGAGCCACTGTACCTGGCTGATTCGTAGCATTCTTTATAGATTCTGTATATGCACACTTTGTTATGTGTTGGATATATGTGTTGTAAATATCTTCTTTGCCACTTGGTGGCTTGCTTTTCTACTTGGTTAGTGGTATCTCTCAGTGAACAAAACTTCTTAATTTTTGCACAGTACAAATTATCATTCTTTTCCTCTATACTTATTAACGTTAATGTCTTTTTTCTTTCTTTTTTTTTTTTATTGATCATTCTTGGGTGTTTCTTGCAGAGAGGGATTTGGCAGGGTCATAGGACAATAGTGGAGGGAAGGTCAGCAGATAAACAAGTGAACAAAGGTCTCTGGTTTTCCTAGGCAGAGGACCCTGCGGCCTTCCGCAGTGTTTGTGTCCCTGGGTACTTGAGGTTAGGGAGTGGTGATGACTCTTAAGGAGCATGCTGCCTTCAAGCATCTGTTTAACAAAGCACATCTTGCACCGCCCTTAATCCATTTAACCCTGAGTGGACACAGCACATGTTTCAGAGAGCACAGGGTTGGGGGCAAGGTCATAGATCAACAGCATCCCAAAGCAGAAGAATCTTTCTTAGTACAGAACAAAATGGAGTCTCCTATGTCTACTTCTTTCTCCACAGACACAGCAACAATCTGATTTCTCTATCTTTTCCCCACATTTCCCCCTTTTCTATTCCACAAAACCGCCATCGTCATCATGGCCCGTTCTCAATGAGCTGTTGGGTACACCTCCCAGATGGGGTGGTGGCCGGGCAGAGGGGCTCCTCACTTCCCAGAAGGGGCGGCCGGGCAGAGGCGCCCCCCACCTCCTGGATGGGGCGGCGGCCGGGCAGAGGCGCCCCCCACCTCCCTCCCGGACGGGGCGGCTGCCGGGCGGAGACGCTCCTCACTTCCCAGACAGGGTGGCTGCGGGGCGGAGGGGCTCCTCACTTCTCAGACAGGGCGGCTGCCAGGCGGAGGGGCTCCTCACTTCTCAGACGGGGCGGCTGCCGGGCGGAGGGGCTCCTCACTTCTCAGATGGGGCGGCTGCCGGGCGGAGGGGCTCCTCACTTCTCAGATGGGGCGGCTGCCGGGCGGAGGGGCTCCTCACTTCTCAGACGGGGCGGCCGGGCAGAGACGCTCCTCACCTCCCAGACGGGGTCGCAGCAGGGCAGAGGCTCTCCTCACATCCCAGATGGGGTGGCGGGGCAGAGGCGCTCCCCACATCTCAGACGATGGGCGGCCGGGCAGAGACGCTCCTCACTTCCTAGACGGGATGGTGGCCGGGCAGAGACGCTCCTCACTTCCCAGACGGGGTGGCAGCCAGGCAGAGGCTGCAGTCTTGGCACTTTGGGAGGCCAAGGCAGGCGGCTGGGAGGTGGAGGTTGTAGCTAGCTGAGATCATGCCACTGCACTCCAGCCTCGGCAACATTGAGCACTGAGTGAATGAGACTCCGTCTGCAATCCCGGCACCTCGGGAGGCCGAGGCTGGCAGATCACTCGCGGTTAGGAGCTGGAGACCAGCCCGGCCAACACAGCGAAACCCCGTCTCCACCAAAAAAATACAAAAACCAGTCAGGCGTGGCGGCGCGTGCCTGCAATCGCAGGCACTCGGCAGGCTGAGGCAGGAGAATCAGGCAGCAAGGTTGCAGTGAGCCGAGATGGCAGCAGTACAGTCCAGCTTCGGCTGGGCATCAGAGGGAGACTGTGGAAAGAGAGGGAGAGGGAGACCGTGGGGAGAGAGGGATAGGGATAGGGATAGGGATAGGGATAGATGTCTTTTTTTCACAAAAATGAATAATTTTTTTATTTTAAAACATCACAAGTAATTACAAAGACAAATGTCCCAACTATACAAACTTTTTCACATATACATATATACACACATATATTTAAGGTTGGTTGATCTTTCATCTTTTTATCTGAGTAAAAAGAAGAACACTTTCCTCATTCAGGAGATTTTTGATGTTATAATAGTTACCTGAAGGAACATAGAACGAATCCCCAGTACTTATTATATAAGGTATTTCGTGTAAAGTACACGAAAGGTCACCAAAGTTAACATAAAAAAACAATATATCCTGGCCAACATGCTGCTTTCCCTTTTCTTCTTGTGGTCTTAATATCAATTTCCCAGTAGAAAAAAAGGGTGTATCCAATGTGTTATATACCTTCAACTCACCATGCTTAACAAAAAATTGATATGTATCTTGTGGCCTTACAAGATCCATGAGAATAATCTCTCTTGTTTCTGGGTCCTTTACCATTGCTGGCTGCAAAGGATCTCCAAGAGGTATACCTAGATTTACCATTAAGCTAGTCTTTCTTTCATCGTTATCAAGACAGATCCTTTTCTTATTAGATTTTTTTGTCAACTTTTCCAATATTTTCTCTTGCCTTCCTTTTAGACGATATTTTGCCTGGAGATAGTATTCCACTAATCACGAATCCTCCTGATGGCCTTCCTTGATAATCTATTTGCTGTCCTCGCCAGTACTCCAAAGGTTTCAAACGTGTTCTCTTGGTCCTGCGAACATTTGGTGTGTTGGAGGGCAATACTAGTTTGTGATGGATTCTGTTCTTTGGTATCACTTTAGTTCGTTTTGAGTCATCTGAACTTCCAGGAACTTCCTCATCATCCACATCATTATTATTCTTTCCAGACATTAAATAATTATTATTGAGCCTGGAAGGTCCACTTTCCTCTAAAACTGAAGTCTTATGCTCTCCAGAATCCAAGTTTGACTCTGTTGGTGTATTACATGTATATCCACTGGTCTGAGGCTTTAGGGGAACATTCTGTGCAGTCATAATATTATCTTCATTCTTTGAGCTTCCTGTAGATCTAGAACAATCCAGATTTTTCCTCTTAGCCAAGTCTGCCTCATCACTTTCCAATGGCTCACTCAGGAAACAACTGGAAATTTCATCATGACCAATGATACCTCCAGAACCTTTAGCATTTAAAAACTTCTGTACTCTTTGGCTGTCTTTAGTTGCTGTCTTCTGCCTTTTAAGTGGAATAGTTTTTTTCCCAATATTCTTAGATGACTGATTTGTTTTCTTAGCAGATTTTTGCCTACTGTTGTGATGCAGTGGTAATTCATTTCTTATTGAAGAATTGCTATAAACAGGACTCTCCTCTGATTTTACCACCCACCAATTAGACGGATGCCTGGAAATTCTTCGACTTCTCGTGACAGTTGAAGTCACTTCTTCAGACACAAGTTTGTTCTTGGACTCACTAGAAAAGCGCTTCTTTTTAGATTCTTCCTTATCTTTTCTAGTGCTACTTTTCTTGCTTCCCACAGGTGGCATCTGTATTTTGGAAGCACAATCATTTCCCATCTCTTCACGCTCTTCCATATTTCTGTCTGAATTTCTTTGAAATTTGTCTTGGGTAATATGTGACATATGTATGTTTTCATCTTTAGTCTGTCCCACATCGAGCTGTTCTTCAGCTGGTTTAGCCATAAATTTTCTTCTCTGTTTTTGTTTTATAGTCCTTTTGCTTCCAGATGATTTTTCTGCATTCTTGGAATACATTTCATATTTTGTAGATCTACAGTCATTTTCTGTTTCACCTGTCAAAGCATAACTTGTATCCAGTACTGTTTTATCAGAGGGCTGAGATGTCTCTACTAGGTGAGGTTTATGGGAATGTTTGTCATTTGCCAAAGTCTTAGCTAATATATTATGATGCTTTTCTCTTGACTTTCTATCTTGAAGGAGTGCAGTGCTCTCAGCCGGGGATATGGTGCGTTGTTTCAGAGGCCCCGCCTTTCTTGGTATAGTAATCCCAAGATCTACTGGCAAAACTTTGATCTGACTTATCAATTATAAATTCATCCTCTATCAACTTCATATCATCGGGAGGACACGAATGAGGTGGAACAATTCCTCCATGCCTAACAATGGGACTGGATTCACTTTTTCGTTTTACTGTTTCTAAAAACAATGTTGAAAAACTTTTTTTAGCTTGTCATTGAATTTCATATTCTGAATGTCGTATTCTATTCTGAGATGATCCTGATGGTTTTCTTTCTTGTCCTTCTGATGTTTTATCCTCTTTATCTGATACTTTATTATCTATTTCTATCTATTTCTATTTTCTTTAAAATAACTTTATCTTCAAAGTTTAATCTTTTTTTGGTTTTAAGTGAAACCTCTGTACTTGAAGGCAGCATATTTACTGAATTTTCAAAAGTGTAAGTCTCTCTCTTTTGGGCACTAGATGGAATAACATTTTGCGATACAGATGTTTTTGCATCCAAAAGAACAGAAGGTGAGCCAACAGATAAGTAAAATTCTTCATCAGCTTCACTGTGATGATCATTTATGTTTCTACTTCACATTTTTTTCAAGTCAGGTGTATTTTTGGAACTAACATCAGTTGCCAGAATTTTCTGACGAACTTCATGGGCCTGAACTGATCTGTTGGTGGCTTCACTTGGTTCTACAACAAACTGCAGAGAGGCTTCTTTCTTCCTTGAAGAAAGTGGAACTGACTTTGGATGTGATTTCTGGCACTCTTTGCTTGGTGACTGAATACAAGTGTCTTTTATTTTGCGTGTTGAATTAAGCACTGATTTTGTAGAATTTGTGCTAAAATCATTGGCAAGACTTTTTTCTTCAAAACAGTCTTGTAAGATTTCCAGAACATTCTGGCCTTGCTCTGTGTTAATGTCACGTGCCCTGGAAGGTTGACAAAATCTTCTTCTGTAGCCATTTTTGAGATGATCCAGACCCGACACAGCCATGTTCCGGCCCCGCTGAGCCAGCGCAGGTGTCTGAGGTGGAAGCCCACACAGACCACAGCTCCAGGAGGCCGAGCAAGAAATGAATCGCCGGACTACCAGGCGGCGGCCAAGCAACACCCTTAAGTCGAAGGCGATGGCCGCCGCAAGAGCTGCGATCTGGAAGGCGTGCGCCAACAACACTTCCCGGCCATTGGCTCTGCCCTCAACAAACACGTTAATGTCTTTTTAAAGCAGTGTTTGCCTACCCCAAGGTCATGAAGATATTCTGTGTTCTCTTCTAAAAGCTTATTGTTTTACGTACCACATTTAGATCTGTTTTCTACGTGGAATTAACTTTTGTATGTGGTATAAAGTGTAGGATTCAAGATTAATTTTCTTCCTTATGAGTATCCAGTTGACCCACCACAATTGTTTTATTTTTTATTTCTTTCCATAATTTAGTACCCTCCTTTGAGAACACAATTAAAAAAAAATCCTTTCCTTATTGTCAAAGTGGCAGTGTTCTTAAACCAGATCATGAGATTGCCCCTGCTCAAAATCTAGAGTAGTTTCCCATCGCAGGTTTTTTTTTTCTTTCAATAATTTCAGCTTTTATTTTAGATTCAGGGAGTACATGTGCAGGTTTGTTACATGGGTTTACTCCATGATGCTGAGATTTGGGGTACAATTGATTCCATCACCCAGGTAGTGAGCATTGTTCTCAATAGTTTTTCAAACCTTTCCCCGCTCCTTTCCTCCCTCTTCTAGTAGTCCCCAGTGGCTATTGTTGCCATCTTTATGTCTATTGTACCTACTGTTCAGCTCTCACTTGTAAATGAGAACATACGGTATTTGGTTTTCTGTTCCTGCATTAATTCGCTTAGGATAATGGCACATTGCACTTTAGAAGAAGAAGACACACCTCCCACCATGGCTTCTCCTCCTCCATCTGCCCCCTTTTCAGCTTCCCTCCCACCGGTCTCTTCTCTCCTGTCTACTATGGAAACGCTGACCTCCTTGTCATTCCTCATTCTTCCAGGTGCTTTTGCACAGGGATTCCTGTGCTCAGAGTACTCTTTATCCATGTCTCAGCCAGGATCGCTCCCTATTTCACTCACCTCTCTGCTCAAATGTCCTTTCCTCAGAGTGGACCACCCAATCACCCCACCTAACATTGATGAGTAAATAATATATAAAAGTTTTCTGTATCTGTTTATTATTAATGCTGTCTTCCCTACTATGTGGTTCTTTGAAAGAAAGGATTGTATCTTATTTGCTTTTGTTTATCTCGTTTGCAGCATGATACACAGAACTCAAATAGTGTCCTGAGTTTATTACATATGATAACTCATCAGTTTCCTTGCTTTGTCTGCATTAGCCTTGGGTAATTCTGACTCTGCTATAAATCTTTAGTAATTTGGATAAGCTCTGGTGGAATATTAACTTTTTGTATTTTTTTAAAAAGGGGGTGCTAAGCAGTATTGTAGCTGAACTCACTTTTAACTGTTTTACATGGAAATAATGCATGGGCTGAGCCCAAATGAACTTTGTATGTTGGCAAAAGAACATAGGTTTCAGTGACTTTATATAGCCAGGCCCTATGTTTCTCTAACAGTGATACTAATTGTGTTCGAATTTATAACATTACATTTTTTTCTAAGCACTCTACAATCCAGATTTAGTGATTCTCATTGACCTACTTCCTATTATTGGAGCCATTCTAGGGCTACATGCATATAATAAAATTTGTTTTTTAGGCAAGAGTTAGATCTACCTTTCATTTGTTTATTTGTTCATTCTTTGTCAAGTCAGTTATTTCCACCATTGATTGCATTTTTCCTTTTTGTAAATCCTTAAACTATTGTCTGACACACACGATTCTTTTAATTCTTTTATTAATCATCAAATGCCATTAAATTATAGAGCAGAAAGAGACTAATAAAATCATCTTATCCAGCTATAAAAGTATTATTGGATCAGTTGATAAAATATAGTTGCTATATTAAAATATTGCATCTTTAATAATCAGCTTCATGAAGCTGCTAACTGTGCTATGGGTGTGTTAAGAGACTATCTTAAATCTTAGGAAAAACACACTGAAGTATTTAGGAATAAAGATGCTGTGAGTTGCATAACTTACTCCTAAATGGTTCAGGAACAAAAAAATACGTATGTGTTTGTGTGTGTGGGTTTACGTGTGTTCATGCGCAAGGAGAAACAAGTACAGAGCAAATTACAAACCAAATGAAGCAAAACATTAACAAGTAGATTTGGGTAAAAGGCATATTAGTGTTATTTGTACTATTCTTGTAACTTTTCTGTAAGTGTGAAATTATTTCCACATAAACAGTTTGAAAAATTATCTCATCCATCCCTCTCAGGAAAAACATTCAGTCCTCATGACATCATGACACAGAGGTTAACTAGCTTTCCATTACCCAGAGTTAGAAACAAAACTGACTCTTAGTCCCGTGTACCCTCTGTTACACTGTGCTGCGGCCTTCTAGTAAATAAAGTTACTGAGCGCTAATTGAATACGGGGGCCAGTCATCCTGCTGTGTGCTTACATAGGACACAGCCAAGCTTGCATATTAGTGATGTAGTTTTGAGTACCTTTAAAAAGTAATTTGGCTATTACCTGGGCAGCCTTACAACCTCCAGCCGCTCTATTACCTGGATGCCTTGTTATTAGATATGCTGCTCATTGTAATGAGACACACCTATGTTTGCATTTTAACAAACAGTGGTTTTGTTCTTCTATTTCTTGATAGCTACTGCTTCTTGGGATACCTTTCTCATGCTATGGAATTTCAAGCCACATGCTAGAGCTTACAGATATGTGGGTCACAAGGATGTTGTAACCAGCGTGCAGTTTTCTCCACATGGAAACTTATTGGCGTCTGCCTCACGAGACAGAACCGTGAGACTCTGGATTCCTGATAAGTAAGAGAAACAAAGAAACACTTGATATCCTTTGGATTTGGAAATGTGAAAGAAAGCTGACCCTGGCTGCTGCTCATGCACTGCTGCCTGCACTGTTATTCTCAGTCACATAAAAGGCATGCTGCCCTTGTGGTAAAGTCAAACTAATTCATACAATTTTTTTCCTCAAAATTATGTCTTCTTTTTGAAAACTATTTCCTACCATGGAAATATGCTTAATATGTCTAAGTTTTTTTGAGGGAGTAGTGGTAGCTATCCATCCCTTTGTAGATCTGAGGTAAGCTTTAGACTGTCTCCCCAGAATGATACACATCAGTATGTATAACCAAAAATTCAGTTTATTAACTTCCTAACGCCCGTTCATGGATCCTTCAAGGGCCCTTGGATCCCTATTGAAAACCCTGTGCCTTTGATTTGATTTGTATCACTCATTATCGGGGTCCAGAATTTTCTTGTTAAAGAAAATTTCTGACAAAAGTTTAAATCGTTGAATTTGTGTAAGGTCATATGCGTTATAACAAATCTCTGTAACGAGACTTTTCAAACCCTAACTAATAGCCCATCTATTTTAAGTAATTATTGAGCCATGATTTTTAAAAATGTTTTTAAGCTTTAAAGTATGTAAATTTTCAAGCATACATGAAAATAGAATGAATAGCATCACTCCCCTGCCTCATATTCCCGTCAATCAGCTTCAACAGTTGTCAGGATTCTGCCCATCTTGTTTCATCTACACCTCCCCTCACTTTTTCCCCTGGAGTATTTTTAGAAAAAATCCTACATATCATTTCCCCCCATAAATACTTCAGAGCAGAGATTCCCAACCCCTGGGCCACTGACCAGTACCAGTCCATGGCCTGTTAGGAACCAGGCCAGAGCTCTGCCTCTTGTCGGATCAGCGGCGGCATTAGATTCTCATAGGAGCACAAACCCTATTGTGAACTGTGCATGCGAGGGATCTAGGTTGCACACTCCATATGAGAATCTCATGCCTGATGATCTGTCACTGTCTCCCTTCAACCCAGATGGGACCATCTAGTTGCAGAAAAACAAGCTCAGGGCTTCCATTGATTCTACATTATAGTGAGTATGTAATAATAATAGAAATAGGGCTGGGCACAGTGGCTCACGCCTGTAATCACAGCACTTTGGGAGGCCAAGGCAGGCAGATCACCTGAGGTCAGGAATTTGAAACCAGCCTGGCCAACATGGTGAAACCCTGTCTCTACTAAAAATACAAAGTTAGCCAGGCGTGGTGTCACGCACCTGTAATCCCAGCTACTCGGGAGGCTGAGGCAAGAGAATTGCTTGAACCTGGGAGGTGGAGGTTGCAGTGAGCCGAGATCATGCCATTGTACTCCATCCTGGGTGGAAAAGAACAAAACTCCTTCTCAATAATAATAATAATAATAATACGAATAAAGTACACAATAAATGTAATAATGCACTTGAATCATCCCAAAATCATCCATCCTTCCCCCTGACTCCCTGGTCCCATGGAAAAATGGTCTTCCATGGAACTGGTCTCTGGTGCCAAAAAGACTGGGGACCACTGCTTTAGAAGATAAGAATTTGAGTATTTCCTTGACCCTGTTGTGGCAGGATTTGACTTGTAGTCTGTGACTATTCAGGCCCAGGCACTCCCAAATGAAGAAAAGCTCATGGGCATTCCCATGCCAGTGGGTGCTTTTTTTCTGCCACCACCCAAGGGGAACTCTATGCTGAGAAATCTGAATATATTCCAATGGTAGTGAAAACTATTGAAGAGAAGTGACATGTTATAATGGATGGCAATGTAGCAGGGAATTTTAAGGGAGAAGTAACTAGTTTGGGGTCCAAGAGGAGAAGCATGTTCCAAAACCCTTAACTTTGGGAATTTAGAACTAGCTTTTTTACTATCTTCTGCACAGCATAACTTCAGTCTCCCTTTACTAATTCAAGGAAATCTCAGTGAACAAATTGTATAAGGGTAGATGAGCTAAAAGCTCACTGAGTCATTAATTTGTCATAACTCATCTAAATACAATGATTAGGCTTGTGTAGGTGTCCCTAGTTTCTCTTTCTAAATCATGTCTTAGTAGGGACAGAGCAATAATGGTGGATCGTGGCAACGGGAAGGAAGATGATGTGTCAGTTATCTATTGCTGTATGACAGTCACAAAACCTTAGTACTTACTACAGAAACAATGATTTGTCACATTTTGTGGGTTGTCTGGATGGTTGTTTTGCTTATATGGTGCAGGCTGAGATTACTCATGCAGCTTCACAGTTCTTTTGCTTATATGGTGCAGGCTGAGATTACACATGCAGAGGAAAGATGGGCTCTGTTCCTCATTCGTATGCCTGGGGCCTTGGTGCGGGTTGTGGCAATGGCGTCTTGGTTCTCCATGTGCCGTCTCTCCAGCAGGATAACCTGTAGTTTTCTCACAGCATGACAGCTGGGTTCCAGGAGAATCAAAGCAGAAGCTGCTAGACCAATTAAGAACTAGGCCCAAAACTTGCAGTGTCACTTCTGCCACGTTCTGTTCCTCAGAGTAAAGTCACAACACCAGCCCAAAGGGAGGAGAAATAAACAGACTCCACCTCCTTTGAAGCAGAGAGACATGCGTGTACAGGGATGAGATGAGTCACAACACCTCCTCTCACAACACCTCCCCTCAAAAGTCACAACACCTCCCCTCAAAGGGAGGGGAAATAAACAGACTTCACCTTTTGTGAAGCGGAGAGACATGCATGTACAGGGATGAGATGAGTATTGGCAGCCATATTTGCAGATAGACACCACAGCTGGTGACCAGAAGGCTAAGAAAGAATAGGGAGAGGCTGGGGGCATGACTCGCACCTGTAATTCCAGCACTTTGGGAGGCTGAGGCAGGAGGATCACTTGAGGCCAAGAGTTCAAGACCAGCATGGGCAACATAGCGAGACCCTGTCTCTATAAAAAATAAAAATAAAAAAATAAAATTAGCTGGGCATGGTGATGCACACCTATAGTCCTAGCTCCTCAGGAGGCTGAGGAGGGAGGAGCTCTTGAGCGCAGGAGTTTGAGCTGCAGTGAGTAGCGATTGCACCACTGTATTCTAGCATCTGTGACAGAAAGATAACACGTCTCAAAAAAATAAATAAATAAGAAAAGAATAGGTAGGAGCAAGCCTGAAAGCAAGTCTGGCTCAGAGTTGGTCACAGTGGGCAGTCAAGAGAATTTAGCTGAAAGGGCAAGTAAATATGTAGGAAGGAGAGAGCCTATATTAAGTTAAGATGAGGAACTAGAAACCAGTTAGGCACCAGCACAATAAACATAAGGCACTCCTATCTTGGTTTCTTCTGTGTTTCCTGTTGAGACTGGATCCAGTGCTTGGTTTAGCCTACGGCTGAGAGGACAGCCTTTTAGAAAGGAGGCAAACAGAACAGCCTGCTGGAGTGTGGAGTGCAGAACTAAAAATCAGGGCAGATTTTGATGATACTGATGGTCTGTCTCTTAGCTTCCTGGTCATTGCAGATGCCTTTTCTTTTCTTTGTTTTCTCTAGGCATTGTACTTGAATTCAGGCCAAACTATACTCCTGATTTCCACTCATGAAATTTACCCTTGAAACTTCACTGAGCTAGTCCCTGGATGCTCCCTCCTAATTTTTGTTTAATATGTATTTCAGTTTTTCCTGAGTAATATCATATGTCAGGTGATGGAAATTTATGATAAAGTTACCTTTCCTCCCTACAGACCACTGGAAGGGTAAGCCAGGTTGGATCTACGAGCCTTTATTGACTGTTCCAAGTGGAATTCAACGTGTATTGAGTTCTTTTTATGTGCTTGACATATTGCTAGATGCTAGTCTTATAGAGATGAATAAATCATCATTCCTGTGCTTCAAAAATGTGCTGCTTAAGAGGAGACAAATCGTTCTTTAGAAAGTCACTGTATAATGTAGTAAGCAAAATCGTTGTAGCAAATAGGGAGCCATTAAGCCTGTCTGGCTTGGCCAAGGGGGTCTGGGGATGGGGAAAATAGTCCAGCCTGAGAAAGCAGTAAGTGCAAAGGCAGGGGTGTGTTTGAAGGGCTGTGACTGTTCCGAGTACAAAGTTCAGTGTGAGTGGCAGGATACCTCACCAAAGTACTTGGGCATTGTGCTTTCTTTTGGAGAAGAGCCAGTGACACATTTACGCTGGGATTTACATGCTTGGAGTTACGCTCTTAGCAAGGTAATAAGCACAATATGTAGGTGACTGGCAGGGGACAAAAGATTAGAGCAGAGAGACCAGTTAAGAGGCTTTTGCAGTAACCTAGGTGAAGGATGTTGAGGATATATTTACCTTAAGGCAAGCAGAGCCAACATAGAAGAGGAGGATTCAGAAGATATTTAGGAAGTGAGGATGATATGGTTTGCTAACTTACTGGATGTGGGAGAGGAAGCAGGAGTTGAGTGTGACTTCCAGGCTTCTGGCTTGGACACAGGCGGATGTCACGCTGACCAGCCAAGGTAGCAAAATACAGGATGAGGTGCAGGTGTATGGGAGATCAGTGTGAACATTTGAACATCTGAGACACATATATTGTGGCCAACTAAATTCTGTTGCCTGATGTTTTTCAAGCATTTATGACAATTTTCCCCATAGGTTATCTTGAGTATCAATATGATTTTCTAAATGGGAAAATTGCTGAGTCCTAGATACAATGTAAGGTGAAAATGCCTTGGCAACTTGGGAACACTGACACAAAGTAGCGTTTATCACATATCACCTTGTAACTCCAACACTATCTAGCCTTCTCCCATTTTAAGGTTTTCTACTTCTCAAATGCCTCACATTATTTTCCCCATCTTTTGTTTTTCTATTCTCTTCTTTTCTACCCTTTAGTTCTCAACACCTGAAATTTCATGGAAATTTCAGTGTTGACGAAGAGTACAGTACAACATAGCCCTTTCATACTTTTGTTAGGTTTTACAAGAGTTAAACCATTTTATTTAAACTATTTTATATGTTTCAAAGTCTGTATTGTGATTAAGTATTAACTATAATTAAATCAAATGAGTTATAAATATTAAACTGTTTATTTCCAGGAGAGGAAAATTCTCAGAATTTAAAGCTCATACAGCTCCAGTTCGAAGTGTAGACTTTTCAGCTGATGGCCAGTTTCTAGCTACAGCTTCTGAAGACAAATCCATAAAAGTATGGAGCATGTATCGCCAGCGCTTCCTGTATTCCTTGTATCGACATACACACTGGGTACGCTGTGCCAAGTAAGTGCAAAAAATTTCATATTAAGATGTCCACATATTTTTTCTGCTTCATGTTTGCCCCCAACTTCCAGAAAAAGGGTTTGAGGACATATTCATTCATTCATTCAACAGATATTTGTTGTGTGACTGCTTTGTGCGGGAACGGTAGTAAACAAAATAGTGAAAATCCTTGTTCTTACATTCCAGAGAGACAGACAAACAAGTAGGAAAATGGAGCAGGTCAGATGGCAGTAAGCACTATGGAGAAAGAGCTGGGTTAGAAGGGGGCGCGTAATTTTTTTTTCTTTTTTTTTTTTCTTTTTTTTTTTTTTGAGACACGGTCTCACTCTTGTTACCCAGGCTGGAGTGCAGTGCTGCCATTACTGCTCATTGCAACCTTGACTTCCTGGGTTCAGGTGATTCTCCTACCTCAGACTCTGAGTAGCTGGGACTACAGGCATGCACCACCATGCCTGGATAATTTTTTGTATTTTTAGTAGAGACAGGGTTTCACCATGTTGCCCAAGCTGGTCTCAAACTCCTCAGCTCAAGTGATCCACCTGCCTTGGCCTCCCAAAGTGCTGGATTTTCCCAGCACTTTTATTACAAGGGGCCTGTAATTTCAAATGACATTCAGGGAATGTCTTACAGAAAGTGTGACCTTTCTGTAAGAAAGATGTCCAAAGGGTGACCTTTGGACAGAGATGTAAAGGAGGGAGTGAGGCTTGAAGAAATTCAGGAAAGGAATGTTCTGGATAGGAGAAGCAAGGGCAGAAGCCCTGAGGCAGAGCCTGGTGGCTGTATGAGGAAAAGCACAGGTGAGGGTGGGTGGGGATGTAGGAGGGGCCCCAGGGAGGCTGGCCAGGTCAAGAGCAGCGCTGACTTGTGCCCTGGGTGAGAGGAGATGCCAGTGTAGTGCCCTCCTCTCTTTGACCTACATTTTGCTGGAATTGCTCAGACTGCTGTGTGGAGAATAGACTGTCAAAGCCAGGCCAGAAGCAGGGAGACCTTGTTAGGAGGCTGAGCAGTCCAGGTCCTGGCTTGGATCAAGGTGGTGGCTGTGAAAATTGAGATGTGGTTGGATTTTAGATAAAGTTGGAAGTTACAACTGGCAGTACGAGCTGTCACATCAGATTTGACGCAGCAAAGTCAGGAAGAACTCCAGAATCTTTGGTAGCAGTCTCTTGGCAGGTGAATGCTATTGTAGGTGTTGTTACCTGTTGGCCAACAGCTGTGGAGTCTTCCTATTCATAGGACACTCTGCTAAAGTACTGAAAGTGCAGATTGCATTTCCCTATCAGAACTGTCTGGGGGCTGGGCACGGTGGCTCATGCTTGTAATCCCAGCACTTTGTGAGGCCAAGGTGGGTGGATCACTTGAGGTCAGGAGTTTGAGACCAGCCTGGCCAATGTGGCAAAACCCTGTCTCTACTAAAAATACAAAAATTAGCTAGGCGTGGTGGCAGGTGCCTGTAGTCCCAGTTACTTGGGAGACTGAGGCAGGAGAATCACTTGAATCCAGGAGGCAGAGGGTGCAGTGAGCTGAGATCATACCACTGCACTCCATCCAGCCTGGGCAACAGAGTGAGACTCCATCTCAAAAAAACAAACAAACAAACAACAACAACAACAAAAACTGCCTGGGCGGGAAGGATTGTTTTATTTTCCCTATTTTGCAGATAAGGAAAGTGAGTTTCAGAGAGGTGAAGTTAGACTCACCTAGTTGGAAGTGACAGAAGCCTAAGTCATTTTTTTTCTCCCCACCAGGTGGTTAAGTAGCTGGTATGTTTGGAGTGGGGAAGGGACAGACTAGAACCAGGGAGTCTAGTACTGTTACGCCTCTCTCTTTGTAGTGTCTGGGGGCCTCTCTATATGCTGGCTCCATTCTCTCAAATGTGCTGGTACCCAGGTCCCTGCCGGCTCCAGGCTTCAGTCCTCACAGCCTTGTGACTGACTGAAAAGGAAAGCTTCTTTACTCCCAGCTCCAGTTAGAAGAGTACCAGGTGGTGACTCTGGCCTATCCTGGAGCCTGTGCCCATCCCTTGCCTAGCAGTGAGATGCTGTGGCTGCTGCAGTTTAGGTCAGGGGCCTGGCTGAAACCAGTTACCCTGACTAAGAAGGAGGGGTCATACAAACATATGTTCTAGGCATGGGGATAGGGGACACTTCTTACAAGAAGCAGGTATGGGGTATGGCACAGAGGTGGTCAGCAGGGGAAAACTGTGGCCCCTGTAGCCATCCTGCTTTGTGCCTGCTGTATGAAATAACATGCCAGGTGTCCCCAGCCAGGATTTGGTGGAGTGGGAGTTTCAGCTTTGCTCTGTCTGTCTTGCCTTACAGCCCACACTCCTCACTGTCGTTATGGTCTCTGTGGGACATTATTGCTCAGGAGATGTTGATTATCACCTATGGCCATGAGCCTAAGAAGAATATAAGAAGATAGGCAGAAGGTCAGACTTTTAGTCACTAGGTTTTTCTTGTAAAGGTTTCAGCCAGTTTTTGGCTCTAGCCATCTCAGAATTATTTCTGTATATGCCATATAGCTGTGTGGCTAAAAACATGGACCCTGGACCTAAATTTGTAGGTTAAAATTCCAACCCCACTACTTATCAGCTGTGAGACCTGTGGGGAAGTTACCTAACTTCTCAATACTTCAGTTTTCTCACCTATGAAAATAAGAAGATGATAGTAGTAACCTGCCACATAGGTTGTTACAGTATTCAAATGAGTAAATATCTGGATAGCACTTAGAACGGTGCACCTCACATAGTAGTCAGTATATAATTCTTAGCTGTCATTCTCATCACCATCACTGGACACTCATTCTTACTAAATTTATAAAGATACTTTGTAACTTGGGTTGACAATTTTTTCCCAACTAAGGAGATAACGCACGATGGTCCCAAGAGGCTGATCATTTGTATTGATGTATAAAGTGATGCTGTAAATAAGAAGAGGAGGCAGAGAGCAGAGGTTCAGGCTCTGTTCTGGGGTGGGTCAGGTATGAAGAGAGTTATTTAGCCCCCACTGTGAGCCAGCTCTGGGTATGGTTGGCAAAGGAAGCATATTCTTCACAGGGAGCTGCACAATAAGCAAAAACGTGACGGTTGATTTAACTAAGCAAAATAGAATGCCTAAGTTTCACCCTGAATAATAATAATAGCTGCTATTGGCCCTGCGCAGTGACTCATGCCCGTAATCCCAGCACTTTGGGAGGCCGAAGCTGGCAGATCACTTGAGGTCAGGAGTTCAAA
Organism: Homo sapiens; assembly: GCF_000001405.40. Taxonomy (NCBI): domain Eukaryota; kingdom Metazoa; phylum Chordata; class Mammalia; order Primates; family Hominidae; genus Homo; species Homo sapiens. The sequence goes on along the minus strand of NC_000012.12, from coordinate 89,488,703 downwards.
ACCAGCCTGGCCAACATGATGAAACCCCGTCTCTACTAAAAATACAAAAATTAGCTGGGCGTGGTGGCAGGTGCCTGTAATCCCAGCTACTCGGGAGGCTGAGGCAGGAGAATCACTTGAACTTGGGAGCAGAGATTGCAGTGAGCTGAGATTGTGCCACTTCACTCCAGCCTGGGCAACAGAGCTAGACTCTATCTCAGAATAATAATAATAACAATAATAATAATAGCTGTATAATAATAATAGCTGTTTTTGTCCAGTGCTATGTGCTCCTGTTTCCTTCTAAAATGAAGGTGCTTTCTAATAACTCTCATATCTGTATATACATCAGTCATCAGAGGGAATCGGCAGACCATGTAACCCTGAGGATACAAATTTGGCATGATGTTTAGCCTGATTCCTGTAGCTGAGGTATTAGTGGAGTGATGGTGGCTGATATAGTTTTCATTTTCTAATAACAAGAAGGAATATTATCAAGTTGTTCATGTAAGGGAAAATTTTTTATGGAAGTAAATTATAGGAGATACTTTATTCGTTGTCGTTGTATTGAATCATCTATATATAAGTCTTTTATCAAAGGGTAATCGTAATGTAAGACAATTTATGAAAAGTCCCAATAATGTGAAATTTGGTCTTCAAAATATTACTTTAATAAGTATAGTCACTGCCCTGTACCATATAGCTATATTAAGTATGTAGAGATGAAAGACACAGTCTTGGCCTCAGGGAGCCGACAGTTACTTCAGTGGGGAAACATGATACTAAATAGTTATAAAATGGTGTGTCCTAAGGGAAAAAGTGGCACAAAAGATGATAAGGGAGTAATAAATAAGTGAGAATTGAACAAGATTTGTGTGAGGAAAAGTCAAGAAAGCCGTTTCAGTCCCAGAGCTGAGGGGAGAGAAGGGGAAGAGGAGGCAGTGGCATATTTGTCAGGTGCGAAGAGGGAAGGCAAGCTGTCTTCATGAGGGAGCCAGGAGGAGCAAAGCACTGTGGCCTGCAGGTACATAGTGTGCTCCAGGAACATTAATTATTCAGCTGTGGTCAGAACACAGGGAGCATATGGGACAAAACTATCCAATATTCATATGCCTGCCTGCACCATAGCATCACCCTGGAGCAAGTTAGCTCCCTGCTCTCAGCCTCTGTGGAACTTGAGGGTATTGAGGCTTCTCTCACTGGACTGAGGATAAGAAGTACCAGTTGACGGTGTTTGGGACTGAGTGATGCCATAAGACTACCTCTCTTCCAGCTGGGTGCTATTTAGGGAGAAACTCTGGAACCGGGGAGGAGTCACTGAAAATGTTCTTCCCCTTTATCAATTTGAGAGAAGAAAACGATGGTGGAACTCTGCACTTCTGTCTGCCTATTCCCTGTTTTCTGGTAGCAGTGCTCAAGCTTGCCCTGAGGAACCAGCTTGCCCCCTTGTCCTCTCCGTGTCATGTGCAGGAGTGCAGGAGTGGCCCTATCTCCAGTTCCAGAGCGGACAGTCAGCTCAGGCTCGCCCACGGAAACATAGCATCCCCTCCTGGAGGAGTGAGTCTTGTTGGAACCATGGGCCTTTCCTCTTGGTTGGCAGTGTTTAGGCTTATTTAAGCCTGTGACTGCTGAGGGACACCCTGGGCAAAGAACTGACCTAAAAATAATATTAATTCAGAAGAGAGCAGAGCTGTGAGATGAAGACAGAATGAATTTCTGTCTAATCATATGATTTGGTTTCTGGATACAGCCATACCTGAAAGTATTATAGAGAGTGTGTGTATGTGTGTCTGTGTGTGTGTGTGTGTCTGTGTGTGTGTGAGAGAGAGAGAGAGAGAAAGAGAGAGTTTTTAAAAATTGCCTTTTCCTTTTTTGTTTTATCCTAAAAAAGATGCTTTCCATAGGAAGTGATACTGGAGCAGAGTTTTGAAAAGTGAAATCTTCTTACCCGGTCAAGACATTCATTTTAGCTCCATCCTCAACGCAGCTGCTGTAGTTTTAGCACCATTGGCCTTTGTGCAGACTGTTGCAGGAATCTCCTAAATGGTCTCTCAGACCACAGATTACCTCCTCCCACCCTCCACCCCTGCATCTCTGCTTTTGTGAAAAACAAATCTAGTCATGCTGTTTCTTGCCTTAAAACCCCTCAGTGACTCCTTGTCCTGGCGTGTGTGTGCACTGCCCTCCTATCTTTCTTTTGTCACTTTCTGTCTTTCTTCTGTCACTTTCACCATTCACCTTCTTGCAGCCAGACAAGTCTCCTCAAGTGTGAATGACCCTTTTTGCCTTGTGCCTTTCCATATGGTGATTTCCATGCTGGGACGCCCCCTGCTTCCACCCTTCCTTCACAACCTGCTCTGCATCTCTTCCTCCAAGAAAGGTTTCTGCTTCTCCTGGGCCAAGCTTATTGTGACTCCTTTATGCCACCACATTGCCCTTCTTATGAGGTCTGTTTATCAGCTTAGGCCTCTCTTCCCTATTAGACTTCGAATTACAAGTATTTATGTTGTATTCTCTTGCCAGGCACTGTTGTAAATTGTATGAATACAGCAGAAAATAAAACACAAAATTCCTACTCTCGTGGAGCTTCCTTTACTGAAGAGAGACAGACAGCAAATATATTAGTGATAAGTACTCTGGAGAAAAATGATGTAGGGGGTAACAAGATGAAGAGTGGTGGGTTTGGGAGGTGGTCTTTTACATATCGAGGTCAGGGAAGGCATATTTACCAAGGTGACGTTTGAGCCAAGACTTGACTATATTGTGGAAGTTAGTAAGGTCGGTGTCAGGAGAGTGTTCAAGATAGGTCAGATATGATCTGAGAAGCACTGTAGAGTATCAGCTACAGGGTGGGAAAGGGTCAGGGGTTGTGCAAAAATATGGTTGAATCAATCAGTGAAAGGTTGGTGAGTAGGCTTAGGTTTATCTCTAAAGCAAAGGTAATTTTCATGGATTTCTTCAGAGAAGAGTTATTTTTGTGAATCTTTTCTAGCAAATCCAGGAGTACTGGTGCATGCATGTTTTACATGGAGATGTTTATGTGGCTTCACTGCTTTCTTTGTCCATTTTGGTTGACTCTTGTTCAATTGGCCAGTTGCTGACTTGGCACACCTGGCCTTCATGGACTGTCTTTATCTTACCGGTACCTTAAGGTTCTGAGGGATTTTTTTTAAAAAATCAGTTTTCTTACTGTTTGGAGTGAATGATTAATGTGAAACTCTGCAGAGGCCGTCCTCAAGGAATGTTCTTTGATGAATAAGTTGGTTAAATTTAATGAATAAGGATTTCATCTTCTTGGCAACTTTTTATTTATGTACACTACAACATGCTTACAGATTCTTTCTCATGCATGTATTATAATATATCTTCTTGGCTTACCTTATTGCAGTTAGAACAAGAGAGTTTAGACCAATGTCTGGAGGGCCTGATTGACCACCAAGGCCCAGCCTCCCAGAGTGTTTTGTGCATCTTCCCATGAGAACTTAACCTTGATGAAATCATTCTAATCCAGGACTCTCAAAGATGTGCAGGACTAGAAGTCCTATTTTCACTCTATACCTGAAGGTGAGAAAGCTCTGGGGAGCTTGAGTCATGTTTAATAACTTTAGGAGAGTCTGAAACATAAGTCAGATGCCAGTTTACTTATTTTTAATGACAATGCTAACTGCCAGAGAGCCTGGAACATTTGCATGCCTTAGTCAGGGCCTTCTTCTTTTGCCAAGTCAGGATATAATCAGAAGGCTTTTCAGTGAGCCCTGGGACTAAAGCAAGAGTTGTTTGTAGAAAAAATCTTGTTAGATAGTTTTCTCAGGTTAGGATAGTGAGGTGGGCCCATCTCCCCATCCACGCACCTGCCAGTGATCAGTACTGCTGGTCAGTCACCCTTCCCCTGAGCCAGGATGGAGGCTGCTGACCAGCTCTTGCTCTTTGCTTGTTGCAGTTGTTGCACACCTCCTCTCTGTTGACGTAGTATCTTTCAGGTGATGCAGTACAGTGATTAGTTTCAGCAGAGAGGCAGCACAGAGTAGTTAAGAGCCTGGGCTCACTAGCATGTTACTTGGGCACATCACATTCTCTGGGCATTAGTCTGCTCTCATATAAAATGAGTACAATGGAAGTGCCTTCCTTATAAGGTCACTGTGAAGATTAAATGAGTTAATGAATGTAAAGTGCCAATTAATGTCAGCTATTAACTATCCTCACATGCCAGTCCTCCCCCTAGGGATTATACTGGAGCCACTGTCAGCTGATATTCAAAAGTCATTTCACATATTTGCACATAGTTTTGGGGGTTGCTAATATAGATAGCTACTATCATCTATTAAATGTATGTTGTGTAGTAAACTTAAAAAGAACGTCCTTTTATTTCAAAGTAGTTGGGTCTGAAAATCTCTGCTTTTTAAGTGGAGTTCTTAGTCTGTTTAAATTTATGTAATCAGTCCTGTGATTGGATTTAAGTCTACCATCTTACTGTTTTCTCTTTATCCCATTTGTCCCACATGTTTATTTCTTTATCCTCTCTCCTTTTGGATTAATCAACTATTTCTTAGTATTCTACTCATCTATTTTATTCTTAGCTTTACTCTTTGTCTTTTTTGTTTTGTGGTAACCTCTAGAGATTACAATATGTATCCTTAACTTGTCACAGTCTACTCCTGAATTAATTTTATGCTGTTTTATGTATAATGTTAGAACTTATAGAACTATATCTCCATTTACTTCTTGACCATTTACACCTGCATATGGCGTAAGCTCACAATATGTTAAGCAGCCAATTTTCTTTAAAGAAAATAAGAAACAAAAAAGTCTTTTATATTTACCCCCATATTTGCTACTTCCAGCATTCTTTATTCATTTGTGTAGATCCAAGTTTCCATCTGATATCATTTCTTTTCTGCCTAAAACACTGCACTTACCATTTCTTGTAGTGAAGGTCTCCTGGTGATGGATGACTTCTCTCAACTTCTTGTTTATCCTTTGTAAAGGATATTTTTGCTGAGATGTAGAATTCTAGTTTGGCAGATAATTTTTTCTTTTAGTGCTTTAATGATGTCATTTACTATGGTCTGAGTTTGTGTCTCCCAAAAAATTCATGTGTTGAAATCCATACCCCAAAGGTGAGGGTATTAAAAGATGGGGCCTTGGGGAGGTGATTAGCTCATGAAGCACACCCTTCATGAATGGGATTTATGCCCTTATAAAAGAAGCCCCAGAGAGACCCTTGCCTCTCACCATGTGAGGACACAGCAAGAAGGTGTCATTTATGAGCCAGGAAACAGGCTGTATTAGTTTGTTCTCACACTACTAATAAAGACATACCTGAGACTGGGTAATTTATAAAGGAGAGGTTTAATTGACTCACAGTTCCGCAGAGCTGGGAGGCCTCAGGAAACTTACAAATTGTGGTGGAAGGGGAAGCAAATACATGGTGGCAGCAAGGAGAAGTGCTGAGCAAAAGGGGGAAAAGCCCCTTATAAAACTATCGAATATCGTGAGAACTCACTCATTATAAAAAGAATAGCATGTCGGACATGGTAGCTCACACCTGTAATCCCAGCACTTTGGGAGGCCAAGGTGGGTGGATCACCTGAGACCAGCCTGACCAACATGGAGAAATCCCGTCTCTACTAAAATTACAAAAAAAAATTAGCTGGGCGTGGTGGAGCATGCCTGTAATCCCAGCTATGGGAGGCTGAGGCAGGAGAATTGCTTGAACCTGGGAGGTGGAGGTTGAGGTGAGCCGTTGCACTCCAGCCTGGGCAACAAGAGCGAAACTCCATCTCAAAAAAAAAAAAAAAAGAATAGCGTTAGGGTAACCACCCCCATGATTCAATTACCTCCCACCAGGTCCCTCCCATGACAAGTGAGGATTATGGGAACTATAATTCAAGATGAGATTTGGGTGGGTACACAGCCAAATTGTATCACAGGCCCTCCTTAGACACCAAATCTGCTGGTGCTCTGATGTTGAACTTAGCCTTTAGAACTGTGAGAAATAAATTTCTGTTGTTTATATGCTACCCAGTGTGCAGTATTTTGTTATAGCAGCCTGAATGGACTAAGATGTCATTCTATTGTCTTTTAGTTTGCATTTTTTAATGTTAAGCCAGCAATCATTTTAATGTAATTCCCCTATATATAATGTATCTTTTTTCTCTGCTGCTCTCAGATCTTTTATTTTCAGCAATTTGACCATAATGGGCCTAGGTATGGTTTTATCTATTTTTCTTATGGTTCACTGAACTGTTTGGATCTATGGATTGATATTTTTTCATCATATTTGTAAAAATTGTTGTTCTTTCTTCATATATTTTTCTTCCCTAATTTCTTTCTCATCTCTTTCTGAAGCTCCAGATTCATGTATGTTTGACCACTTGATATTGTCCCACAGTTTTTTGAGGCTTTGTTCATATTTTTCCATTTTTTCTCCCTGTGCTTAGTTTGTATAATTTCTATTGCCTTATCCTCAAGTTCACTGGTCTGTTCTGCTGTAGGATCCAATTAACTGTATCCATTTCTCTGGTGAGATTCTCCATTGGTTTGCCCATGATGCCCGTCTTTTCCTTTAAATCCTTGAACATATTTATAATAATTGTTTTACAGCTCTAATTCCAACATCTATGCCATATCTGGGTCAAATTTTTCTGCTGCTTCATATGTCCTGTGATTTTTTAATTGTATGTCCAAACATGGCTAAATTTTTGAGTTTAGATTATGCTGTCGTTGTCTAAAGAGTGTTAAGTTTTGTTCTGGTATGAAATTAACTTTCTGCTTGCCCAAAGAGATAAAGAGATTCTGTTGAGGCTTGGATTTAGCCTGTGTAGGGTGGATCTAGTGTAGTCTTTACTCATGGGCTGTAGTGCCACTGGCCCTTCTAGAATTTCAAATGAATACCTGGAGTATTCAGAAAAGGCTGGTCAGAGCTTGAGCATCTCTCAGTTCTGTGTAACCTCTGTAATCTTTGCTCTGTTCACAGCCTCCCAGTAGTTGTTCTCTGCCAAGCCTTGTTGCCTTTGCACGGGCAGCTTTGTATTTGACAATACAAAGGGAATTGTATTATATACAAGGGGGTTCCTTGTAAATTTTTTTTCCAATGCAGAATTTTTGGGGATTCTGCTTTTCGTAAATCTTCTCTTGTACCCTGTCTTCAAAATTTCAGCCCATTAGCAGCCCTGAGTTCTGATTTCTGTTTCCTGTGCCCAGTGAGACTGCTGTTATCTCCTTGGGCTCTACTTCCATGTACTAAGATTTAGAAAGTGCTCCTATGTAGAAATCTGGGACAGATTTTGTGCTTATCTCATGTGTTTCCCATCTGTCAAGATTTGTAACCCTATGCTGTCTCTTGCCTAGTTCCTAAAAACAGTTGCTTCATATATTTGGCAGTTGTATGGTTGTTTATGGTAGGGAAGTAAGTCTGATAACCTTTACTACCCCATGGCCAGAACTGGAAATTCTGTCCAAGGAGTTAGTGGAACCTGACAAGTTAATTTTAAAATTCACATGGATGTGATAAATGTGCAAGAATAGCCAAGGAAAATTGACAAGAAAACAATTAGAGCCAGGTGGCTCACACCTGTAATCCCAGCACTTTGGGAGGCCGAGGCGGGTGGATCACTCGAGGCCAGGAGTTTGAGACCAGCCTGGCCAACATGGCCCTAACAATTAGGCCCTAACAATTAGGCCCTGACAATTAGGGCCAGGTGGCTCACACCTGTAATCCCAGCAATTTGGGAGGCTGAGGCAGGTGGATCACTTGAGGCCAGGAGTTTGAGACCAGCCTGGCCAACATGGCAAAACCCCATCTCTATTAAAAATACAAAAATTAGGCTGGGCGTGGTGGCTCATGCCTGTAATCCCAGCATTTTGGGAGGCCAAGGCGGGCAGATCACAAGGTCAGGAGATCGAGACCATCCTGGCTAACATGGTGAAACTCCATCTCTACTAAAAATACAAAAAATTAGCCGGGTGAGGTGGCGGGCGCCTGTAGTCCCAGCTACTCAGGAGGCTGAGGCAAGAGAATGGCGTGAACCCCAGGGGGCGGAGCCTGCAGTGAGCCGAGATCTTGCCACTGCACTCCAGCCTGGGCGACAGTGAGACTCCGTCTCAAAAAAAAAAAAAAAAAAAAAAAATACAAAAATTAGCCAGGCATGGTGGCGCACACATGTATTCCCAGCTACTCGGGAGGCTGAGACACAAGAATCGTGTGAACCTTGGAGGCAGAGGTTGCAGTGAGCCGAGATCATGCCACCGTACTCCAGACTGGCAGCAGAGTGAGACTCTATAAAAAAAAAAAAAAGAATTATAAATTAGCTTTATAACTTATCAGTCTCTTGCAAGAAGTGAGTGGATTGCTTGAGTCCAGGAGTTTGAGACCAGCCTGGGCAGCCTGGCAAAACCCCATCTCTACAAAAAATACAAAAATTATCTGGGCATGGTGGCATGCACCTGTAGTCCCAGCTACTTTGGAGGTTAAGGTGGGAGGATCACCTGAGCCTGGGAGGCCTATGCTGCGGTAAGTTGAGACGGTGCCACTGCACTTCAGCCTGACTAATGGAGTGAGACCTTGTCTCAAAAAAAAAAAACGAAAGAAGAAACTTGTCCAACCAGTTTTCAAAACATAATATAAAACCATAGTAATTAAAATATGGTGATAATGGTACAGGATTAAGAAAAGAGGTCATATAAAGCCCAGAAGCAGATACATGTGTATATGAGAACTTACAATAAATGTGGCATTTCCAATCAGTGGGGAAATATATGGTCTATTTAATATGTAGTTAAGATAACTAGATTTATATTTGGAAAAATATAAAGTTGAATATTTTACCAAAAAAATTTAGATGAATTAAACAACTAGATATTTAAAATAATCCAAATGGTACTGCTTTTCCTCCCAGTGCATGGATAGTGTACTTAAATGAATGTAGAGGATCAGTAGAGCAATTGTTTCTGCCTTTAGTATTTGAATTTTAAATGTATGCCATGGACTTAAGTAATTAAAATTCTGTGTCTATCTCGGTGCCCAGTACTTTCTATGAGTTTGTTCTTGGAGCCCAAGCTTATTCAGTGTCGCACAGAGATGGTGCCCATTAGTGTAAGAGGAGGTGAATAGGTAGTTTCTCTAGACTAACCTTTGTTATAATCTAATTTAACAAAGGTTAATTTAAATAAATAAGGTATACCATATATTTGGAAATACATTCATGCTTTTAAAATGTAAATAGTATAGTCTTTTTATAAGTCTATTTGCAAAATATGTCAGGCATCTTTGTTGCAGTGATTCTACAACCAAAAATGTGTCCAAAATAAATACTTTTTTGCCATCACATGAAAAAGCTTTGTATTCAAAGGTGGTGCTTTCAGTATAATTTGAAATGATGAGAAATTAGAAATAACCGATTTTTCCAATTTTTATTTCAAATAAAAAACCTAGTTAAATATAGTTAGATTATGATGTAACCAGTAAAAAGGGAGTCTATATGCAAGTTATGGCATGAAAATATGTTTACATGGGGAAATGGAATGCAGTGGTTATATTATAAAAGACCTATGCATGAACAAAAGATGAGGTATCTATTATACACAAGATATTAAGTGTAATTGTGTTTGAGTGACAAGATCTGGACTTTTAAAATTTTCTGTATTTCTCAACTTTTAAACATATGATGAAGAAAACATCATTTGAAATACATGTATGTAGGTGAGAAATATCTTTTTACTTACAAAAGAATTTTTCTAAAAGTTAAAATTAGTATAGCCCTTTGTTTTTAAAAACAATGCACGTATTGTGGGATAACTTACATTTCTTTATAGTGTTCTTAATAAAAAATAAGTAGAAGTTAATGTAGTAGAGAACTTTTCCGAGTCTGTTGCTTTTCCAGCATTGATTTTTTGGGAGTAAATATCTGCCTATAATTTTCAGTTGTTGATAGGATTACAAAGTGATCTTTTGACCATCTGAATTGAAAAGATTTTGTGAAATTGTGGTAAAATATATATAACAAAATTTACCATTTTAACCATTTTTATGTATACAGTTCTGTGGCATTAGGTATATTCACATTGTTGTGCAACGAATTGCAAAGATTTTTCTCAGCTTACATTGGCTATATATAATATTAAGTTAGTTTAAATTCCCTTAAAACTTTTTTTTTTAATTTCCTAAACATTTACTAAGGACCTACTCAGTGCCAGGCACTGTGTCTGGGGATAGAGCATTGAGTGAGACAGATGTGAGTTGCCTCTTCTTGCTTATATTCTATTAGGGAAGCCAGCGTGGAGCACTGAGGTATAAATGTGGATGTGGGGCCAGGCGTGGTGTTTAACGCCTGTAATCCTAACACTTTGGGAGGCTGAGGCGGGTGGATCACTTGAGGCCAGGAGTTCAAGACCAGCCTAGCCAACATGGCGAAACCCCATCTCTACTAAAAATACATAAATTAGCCAGATATGGTGGCACATGCCTGTAATCCCAGCTACCTGGGGAAGCAGGGTAGCTGAGGCATGAGAATCGCTTGAACCCAGGAGGCGGAGGTCGCAGTGAGCTAAGATCCCGCCATTGCACTCCAGCCTGGGCTACAGAGCAAGAGTCTATCAATAAATGAATGAATGAATGAATGAATGAATGAATGAATGAATGAATGAATGTGGTTGTGGGCAACTCCAAGAACACATCTTGGGGTGCTAGCCTACTGGTGACAGTGTTCAGGAAGGCCGTTCCTGAGGAAGTGACATTGAAGCAGAGAGCTTGAAGGAGGTGTAAAATCCTTTTTATAGATTTTAAACTAGGTAAAGACTAGGGGGCAGTGTTTGAGGCACAGGGAAGCATCTGAGCAAGAGCAAGGGACCTAAGAGAAGGTAAAGAAGAGGAGGGTGATGAAGATGAAGACGCAGGAGGATAGGTCCTAGAGAGCTATGAGCATGTCACACTTCTCCCCAAAGGAAACGTGAAACCACCGAAGGTTTTAAGCAGAAAGATGACCCAGTTTGATTTAAGATTTAAAGATCACTTTTGTTGCTTGTGGAGAGTGGAAGACAACAGGGTCAATTGTGGTTTAAGGAGGCAGGACCCAATAATGGATTGGAATGTGGGGAAGTAGAAGAGAAAGAAGAATCAAGCCAGACCCCCGAGTTTCTGGCTTGAGAAACCATTTACTAAGAAAGAAAACACTGAATAAAGAGGAGAAGAAGAGAACCTTCCTCTTCAAGAGGAAGAGGGTGAATTCATTTGGGCAAGTTCAGAGCTGGAGGTTCCTGCAGGATATCCAAAAGGGGATGCCCAGCAAGCAGTTGTACTCATGGGTGGAGATTCCAGGAAGGAATTCTGGGCACATAGATGGTAAATTCCCGAACAAGTAATTTTCATGGCATGCTTCATCTTTTTACATATTTTTCATCTGCTTTTTGTCTCTCAGCAGTTGCAGAAATGAATCCTGCTACTGTAGTCAACAGATGGTTTCTCTTCTAATGCTGACCAACACTTAAAAAAAATAAATGTTTTGCTTATTGACTTGAACTTCACCTTCAATCTGTAAACATCAAATTCTATCAGCGCAAACTCTGAGACTGCCAAATTTTTAGAGTCTGTGAAAATTTTAGGGCTGATTCAATCCAGACTCCTTCATTATACAAATAGGAAATGGTGGCCATTACGGTTGTGAGTTTACAAGATTACATAGCTGGACAGTTGCAGAACTGGCCCTAGAATTCAGGACTTGGTATTTACTGAGCAGTCTTATTTCCACTACTTTTTACTGCTTCCTCCTACTACTGAAGAGCTGTTGGCTTCAGAGTTCCTCTTACTAATGATTTGTGTCTTACGGGACATGAAATAGTGCCTGCCCTGTTTGGTCCCAGAGCCCTGAGTGCTGGGAATGTGTTTTTATAGAAAATGTATTCTGAAGATAAGAAATAGCCAAAGGAAAATTTGAATTTTTTATAAAAGTGTCTGTCTGTCTGTCTGTCTATCTATCTATCTATCTATCTATCTATCTATCTATCTATCTATCTATCTATCTATCTATCTATTGAGACAGTCTCACTTTGTCACCCAGGCTGGAGTGCAGTGGTGCGATCTTGGCTCACTGCAGCCTCCGCCTCCCTGATTCTCTTGCCTTAGCCTCCCAAGTAGCTGGGATTACAGGCATGCACCACCAGGCCCAGCTAATTTTTGCATTTTTAGCAGAGATGGGGATTCACCATATTGCCTAGGCTTGTCTCAAACTGATGGCCTCAATGATCTGCCTGCCTCAGCCTCCCAGAGTGCTGGGATTACAGGCATGAGCCACCACACGTGGCCTTATGAAAGCACTTTAAGACTTTTCATGGTTCATGGACGTTTTTGGTTCTGTAATGAACAAGTAACTATGACTATGAATATAGACATAAAATTTTTACATACAATTACAGGAACTCTGTAGATTCCAAGTTAAAAAGACTCCTGTTATATAATTTGGGCTATTTTCAAGGACATGTGAATCAGTTTTACTAGAAATAAGTTCAAGAATTTCCTCATTCTGGGCTGGGCACAGTGGATCATGCCTGTAATTCTAGCACTTTGGGAGGTGAAGGCAGGAGGATTGCTTGAGCCCAGGGGTTCAAGACCAGCCTGGGCAACATGGCGAAACCCTGTCTCTACAAAAATTACAAAACTTCGCCGTGCAAGGTGGCACAAGCCTGTAATCCCAGTTATTTGGGAGGCTAAGGTGGGATGATCACCTGAGCCCTGGAGGTCGAGGCTGAAATAAGCCGAGATTGCACCACTGCTTTCCAGCCTGGGTGACCCTGTCTCAAAAAAAAAAAAAAAAAAAAAAAAGAATTCCCTCATTCTTTTGAGTGAATACCAGTAAAGTTTAAGGAATTCAGTAGTAGTTCAGCTAACTTCTCATATGCCTCTTAAACTCTCGAATGTCCATGTTTGCTGATCCAGTAGTCACTATTGACTAATGTAATATTCATCTTGGTGACACACTTTGTAGACGTTTTTAAAGGCAGTTGGGTGGTACTAAATTAAGAGAGTCAGAAATCTATTAATGTCTTAGTAGAAATTTTATATCCTCTTTAAATTCTTAAAAGTCTAGTTAGATGTTATTTGAGCCCTGACGATAAAGGACTAACCTTTCCTAATCAAAGTCAAGGCAAAGAGAAGCCTGTTTTATTGGTGCTAACCTATTTTTGATGTATCTAATTAAAAATAAAAGGGAGGAGGAGGAAATAGAAATCATCATTCTCACTTTCAGCCACCTCAAATGCAAAAAAACACATACAGAGAGCATATGCAGGATTATAATGCAGTGACCAGAGCAGGGGGAAGGCCTTAACCTCAGTCCCCTTTAGTTTCTGTTAAGTTGATGGTAGAAACCTCGCCTCCTTCTGGCACCAGGTTCTTCCCAGCCACTGCCTGTACTTTAACTCATTCGAGGTTCACATCCCTTCATTTATTTTGCTCTGGGAAATTTCTCCCAGCTATGGGCCCTCCTGCTCAGGAGGCACTTTTAGCTGACCAAGATAACACTTTTCCTCATTTGCAAGTTTCTTTAAAATCCTGTTTCCTCTATGGAGCTTCTGGTAACAAATTGGCACCTGTTTTGTTAACAACCCTTTTTCCTATCACTTTCTAAAATTATGTTTTTTGTGTGCCCTCCCTTCTCCCTAGAACAAAAGCCTCATAAGGGCAGGGATCTTGCCAGTCTCATTCACAGCTATATTCCTACTACCCACAGCAGTGCCCAGTGCCAGGTACTGACAAGTGCTCAGGGAATCTTTGAATGAATCAGTGGGTGAAAATTTTTCCCACAAACTCCACAAGGACAGGGACCATGTCTGTTTTACCTACAGCTTATGGCAACACACACAGATGTTTATTCAAGGATGGTGTATAGCCTCCTAACAGCACTGCCTCGTGGTTCCTCTCCACTTTAGAACCTTCTGTTGTTTACACAGAAGCCACACAGAACTTCCAGTGCTCTAAGTAATTTGGGCCAGTAGAAGACACTTTCCTTTTTGTCAGACTTAAGCAGAGTGGTTCAGAGATTTGGCTGTGGAAACAACTGCCTGATTCAAATCCAGACCCCTCTCCCCACTGACCTGATAACACTGGCAGTTACTTATCCTTTATGTGCCTCTGTTTCTTCACTGTAAATTGAGACAAGCAGTAGCACCTGTTTTACTGGGTTATGCTGAAAATTAAATGAGTTGCTACATGTAATGTGTTAATAACCGTTCTAGGACACATGTGCTCAAGGAATGTGGGTAGGATAATGATGTGATGGTGGTGGTAGTATTTGGTTGATGTCATAGGGTAAGTACTTCTATATTTTGTTATTATCTAAGCATTTCATTTTATTAAATATTTTTCTCCATAATTGCTTTCTTGAAATGTAAGAGTTAAGTCCTCTCATAGAAATATTTTGGTCACTTAACATAGTCACATTAAGTAATATTTTTTAAAAAGAAGCTTAGTAAGTAAGACAATTTGATCCCTTGCATTAGTTTTTTACAGGTTTTTTTTTTTTCCTTTTGAGACAGAGTCTTACTCTGTAACCCAGGCTAGAGTGCAGTGGTGCAATCTCGGCTCACTGCAACCTCTGCCTCCCGGGTTCGAGCAATTCTCCTGCCTCAGCTTCCTAAGTAGCTGGGATTACAGGCACCTGCCACCATGCCCCACTAATTTTTGTATTTTTTAGTAGACATGGGGTTTCACCATGTTGTCCAGGCTGGTCTCAAACTCCTGACCTCAGGTGATCCGCCTGCCTCGGCCTCCCAAACTGCTGGGATTACAGGCATGAGCCACCGCGCCTGGCCAGTTTTTTATAATTATTATGCCAAGTTTATCCGTGGGGATACTGAGTAGGTTTTTTTCCCCAGGTTCTATATATAATAAGCTTCCTCTGTTTGGAGCCTTTTTATAATACTGCCCTTCAGATTTGAATCTTTCTCACATTTTCTGAAAGAAAATATTAATAAATTTTTACTTACTGTAAAATCAGGGTAAACTACCCAGCATGGAAAATTTTTCCTTGAAAGGTTATTTTCTTGACTTTTTTTTTTTTTTTTTTTTCTTTTCTGAGGCGAGTCTTGCTCTGTCGCCCAAGCTGGAGTGCAGTGGCACAATCGCAGCTTACTGCAACCTCTGCCTCCTGGGTTCAGGTGGTTTTCCTGCCTCAGCCTCCTGAGTAGCTGGGATTACAGGCACCTGCCACTATGCCTGGCTATTTTAGTGGAGGCAGGGTTTCACCCTGTTGGCCAGGCTGGTCTCGAACTCCTGACCTCAGGTGATCCGCCTGCCTCAGCCTCCCAAAGTGCTGGGATTACGGGCATGAGCCACTGCACCCAGACTTCTTGATTTTTAAATATTATTTCACATGGAACTTCTTTGTGCCTTTTTTCTGTGTGAATCTGTGAACGCCAGATGCAAAGTTTCTGTCACAAAGAATTAATTTTAGGTCAGCCTTAAGAATGGGAGTAGGGAGAGAACAAAAAGAAAAATCTTCAATTATATTCCACACCCTTAATTGATGACTCATAGTAATCTTTACTGTGGGCATAGAGGGAAACTACAAATAAAATTGAAATATAGTCTGTGACCCAAATCTGTCTTTTTTGGTTTTTGTTACTGTGAAAATATTAATAATAAAAATACTATTCATAGTTTTCTAATAGTCTAAAATTTGTTTTTATTTTCTCTGTGGTCTTCTGCTTTTCTGTTTATATTTAAAAGGCATTGTGGCCAAACAATAAAAAAAGAACCTTGGGAAGGATATTAAAGGAATAGACAGCATAAAACAGCAGACAAGATGTCTGAGATTTTTCTCATTTGCTTTTTAATGGGGCGTGTGGATGATAGATTTCTCCATGAAGGAACTTCTGTTCTGTTCTGTATAAATGAATTGTCCTATTTTCAGTCCATTGGAGCTCTCTGGCCTCCCCAAGTCCAGGAAGTTACAGGCATGGGCAGTTAGGTTCTTTTGTTGGTGATGTCACTTAATTTTAATTCTCAACACACCATTCCTTTTCTTACAAAAAGTTTCACTGCAAGCTTGGTCGGATGAGTAATAAAGGCTCTCTCTTGAATCATATGGATAATGCTGGCAAGTGACAGAAATAGAAGAGAGTTCTTTTAAAAATACAAGGCACTTGGCTTAGAGTGAGTACAGAATTGAATCAAAACCCCAAAGCAGATGCAATAAAACCAAAATTATTTTAATAAAAGAATAAAAGGAAAAAAGCAACTTGGTTAGTCTACATAGCATATTTTGACCTTTTAATGGTCTGTCAGTGTTGTTTGTCATGATGAAGATCTTGGCTGCAGAATATGACTTTACTGCATGGGATGGTAACAGTGGTCTCTGGTATTTAATATTTACAGCCTGGTTTATTTGTGGTGTAGAGGTGAGGTGGTGACTCTCCAGAGCCTTTCACATAAAACATCTTCTTTCTTCTTCTTTCTAGATTTTCACCCGATGGAAGACTAATTGTGTCATGTAGTGAGGATAAAACTATTAAAATTTGGGATACCACAAATAAGCAATGTGTTAATAACTTCTCAGATTCCGTTGGGTAAGTACACTTTCTTTGTGCATTTATGTGGGTTAGTTTTCTAAGGAGACGTTTGATTATAACAATTTAAATAAATAAATGAGTAAAGAAATTGAAATATGGCCGGGTGCAGTGGCTCACGCCTGTAATGCCAGCACTTCGGGAGGCTGAGGCAGGCGGATCACCTGAGGTCAGGAGTTTGAGACCAGCCTGACCAACATAGTGAAACCCTGTCTCCACTAAAAATACAAAAATTACCTGGGCATGGTGATATGTGCCTGTAATTCCAGCTACTCGGGAGGCTGAGGTGGAAGAATCACTTGAACCCAGGAGGCGGAGGTTGCGGTGAGCTGACATTGCGCCACTGCACTCCAGCCTGGGTGACAAGAGTGAGATTCCGTCTCAAAAAAAAAAAAAAAAGAAATTGAAATATTAGGTCATCTTATTCTTTCCTCCTAGATTTGCAAATTTTGTGGACTTTAACCCTAGTGGTACATGCATAGCTTCAGCAGGTTCTGATCAAACTGTGAAAGTCTGGGATGTAAGAGTGAACAAATTACTACAGCATTACCAAGGTAACAATTTTCCTAACAAAAAATTCAGTTACCGAATGGACTCCTTTTGGAAGGACTGATTCTCCTTGTTGGTGTGGTTTGGCTGTCTTACTTGGGGTCATGGGCTGCCTTGGAACAGGCTAGAGAATAGTATAATTAGCTCCCATCAACAGCAGGGTCTCAGAAGCTCAAGGACAGCAGGAAGTGAAGAGACCTTAAAAATGATGTGAGGGCTGGTTTAAAGAAAAAAAAAGAAGTTGCTATGAGATTTTCAAATTCTGGTTATCAGCATTGTGTGAGAAGTCAGGATAGAAATGACTGAATTCTGAATCACAGGGAGTTACGTGAGCACAAATAGGTGTTATAACTGGTAGAAAACAACTACCTACTATGCCTATGTATTGATATTGAACTAAAAGAGAAGTGAATTTTCTTGGTTTATATTGGATTTATATTAAATCGAAATGATTATTAAACATAGTAGCTTTTCCAGTGTTTACTATGTAGCAGACACTGTGCCAAATCTAAACAATATTCCTAGGAGGTATCATTATTACTCACATTTTTAAGATAAGGAAATTGAGATTTAAATAGGGTAATTAACTTGCTCAAAGAATCAATAGAACTACTTAGGTCTTCCTGCTTACACAGTGCATAGAAAAATTAACTTTTGATCATTGTGTTATACTGCCTCCTGTTGGAAGGATACTGTCTGGAGACAAAGTCTCAAGCATGATGGCAGGACTGTGCCCGTTTCAAACTGTCTCCACACTTTTCTCCCTTTAATCCCAAGCCACTAATTAGTTATTACCTTTAATTTGAGACTAGGTTATATACCCTATCTGAGCTGGTGATGATTAACTGTCAGTTTTATTGGCAATATATCCAAAGAATTTATAGTAATGTGGTCAATAAGATTACCTTTCCGTGACACAGTCTCATTTTTAAAGTTATTCTGGCTCTCTAACTGGAAGCTTAGAGCTATGTGATGCCAAAATACTCGTTTTAGTGAGCCATATAGAGTTTTGTTGTTGTGGAAACAGTGCTCTTGTTTACAACCTATTGCTAATAAGGCACTGGGGTATCTTCAAAAGTAAGAATTGTTCTCTGAACTTTTTGCTTTTATTTTCTACAAATCAGTTCACAGCGGTGGAGTTAATTGCATATCATTCCATCCTTCGGGTAACTATCTCATCACAGCTTCTTCAGATGGTACCCTTAAGATTCTGGACCTCTTAGAAGGAAGGCTCATCTATACACTTCAAGGACATACGGTATTAACACTCAGATTCTTGCTTTTTATATATAAAAATATAAAATAATATATATTTTAAATTTCTGATCCATTTTTATGTCCCTTTATTGTTTTTCCAGACATAGCACACATTGCTGCTATCATAAAATTTTTTTACTTCCAAGGCTGTTTTTATCCTCTGGAAGCAACTCTTAGAAATATTATTTGTGGCTGGGCGTGGTGGCTCACGCCTGTAATCCCAACACTTTGGGAGGCTGAGGCGGGCAGATCACCTGAGGTCAGGAGATCGAGACCATCTTGGCCAACATGATGAAACCCCATTTCTACTAAAATACAAAAAATTAGCCAGGTGTGGTGGCACATGCCTGTAATCCAAGCTACTTGGTTGGGAGGCTAAGGCAGGGGCATCACTTGAACCCAGGAGGGGGAGGCTGCAGTGAGCTGAGATTGCACCACTGCACTCCAGCCCGGCAACAGAGCAAGACTGTCAAAAAAAAAAAATGGAAGAAAAAAAGAAATATTATTTGTTGTAATTCTTATCAAAATCAATGTGTATCTTTCAATGGCCATTAAATGAATCTTCTCCTGCTGTCTTTATCAGTATGTTGTATAGATTGACTGGGTAAATGGTGATGGGTAAGTAGATTCCATACTTCAGATCCTTCCTTCATGTGGAGGCTGTCCCGCTTAGCCCTGACACCCAGCCTCTCACACCTCTCCCTCACTCCTTCTGCTAATTTGTTGGTGGGTTTAGGAGAAATTGGGTAAGCACAGCCTAACACCTTCTACTCTCCTGCCTTTGGGAGTAGCCATTCTTCACTGTTTTTCTCTGATATTCCTTGTGGGGAGACCTGCCCTTGTCTAGTGTTGCCTGTGACTCATTCTGGGCATCCGTTCTAGAAAGCCTATTTGTGTTACACATAAAAGCCACATTCTCTTTTTACAAGCATTTATTAGAAAGAAAGGTGATATTTCGATTCTTATGTGCTGTATTCCTTTGTCTTATTTCTCAATTGGTTTAGAACCAAGTAGGTAAGAGGGGTGCCTTTTATTGAGCCTGTTCAAAGATCCCTCCCTGGCATATAGATCAATTTTTTAAATTTATTATTTCTTTATTTTTGAGATGGATTCTTAGTCTGTCACCCAGGCTGGAGTGCAGTGGCACAATCTCGGCTCACTGTAACCTCTGCCTCCTGGGTTCAAGTGATTCTCCTACCTCAGCCTTCTGTACAGGCGCACCACCACGCCCAGCTAATTTTTTGTTTGTTTGTTTGTTTAGAAGAGACAAGGTTTCACCATGTTGGCCAGGCTTGTTTTGAACTCCTGACCTCAGGTAATCTGCCTGCCTTGGCCTCCCAAAGTGCTGGGATTACAAGTGTAAGCCACTGTGCCCAGCCTAGATAAATTTTTTTGAGTATATAAACTAGTCTTTTCTTCCAGACAATATTCAAACTTCTCTGAATTTTTTAGAATGCATCCTCTTTTTTTTTTTGAGGTACTTCCTTTTAACAAGTATAAGCTGTTTATATCTAGAAATAGAATGAGCCTTGTGGTCTAGAAGAGAAGAGTTTCTTTTTCACAGGTTCTGCCTGGCTTCCTGCTTTGCGTTATCATTTATTCTGCAGTGGTGTTAGGGTAAAGCAGAAATAAATACTAACCAGCTTAAATATATGCATATCCATGGATTTAGGCTGAATAAACATAACAAATAAAAGTGGCCAAGGATTGAAATATCCATGAAAAAAGTACAAAATAATAGGGAAAAAAGATAAACACAGTCTTTCAGTAGGAAAACACTACATGAAGATGGAATTTTAGTCTGGAAGTAAAGGTGTTTATGAAGCTATTAATATTATAAACTAAATCTGTGGGATAGTCTACTTGGGAAAATACAAGATGTTTTTCCCTAAAACTTTTCTTGTACAGATTAAGGACATATTAAAAACATATGGTATATATTAATATTTTTGAGATAAGAAATACTTACTCTTATCTGGACTGAAAAATTGACCTAGAGGCTATCCATCTTGTGACTGTGCCAAGCACAGTCTTGTCCAACTCCGCAGTAACTGCTCAATTTCAGGTTTTCATTACCTCTCACCTAGATAATTACAGGAACTTCCTAACTGGCCTCCAACCAAGCATCTTACTCCAATTCATCTTTCTCAGAATTGTGATACTGATTTTAATCATTCACAGCTCTCCTCCTATCTGTGTTCTGCTCTTTAAACTTTTAGTGGTTTATGGTTGCCTACATGAAGGGGGAACTCAGTGAAGCCCATTGGTCAGGAAATGGACTTCATGTAAATAGCCTCATTCCCATTACCTACATATTTATCATTCAGTTTCTGCTAGTGATTGGTTGAATACAGAGTCCAAAGCCAGAAAATCTTAACAGAAATTCTTATGAACTTACATATGTAAAAGCTTTTCTTGAAAGGAGAAAAAAGTTATTTTTTTAATTAATTTTTAGTATTTTTTTAGTATCATTTATTTGTGTTTTAATATGATTGGGTTGATTCTTTGATTATCTTCACTCTGCCAGCATTAGTTGCTAGCAACTGATGTGTTTTATTAGACTTATTGCATGAGTAGTATGCATAAATTAGGATGAGAAATTGATATCCATAGTCTTCTTGGCCATGAGAAAGCATTACCAAGTACTTTTTTTCTTTATTTCCCTTTATTTCTCAGGGACCTGTCTTTACTGTTTCATTTTCAAAAGGTGGAGAGCTATTTGCATCAGGAGGTGCAGACACACAGGTTTGTAAATCTTTCAGCTCCTCTTTGATTTGGTTAAGGTAAAGGAATCCTTGACCTCAGCTAAGAGTTTTACAACCAGCTAGTTTGTGTATGTTAAGATGTTTGTCAATGAGTTTATATTTTAATTAGTACCATGAAGTCTGCTATCTCATAGCTGAAACAGAGCCAGTTCTAAATTTTGGGAACTCAAATAGTTATTTTCTTTTGCTCATTTTACACTTAACTATACATGTAACTGACACTATATGTCCACTTTCAGTAATTATATAGCACTTTTGCTTGAATCATTGCCTTATCTTAAGCTTCTTGAGGATGGTAAATATAAATCATTTATATACCAAATCTGCATTTATCTGAAATGACCAAAAGTCATTCATGGCCAGATTTATTGAATAAAGTGAATGACCAGTCCAAAACATGGTTTTGGGCTTTGACCAAAAAAAAAGAGGATTTTAAGATAACCAGATATTTTCTTAATATGAATTTTAAACCAGACATGAAGGCAATTCAAAATGTTAAATCTCTCCCTCAACCACACCTTAAAAAAAGATATTGAGAAATAGTAACATAGTTGAAATATATATCTACCCTTCCTACTTTGGGAGACAATTCTGTATATTGTGGGTTTTAAAATCAGCTCTATTGCTTGTACATGCAAGTCAATAACTGCCAACATCATTGACTTTTTTCATAGGTCTTATTATGGAGGACTAACTTTGATGAATTGCATTGTAAAGGTCTTACCAAAAGAAATCTCAAAAGATTACATTTTGATTCACCACCACATCTTCTTGATATCTACCCAAGAACACCACATCCCCATGAGGAAAAAGTTGAGACTGTAGAAGTGAGTATTTTGTTCATATTTGTCCTACATTTTGTGTACATTTTGAGGCTTTTGCTGAAGGAGGTGTTTGAAATTACTGAATTATATATAAAACCTAGTGCTGCCTTAAAACAGCAGCACTTTGATAAACAGTTGTTTTCACTATAGTGTGTAATAAAGTTTTATATTTGTTTCTTGAAGGCCCAGAAGTAAAACTAAAAAATAGTGTTGATAGTAATAGGAAATGAGAAATTAAATCTAAGGCCTCTGGTGACTGTGAAGTCTAAACTAGCTTTATATTTTAGGTGTGTTTAGGGAGGTCATGTGATGGCTGTCATGAGAATAAGGCTGGAGGGCAAGAATTTTTATAATGGTTATTGAAATAGGTAGCTTAAAACTCTTTTACAGCAAAAAAAAATCTTATGGACAGGTAAAAGAAGAGAGTTAGTGATTAAATCTAATAATTAAGACAATGTTATTGCCTGAATATATTTTGCATATATAGTTATCTATTTAGCTGTAGGTTTTTGCTGACAAATTCCCTTAGGTCCTATGAATTTAAGTGTTATGATTTAAGCATTCTTTTGTCTTCAAAGAGAGATTTATCTTTGCTAGATGCTTAGCTGATGTTAGCCTATTCTTATTTTGCATTATTCTTCTTCAGCTGTTTCTCTTCTAAGAGCTGACTTCAGAAATTACCTGTTCATCTGAATTTTTATCACTGGCAGTCTCTTTGCTTTTAGAGTTAGGTATTTTGAGTTCTTGAGATGTATTCCTGAGCAGCAATGCACGGTAGCCGCATTCACTGTTCATGCTGTGCATGTACCCTCAGCCACATCACTTCTTTCATTTTGTTTTCCTTAGTCTTGGTCTTTGCTGTTATCTCAGGCACTTCTGCTAGTCTCCAGTTGTGCATCTAAGTATATGTTTTTGTTCTTTGTTTTTTAAACTATTTTCTAGATTTTGTTTAATCCAGCCATATCTTGGGATTTCTGCCTTTGCTTTTCCCTGGTAGTGTTGACTTTCAGTTCTTGGCTATAATCTTTGTCTTTTCCAACTTCTGACAATCTTTTCAGTTCTTCTAAAGTATTAATCATGTTACCACTTCTTTGTACTACTTATTGTATTATCATTTTTCTTTTATTTAAAAGAAAAAAGTAATCTAATTTGGTTTTCCCATTTTTTGCTTCTGTTTCTAGTTATATTTCTTATCCCTGTGATTATATAAATTCATATAAAATACATGTGAAATATATTTTAATTTAACTTGAGTATTTTTTTCTTGTATTATCCAAGTTGGTTTTATTAACTCTTGGTATTTTTATTCTGTCATCTTGTGGTTTGGCCAAGATTGATCAGGAGGGAAATATCCATTTGGCCACTTTCCAGGGTGTTGGGTGGCAGAACTGCAGGCTGATCCCGAGACTGCTTTCCTCGTGAATTAGGTGCTATTTCCATGACTCCACACTCACCTCAGCACAGAGACTCAAGCCATTTTTTCTCTGATTTACTGTCAGCCCTAGTTCATTTCAGAGTGCTAGGCTTTCTTTAAAATGTCAAGGAGTTGCCTGAGTGGCTCTGCTCTTATGGTATAGCCAAAAAGCCATTAAACCAGCTGGGCTGCTTTGTGTTGCTGGGTCAGGCTGACCCAGGCCATGCAAAGCCACTCTCAAACAAATTTTTCACGTATACCCCTAAAAATTCTATTAAACACTGACTTTTCTTCATCGTGGAATTAGAGTTCAATTGCACTCTACAAAATGCTGAGCCTTGTGACTGAATTTTTTTTTTGTGACCTTAAGGTAGTCAGCCTCTGTGTACACAGTTTAAATTATCTGTAAACATGCATGGCTGCTTAAATTAAGTATAAAACATGACTTGCTTTTGTAAAACACTTTGAGGCCCTGTGATATAAAATGCCAGAAGAGTGATAGGATTCTGTATATGAACAACCAATTGTTGTAATTGTTTCTTTTTTTTTTTTTTTTCCTGAAAAAATCTCTTGGGCCAGGTGCGGTGGCTCATGTTTGTAATCCCAGCACTTTGGAAGGCCGAGGTGGGCGGCTAATGATGTCAGGAGTTCGAGACTAGCCTGACCAACATGGTGAAATCCCGTCTCTACTAAAAATACAAAAATTTGCTGGGTGTGGTGGCGCGTGCCTATAATCCCAGCTACTCAGGAGGCTGAGGCAGTAGAATCGCTTGAACCTGGGAGGCGGAGGTTGTAGTGAGCCGAGATCATGTCAGTGCACTCCAGCCTGGGCAACAGGGCAAGACTCCGTCTCAAAAAAAAAAAAAAAAAAAAAACTCTTATAAAAAAGTCAAGGTTATGAAATTTTCTAGACAGGGAACAACTTTAGTATTATGAATAAATAATTGTTAAGTACCAAATTGTGTTTTAAAGACTCTACTTCAAATTAATAAATATGGATCCCTCACTAAGCCAAAGACTACTTAGTTCAAAACTTTCACACAGAATGGAATAGTCAGAATAGAAGTTGTGCTGTGTTCATTTATGATTAGTAAACTTTACTTTGAAATACTAAATTCAGTAGATTAAGTTTTTTTCAAAGCTTTAGGCAAATTTACATGCAGTTACTTGGGAAATATTTTAAAACTAAGAAATCTTTTTTTGAGGTCAGTATTAGGATTTAAGGAAAATAAACATCTTATTAAAATATGTAGAATAAATGGTATCTAAGTGAACTGATGAATTTTTCTTTCTCTGTTTGCAGTGACCATGAGTGTTTTATTTCTGAGTTTGAAACGAGATAACATTTTTATGATTTGTATTATGTTTTCTATGAGACTCATCTGAATTGCATAATCTCAATCTGCTGAGTAAAATAGTTTGGCCTTTTGCAAAAGCCACCCCTTTGCTAGCCTTAAGCGCTTCACTTGTTTGAAGGTGGGGAATCCTGCAGAGTCTTAGATCTTGGGTACCAGCTGACTAAATGTATAAATTACTAATTCCTACATGGATAGAGGGGGTGATAGCCATATTACTTTTAAAATAAATGAGAGAAGGAGGCCACATGAAAGAAGGCATGAAATATCAAATTCTCTCTATGTGAAATAGCCCCCTCCCGGGTTCTTCCTACTTATCTAACTACAGATCCTTCGTAGTACTCCTGGCCTAGGCACTCCATCTTAATTAAAAACATGAGAACAGTACCTCTCTCTCTTTTTTTTGATGGGAAAGAAGCCCAGTTTTTACACAAGGTATCTTGACCCTACCCATGTTGTGCTATAGCACATCACTAGTTCATGCTGACTTTATCTTCTTCAGACTGTCATGAGTTGGATTGCATTGTCCTGCCCCTAGACAAAACCAGACTTTCCTTCAGTGTGTGTGTGTGTGTGATATTTTTCTCCGGAGCAGCAGTTCCCTTCTTTCTTACACATTTTGATGAGAAGACAGTAGAGCCACTCTAAGCGATGGCGATAGCTCTTAATGACAGTAAAGCATCAAAATAGTTATTCTAGGAGAATTGCAGAATATTGTAAGCAGGGATTATAATTGGTTAAAAAGATTTTTTTAATAAAATAATGTTCTGATGGCTTTCAGTTTTTTATGGCCATTTTAGATTACCTTAACATATAAATTGCATATGAAATTCTGTATGATATTTAGCAGGAAGGAAAATGTCCTTTACCTTAACCAAATATTTATATAATAATATTTTGTGATAGTCTGACCATGATTCATTGTTGAAAAGTACAAGTGATCAATTTAAGTTTTTAAGTCTGAGATTGGGTTTTTATCTCAATCTTCTAATAAGGTTGAAAACATCACCATTTATGATTTTTTAAAATGACCACTTGTCTATCCATTTTGTATTCTACTTCTAACTGGGGTATATGTTTATACTGTTTCAGGCCTCAGTAAATGTTCATTACATGATGATAAAGTCTAACAGTTATACAAGACTGTTCTAAGTGTTTTATACAAATTAAGTTAATATTCCTAAAATCTCGGTGAAATAAGTACCACTATTATCCCATGAGAAATTGAGGTCTATGTTAGTTAAATCTTAAAGTTAGTAAGTGGCAGCAGTAGAATTTCAACCCAGGCACTCTGGTTCCATTCTGTGTTTTTAACCACTTTGATGTAATGCTTCAATATAAACAAAATTACATTTTATCCTGTTAACAGATATTAAAGTATCTGTGTGCTGGACGTTGTACTAGCTTTAGAGTATGCAGCAGTGAACAAGATGGGCATACTCCTTGCTCTTTAGAAGCTTGTAGTCTAGTGAAGGCTTATGGAATTTATTAGTAGAGGTTTTATGTTCGTGGACTCCTCAGTATCATGGACACAGAGAACCTCAATGGGGGATGTGGGATGGTACCTTTGAGGTCATACAGGCTAACCTTTACCTCATTCATTAGTCCCAGTTATATACCCTTGTTCAGCCATGGAGAACTTGGCCTCTCATAGGCAGCCCACTTCATTTCAAGGCAGCTCTAATTATTAACATATTCTTCCCTTTAATAAATATCAGGAGCTACAAGGTACTGTTAGTATTCCTGAGAGTTAGCTAGCAAAGAATTTAACCATATCACCCCCTCAGCATATTTTCTTTATGGAGAGGACTATAAATGTTACTTAGTAAGAACTTCCAGCTCTATTTAACTTATGTGGCAGCAACTTACGCAGTTAAATACTGTTAATTACATCAGGACTTGTTTCCCAACTTGTAGGTCAAGGATTTTTTTTAATGACAGGTGCTGACTCTACGTGATTTAGATTTCTTGAGCAGTTTCAATTTCAGATGGTGCAACTAGATTGTATTTTCTAGGTAAATAATTTTCTGTCTACACTAGGTGGCAGTAGATAAAAGAGAATAAAACGTATGCAAGCAGTCTCTGGACAGGGAGTCTTAAGATTAAAAGGAAAACAAGTCACTCTCACATTTCTGTTCTTTACCTCAACTCTGGACTTAGAGTTAATGGCAGGAGGCTGTGTTTGATTTCTGCTTTATGGGACAGCCAGGAAGAGATAACGGTTTTGGCTAGCTGAGCTGATTGCCCCTCATCCTTACCATGCACAGCTTTATTCCTTCTTTACTATAGCATTGCAGTTATATCTCCCCTTTAACACACTGGCTGGATAATTATAAAATGATTTTACTGTTTCTAAAACTACAGCCATACCCATCAAGCATGGTAAGTGCTTTAAAAATTATTCCACTCCTCTTATCACTGGCCAAGTCTTCATCACTACAGACCTGGATTAACGCTGTAGTGTCCTCACTGCCGTCCCTAATGTATTCATGACACTTTATGTGTCTGTCAGATTACTCTTTCAATTCAGCACATTGTAGCTTCCAACTTTCTGTGCCTTCCCAAATTCCTTCACCCTTCACAATTTGACCCTTGACAATCTTCTTTCTAACCCTGTGTGAAAGTATGTCAGCATTCTTCCACTATGCCATGAAGAATGCTCTTTTACTCATCTCCCTCTCTGTTTTTGTTTTCTAGATCTTTTATTAAAGAGCCGTCATATGCCGTGTTTCCTCCATAGGAAGTCTTTCTCACTGTCTAAGCCAAGCTTGTCCAGCCCACAGGTCACATGCTGGCTTTGAATCCAGCCCAACACAAATTCGTAAACTGTCTTAAAACATTATGAGATATTTTTGCAATTTTTTTTTTTTTAGCTCATCAGCTATCATTAATGTTAGTGTATTTTATGTGTGGCCCAAGACAATTCTTCCAATGTGGCCCAGGGAAAGCCAAAGATTGGACACTCCTGATAAGCGCTCAGTCAATAGTTTCTTCTTTAAGGTTCGTTAGTACACTTATTGGTACCATTCATTTGATATAAAACTCTGCTATCTTTGTTGCTCTTTGTTTACTTCTTTGTATTCATAATGTTTCAATTTTATTTTTAATTTTTATGTCTTTTCAAATTCTGAAATAGCCTCCCTCAAAGTTAGTCACCACTCTAGGTAATCATTCTGTTGCTTTTCTTTGTAACTTTATATATTTGAATCTATAATTATTGTTTAATTTTGAATGAGTTTGAACTTTATGTAAATGGAATTATATTGAATGTATATTTTCCGTAACTTACTTTTTAATTTAACATTAAAGTCCTGAGATTCATACATATGAATTCTGAATTCATGCATTCATAAATTGTTTTCACTGCTGTATTGCATTCCAGTGAATTTGTCACTGTAGTAATTCTTACAGCCTGTTTAACTGTTGATAGACACTTAGGGTACTTCCAATAGTTTTTTGGCCATTACAAACAATGCTGCTACAAACAGTGTTGGCGTCATTGAGCTTTCTAGTTTTTGCAGTCTAATAGGTATTAAGTGGTATTTTGCTTTAATTTCACTTTTCTCATTACGAATATTCTGAATATATTTATTTTCCATATACAGCACTCTGTTTTTGAGTTATTTATGATACAGTTTCTACTTATTTGAGCCTTTTTTAATGTTAACATAAGTTTTATTCTTTTCCATAAGGTCTTACTCTTTTTTGTATGTTTATTCTGATGTATTTTTAAACTTCTTTGATATTGTAAATGGTGTCCTTTAAAATTTTGCATTTTCTAACTGTGTGCTAGAATGCAGAAATGCAGTTGATTTCATATATTGATTTTGGGACTAACTTAAACTCTGACTATTCTAATGATTTAGCAATAAATTCTAGATAACATTATATATGAATGAGAATATTATTTCTTTCTAATTGTTATCTTAATACCTTTTATTTCCTTTTCTTACTGAACTGGCTAGGATTTTTTTCTTCATCTTTTGAGGTGGGTCATTTTATTTTATTTTTAATATTCCTTTTTAGGTAAATTACATTGATTTTCTAAAGTGAAAACCTTTTATTTCTGGGGTGAATTCAACCTTACCAAAATGATCTTTTCTTATACGTTGATAGAATTGGTAGGCTAACATTTAGCTTAAAATTTTTTTTATCCATAGTAATGAATATACCAATATATTTTAATTTTAGAATATATTAGAAAATGCCCTCCAGGTTTTTACAAATAGTATTTGGTTTCTTATGGTATGAAAATCTCATAATTTTTTTTTATGTATATACACAGATTAATCCAAAGCTTGAGGTAATCGATTTGCAGATCTCTACTCCCCCTGTTATGGATATCCTTTCTTTTGATTCTACCACAGTAAGTCGGGTTTTTTTTTTTTTTTTTGACACTTAAGTGGCATTTAATCATTTGGCATAATCCATTTTCCTTTAAAAAATGTTGGGGGAGGAGATAAAACGTGGCCTATGTAGCCTAACATTTTAGTATAGGAAAAACTTTATAGTCATATTTACAATGCATCTAAATAGTTTACCACAAGGGGGGAGCAGCAACAATTTCCAGGAAAGCTTTTTTTTTTTTTTTTTTTTATACTTTAAGTTTTAGGGTACATGTGCACAACGTGCAGGTTAGTTACATATGTATACATGTGCCATGTTGGTGTGCTGCACCCATTAACTCGTCATTTAACATTAGGTATATCTCCTAATGCTATCCCTCCCCCTGCCACCCCACCCCACAACAGGCCCTGGTGTGTGATGTTCCCCTTCCCAGGAAAGCTTTTACTTTGAGGTCCCTGAGCTCAGTCTAATCCATACCCACTGTCTCACGTATTAAGATGCCACCCAGGTAACATTTCACATGCTGTTGCAGAGCAGATTCCCTATTGTGTTATTTGTCCTTCAGAGGTGCTAAACTTACTTCTAGTCTTCTCATTAGAAGCTGTAAGAAAAACAGCACTGCCGTTGGTTAATCTCTTTTGATGGATTATCCATAAATTAAGAAGTATTTCTAATACTTACAATTTTGTTGATAGAAATTACATATATAAAATTTATTTATTCAGTGTTTTCAAAATTTTCAAAGATTAAGAATTTTAGCCTTTCCATTTAGGATTCTGCTAATTCTTTCCAAGGCAAATCACTGCCACAGTTGATCCTGCTAGTCAGTGCAAAACTAATCGTAAGAACAAATGGGAAGAACAGCGTGGTCTTTGACGACACTACTGCTATGATGTCAGTTTAGTTAAATATTTTGGGTACATTTTTAATTTGTAGCCAAAATAAAACCCTGACATTATGACATTACAAATTCTCTAATAGATCTCAAGAATAGTATTTATTGTAGAGGAATTCTACAGAGGACTAGTCCATTTTGAGTCTATCTTGTACCAGAAACCATTCTAATTATTCAAGGGTCCTTTCAGTGTTAATCCCATAGCAGAGAAGCCTCCTAGATCTCTCATTAGGAGTTTCAGTGACAAAAACGAAGTGAGGGTAACCAATGAGCTGATGGTTAAAGGGAATTCCAAGAATCACTGGTGACCACTAGGACTTCAAATCGATCTGTGTTCTTGTTTCTTACAGTATTCATGTTTATAACTCTAGCAGCATTGCTGCATTAATAATTTAAGAAATTAAAAATTAATGGGATGTCTACAACTTGCCACAGTGCTTGGCTTATAGTAGGTGTTCAGTACGTTTATGTTCAATGAATTACTCCAAATGCATGTTGTAGAAATTTACAAAATCTGATGAGTTAGGTTTTCCCCCTGTAGCGAGAAGGAGCAAACAGGAGGTTTATGAGATGTGCTGCCTCCTTGTGAGGTAGTCAGTAGACTAAAATTGCACATTTCTGGCCTAGAAAATATCATAGATCATTAAAAATCTTTGGTCCACCTTTTGAGACTCACTGTCTCTCCCAGTACCCTTCAAGTTTTGCAAAGCCTCATTACGTGAGGAATCCAGACAGTTTTGACAGACAGTGCTATTGAGGTGGGCATAACTGCCTCTTAGCAAGGGACAGCAGGATGTCCCTTGTAGTATAGATTGTACATATCTATTGTAGATCATATGTGTCTGTTGTAGTATACATCTATAATACAGGACCATAACTCGAGGAATATATGGGGTATGTGGGACTTTGAGAAGACAGTTCTGTATAACAAACACATGACATTTAATAGCTGTGCTACAAAACAGAATAATAAAATGGAAGAGTAAAATTATTATCCACAAAGGATAATATTAGGTTGAATTATATGAAATTGTCATTTTGTAGGCAAAAACAGTCTAATATCAATGACTTCACATGGTTTCACCCAATATATACGCATTAAAAGGAAGACTCCACTAGTATATAAAAATCCAGCAAACAAACAAACAAACAAAACACAGGAAAACAAAATCTTGTTTGCTATAAATTGGTTTGAGATTATGCTAATAAACTCCCATCTAGGTAGATTGTAATCTGGGACATAGCTGCTTGCTGCCAAGCAAGGTATAAGGACTTTATTTTAATAGTGCATTCTGAAGACATAGATTCTCATAAAGTAGTTAGACTTTTTAAAAGAATATCTCCAAAGGGCTTTTCTTTAAATTTTCAATGTGTATCTCTTTCTTTTAGTTCAATGATAGATAATTGGTTAGAAAACTAAAATAAAATTACTTTTTCAACTATTTACCTTTCCATTAATATAGTGGTAAATAAGCCTTAATTATAGTCTCCTCCCTACACTGACAGTTTCTCTTTTGCTTCTGCACAACAAATCAGACATAATTGTAAAGGGGATTTATTTCTGCTTTGGCATGAAGCACAATTGCATTCAATATTTTTGTGTGTACTTTGCATGTGATTGTAATTTAAAAACCTGGAGAAATACTGGAAGCCAAAAAAAGTAGTGTTTAAAGGTAATTTTTGTTATTGTTATTGTAGTTACTGTTTCTTTTGAGGGTTGATTTGTTTGGTTTTTGTAGATTGGACATTTCCTTAAAAATTCATTTCATCAAGGTAGGACATAAAAAAGATGTCTCTTTAAACCTTAATTTGTAAAATTTCTTAGTAGCATAAAAGAAGTTTGTTATGGTGTAAGAAATAGTTGGCCTCTATTTCTACTTTCACTTGATTTAATATTATATTCAGGAAGATTTGTAGATCGAAGTGTACTGATATCTGTGCTCTGATGTCTTCTCACTACAGAGAAGAAATTGTGGCATACAGTCTTTAACAGGTGGTATCTTTGTGGCTTGCACTTGTGTCTCTAATGCCAAGCAGGAAATTTGATACAATATTGTGGATCAAAATAAGCTGTTACTAATCTCTATTTTTAAAGCTTTATTGTTAAAAAAAAAAGTTTCTGTAAAGGAATATACTGGTGGCCATATAAACATAGTTTTAAAATATTGTTCTCAAATTCCTTACTCTTTATTCTTTTTATATTGTCACTTATATACTAATTTTCTAAAGATTATTTAGTTCAAGATTCCATTTGAGTCTTTTAATGTTTTCATGTTGTAGTTAGAACTAGACCAGGATTCTATCATCAAAATTATGGTAGGGCATTTATCATTAGCATTGACATGTGGTGTGGCTACACGGGATGTCCCACTCCTCTCTTCTAAAAAGACAAACAAGATACGAATTTGTTTCCTGTATCCTAATATAAAGAGTTTTAAACTGGTTGGGCACAGTGGCTCACACCTGTAATCCTAGCACTTTGGAAGGCCAAGGCGGGTGGATCACCTGAGGTCAGGGGTTCCGGACTAGCCTGGCCAATGTGACAAAACCCCTCCTCTACTAAAACTACAAAAATTAGCCGGGCGTGGTGGTGTGCGCTTATAATTCCAGCTACTTGGGAGGCTGAGGCAGGAGAACTGCTTGAACCCAGGAGGTGGAGGTTGCAGTGAGCCGAGATTGTGCTACTGCACTCCAGCCTGGGAGACTCCATCCATCTCAACAACAACAACAACAACAACAACAACAACAACAACAAAAAAGAGTTTTAAACTAACTGTAAATAAAATTTATCTTAAAAGACTCTAGGGTTATTACTTTTTTTATCTTTAGGAAAATTCTTAAATTCTGATGTATTAGTTTTATTGTTTGTCTTATAAATGAACAAAATGAAGTTGGTAATCTTGCTGTTGTTCCTTTGATTATCAAAATACTGGACTCTTCTCAGAGAGTTGACACTGTGTTCTCATCTTCATCCTGGCAACTGTGCATAATATGAACATAATGCAGAATATGTGTATGCCTTTCTTTAGAAGTAGGGATATTATTTCTTTCAAGTCAAATTAATTTACAATAAACATGCAGTTATGTTATAGAAAAAAATCCAAGGGTCTACAGTCTTTTGATATTCTATCAATCAAAATAGTTGAAGATGTCCTACATGAAGGCATTACATGAGATGCTGAGGGAGATACCAAGCTGGCTGCCTGACCTCAAGAAACAAACAACCTAGCCAGACAGAAGTAACTGAGGAAGAAGAAATCAGTGTTGGTTTCAGAACATTAGATGTCAAGTATACATAAATGTCAGTGAAAGATTGTTATTGGGCAGTATTCAGAGGAAATCATTAATGGGCTGCAGTAAGCTAGAGGACTTCTCTAGAAGAAAACCTTTGACCAGTTCTTTTTTTCTTTTTTCTTTTCTTTTTTGAGACAAGGTCTCTCACTCTGTCACCCAGGCTGAAGTGCAGTGGCACTGTCTCGGCTCACTGCAGCCTCCAGTTCCTGGGTTCAAGTGATTCTCCTGCCTCAGCTTCCTGAGTAGCTCGGATTACAGGCTCCTGCCATCATGCCCAGCTAATTTTTGTATTTTTTAGTACAGACAGGGTTTCACCATGTTGGCCAAGCTGGTCTCGAACTCCTGACCTCAAGTGATCCACCCACCTCGGCCTCTCAAAGTGCTGAGATTATAGGCATGAGCCACCGTGCCTGGAGGGAAAGCGAGGTATAAGTAGTTGCTTCAGAAGAAATCAAACACATATGAACCATGGTAATAAAAATGCATCAGTCTAGTTTAGAATCTTTAAGTTGCCTAAGTCAACTGACAGCAGATGTGGTGGGATCCAGGAAGGATGCCTACTCACACATACATGTCTCTGAATAAGTATTTATTAACTTACTATTCTTGGCTTTAGAGAATGTGAAGAAACAAAAATACCTGCTCCAGAGAAGCCTACATTCTACATTCCAGTCAGAGAGAGGCAATTCACAGATCTAAAAAATAAACTGTATATAGTACAGGGAATGCAAAGGTGAAAAAGGCACTGAAGGCAGAGAGGAAAAGATAGGTAGAGGGCTGCCATTTTAGCTAGTATGGCCAGGACAAGAGTCACGTGACAGGGGTGGCATTTGAGTAAAGAGCTGAAGGAGTGAAGGGAGCAAGTCATGGCTATCTGGGAAGGGCTCTCCAGGAGAGTGGGAGCAGTGATAGATGGAAGGCCAGATTGCAGGTGACATAGGAGCCACTGGGGGGTTTCCTGCAGAGGAGGGACATGACGTGACTTGTGTCTTAACAGGTTCACTCTGCCTGCTGTAAGAGGACAGGCTGGGGATGTTGATGGGGGTGGACAAAGAGACTAATTAGGAAGCTAATGAAATACTCAGACGGGAGGCAATACTGGCTTGACCCAGGGAGGTAGCAGAGGAGGTGGTGATAAGCGATCGGATTCTGGGTGTATTTTGAAGGCAGAGCCAAGAGGATTTCCTGACAGAGTGAATGTCAGCTGTGGGATTCCCTATCTCCCTTCCCCAGGGACAGTAAGATGTAGCCTTGAGTAATCTCAGGATAGCTGAGAATATCTCCTGGCTCTGCATCATTTTGGCAGAGGGGCTGATGAGAGAAAAAGAATCGTGGTTTTCCTGTGTTCTGTTCTAGGATCAGAAAAGTGATCGGCTGAATCAGTGCAAGAGATACTCTGCCATTTCCATGACTTTGGGAAGCACACTCCCTTCCTAAATGTCATTTAGATTTTTATTTTCTAGCAAAGTGCATTGGATTCTCTTTCAGAAAGTTTTTTTGCATCAGCCTATTTTTAGGAAGAAAAAGGTTATACACTTTCATGGAGATTGTCATATGGTGTATACTATCTGAAAAATATTAACGTGCTGACAAAATATATGGACACACAAAGAATAAACTTGCAGACACAGAGAGAATATTTCCATGAATGTTGTGGCAACAGTTCATCCTGGTTACTAGACAACATTGAGTAACTAGTTCAGAGTTATTTCAGTTCCTAACTGCTTATATAAGCAAAGATTTGGAAAGACTAAAAGAACACAGTGTATGTGAACTTCAGTGTCTTAAAACTAAAACTTACAACTTTGAAAGTGTAAAATGGTCATACGCAATGTAAAGTTTTTAAACTTTGCAGCAGTTTATATGGTGGCATTTGATTTGTCAGTTTAGGGCATATGACTTCTGAAACTAGGTGTATTTATCTATAACTTTGTGGCTGCTTCCTAAGCATTAGGAAACAGACATTTGTATGGTATCTTTAAGTGCTGGTTTAGTGGCTCTGCGGTATGTTTCTCCTGTCCCTGCTCTAAGGGTATGAAAGGAAATGAACTTAGGCATTTATAGGATCCAGGTCTCTGGACTCCCTAGCTGGTGCCTCCCTCAATTTATCTTCCTTTAAGAGTTAAGAGACTTTTTATCTTAACTGCAAATGATAGTAAATGTCAAGTGGATACAGTAATTTTTTATTCGGTAACTCAAGAAGTTAAATGTTAAGCCCTAAGATGCTTAATTGGAGTAAAAGAGGAATTTTTATAAGGTTTGAGAAACAATTTAAAAACATTCCCCTTCGAAATTAAGTGACGTAATTAAATTGTCAAAGACATTTAAAAAACAGAACATACATGATAACTAACAAGTAAATGAGGAAAAACACAACATTTTCAAAGATCTCTTGCCATTTAGAAACAGAAAACACATTAATATTTTTTCAGATACAATCTTTAAAATAGAGAAAGGAGAGAAAATATTAGAGACTGGAAAGAGACTATTTGCAAATTAGTTGGATCCTTGCTTTTGAAGTACTTCATGACCCATATGTTATAAAAACTGCTAACAGTTGCGAATGTGATGGCTGACCTTTTAAAAAAAATTGATTTGGGATTGTAAAAAAATAAATAAAACAACTAAAATGCTAAAGTGTTTTAGTTTGTTAAAGGAACGTGGTTTATTTTTTTTTCAAGATAGATAATCTGTATAGCTGTAAAGTTTACTAACAGTATCACCGTAATAAAAGATTAACAGTGAAAGCCAGAGGCTTCTTTTCCCCCCCTTCAAATAAAATATGCTTTTTAATAAAAATAGTAATAATCACTAAGTCCCAATTTTTTTAAGATATACTGACAAATATGCTAATTTGACCTTCTTTCTCTTTAAGTTTCAAAGTCACAAGGAAAGAAAACATATTAATGAATTTACCAAAAATTTGATACTCTTAAAGTTTTTAAAAATAGTCCTAGTTAAAGAATACTTTATGCAGTGAAACTTGTCCTTACTCCTATTGACAAACGTGATTTGGGACTTGAACTCTGCCGTATAAAATGTGAAGACAGAAAAAAAAAAGGAAAATTTACAAAAGGATTTATAAATCATGCTATTTGGGAGCCCAATAAATACTTTTTAGAATTTCCTTTAGAAAATTAGCACGTTTCTGGGAACTGGAGGTGTTCCAGGTATTATTTCTGCCTTCCAACTTGCTGAGATACTGTATTTCTAAACTGTGACGCCCCGGACTACTGCAGTAATACCGACTGTCCCGGGCCTGGGAATCTAAGCTGCATCCCCAGTTCCCACAGCTGAGACCGAGGCATGCTGAAAATGCCCGACAGCTCTCAGCCCACACATCCAGTAACAACTGGTTCCTTCCTCTTCCTGTGGAAGAGAAACATCCTCTGAGATGAGAAGAAATGCACCCTGAGGAATGCAAGAACAGCAGTGAGCTTTTCACACAGGAAATTACTACCGTAGCTCCCTGAAAAGTGCTTGTCTCCTGGACTGTCAGCCCATAATGAGCTTCCTGCTGACCTATAGGATGGTTTACTACGGAGCTAAATGCCATTTGTGGGGCTGTTGGAGCTTCACGGAAAATAGTGAACTTAGCTTTCAACTGTTCTGCACATCTATACCCATCTGGTTTTGAGTTATTTGGTGCTGCATAGATAGTGAAGCTATTGGCTTTGCTCCTTTATTTTGCCACTTGACAGTTAATTATTTGGTGAAAGTAGTCAGCAAGTCTGCTAACACATATTTTTCAGTCAGTTCTTCCTGCTTTATGCTGTCACACTATGTAAAACATATTATTAGGGCTTCTAAAGATTTAGAACCTTACCATCTCAGTGAACTGGTTATTAAGGCCCAGTGCTGGTCCCGGCCTAGTTCTTTCCATGTCTTTCAATTTCTTTGCTTTTACTTTCTGAGATTGTCAGGCCACACAATCATATATCCTGAAACATAAATAAAATTATGTTGCTTTCAGCCAACCAACCAACCAACTCATCACTTAAATGTCAAATTGACTTCAATTGACTTTTGCAATGGAAGATTTTTTTTAGTGTAATTTGATTTTCTATTTTTTGTGTTAATTCCTAGAGTATTTTGTTTTTCTTTTACTCAGGATCATGATGGCCACTACAAAGCTCATATTTTATATCATATGTACTTTTTAACCTACTTTCCAAATCACTACAGAATTTTGGTGGGCCTTAGTATTTATGGTGGCAACATTCTCATACTTTTTATGTATCTATTTGGATTATTTTTCTGAAGCACATAGAGTTGTTTGTTTTAAGTTGAAGGGGAGATAGAGAAGGAATGCCAGGCATTTCCTTTTCCTTTTCAGAATGTCTTTTTAATGAACATTCCTCTTTCCTCCTTGTGAACAAACCATCTCAGCTCTCAGCAAGGGAACTCTTGAGTGTCTAGTTTCTAATAATCCAATCTCTTGCCTTTGTTCCCCAACTCTAGGGAGCTAGTTTCATACATTTAATATCTCTGCTTACCTCAGAGCTCCCTTTTAGCATTTACAGACTTAGAAATCTGTTTAACCAGTTCCCTATATTAAATTCTCTCTGTTAAAATAATGGCTGTACTTTGTTTTTCTGCTGAACCCTGAGTGATACATAGTAAATCATCCTAAAGAAATAATAAGATATACATACAAAGATTTCTATTCAAGGATGCCTATTCCAATACTGTTTGTAATAACAACATCAACATGACAAAAACCTTTAAAGGTTTTCTATTTATTTTTAATTATTTAAAATGTTAAAAGCCTTAAAACAGCTTAATAAGCAAAAGATGTTATCAAGTTTATTTCATTTTTTAGTGACTTGTGAGTTTTGACGTGTTCATGATTGCTGTTTATTTGTATTTCTGAAGATTGTGTATTTGTGTACTTTGCCCATTTTCCTATTGTTCATTTTAAAATTGATCCTTAGGTAATTTTAATTAAGAAGATTGACCTTGGGCAGGGCGCGGTGGCTCACACCTGTAATCCCAACACTTTGGGAGGCCGAGGCAGGCAAATCACAAGATCAGGAGTTTGAGACCAGCCTGGCCAACATGGCGAAACCCTGTCTCTACTAAAAATATAAAAGTTAGCTGGGCATGGTGGTGGCTGCCTGTAATCCCAGCTACTTGAGAAACTAAAGCAGGAGAATTGCTTGAACCCTAGAGGCATAGGTTGCAGTGAGCCAAGATCGTGCCACTGCACTCCAGCCCAGGCGACAGTGCAAGACTCCATCTCAAAAAAAAAAAAAGAAGAAGATTTACCTCTTGCCATGTGCTACAAATATGTTTTCCTTTTTTCTCATTTCTCCTTGAATTTAGTTTCTGATTTTTGATAGGTTTAGCTGCATTACCTTTTTTAAAACTATTTTTTGTTGTTGTTTGGATTCTATGCAAAGAAATTCCCTCATCAATCCCCAAACATCTTAGCTACTCTTCTTGAGGTTTTATTTTTAATGATAAAACCTTAAAATCCATATGTATTAATTTAGGTATGAGGTACAGATTTATAGTTAACAAAGTACCCTCAATTTGTATTGTTTCACTGATTTGAATAACCTTCTTTAAACATTAAATTCATATGAACTTGTGTCTCTTTGGAGACTTTCTCTTCTGTCTTATTGCTCTGTTCTTGATCTATTTGTTCTTGATCCATTATCTGTTTGTTCTTGATCCATTATCATACCTTTTTAATCATTGTAGATTTAGAATATTTCTTTAAAATATTATATAATGTACAGTTTTTTCCTTCAAAACTTTCCTGGATGTTCTTGCCTATTACTTATCCATATGAATTTTAAAATTATTCTGTTTCAAAAAACCATCCCATTGGAATGTCGATTGCCATTGCACTAGATTTATAAAATAATTTGAGAATTGCCAACTTGCCAATTTGAGTTGCTTGTCTAGGAATGTAGTATTATATTTAGGGAATTGTTTCCCCTTTTTTCTTTCATTTATTTATTGTTTAATTGACATAAAATTGTATGTATTTCTTATGTATAACATGATGTTTTAAAGTATATATACATGTGGAATGGTTAAATGTAACTAATTTACAAATGTGTTACCTCAGTGTTTCAGTAAATCAATTTAGGAGCATTCTCATTTACATGCCTGTGGTTCCCATAAAAATAGCCACCATTTTTCACATACTACTAAACATTTTACTACTAAGCATGCATGTAGATTCTCACATTCCACAAATTAGCCTTAAAGGGGTAAGGTAACTTCCTCACAGACACACAGCAAGGAAATGATGGGGGCAAGCAAGGCTCCGATTAAACAACCTCAGAGGACAGACTGAACACCAGCACCAACCTGCCTTCCAGATGTTTAGACACACAGATCAGATGCCTTGCCACTTTGAATCCTGGTTTTAGCTTCCTTGTGGTCAGTATGATTTAACTTAAGTAAATGTTTTTTCACCATAATATAGTAGCCAAGGAGACCTGATGTATATCTCTGGTTGTGGGGAAAAAAACGGAAAGTACTGAGGACCTCCAGTTTGGGAGCAGGTGGAGAAATAGGCCCTTGAGTCAACCAATGTTTGTAAGTAACTGGTTGTGAAGGCTACTTTGGGAATTTAAGCATTGCCTATTCCTACTTGCCAAGTACATAAATCCTTGGCACACACCAGACTTCATCACACACAAGTCCTTAACTTAGTGTTAGAATGCTCATCAGGAAGAATTGTGTTTAAGACACACTTGTCTCTTACTGTTTATCCAGAAGGTGTGCCATATGGCATGCTCATCATAGGTTGTTCAAGCCTAATTGTGTGGATATAGCTTCCTGATATGAATAATTATTTGATCTGTCATGTCTTTAACTCTCTTTCATAATGATGTAATGGCTTTACCTCCCTTGGCAGGGCTTTGTTACTATTCACTGATTGCTCTCCCCAGGTTCTCACTTCTGCCCTGTCACTAATTTTCAGTTTTTGTCTGTCTGTTGAGAAAGGATATTCTCAGCAGTAGGAACTGTGTATGCAGAAATTTCCTTTGATGGTGTTATTGCCGTTCTGGTGTGTGCAGGTATTATTTTATTTTGGAATAGATGAGAACATCAGTTTTTATCAAATTTAGTTAGGGTGATTTTTATAAAGTGAATCCTATTTTAAATTGGCCTTTTGTTGCTGTTGTGTGGTTGGCTGGTTGGGTTTTGTTTGTTTTGTTGTTTTTTAAAATGGAGATGAGGTCTCGCCATGTTGTCCAGGTTTGTCTTGAACTCCTGAGTTCAAGCCATCCTCCAGCTTCAGCCTCCCAAAGGACTGAGATTACAGGCATGAACCACCATGCCCATCCTGACTTTTATTTTTAAACACAGCTATGCTTTCCTGGTAAATATCCTCAGTTAGTTGGGTTGGAAATCTTGGGGGCAAGGCTCAAAAGAAAGCCCAAGTCCGTGATACAAACTGTGTGGCTGTAGGCAGAATCCAGGCTATGTCTTCCAGTTTCTCTCTCTCTCTCTCTCTTAGTGTTCCTCAGGTCATGCGTTATCTATAGTTCCAGGAGGTCCAGTCGCTCCATGTTCAGGGCTCCTCAGACTCAGTTTGCCTCTCTTGGACTGATTATATCATAGAGCTGTATGTGTTACAGTATTAACACCTTGTCCCCATAGGTGGAACTTTCATAGGAATTTTGCTATTTACTTGGACACTTCTGCTTGAAGCTTTAGGTTCGTAAAATGAATTTGTGCCATACTTGGTCCATTCTCAAAGGTTGATAATATATAAAATAAATTTATTTTAAATGACATCTAGCATCAGGTAAAGTACCATGCTGAGTAAATATTATTCTTAATTCAGAACTATGCATTCTGGGGATAGCAATTTAATGAAATTTCAAGATGATAAATATTTAAAATAATTCCTTATTTTAAATAGAACTGGAAATGCATCATTAAGCTGAAGCAAAAACAATTGTATGCTTTGGAAAATCAGTTGAAATTTGAAGAATTTGACTAAGAAATATGCTCTCTCAGATTTGTACTTTTAGAAAATTTTGTGTACTTTTTGTACAGTTCCGTACACAGTAAAATTACTGAAAAAATTCAAGATATGTACACTTTTAGAAATTACTTTGTTCTTTCCTTTTCTAGAAATCACTTACATATTTCAATGTTCCGTGAATTATATATATAATAAACATATGACTGTCTTACATTTTGGGCACTGTGTATCAAAAGATCACATGAGAAACTTCAAACATGTCATATTATTTTTTTAAGTTACCATTTTTTAAATTGAGTATATTGATAAGTTTACCAAATAGTTACAATTGAGAAAAATAATTTTGATTTTAAAATAAACTATTGCTCACCTTAAATGTATTGAAAACTTTTGATTTAGAGAGCAGCAGTTTTCTCTAAGACGTTTTATTATTAATATTTAGTTAAGTGTTAAGATCTATTCATTTATCCTACAAAGTGCTATGACTATTTTTATGTATTTATTCATCAAGGAAAATGACAGTCACGGAGTTTATATCCCAAACTATGAGTATGTTTGTGAATATGTTTTGTTTATTTTTACTTTTTGCCTTGGTACCCTTTCCAGGCACTTCTCCCGGCAACAGTGGCATTGCTTCTGCCTGTCATATGTTTTTTGCAATTGAGCTCTTCCATTATGTTTCCCTATAACAACCTATTTCATGCACATGTTCTAGCTGTTTCATCCAGCAATTAATTTATATAATCTTTCCTATAGGTTTTTAGTCAAAATGTTTTTCTTTTTTTTTTTTAATTACACTTTAAGTTTGTTACATATGTACATGTGCCATGTTGGTGTGCTGCACCCATTAACTCGTCATTTACATTAGGTATATCTCCTAATGCTATCCCTCCCCACTTCCCCATCCCACGACAAGCCCCAGTGTGTGATGTTCCCCACCCTGTGTCCAAGTATTCTCATTGTTCAGTTCCCACCTATGAGTGAGAACATGCGGTGTTTGGTTTTCTGTCCTTGCAATAGTTTGCTGAGAATGATGGTTTCCACCTTCATCCACGTCCCTAAAAAGGACATGAACTCATCCTTTTTATGGCTGCATAGTATTCCATAGTGTATATGTGCCACATTTTCTTAATCCAGTCTATTGTTGTTGGACATTTGGGTTGGTTCCAAGTCTTTGTATTGTGAATAGTGCCGCAATAAACATATGTGTGCATGTGTCTTTATAGCAGCACAATTTATAGTCCTTTGGGTATATACCCAGTAATGGGATGGCTGGGTCAAATGGTATTTCTAGTTCTAGATCCTTGAGGAATCGCCACACTGTCTTCCACAATGGTTGAACTAGTTTACAGTCCCACCAACAGTGTAAAAGTGTTCCTATTTCTCCACATCCTCTCCAGCACCTGTTGTTTCCTGACTTTTTAATGATCGCCATTCTAACTGGTGTGAGATGGTATCTCATTGTGGTTTTGATTTCCATTTCTCTGACAGCCAGTGATGATGAGCATTTTTTCATGTGTCTGTTGGCTGCATAAATGTCTTCTTTTGAGAAGTGTCTGTTTATATCCTTTGCCCATTTTTTGATTGGGTTGTTTTTTTCTTGTAAATTTGTTTAAGTTCTTTGTAGATGCTGGATATTAGCCGTTTCTCAGATGGGTAGATTGTAAAAATTTTCTCCCATTCTTTAGGTTGCCTGTTCACTCTGATGGTAGTTTCTTTTGCTGTGCAGAAGCTTTTTAGTTTAATTAGATCCCATTTGTCAATTTTGGCTTTTGTTGCCATTGCTTTTGGTGTTTTAGACATGAAGTCCTTGCCCATGCCTATGTCCTGAATGGTATTGCCTAGGTTTTCTTCTAGGGTTTTTATGGTTTTAGGTGTAACATTTAAGTCTTTAATCCATCTTGAATTAATTTTTGTATAAGGTGTAAGGAAGGGATCCAGTTTCAGCTTTCTACATATGGCTAGCCAGTTTTCCCAGCACCATTTATTAAATAGGGAATCCTTTCCCCATTTCTTGTTTTTGTCAGGTTTATCAAAGATCAGATGGTGGTAGATGTGTGGTAGTATCTCTGAGGGCTCTGTTCTGTTCCATTGGTCTATATCTTCATTTTGGTACCAGTACCATGCTGTTTTGGTTCCTGTACCCTTGTAGTATAGTTTGAAGTCAGGTAGCATGATGCCTCCAGCTTTGTTCTTTTGGCTTAGGATTGTCTTGGCAATATGAGCTCTTTTTTGGTTCCATATGAACTTTAAAGTATTTTCTTCCAATTCTGTGAAGAAAGTCATTGGTAGCTTGATAGGAATGGCATTGAATCTATAAATTACCTTGGGCAGTATGGCCATTTTCACAATATTGATTCTTCCTATCCGTGAGCATGGAATGTTCTTCCATTTATTTGTGGCCTCTTTTATTTTGTTGAGCAGTGGTTTCTAGTTCTCCTTGAAGAGGTCCTTCACACCCCTTGTAAGTTGGATTCCTAAGTATTTTATTCTCTTTGAAGCAATTGTGAATGGGAATTCACTCATGATTTGGCTCTCTGTTTGTCTGTTATTGGTATATAGGAATGCTTGTGATTTTTGCACATTGATTTTGTATCCTGAGACTTTGCTGAAGTTGCTTATCAGCTTAAGGAGATTTTGGGCTGAGACGATGGGGTTTTCTAAATATACAATCATGTCACCTGCAAACAGGGACAATTTGACTTCCTCTTTTCCTAATTGAATACCCTTTATTTCTTTCTCCTGCCTGATTGACCTGGCCAGAACTTCCAACACTATGTTCAATTGGAGTGGTGAGAGAGGGCATCCCTGTCTTGTGCCAGTTTTCAAAGGGAATGCTTCCAGTTTTTGCCCATTCAGTATGATATTGGCTGTGGGTTTGTCATAAATAGTTCTTATTATTTTGAGATATGTCCCATCAATACGTAGTTTATTGAGAGTTTTTAGCAGGAAGTGCTGTTGAATTTTGTTGAAGGCCTTTTCTGCATCTATTGAGATAATTGTGTGGTTTTTGTCTTTGGTTCTGTTTATATGCTGGATTACGTTTATTGATTTGCATATGTTGAACCAGTCTTCCATCTGAGGGATGAAGCCAACTTGATCGTGGTGGATAAGCTTTTTGATGTGTTGCTGGATTCAGTTTGCCAGTATTTTATTGAGGATTTTTGCATCGCTGTTCATCAGGGATATTGGTCTAAAATATTCTTTTTTCGTTGTGTCTCTGCCAGGCTTTGGTATCAGGATGATGCTGTCCTCATAAAATGAGTTAGGGAGGATTCTCTCATTTTCTGTTGATTGGAATAGTTTCAGAAGGAATGGTACCAGCTCCTTTTTGTACCTCTGGTAGAATTCGGCTGTGAAACCGTTCTGGTCCTGGACTTTTTTTGGTTGGTAGGCTCTTAATTATTGCCTCAGTTTCAGAGCCTGTTATTGGTCTATTCAGGGGTTCAACTTCTTCCTAGTTTAGTCTTGGGAGGATGTATGTGTCCAGGAATTTATCCATTTCTTCTAGATTTTCTAGTTTCTTTGCATAGAAGTGTTTATGTTATTTTCTGATGGTAGTTTGTATTTCTGTGGGATTGG
Source organism: Homo sapiens (assembly GCF_000001405.40). Taxonomy (NCBI): domain Eukaryota; kingdom Metazoa; phylum Chordata; class Mammalia; order Primates; family Hominidae; genus Homo; species Homo sapiens. Next base: position 89,443,928 of record NC_000012.12, on the reverse strand, counting down.
TGGTGATATCCCCTTTGTCATTTTTTATTGCATCTATTTGATTCTTCTCTCTTTTCTTCTTTATTAGTCTTGCTAGTGGTCTATCAATTTTGTGGATCTTTTCAAAAAACCAGCTCCTGGATTCATTGATTTTTTGAAGGGTTTTTTGTGTCTCTATCTCCTTCAGTTCTGCTCTGATCTTAGTTATTTCTTGCCTTCTGCTAGCTTTTGAATGTGTTTGCTCTTGCTTCTCTAGTTCTTTTAATTGTGATGTTAGGGTGTCAATTTTAGATCTTTCCTGCTTTCTCTTGTGGGCATTTAGTGCTATAAATTTCCCTCTACACACTGCTTTGAATGTGTCCCAGAGATTCTGGTATGTTGTGTCTTTGTTCTCATTGGTTTCAAAGAACATCTTTATTTCTGCCTTCATTTCGTTATGTACCCAGTAGTCATTCAGGAGCAGGTTGTTCAGTTTCCATGTAGTTGAGCGGTTTTGAGTGAGTTTCTTAATCCTGAGTTCTAGTTTGATTGCATTGTGGTCTGAGAGACAGTTTGTTATCATTTCTGTTCTTTTACATTTGCTGAGTTGTGCTTTACTTCCAACTATATGGTCAATTTTGGAATAAGTGCAATGTGGTGCTGAGAAAAATGTATATTCTGTTGATTTGGGGTGGAGAGTTCTATAGATGTCCATTAGGTCCACTTGGTGCAGAGCTGAGTTCAATTCCTGGATATCCTTGTTAACTTTCTGTCTTGTTGAACTGTCTAATGTTGACAGTGGGGTGTTAAAGTCTCCCATTATTATTGTGTGGGAATCTAAGTCTCTTTGTAAGTCTCTAAGGACTTGCTTTATGAATCTGGGTGCTCCTGCATTGGGTGCATATATATTTAGGATAGTTAGCTCTTCTTGTTGGATTGATCCCTTGACCATTATGTAATGGCCTTCTTTGTCTCTTTTGATCTTTGTTGGTTTAAAGTCTGTTTTATCAGAGACTAAGGTTGCAACCCCTGCTTTTTTTTGTTTTTCATTTTCTTGGTAGATCTTCCTCCATCTCTTTATTTTGAGCCTATTGTGTCTCTGCACATGAGATGGGTCTCCTGAATACAGCACACTGATGGGTCTTGACTCTTTATCCAATTTGCCAGTCTGTGTCTTTTAATTGGAGCATTTAGCCCATTTACATTGAAGGTTAATATTGTTATGTATGAATTGATCCTGTCATTATGATGTTAGCTGGTTATTTTGCTCATTAGTTGATGCAGTTCCTTCCTAGCATCAATGGTCTTTACAATTTGGCATGTTTTTGCAGTGGCTGGTACCGGTTGTTCCTTTCCATGTTTAGTGCTTCCTTCAGGAGCTCTTGTAAGGCAGGCCTGGTGGTGACAAAATCCCTCAGCATTGCTTGTCTGTAAAGGATTTTATTTTTCCTTCACTTATGAAGCTTAGTTTGGCTGGATATGAAATTCTGGGTTGAAAATTCTTTTCTTTAAGAATGTTGAATATTGGCCCCCACTCCCTTCTGGCTTGTAGAGTTTCTGCCGAGACATCTGCTGTTCGTCTGATGGGCTTCCCTTTGTGGGTAACCTGACCTTTCTCTCTGCCTGCCCTTAACATTTTTTCCTTCATTTCAACTTTGGTGAATCTGACAATTATGTATCTTGGAGTTGTTCTTCTTAAGGAGTATCTTTGTGGCGTTCTCTGTATTTCCTGAATTTGAATGTTGGCCTGCCTTGCTAGGTTGGGGAAGTTCTCCTGGATAATATCCTGAAGAGTGTTTTCCAAGTTGGTTCCATTCTCCCCATCACTTTCCGGTACACCAGTCAGACGTAGATTTGGTCTTTTCACATAGTCCCGTATTTCTTGGAGGCTTTGTTCATTTCTGTTTACTCTTTTTTCTCTAAACTTCTCGCTTCATTTCATTCATTTGATCTTCATCACTGATACCCTTTCTTCCACTTGATTGAATCAGCTACTGAAGCTTGTGCGTGCGTCACATGGTTCTCGTGCCGTGGTTTTCAGCTCTATCAGGTCATAAACGCTGTTTATTCTAGTTAGCCATTCGTCTAATCTTTTTTCAAGGTTTTTAACTTCTTTGCGATGGGTTCGAACATCTTTCTTTAGCTCAGAGAAGTTTGTTATTACCGATCATCTGAAGCCTTCTTCTCTCAACTTGTCAAAGTCATTCTCCATCCAGCTTTGTTCCGTTGCTGGCGAGGAGCTGCGTTCCTTTGGAGGAGAAGAGGCACTCTGATTTTTAGAATTTTCAGCTTTTCTGCTCTGGCTTCTCCCCATCTTTGTGGTTTTATCTACCTTTGGTCTTTGATGATGGTGACGTACACATGGGGTTTTGTTGTGGATGTCCTTTCTGTTTGTTAGGTTTCCTTCTAACAGTCAGGACCCTCAGCTGCAGGTCTGTTGGAGTTTGCTGGAGGTCCACTCCCGACCCTGTTTGCCTGGGTATCACCAGCAGAGGCTTCAGAACAGCAAATATTGCAGAACAGCAAATGTTGCTCCCTGATCCTTCCTCTGGAAGCTTCGTCTCAGAGGGGGACCCGGCCATATGAGGTGTCAGTCAGCCCCTACTGGGAGGTACCTCCCAGTTAGGCTACTCGGGGGTCAGGGACCCACTTGAGGAGGCAATCTGTCTGTTCTCAGATCTCAAACTCTGTGCTGGGAAAACCACTACTCTCTTCAAAGCTGTCAGACAGGGACGTTTAAGTCTGCAGAAGTTTCTGCTGCCTTTTGTTCAGCTATGCCCTGCCCCCAGAGGTGAAGTCTACAGAGGTGGGCAGGCCTCCTTGAGCTGTGGTGGGTTCCACCCTGTTCGAGCTTCCTGGCAACTTTGTTTATCTACTCAAGCCTCAGCAATGGCAGACGCCCCTCCCCCAGCCTTGCTGCTGCCTTGCAGTTCGATCTCAGACTGCTGTGCTAGCAGAGAGCAAGGCTCCATGGGCGTGGGACCCTCCAAGCCATGTGCAGGATATAATCTCCTGGTGTGCTGTTTGCTAAGACCATTGGAAAAGCGCAGTATTAGGGTGGGAGTGTCCTGATTTTCCAGGTACCATCTGTCATGGCTTCCCTTGGCTAGGAAAGGGAATTCCCTGACCCCATCGCCTGGGTGAGGCGATGCCCCGCCCTGCTTCGGCTCATGCTCTGTGGGCTGCACCCACTGTCCGACAAGCCCCAGTGAAATGAACCCAGTACCTCAGTTGGAAGTGCAGAAGTCACCCGTCTTCTGCGTTGCTCACGCTGGGAGCTGTAGACTGGAGCTGTTCCTATTTGGCCATCTTGGAACCTACTCTCCTCTAATTCTGTATTTTTAGTAGAGATGGGGTTTCTCCATATTGGTCAGGCTGAAAATTTTTTTCCTAAGTGTAAGGAGAAATGAATTTTAAGAGAATTTAAGCTGTTTTTTCTTAATGGGAAAAAAGTGAAAATGTACTAAAAATTTGTCTCTTTTCTTCCTACCTTCATCCTTCCCCCAGCCATTCCTCACACCAAGGTGGGATATTTGGATCTGACCATGGTAACTAGGATTTCCCTGTTTTCCTCAGACTTTTATGTACCTGGCATAAGAGAATTTGGTGCAGTGGTAGATACGTGGAGACTGGGGCCAACTAGCTTGTTAGAGTAGAAAGCCCAGTGCATGTAGAATCAATTACTCTTCTGTCCATATCTCTGCAGACCCCAAATGAGTGGAAGAAACAGAAAATTTTTCAGTGTGCTAACCAAAGATGAGCTGGATTTCCATGGGAGCTGAATTTAGGGTAGTGCATCTTGTGGTGTTAGCATCATGAAGGGAAATGACTCAGCTTAAGTCACGTTCAATGGACATTGTTCATTCATTTCACAAAAATGAACGTGTCGGACACTAGGTAGGAGCTGGGGATGGGGGATGCATGTGGGTTATAACGGTAAGCAAAAACTGTGAAAGTATGAATGTTAGTACAGTGAAAGTATGAATTGAAGGCAGTAATGTGTGGGATCAGAGAGAGTTTTCCTGGAAAAGGTATTTGAGCTGAGATCTAAAACCTTGCTACTCAAGGCCGGGCACAGTGGCTCATGCCTGTAATCCCAGCACTTTGCGAGGCTGAGGCAGGTGAATCACCTGAGGTCAGGAGTTCAAGACCAGCCTGGCCAAATGGCAAAACCCCATCTCTACTAAAAATACAAAAAAATTAGCCAGGCATGGTTGTACATGCATGTAATCCCAGCTACTCAGGAGGCTGAGGCAGGAGAATCACTTGAACCCAGGAGGCAGAGTTGCAGTGAGCCAAGATCATGCCACTTCACTCCAGCCTGGGCAATAGAGTGAGACTCTGTCTCAAAAAATAAATAAATAAAACAAAATAAAATAAAACTTTGCTACTCAAAATATGATTCATGGACAGTGTGCTTGAGCATCACCTAAGAGTTTAGTAGAAATCCAGATTCACAGGTCCCACCCCAGACCTACCAAATCAGACCCTGCATTTTAATAAGATCCCCAGGTGATTTGTGTGTGCATTAAAGTTTGAGAAGTGCTGATCTGAAGCATCAGTAGGAGTTGAAGTGAAAGGTTGGGAGAACTGGAATGTTCTAGGCAGAGGACGAATATATACAAAGGCTGTGTCTGTGGGGGAGCTTGTGTTACTTTAGGACCTGTAAAAAAAAGTCTGGGACCCAGAGATGGAGTGGGGCAAGGTGTTATGTGAGCCAAGCTTAGAGAGGATCATAGGAATCAGGCATGCAGGCGTTTTCATGATTTTGCCATTTGTAGCTTGAAAACAAGCTTCCTGCCAGTTGAAGAGACACATGGAAACCAGTTAAAAGAAAAAGTCAGTAGTCCAGACAAAAACTGAAGGTAGCTGGGATTAGGATCATCTTAGTGGAAGTCAAGAGAATGGAATTCGTTTGAGAGATATGTAAGCAGGGGTAAGAAGTGGGTTAGCAAAGATAATCCCTGGGTTTTTAGCTTATACAATGATGTGCCATTCATTGAAGTAGGGTATTTCCTAAGGGGACAAATTTGCGATTTCAAGTTCCGGTTTGGACATACCGAGTTTGACGTTCCTTTGAAACCTCCAGGAGTACCTATCAGACATGCAGTTGTGTACACATATCTGTAGCTTAAAGGAAAGGTCTAGAGTGGAAAGAAGAATAAGTGAGTATTCTGCATGTATGTGGTAACTGAAGCAGCAACCATAGATACAACTGCCTGAGTAGAAAGTATAGAATTAGAAGAGGGTTTGGGACTATTCCCTGAGGAATTTTAATAAAATGATCTGATGAAAGATGATAAGCCTGCAAATAAGGCAGAGAAGGACTAGTAGGTAACAAGGAAGCCAAAGAGTATGGTGTCATGGCAGCCAAGGAAGGATAGTTTCAAGAGGACGATGGAGTCAGCATTGCCAAAAGTCCAGAGAAAGTTTGAAAAATGTTTGATAATTTGGTGGAGATTATTGCTAACCTTTTGAAGAGCTTTTTGTTTGTTTGTTTGTTTGTTTGTTTTTGAGACGGAGTCTCGCTCTTTCACCCAGGCGGGCGTGCAGTGGCGCTATCACGGCTCACTGCAAGCTCCGCCTCCCGGCTTCACGCCATTCTCCTGCCTCAGCCTCCTGAGTAGCTGGGACTACAGGTGCCCGCCACCGCACCCAGCTAATTTTTTGTATTTTTAGTAGAGACGGGGTTTCACCGTGTTAGCCAGGATGGTCTCGATCTTCTGACCTCGTGATCCGCCCGCCTCGGCCTCCCAAAGTGCTGGGATTACAGGCGTGAGCCACCGCGCCCGGCCTGAAGAGCTTTTTTAATGGAGTAATACAGATGCGAACCAGTATGAAGGGAGTAGAAAAGTGAGTAGAGGGAAGGGTGAGAAAAGGAGTAAGCTATAATAGATTTTTTAATTTTTTTTTTTTTTTTGAGACGGTTTCTCACTCTGTCGCCCAGGCTGGAGTGCAGTGGCACAATGTCGGCTCACTGCAACCTCCGCCTCCCAGGTTTGAGCAAGCAATTCTCCTGCCTCAGCCTCTGGAGTAGCTGGAACTGCAGGCCACACCAACACTCCCTGCTAATTTTTGTATTTTTAGTCGAGATGGGGTTTCACCATGTTGGCCAGGCTGGTCTCAAACTCCTGACCTCAGGTGATCCACCCGTCTCGGCCTCCCAAAGTGCTGGGGTTACAGGCGTGAGCCACTGCACCTGGCCAATTTTTAAAATCTTATTTAGTAAATTTATTGAGTACCTGTTATATACCAAGCAATGAGAATGTACAAATGAAAGAGCAAGTTCAATAATAATGATATGGGCCTAAATTGCTATGGGGGTAATTAGTGGAGTGTTTAAATAAAGAAACTATATGGTGGGGGTGGGGGGGTCAAATATGTACCCGGAGAATTTGAGTGGAAGACAGAAAAGTTACAGATACAGCTTCCCAAAAGTGAGTGATACTTGAGCTGATTCTTTAAAAATTTGCCTGATAATAAGAGGAACGAGGACAGCTCAGAAAGTACAAGTCAAGAAGCCCTGAGAGGGGAGTGAATTCAGGAAACCGGACATTTCAGGTTTGCCTCAGCATTGCATGAGTTTGAGGAACAAGAAAAGATGAGGATGGATTGTGAATGATCTCGAATGTGTTTTGAAGGTTTTTGGAGGTATTTGGATTCACCCTAAGAATTGGGGGGACCAGTGAAGGATTTTCAGCCAGGAGAGTGACAAAAGCAAATTTGGATTTTAGAACAGTTACTCTGGAGATGTGAAAAAGGAGGGGTTGGAGGGAGATAAAACTAGAGGCATGGAGGATTAGGAGGCTATTGTAATAGTAATCCAGACATGAGGTGACAACTGTCTGATCGAGTGCTGTAGCATAGGGGATGAAGAGAGGAGACTGGCTCATGAGGTATTGAAGAGAGTCAATAAGTTCTGTTTACTGATTGTACATGGGAGAAGAGGGAAGAGTCAAGAATATCTCTCAAATTTTTGGCTGCTGGCTGGATAATGGCACTGTTTATTAGGACAGGAAGAGACAGGAGTTGGGTGTGGAGCATCCAGTACAGAAATCTGGATTTGAGAATCTTGACTTGATTGATTCAGACACTTGGTCCCACAGGGTGACCCGTAAACTGCTGCTCCATAGTATTCGATAATGATTATGATAAAGAGATGATCTACATTAATTGCACCTCATTTATCAAGAGGCATCATTAAAAGAATGCTTGTTTTTTTTGTTTTTTGGGTTTTTTTTTGGTTGTTTTTTTTTTGAGATTGAGTCTTGCTCCATCGCCCAAGCTGGAATACAGTATAGCGATCTCGGCTCACTGCAACCTCCGTCTCCCAGGTTCAAGTGATTCTTCTGCCTCAGCCTCCCAAATAGCTGGGACTACAGGCACATGCCACCAAGCCCAGCTAATTTTTGTATTTTTAGTAGAGATGGGGTTTTGCCATGTTGGCCAGGCTGGTCTCAAACTTCTGACCTGAGGTCATCCACCCATCTCAGCCTCCCAAAGTGCTGGGATTACAGGCATGAGCCATTGTGCCCAGCAAAGAATGCTTATTTGAATCATGCTGGTTATTTGGTAAATTCTGAGACTGAAATTTTAAATGGATAAAGCCCATCATGTTTAATGGCTATGAAACATAACGGGTTTTGTTTCGTATAAAGTATGTCATAATGTAGTGACATGCTTTAGTGGTATCATGACTTCCTCTTTAAAAACTTCCTGCGGTCGTGCACGGTGTCTTGTGCCTGTAATCCCAGCACTTTGGAAGGCCGAGATGGGTGGATCACAAGGTCAAGAGATCAAGAGATCAAGACCATCCTGGCCAACATGGTGAAACCCCATCTCTACTAAAAATAGAAAAATTAGCTGGGAATGGTGGTGTGCACCTGTAGTCTCAGCTACTCAGGAGGCTGAGGCAAGAGAATCGCTTGAACCTGGGAGGCAGAGGTTGTGGTGAGTCGAGATCGTGCCACTACATTCCAGCCTGGCGACATAGTGAGATTCTGTCTCAAAAAAAAAAAACAAACAAACAAGAAAAAAACTTCCTGCTTACTCATCTGTGTGTATGTTCATACACACACATGCATATGCGTGTTTGAGAAAAGATATATTATCATAATTCTTCATCATTCTGATTATAAAGTAAAAGAATCTAGCTCATATTCTCTTTGACTCATGGCATCTATGAAAAGTATTTTTGAATTTTATGGTTAAATTTGAATGTTATTTTTGGTGGGCCATTTTTCCCCATGGTAATTATAGGAAAAAAAATCTTTCTATGTAAACATAGCCATTGTTTTTATTATCTTTGCTTTCTGAGTTTCTTCCACCAGCAAAATAAGAAAGGAGGAAAACACCTACATGATTTTACACGTGAAAATATATGGAGGAAAAATATTTAAACTGCATCATGTTATCATAGAATCTTATTTTTTGTTATTTATGATGAAGGATTTGATACTCTACTCATAAGCAATTTAAGAATGCTATTGTGGCTGGGCACGGTGGTTCACGCCTATAGTCCCACCACTTTGGGAAGCCAAGGCAGGTGGATCACCTTAGGTCAGGAGTTTGAGACTAGCCTGACCAATATGGTGAAACCCTGTCTCTACTAAAAATACAAAAACTAGCTGGGTGTGGTGGTGTGCACCTGTAGTCCCAGCTACTCAGGAGGCTGAGACAAGAGAATTTCTTGAACCCAGGAGGCGGAGGTTGCAGTGAGCCGAGATGGCACCACTGCACTCCAGCCTGGGCAACAAAGTGAGACTCCATCTCAAAAAAAAAAAAAAAAAAAGAATGTCATTCTTCCTGGAGATTTTTATGCCACAGTTTTTCAACTGTATCCAGTTATATAATCTTTATCATAGGGTTAAATATTTTTTATTAATTTCATAGATCTAATTGTTTGATGTTAGATTGGCTTCCTATATTATTGTTAGGAAATCATTTTTCATCCAGTAAAACAATGGAACTAGATTTTTAAAATAGATGATAGATCTTTGTCTGCTAAGTTTTTTTAGAAAAAATATTAAATACATTTTTCACTCAGCTGCCTGAAAATGAAAATCTTTTATCCCTTTTAAAACTACATCTGAAAATATCTTATTTTTTTCTTTGGGGTTTGTTGAACAGTGTGAAAGATAACTATAGATCTTTGCCTTATTCACTTAGCATGTTGTGTAAAAGATTCTTGTTGAATTTGTTATGGAACAGATAATGAGGATGGATCCCTTACTCTGAATGCCCTTCAAAGTGTAATGGCACAGTTCACAAAAGAAGTAATGGCTACTTGTTTTCCCTTTTGAGTTTGCAGGAAATTTTATGCAGAAAGTTGGTGTTATGTTCATTTGGAGTATCATTAATTAAGATCCATCTGGTGCAGTGCACTTTTAGATCAGCATACAGCATTAGGAAGTAGATCCTCCTTTGAGGAATTAATGGTTTGTGTTTTCTTAATCATATAAGAAGTGAAACATAGAAGGAAATTTTTATACAGATTCCATTTGTCCTAGCTGTATACTACCCATTAATGGCTTCAAAATTAATAGGTTTCTCTAGAGATTATAATAAAGATTAAAGACAAAGACAGACAGTAGACTTGTAGCCTCAGCTGTCTTTTCCGAGGTGACTGAATTAATCATTTGGATATTTCAGTTGATAGCTACATGGTATATTTTTCAAGTCTTCTGATAAAAATGCAATTTCCAATTTGCTCTCAAGAAGAAAAAGCAAAGTCCTCTATAAAATCTTATCCCCAAAGCTGAAGGTTCTTTCTTTGAGAAAAAGATGTATGTTTTCTCCTGAGGGACAAACAAGTCTTAATTCAGCAAATTTAGTTTGGAGGACAAAATTTCACATGACATTTTTTGATTATATCCTAGTCATACTTTTAAGTCAATCAGACTTGATCAGATGAGTATGTTCCTACAAGGATACATAATCCACTGTTCAGAAGACAGAAAATTGTCATTTTTTCCTTCAGGATCAACAGCCTATGTTTTCAAGAATGTTAAGAATTGAAAATGAATTCTTTGTTGTGGTCCTGTGACAGCCCCATCTGGGTGAGTCTGCAGTTCCTTTTTCTGTTTCCCTAATGGATCCATCCACTCCTTAGTCAACATTGGCTTTTGATCTTAAGAAACGAACCAAATTTAGAGCAAAACTCTGAGTCACTTCTGAAAGGCAGCCATCCTCTTTGTCAAGATTCTCAGATGAACTCTGTGACTATCCGAGTCCTTTGTGCTGATGGCAAACTTAGTGTAAAGCCTCCCACTCTTTGGCCAACACTCTTCTAGTCCTCCCATTTTGGTAATTCGTCAGCCCCAGAAAGGCGTCCATCCAGCAAGCCTCCTGCTTTACACTGCCTGCTCCCTGTGTCTGGGCCTCCTTTACCCAACTTACATTCTGTGGTCCATCATTACATCCATGGTCTTGTCCCTTTCTCCCTCTGTTATCCTCACCTAGAAAAATGCCAACCTGGGTTAAATCTGTTTCTCTGGCTCCTTCACACCTACACCCAAGGGGCTGGATTTGACTAGACAGCCATCTTGGCTCGTCTCACCATAAATTTATTTACACAAAGCTCCATGGGCACTCAGCCACTGTCTATCCAGCCCATTTATCGAGTAGTTATCCCCTCACTCTCCTGTGTCATCAGTGCTCTCTTTATGCTTGCTCTTTCTATCAGCACACATTTGTGATATATTTCTCATCTTTATAAATGAAAACCTCATTTGGCCCCTCATCCCTTTCCAGCTCCTGTCTCATTGCTCTTCTCCCATTTATAGCAAAAGTCTTCTAAAAAAAATTGTTGCTTAGATTCACTGTCTTTATTTCTTCACTTTGCATTCTTCTGAGTGCTATCCAATCAAGCATTCATCCCCACTCTTCCATTCATGTCAGGGTCCGAAGGACTCATCTCGGTCCACCTGTGTGTGGCACTTGATCCTGGTGATCACTGTTTCCTCCTGGAAGCTCTTTCCTCACTTGACTTCTGGGCCAGTAGTCTTCAACCTCAAGGGCCACCAGTCACCTTTCCTGCTCCTGCCTTCTAAAGTCTCTGCAACTCTTCTCTTGTTTGGCTCCTTCCTAGTGATCATAGACCCATGGATAAAAAGATCTACGTGCCAGTAACTCCCAAATTTATATTTCTAGACCCAGCTTCTCCACAGAAATCTAGAATCATATATTTCCAATTGTATTAATGACTGTTCCCCTTGAAAGTCTGATAGGCCTCTCAAACATAACACGTCCAAAATTTATTCTTTACCACTTCTCCATAAAATTTGCATCAGCATAGCTACATCATAACACAGCACATTGCTTAGCTTTATTTTTCTTCCTAACCCTTGTCACCTAGCATTACATCACATATCTACATATTTACTTTTCTCCTTCACCCACTAGAGTATAACCATGATAGCAGGGCCTCTTTATTCACTCCTTGAGGTAGGCAGAACAACCATTCCTCTCAAAAATATTTATGTCTTCATCCCCAGAATCTATGAAAATGTTTCCTTACATGGCAAAGAGGGCTTTGCCAATGTGATTAAGTTAAGGCTTTTTTTTTTTTTTTTTTTTTTTTTTTTTTAAGAAACAGAGTCTCGTTGCCCAGGCTGGAAGTACAGTGGCTCGATCTGGGCTCACTGCAACCTCCACCTCCCAGGTTCAAGTGATTGTCCTGCCTCAGCCTCCTGAGTAGCTGGGACTACGGGTGCATGCCGCAACACCTGGCTAATTTCTTTTGTATTTTAGTAGAGACAGGGTTTCACCGTGTTGCCCAGGCTGGTCTCAAACTCTTGAGCTCAGGCAATCCGCCCACCTCGACCTCCCAAAGTGCTAGGATTACAGGCATGAGCCACCATGCCCGGCCAAGTTAAGGCTCTTGAGATGGGGAGGTTATCCTGGATTATCTGACCGGGCCCCATATAATCACAAGGGTCCTTATACGGAAAGAGGGATTCATGAGAATTAGAGAAGATATAACAATTAAAGCAGTTATTGGAGTGATGCAGCCATGGGCTAAGGAATGTGGACAGCCTCTAGAAGCTGGAAAGGCAAGGAATGGATTCTCTCCTAGAGCCTTCAGAAGGAATGCAGCTTACTGACACCTTGTTTTTAGCCCCGTTAATCCTGTTTTGGACTTGCAATCTCCAAAACTATAAGATAATAAATCTATGTTGTTTTAAACCACTAAGTTTGTGGTAATTTGTTACAGCAGCAGTAGGAAATGAACACAGTCCTGTATCTCTGGCACCTGGAATTTTGCCTGGCACATAGGTGCTAAATAAAATAATTTTGCTTGAACAATTGGCATATATTCATTATCTTAGATCTTATGTAGAGATTATTGAAGTTTCCAATCCCTACTCTAAATTTTATCATTGAAAATAAATGATATAGTCTTTCTTTGAAAAATATTTGCTTTTATTTTTGTCCAAGGCAAAAGGCTTTTTTTGTTGTTATTCTAGTCTATTTCAGGCAGACGTTTTATACATACGTGTGTGTGTGCATGTGCGTGTGTGTGTGTGTGTGTGTGTAGTGATTTAAAAATCTCAGAACATCAGGAATAAAAAGGGCTTTAAAAGGCATTCAATTGAATTTCCTGATTTGATGTTTGTATATCTTTCACAATATCTCTGACAAATGACCTTCCCAAGTCTATTTTAGAACCTTCAATAATGGGAAACACTTTGGCTTAGATATTTTCTGCCTTTTATCTGTTTTCTTCTCTACTTACAGAATTAAACCAAGAGTAGAAATGTTAGTTGTAAACCAAAACTAACTTATTTTAACCAACTGATTGAATGTATATCTAAAGTTCAAGTCACTGATTATCTTTACATGTGAAATGCCTACTTTTGCACTCACATTTGTTAGAAAAATCCATCTGTTATTCAGCCAGAAGCTATCAAGTATGCCTTTAGGGGATAAAAATCTACCAGTGATTTGAAGTTAGATAATATATGCTTACATTGCTTCCTCACTGTACCTCTGAGAAGGCATTTAAGATTGTAATTTTTAATAGAAAATGGCATTAGTTTAACTTTGGGGGGTAATATTTCTCTTCAAATACTATCAAATTGCTAATATTTAATTTTTTGTGATTGGCTCAGCTGATGCAGGACAGTCCATTAAATTCAGTTCAACCAATGTGGAGCTTTGTCTGTGTCTCATGTGCTATGCCAAGCACCTGAGATGATAAAGTTACTGACCCCACATGAGGGGTTCATAATCTAATGGGGAATACGGATATGTAAACACAAATATAATAAGGAGTGAGAAATCCTCTACTGATGGCACGAAGTCTTGTGGGAGTGAAATGGCACTAGTGATTAATTCTGACTCGCCAGCCCAGAGGGTGGGTGGTGGAAAGGGTGGTGGTAGAAGGAGAGAAGAGGAAAGGAGGAAGGGGAGTAGATATAATGTATGAACTTTCGCACGTAGTTGAGCACCACAGTATCTTGAATATTCCTTTGTTAATTATGTAAATAATAATAGTTTAGATGTGTGGACCATGGTTATGTTGTTGAATGGTTAATTTTCTAATAAAAATGTGTTTGGCAATGCGAAAATTTTCAGTTTTCATTGATGCATTAAAATAATTCATCCTCAAAAATAAGTGACAAATGAAGATGTATGCATTAGAATTAACCATGGTATTTAAAGAACCTTTTAAGAGTCATTTGTCCCCAGGATGTGATATGTTTTGTATTCAGTTCTCAGGACTTTCGTAGTTCTTTGCATCAGTCAGATCTGTATCTTTTACTCCATTTCATTTGTTCAGGTGAAAAGTGAGTCCTTTTGACCTATATAGATAAGGATTTCTCAGCCCTTAGATTCATTCTTTGCCCTTGGTGAGGCTGCATTTCCCATCTTCAAGATGGCAACCATGGGGTTATCCAAAGAAGAACTTAAGAATAGTGATTGCCCTGCCATCCTTTTTGATAAAGTACTTCCCCAGAGTATTGTAAGCTCCATGAAGGAAGATACCATGTCTGACTTGTTCTTTGCTATAGCTCTAATGCCTACCATAGGAGGTCCTTATTTGTAGGATCAATCAATGATTGTATTACTATTGCTTCACTGTATCACACAATGTTAGCAATAGAAGTAAGAGGTGGGAAATGAGAACATGATATAATTTCTTCTTTTTATGAACTACCAAAGCATTTGTTTTTTCTGCAGTCTTGCAATCATGTGTTTGCTTATGTTCTGTCTGCTTGTTTATTTCCTGCTCATTCAGCAGTGCCAGAGATGAGCCAGGCATTGTGGGGGATTTGGGCCCTGCCTGGTCTGAATTCTCTCATCGCAACAGGGAATCCTTGAGAGCGGGCATCATACCATACGTACATTTATCATTGTATGATAGTATGTATAGATAGATGCTCAGTAAGTATTTACTCAGAACTGAATATTAGCACCTTTGAAATAGGAGAGTATCTCAATGTGCTGAGAGAAGCAGGTACTACAGACTCACTTGCTGGACTTCTATCAGCCAGGAATCTTAAACACCATGTTTTTCCCTTTGTACCTTTTTAAAAAATACTTATGAATGGAATGTATTGAACCTCCCCCATGCTGTGCATCTCACTTTTCTCCTGTACAAACAGGATGTAAAGACAGGGTTAGTTGGTAGAAAGCTATCTGCTAATACCTAGGTTTCAATACCTTTGAGAGACAAAGAGAGATGTCAGTTGGCTAATGTTGTAGGATGGAGAGCTGGCACCCTTTTTTCTCTCTGCACATATGCTTTTCCCTTTTTTCTTTCATTTCCATATGTCATATGATAATAATATATTTTTTGCTTGTGCCAAACAAGAAAACCTATTGGAGCTCTTTTATTGCTTAGATTGTCTATGGTCTTAAATCATCTTTGCCAATTTTCCTATTGTCCTTTCTATACTAACGACCTTGACTGCAAACCTCCAGAGTTCAATGAATGATTGGGGCCTTTTTCCAAGAAGGTCTGAAGCTGTTATTACAATATGATTAATAATATTTGTGGCCATGTATGTACATACTTAGATATGTTGTGATCCATATTTTTTCAAAAAAACTGTCTTGGTTATAGATAATTTGGTTTCCACCTGTGAGAGCAATAATAAAATCTGCATACAGCCGGGCTCAGTGGCTCACTCCTGTAATCCCAGCACTTTGGGAGGCCGAGGCGGGCAGATCACGAGGTCAGGAGATCGAGACCATCCTGGCTAACATGGTGAAACCCCGTCTCTACTGAAAATACAAAAAAGTAGCTGGAGGTGGTGGTGGGCACCTGTAGTCCCAGCTACTCGGGAGGCTGAGGCAGGAGAATGGTGTGAACCCAGGAAGCAGAGCTTGCAGTGAGCTGAGATTGCGCCACTGCACTCCAGCCTGGGCAACAGAATGAGACTCCATCTCAAAAAAAAAAATCTGTATACAAGTGGTTAACATTTTCTAAAATATTCAAGCTTCTGCTAAGTACTAGAAATGATCCAAGGGATACAGTGATGAGAAGAGTAAACATAGTAGTCTAGTGAGGGAGACAGACAATAGACAAGCAGCAAATACATAAATACAAATTCTGGTCAGTTACAGAGGAAAGCATCAGGATGCCATGCTGGAGAATGAAAGGTCCAGCTTCAGTAGGGTAGTCAGGGCAGGGACTGCATTTCTGAAGATGGGACAGTTAAGCTGAAATTTGGAGGTCAAGAAGGATGCAGTCATGCTAGGATGGCAGAGAAAGCCATTGCAGGCAGAGCAGAAGCAATGTTTTTTGTTTGTTTGTTGGTTTGTTTTTTAAAGCCTGTTCTTTGAGCAGGAACTATTTGTTTGGGGGTGAGGATGGTTGTGGAGCATGGACATCCATATTTTGTTCCCAGTGAATGAGGTCTAGGATCAGGAATGTAGACTATGATCATGAGTCAAGATTTCTTAGAGAATCCTTTGTATTTCCATACTCACCTCTACAGTGCTCCCATTTTAGTCCTTGCTGTCAGCTCAGTAGCTGCAGACCCATGTAGATAAGTGCTGTATGTTGTCTTCCTAGTTCCTTTAGCTCAGAGCATGAATAGGTGGTTGGTCCATAGATGCTTCTAAGTATGACTGAATAGCATTAAAAATCCTTTATGTTAACTTGATCTTTCAGAATCTGTGATTGTTAGGAGCCTTTCTTCTGGACGTTTTCAGTACAGTTTTAGCTTTTCTCTGTCATAAGGAGTTGAGTAACTCGAAGTGATACTAATAGGATCGTTTTGAGGATGTGGTTTTGTTTTGTTTTGTTTTGTTTTTAAGAGACAGAGTTTCTCACTCTGTAGCCCAGGCTGGAGTGCAGTGGTGCCATCATAGCTCACTGCAGCCTCAAACTCTTGGGCTCAAGCCATTCTCCAGCCTCAGCCTCCTGAGTAGCTAGAACTACAGGCACACACTAGCATGCCTGTCTAAGTTTTTTATTTTTTTATTTTTTGTAGAGATGGGGTCTCCTTATGTTGCCCAGGCTGATCTCAAACTCTTGGCCTCAAGCAATCCTCCCATTTTCGTCTCTTAACACTTTGGGATTACAGGCATGAACCACTATGCCCTGCCCTTTATGATCCATTTTGAGTTAATTTTGTAGATGGTGTGAGGTAGAGACCCAAATTCATTGTTTTGAATGTGGATATTGGGTTTTCCTCACGCCATTTGTTAAAAAGATAATTCTTTCCAGATTAAATTGTCTTGGCAACCTTGTCAAAAATCAACTGACCATAAATGGAAGGGTTTATTTCTGCACTCTCAGTTTTGTTTCTTTGATTTATATGTCTATTCTTATGTCAGTGCCACACTGTCTTAATTACTATAGTTTTACAATAAGTTTGGAAATTTGGAAGTATGAGTCCTTCACATTTTTTTCATCAATATTATTTTAGCTGTTATGGGTTTCTTGCATTTCCATATGAGTTTTAGGATCAGCTTATCAACCTCTGCAAAAAAGACAAATGGGATTTTGATAGGGTTTGCACTGAATCTGCATATCAATGTGGGGAGTATTGCCATCTTAATAATATTAAGGTTTTTGATTCATAAATTTGGGATATGGGATGTTTATTTGTTTAGATCTTTTATTTCTTTCAATGATGGTTTGTATAATAGTTTCCAGTACACAAGTCTTACATTTCTTTTTTTTTTTTTTTGAAACATGGCCTTGGTCTGTCACCCAGGCTGGAGTAAAGTGGCGTGATCTTGGCTCACTGCAACGTCTGTCTCCCAGGTTCAAGTGATTCTTTTGCCTCAGCCTCCCAAGTAGCTGGGATTACAGGCGTGTACCACCACACCTGGCTAATTTTTGTATTTTTAGTAGAGACTTTCACCATGTTGGCCAGGCTGGTCTCAAACTCCTGGCCTCAGGTGATCCGCCCACCTTGGCCTCCCAAAGTGCTGGGATTACAGGCTTGAGCCACCACACCCAGCCTTACATTTCTTTTGTTAACTTTTTTCATAAATATTTTTTATGCTATTCCATTGTAAATGGAATTATTTTCTTAATTTTATTTTTGGATTGTTCATTGCCATATGGAGGACTTTCTGTTTTTCTCTTGTGGTAACATATACATAATGTAAAATTTATCATTTTAACCATTCTTAAGTATACAATTCACTGGCATTAAGTATATTCACAGTATTCAGTGTTTTATAACCATCATCACTATCTATTTCCAGAATTTTGTCATCATTCCAAGTAGAAACTCTGTACTCATTGAGCAATAACTCCCCATTACCCCTACCTCCAGCCCCTGGTAACCTCTACTGTACTTTTTGTCTCTAGGAATTTACCTATTCTAGGCACCTCATATAAGTGCAGTCACATAGTCTTTGTCCTTTTGTGTCTGGCTCATTTTACTTAGCATGTTTTCAAGATGTATCCATGTTATAACATGTATCAGAATTCCATTCCTTTTTATGGCTGAATTATATTTCATTGTATGTTTATACCACATTTTGTGTATACGTTCATCTATCGTTGTTTCTAGCTTTTGGCTATTGTGAATAATGTTGCTATGAACATTGCTGTACAAGTATCCAGTTGAGTCCCTGCTTTCAGAGTTCTCCTGGATGTATACGTAGGAGTAGAATTGCTGGATCATATGGTAATTTTATGTTTAATTTTGGGGGTAACTAACAGCCAAACTATTTTCCAAAGCAGCTGAACCATTTTACATTCCTACTAGCAATGGACAAGTGTTTCAGTTTCTCCACATTCTCACCAACACTTGTTATTTTTCATTTTTTTGATAATAGTCACCCTAATAGATGTGAATATTGTTTTTAAATTAAGAATTAAACTGCATCTAACAATCTTTTTAATGGTAGATCCCTCAGATCAGTGTATGGAAAGTGTGTTTCATTGAAAAGAAAGTCAAGGAAATTGTCTCTATTCACTGTTAGCTTTGTTTCCTTATTATAAGAATTATAATAATTCCTTATTTAATTATAGTAATTTCCATAACTTATTATAGTTGGGGATAAATCTTCAATGTAAGCCTGGGCTTTTTAGAAGAGGAATATTTTAAACTTTTATATATATCATTTTAAAGTTTGGAAAATATAACTCTTCCTACATTTTCTGTGACATTAAAGACAACAGAAACCAGTGGTAGGACTCTGCCAGACAAGGGTGAAGAGGCCTGTGGATATTTCTTGAACCCTTCCTTAATGTCACCAGAATGTTTGCCAACAACCACGAAAAAGAAAACAGAAGACATGAGTGACCTCCCCTGTGAAAGTCAAAGGAGCATACCTCTCGCTGTGACTGATGCTTTAGAGCATATTATGGAACAACTCAATGTTTTGACACAGGTGGGCATGACACAGGTTGCATGAGTTGCACTTGGGGGTAAAATACACAAAACAATTCTGGATACAGCAAGTTGCAGAACTAGCAGAGCAGGGGAGATTTCTCTATACTAGCAAAGCAAACTCAAGGTGGCAATGCCCTAAACAAGATCTTGTAGAGATAAGCTCAGAGCCTATGCATTTGTGTGCACACGTGCACACACACACACACTCACACAGCTTAAGCCATTTGTAAGAAAATATTTAGAGCCATAAGAAAAATGTATTGGGAGTAACCATTTCTGGTTAGTATGAAATATTGCTAATGTTTATAGTTTTTTACTTTGAAAATGTTCTCACTGTCCAGTATTTAACTTCTCTTATCCCAAAGCCTCTTACCTTGATGCAGTGATCTTCCAGGCATGATGGTTTTGCATTCCCATGTTAGAATATTATCCACTTTTTTGAGGCCAGTTTACCTTTGCAAAGAAAAATACAATGCATCTTAAATAATATACCAAAATTCTTGGTTACAAGGTACAGACATAATTTAAGGGAAGTGGTATGTTGAAATGCATACACCAAAGGTTTCTCTTCCAACTCTGTTGATTCATTGTTCCCTTTGAATAAGTCTTCTCTTCTTCCTCTTTGATGTGTAGAATGAGAATACTAAATACTAATATTTGTCAGAGTGGACAGTAGCAAGTTATATAAAAAGATGGTAAAATATGAACTACAGAGATGTCAATTGCTTGTCCAGAAAAATATTTCAAATAGAAATAGCTTTTGCATAGAAATCACCCAACTGGTTCTCAACCCTGACTGTACATTATAATCATTAGAGCAGCTAAAAAATGTACATATACCTGGTTTTCACCTCCAGAGAGTCCATTTCCATTGGTCTGGGATAAGCCCCTAGCATCAGTCTTTTAAGAACCCACATATGATTCTGTTTTACAGCCAGTGTTGAAAACCACTAATTTAAGTGAATATTTTTATCCTGTAGTTATCACCTCAGGGCCTTTGGAGGCATCTGACAGATTGTGAGAAAGAGCCATGTGAGAACTTGGAGTCATCATATGATTTGCTCAATGAAAATCATATTAAAAATCACTCACTTTCATTTTGTAATGTTGTACTAGACGTGACTTTCTCTATATTTATCAGACATCTCTTTTCCTTAAAGGCCATTGCCCTCTTCCCTTCATGTCAAATTTAGTTGTAGTTGGTTTGTTTCCCATATTGCCATAACTTCCTCACCTCAACTGTTACCTTTCAACATTGAGTTCTCATTAGGGTCCCTCCGAAGTGAATCCTTCCATTCCCTGTTCTTTCAGTTTCATGACCTATTTCTCCTCCTTTTTACCAGATTCAAAGCTAAATAAATCACTTTAAGCTGTACTGAATTTCTCTATGATTTTTAATTTTTAGGGGATGGATTCATTTTACATATTAAAAAGGTTAGAAGCAGGCACAACACACTTGCAAAAGGGGAGCAGTGAATCTGTGGGCAAGCAGCAAGTAAAATAAATGTGTTCTGATTTACTTTAATTACAGATGACTTAACATCACCTAACTAAGTTGGACGGTGTTTATCGTTACTGAACTATAATTAGAAATAAATTTAAATGAAATTATGTTTTAGATGGTAGACAGATGGAGTTAACCAGTGTTAAAGGTGTTAATAATAAATGTATAAATAACTTCTAGCATTTGGAACTGTGATAATGTATAAAAGTGTCTGAAGGGCTGGGCACAATGGCTCACACCTATAATCCCAGCACTTTGGGCAGCCGAGGCAGAAGGATTGCTTGAGCCCAGGAGTTCAAGACCAACCTGGGCAATATAGTGAGACCCCATTTCTTCTTTTATTCTTTATTATTTAGAGACAGTGTCTCGCTATGTTGCCTAGGCTCGTCTAAAACTCCTGGGCTCAAGCGATTCGCCCAGCTCGGCCTCCCAAAATGCTAAGACCTCATTTCTACAACAACAACAACAGCAACAACAAGTTAATTAGCCGAGCAGGGTGGCACGCACCTATGGTCACAGCTACCCAGGAGACCGAGGTGGGAAGATCACTTGAGCCCACGAGGCAGAGGTTGCAGGGAGCTAAGATCAAGCCATTACACTCCAGCCTGGGTGACAGACTAAGACCCTGTCTCAAAAAAAAGTGTGTAATAAAATGCTTGGCACATAGTAGGCACTCAGTAAATGGTAGACTGTATTAACAGCATCACCATTATTTTTCATTAGTAATGATCTATAGATAATATAAAATATGAAGGCAAAAGCTATTAAATAATATCTTTAAAAATTGGTTGCATTCAAAAGATGATAGGGATTCCATTTTTTTATCTTAAAACTGGTTGACTAAAATACCAAGCAAGTGTCATGCCTTTCCTGTATGAACTCTACCATTAGGTAACCAAATAGTAGATGAGGAAAATGTCTCTTACTTATTAGTTATCCCAACTAACAGAATGTTTTAATAATAGAATTAGAATATCATCATTTGCAAACTCCAGGAATTAATAGATATAGACATTGAGTCACTATGACATTCATGAGAAATGACCAAACATTATTAATCTGCCTTCTAATCAGAGAATAGGCCACCACCTGTAGTCTTTCCAAGGCATGTAACCTGATCAAGCCTTTGGATCCAATAGCCAACTTAGAGAATGTACAGAAGATGGAAGAACAGGCTGAGCTGCACCCTGAGTGTGCAGTTTCTGAGCTTGACAGATGGCCTGAGCTTATCAACAGAGAAATTGTAAAGAAAAGAGAGGGAGAGGGTGGGTACCTGTAGATTAAGAGAGACTTTAAGTGACACATTAATTCTTGACATGCGAAAGAAAATTTTAATGTCTAGGGATGTACATCTGAGAAATAAAACCATAAAGAAACACAAGAAAGCAATCATTGTAAAGGTCAGGATAGTGGCTGTTACAGAGGGCGGGCAAGGAAGTCGTGGTAGGCACGTGGAAGGCTCCTCTGGGGTGGCTGGCAGAGTCTAGTTCTTGCTATGGGTGATGGTTTTGAGGATGTATTTCTTATAAGAATCCATTAAATAACACATGTACCTTGTGTGGGTTCCTGAATAATCTATGTTTCATTTTATAATAAGTTTTTTTAAAAAAAAAAGATACAAAAGAATGAAGGCAGAGTAGCCAGTATCACAAAAATTAGATATCCCAAGTTTAACATATATATAAAACATATGTTAACATTTAATATATATATGTATATGTGTTTGTATATGTATTCTGGATGTGTTCTAACTCCTTCAGCTAATAAGTGAGTACAGGATTATTCAAACCGTGTGTGTCCAACACTAGCGTAAGCATTTTACATGCATTATTTTATTCAATCCTCCTAACAACTCCACGAGGTAATATTAGCATCTTCTGTGTGAGGGAACTGGAGGCGATTGTTAGGATATTTTCAAAGCAATCTAGCCATCCATCTGCAGTGCTATAGGTACGGTTTGCCATGGATTGGATTGTGACAGAATGAGTAGTGATGACATTTCAGTGGCATCTGGCTGGCATGTGGAATTTCGCACCCCCTCCCCTTCTCCACTAAGTGTGTAGCTTATGGCACCACTTAGAACGCTGTGTGGCCTCTTCCCTGGTTTTGGTGCTTTAGAAGATCAGGCATAAGAGGTCTGATCTTCCACTGCTTTTTTTCTCAAACACATCAGTTTGGGTTTTTTCTTTTTCTTTTCTTTTCTCCAACTGCTTGATAATGCCTTGCCCTATGGTTGGGCCCAGAAGCACAGCAAGTTCTGGGGCTCATTTTTGAGCCAACTTCTTGGTAGAAGGGTGGGCATCCCAGTTCTTAAAAGGATTTCCTATGCAGAGATTGTCATTGTCATCCTCACCACCAGAGGACCAGGCATTGATTATTTTATCCTCCTTTTTGCAGACTGTTTCAATCTTGGAGCAGCGACTGACTTTGACAGAGGATAAGCTGAAAGACTGCCTTGAAAATCAGCAAAAGCTTTTCAGTGCTGTCCAACAGAAAAGCTGAATAAAAAATTCATTTTCATTTGTTGGGCAGAGGCCCAATAAATGAACAAATGTACATACACTCAGGAAGGTAGTACAAGATACTCCATACAACACAACCATGTGCTATTTATCATGGCATTTCTTAAAAGGGTGAGCAACAGAACAAAAGGCAGAAAAGGCATACCTAAGGACTAATTTAAACACATATCAATGTGAAGGACTAATTTAAATTACTATCATTTATGATTGCAGTAATAAAGTGATAAGCATTCAAGCAACTCTGTATTTTCCCCATATTATTTTAAATGTCCATTTTCATTTATAGGCCAAATCCTGCCAGGAAAGTAACCAGATCTCTGGATTTCACTGTTAAGTCATTTCAGATTGACCATATTCAGACAGTCATGGGGTGAAATAATTCACTTACCTCCAAAATAGCATCCTATATGCCAATAATGAGTTATTGATCTGACTAGTTGTATGTCTTTCTGTTCAAAATAGAAATTATCCTTTCTTACTAATGCCTTGAAAGAATGAACAAATAAAAATTCCCAGACCACAGAATTTCCACAGCAAGAATACACTTATTTTAATTAACAATAGCACAGATATAGCATAGGGCAGTGGGTTTTTTAGTTAATTTATGGCGTACTTTGTTTATCCATTGGCCAACCTGAAGGAAATGAAACTCACCTATCTTTCTATCACAGATGAATGTGCTAGATGAATGATTTGGGTTGTATCTGATCATGGTTCACAAAAATTATGTTAGTGTGTTTTCAGTATGCTAAAAAGTCAGAGTGATACAAAAGTGATATTTAAAAATATACACACATGTATGTACACATGCTTCAGAAATATTGTTGCTTAGGGTGATTTGGGCAGCTAAATAGTAAGTACTTTTTAAAATTTTTGCATCATCATCTTCCTATTTAATGAATTGTGATTTAAAACAAAATGAAAATAAGCCAGGTATTCTAAAAGATCCTGGATACAAATTAAGAATTTTGCTTTATTTTAAACCAAATTGAGATTAAATTGAAGAAAAGCAAGCAAATTAATTTCAGCTTGATTATCAACCTGTATCAAGAACAAAAATGGGAGGAGGTGTCCACATTTATGGTGTGTATAGGTAACATGGGGAAAATGCTATTCTGTGTTTTGGAAAAGAAGAAATAGTGCCGTCCTATTTATTTCTATATTTAGAAATTTTTCTCAAAGAAATTTCAATTGTATCTATGAGATGGGTTTCTAAGTATCTTATTGTGTGTTATAAGTGCCTTTTAATATCATACTAAGTGTGAGCTTCTGGACATTTTCAAGAGCTTACAAAAACTAAGTGGCATTGTATTTTTATAACCCCATTGAGAAGACTAAGTAAGAAATGAAATGTCCTATCAATTTTATTTTGTCATGCTTCAAACAATAAAGACATTTCTGCTTTAAAAGAAAAAGTTGTTCCTTTTCTTTTTAAATGATTAAAACCCGGAAGTACTAAACATCTTATCATCCAGCTCACTCAGTCTTTAATGTGTGTGCGAATCTTCTGGAGAGCTTGTCAAAACAGTTTCCTGGGCCCTATCTCCAGAGCTGACTCCATGGGTCAGGTGGGGCCCAATCATTTGCATCTCTAACAATCTCATAGGTGATGCTGATGCTTTTGGCCTGAGGTCCACACTTTAGGAACCACCTGTAGCCACTTCTTAGAACCTGATGTTGCCACATAGTTTTTACAGTCATCACAGAACTTTATAAGTGATACAAAAATAGTGATGATATAAATGCAGATGCCTTGAAACTTTTTCAACAGACTCAATTTTTCTAACTTCCCTCTTTATTTATTTATTTATTTTTAGCATTTGAGGAATCTCCTTCATCTTCATCAGATTCCAGCCCATCCCTTTCCTAACTTGAATATCCAGCTGCCTGATCAGCGTCTCCACTTGGAACTCTAACAGGCATCTCTAGATAGGTCCAAAACCAATTTTTCTGCCCTCTACCTCTAACTCTGCACCCCAGCCAGCATCACTAGCAGCTTCTTTCCTGGACTTGCATGTGTCAATAAAATGACAGCTTTCCTTCCTGTTGCTCAAGCTGAAGACGTGGAATCCTCTTTGATTCTTCTTCACACCCCACAGTTCATTCCTTCAGGACATTTTGTCAGAATGTAGAAAACACCTGACCACTTCTTACCACCTTCATTTCCCACCATGATCCAAGCCACTAATCTCTTGGCTGGAAGACTACAGTTGCCTCCTATCTTATTCCCTTTGTGTTGCTATAGAGGAATACCTGAGGCTGGATAATTTATAAAGAAAAGAGGTGTATTTGGCTCATAGTTCTGCACACTGCACAAGAAGCATAGTGCAGATGCTTCTAGTGAGGGCTTCAAGCTGCTTTCACTCATGGTGGAAAGTGAAGGAGAGCCAGCAGCACATGGTGACAGAGGAGGAAGGAAAGGGGAGAGTGGTGCCAAGTTCTTTTTAACAGTCAGTTCTCACAGGGACTAAGACTGAGAACTCACTCTCTACTTCGAGGAGGGCACCAAGCCATTCATGAGGGATCCACCCCCATGACCCAAACAACTCCCCTTAAGCCCCATCTCCAACAGTAGGGATCAGATTTCAACATGAGACTTGGTGGGGCCAAACAACCATATCCAAACCATAGCACCTCCTGACTGGTCTCCCTGATGTCACCCTTGCACAGCGGGCCACAGTGGTTCTTGAAAAGCCTGAGTCAAAGCACGTGGCTCTTCAGCACAGAACACTTCAGGGCTTCCCATTCCAGAGTAAAAGGCCAAGACGCAACTTCTCCTCTTTAAACTTCCCTTTCCTTCTCCTTGAATAATCCTCACTCACCACCCTCTGGCCATAGCGGCCTCTTTGCAACCCTTTGAAGAAGCAAAGTGTTCCCTCCTGAGGGCATCTGTACATTTCCTCTGCCTAGAACTTTCTGCCCTCAGGCATCAATGCCTTAAAACATTCAACCTTTGCTCACCTGGTACCTGTTCAGAAGTGCCCTCCCTGACTGCCCAAGTGACCCTCCATTCACTCCCTGACCCTTTGCCAGGCTTCATTTTCTCCAGTGCACTTATTACCATCTGACACATACATCAGTTCACACATGTCTTCCCCTGGTAAGCAACTCCGCATTGATGGATCTTACAGCTGAGAACGGTTTCCAGTTTGTAGTAGGCACACAGCGTATATTGTGTGAATATAGGATAACAATAAGTTGCAGATTTTTTTCCTCCACCCCTGAAGCAGCTTCTCAGCTATGATTAATTCCTGAGCAGAATGCCTCAGCAGCCCATTTCAAGAAACTAAATTTGATGTGAGTGGCTGAGCAGGAGTGAGTCCTCAGGATATCTGTGATAGGGGAAAAACACCAAAGGAGCCATATTAATCTTCAGCCACATCATCTGATACTATCACTTCCTTCTTAGTGAGTATGGCTCAACCAAATAGAATATAATAGGATTTCTCTATATCTGTCTTCCTAGCTGCTACAGATAGGATTATTTTCTTGCACATAAATATTTCTCTTGGACTTATACAAGTTGTTATAGTAGATGTTAAAGGTTTTACAGACTTTTTTAAAAAAGATAACTTCTCATTTGCTTGATGTATCTATTAAGCAGAGGCACATTAAATTTTTTTAAAGTTTATTTGAGCAACAGTGACTCACGAATCAGACATTGCCAAACTGCAAGCCGTTTGGGCTCCCCTGAAGGGAGTGCAAGGGGAAAACTTTTATAAGGTGTTTGAGGAAGCAAGACAGAAAATATTTGGATTGGTTAAAGTGGAACAGCAGCCTTAAAGTCTCTAGGTGGAGATTAGTTGGTGGGTTCTGATTTGTTAAATATGGTCTTCCTAGGATATGACCACTTACTCTGAGTTAGGTTTCAGTTTGCTTACATAGGATCTCTGGGCGCTAGAGCTGCCTCAGTGTAATGGGCTCCCAATTAATTATTTTAACAAAACAAAGGTTAGTTTGTATCTCATTTACAAATAGATTATTTCTTATTTTAATCTTGAAGATTAGTTTATTTAAATAGTACAGAAGAAAATAGGAAGTTCAATTAGTGAACTTTAGTGGAATATGTGAAAATAATTTCAGGGAAGATTTTGTTTATTCAATAATTATGGAATATACTTAAAAACTACTATGTGGAAAGAAGGTAAGTTGATAGGCTTTACCTTTCTAACAATATGTGATTATTTAGTTGATAGGACCTCTGGGTCCTTTACTAAGGCTTTGGAATTTTAATACAAACTTGTGCTACTCATTGCTTCCAGAGACAGAGCAAGCCACTTGCCTGTGGGATGAACACAAATCCAGCTGCTGAGCTGTTTTGCTTGGCTCATAGTTTTTAAAAAATAATTTTTATTTACCTACTGACATTTAAAAGTTGGAAATTTTATATTAACTAAATTAGGTCTCTGGCTTGTCTTAAGAAATCAGAAGATCTGCAACTATTGGGCCTGTATTCCTCCATGGCAGCAATGAACTAGGGCAGGGTGAAGCAGACATACACTACTCCATATTGTCTCCATCCCCCTCCACTGCTAAACATTACCTGTCTGGCCTCTGCCTAGTTAACACTGTAGATATCCAAGTCTTTCACATAGTGTTCTAAAACTGCCACCATCTGTCCTCAATCCTTACCTTTTCGAGGTTATTTTCCGAGCATGCCTCCTTTTCTACATTCTTTATCCCTTCCCCCACAATCATGCATCTTTTCCTCAGCCCTGCTGAACTTTTCACCATTATGGGATGAAGCACCTCTCCCTTCCCAATTCCACTTATATTGAGCATGCTTTTTCCCTGTCACCCTACATAACTCTTCTCTTCCTGGAAAACCCCTATTCATCCTTTAAAAGGCAGCTTGCGTATCCCTTCATTCTTTTTCTGTTGTGCTTCCTCAGCATTCTGTGCTTATCTCTGGTACAACAGAGATTGCAATACAGTTGCAGCTCTGCCTCTTCCACTATGACTTAACCTACCCAAAAGGCAGGCGTTGTCATCTTTAGATTCTCCACCTAGTGCGTTGTCTGGCTCATAGGAGGAGCTCAACAATTCGTTCTTGAATAAATGAGTATTTTTTATTTTCATTTATTGAAGTGTTTCTTTCTAAAACATTGCTCTATGCTTCACTTAAAGCCAAAAGCAGTTAAAACTAGGGCGGGTGGGCTGGAAGAAATAGGATAGGCAAACATTTAGACACTCGATATTTGGGGCTAAGTGGGCACTGCTATAACCTGCCAGTTGTTAGATAGCTCAGCAGTTACGTAGACAGTCTTATAAGCCAGAAAAACTTGATGCAAATTCTGGCTATGCCATTTTCTAACAGTGCGACTGTCAGGGAAGGTATTCACAAAGCTTAGTTTCCTTAACCATAAAAGGTGAAAATAATAACGTGA
This sequence comes from Homo sapiens, assembly GCF_000001405.40. Lineage (NCBI taxonomy): Eukaryota > Metazoa > Chordata > Mammalia > Primates > Hominidae > Homo > Homo sapiens. The sequence continues at coordinate 89,415,745 of NC_000012.12, read as the reverse complement.
ACTGCATTTGTGAAATGATTAGCACAGTAGCTGTCACGGAGTAAGTGATCAATAAATGGTAGCTATTGTTGTTATTATTTTCTTTATTATTTTTTTTTTTTTTGAGACGGAGTCTCGCTGTGTCGCCCAGGCTGGAGTGCAGTGGCGCGATCTCGGCTCAGTGCAAGCTCCGCCTCCCGGGTTCACGCCATTCTCCTGCCTCAGCCTCCCGAGTAGCTGGGACTACAGGCACCCGCTACCACGCCCGGCTAATTTTTTGTATATTTAGTAGAGACGGGGTTTCACCATGTTGGCCAGGATGGTCTTGATCTCTTGACCTCGTGATCCACCCGCCTCGGCCTCCCAAAGTGCTGGGATTACAGGCGTGAGCCACCGCACCCGGCTATTATTGTTATTAATAAATCATTTTGTTTCTCTGGACTCCATTTCCAAAAAGTATGATTTCAACTGTAACTACTGAAATCAGATACAGGGACTGTTACTAAGTGGTAGTGAATAAATGTGTGATATTTAATTCAAAGCGAATGTTGCATTTTTAAAAATTTAACAAAAAGAATGATTATATAAAAGAAATTAGCCTTTCATACATAGAAAACCTCAAAGTTCTGGCCAAATGCTGGCAATTGAGCAACTCCTGAGGAATTCAGCCTTAGAAGACTAATGTCATAATTATCCTAAATAAAAGTGAGGCAAAAACCAGAAGTGGGGGAAGGGCTTGGAATGTGAATCAAGTAAATGTCATTAAGAAAAAGGCTTGCCTGGAACTCAAACTATTTTTGCCCTTTGACCATTTGGAGAACAGGTATTATCTGCTTACTGCCTTTTCTCTAAAGACAAGATAGTACGGACCCTCACTTAACATTTCATTTATATGTAGAGCAAACTTGGAGGCTGTTAGTCCCATGAATTCTATGCATCTAAGAGGATTGGAAGATAAACTATCTGTTCCTGGGTAGAAATAGTTGGCTGCTGAGACAAAAAAAACAGTTATTCTAATATTTGAGGGTTATTGACAAATCTGATCAATCTATGAGCAAATTTAATAATAAAAACAGGTGGGTCTCTAGTAGATTTTTAAGTGAAATTATATAATTGATATGCTTCATTTTCCTTGATGGCTTATACAACTCTTTGCCTTAGCAAGTCACGAGGTTTTAGACTTCATGCACCAGAGGATTTATGAATGTACAGTGAATCTAGGAACACAATGTAATTGCCAGGTTGTCCTCCATAAGCCCCAACTGTGACTCAGTCAGGTAACACAATTGCAGCCTGAGCTTACTAGGAAAATAGGTCAATGGCTTGCCAAGAGGCAGAGGTTAATGGGAAGCATGGGTGGCAGGGGTATGTGCACAACTACTTTTTTCTTTGCAAGGTACATTAGTTGCATTTTCTTCGGAGTCAAATCTCAAACGTGTTCCTACTAAAAATAAACATTTGATTTGAGATTCTTCTCATTATAAAATAGATTTACAACAAAAGCAATAGGAGAAATAACGATCACCTAAAAATTCTAAACTTATAAAACAAAAAATACATGAATAGAAAAAATTGGCTGGGCATGGTGGCTCACACCTGTAAGCTCAGCACTTTGGGAGGCCGAGGTGGGCGGATCACTTGAGGTCAGGAGTTCAAGACCAGCATGGCCAACATGGTGAAACCCCATCTCTACTAAAAATACAAAAAATTAGCCGGGCATGATGATGGGCGCCTGTAATCCCAGCTACCTGGGAGGCTCAGGCAGGAGAATTGTTTGAGCCTGGGAGGCGGAGGTTGCAGTGAGCCAAGATGGTGCCACTGCACACCAGCCTGGGCGACAAAGCAAGACTCCATCTGAAAAGAAAAAATAAATAAATAAATAAATAAATAAACAAATAAATAATTGGCAGAAATGCAACACAAAATTGGGAATATCAACATTTCAAAAGTAGAATTTAGTTCACACAATACAAAGGTAATAAGGCAGACTTAACATATATGTAAAAAACTGCATGGAAGTAAAAAAAAATTCACTTTTTTGGCCAAGGGTATCTTAAACAAAGCTTGGTCATATTCTGAACCACACAATGTAAGGGTTAGTCAAAACTCTATATGCCAAATATGCAGAAAGTATATCATAAAAATGGAAATAACTAAAAATGCTCAATCACACAGAAAATATGAAAAAGAAAACTTAAACTTCACTGAACAACGTCTGTGTGAGAAAGGAAACCCCAACATGTAGTAAAGAGTATTTTAGAATAAAAACAGGCTGGGCATAGTAGCTCACATCTATTATCCCAGCATTTTGGGAGGCTGAGATGGGAGGATCACTTAAGGCCAGGAGTTGGAGGCCAGCCTGGGCAGCATAGTGAGACTCCATCTCCACAAAATTTTAAAAATTAATTGGGTGCATTCCTATAGTCTTAGCTACTTGGGAGGCCGAGGCAGGGGGATTGCTTGAGCCCAGGAGTTCGAGTCTGCAGAGAGCTATTATTGCACCAGTGCACTCCAGCCTGGGTGACATAGTGAGACCCTGTTTCTAAATTTTAAAAAAGGAAGAAAAAAGGCAAGGCATGGTGGCTCCCACCTGTAATCCCAGCACTTTGGGAGGCTGGGGCAGGTGGGTCACGTGAGATAAGGAATTTGAGAACAGCCTGGCCAACATGGCGAAACCAGGTCTCTACTAAAAGTACAAAAATTAGCTGGGAATAGTGGCGGGTGCCTGTAATGCCAGCTACTGGGGAGGCTGAGGCAGGAAAATTTCTTGAATCCAGGAGGCGGAGGCTGCAGTGAGCCGATATCATGCTACTTGCACTCCAGCCTGGGTGACGAGAGTGAGTGAGACAAAGAAGGGAGGGAGGAAGGGAGGGAAGGAGGAAGTAAGGAAGGGAGGAAGGAAGGGAGGGAGGAAGGAAAGGAAGGAAGGAAGGAAGGAAGGAAGGAAGGAAGGAAGGAACATGTGTTTCTCTCCCTCTGATGGTTTCATGAACTCGAAACCAAGACATGGCAGGATGAGAGAGCATCTATGGATTTTTAAGTATTTATTTCAGAATGCTTTTAATACATTAAAAACTTTTTTTTTTTTTTGAGACGGAGTCTTACTCTGTCGCCCAGGCTGGAGTGCATTGGTGCGATCTCGGCTCACTGCAACTTCCACCTCCCGGGTTCAAGCGGATTCTTCTGCCTCAGCCTCCCGAATTGCTGGGATTACAGGCACCCACCATGCCCTGCTAATTTTTGTGTTTTTAGTAGAGACGAGGTTTTATCATGTTGGCCAGGCTGGTCTCAAACTCCTCACCTCAAGTGATCCACCTGACTTGGCCTCCCAAAGTGCTGGGATTACAGGTGTGAGCCACTGCGCCTGGCCTACATTAAAAACTTTTGAAAACTACAAAAAAAAAAAAAAGAAAAAAGAAACAAAGAAAAAGAAAAAATAATGCCAGCACGGATCACTTTGAGATGAGACACCCTTACTTAAGAAACGACTACTGTTTACCCAAGATACTTCTGTGGCCAGGAGAAAGAAGAATAAGAAAGCTCAGCAGGGCAAGGATTTGTGAAGCTCGATGCCAGATACGGAGGGGGAACAGTCCAAGGTTGTGGACAAGGACTTCTTGCTGAGATTTGCATCTCTTAATTCTGATGAAACACTATCACTACCTTAGGTTGTTTCCCCTGCTTAATCCCCAGAGGAAATCCCTTTGCTTTTCAGAGATAAAAAGTTAGCAGAACAAAGACGAAGTCAGGGGAAGTGCCTGGGCCTTTTGCTATAGAATTCCACTGAAGCCTTTCCAAGCCTAGAGGATAGAACCCGAGGTCTATACTATTTATTTCCACACCTGGATTGAATATCAAGGTCTGTGAGAAGATAAATCATTTAGAAACCTGATGTTCTTGCAAGGGGGTGTTGCTTTTTCAGAACACTAATAACAACTGTGTCAAAGGCAAAAATCACATGAAAAGTTCAAAGTTGTTAAATCCCCCTTCTTCACCGCTTTCAGCAAGTGAGAGTTGGAGAGTCTCACAACTGGTGATGTTGATCATTCCTTCTCTGAAAAGGAGAGATTAAAGATGCAACATTGAGGCGGGAGGAAAAGAATCAACTGCTTGAGGTGGCAGTTCTTACTCACGAGAACATCTAAGACTTTCATTATTTTCACCTTAAACTGAGTGATTAAGGCAAAAGACACAGGACTTGATTTTGAATCATATGTGATCCTGAAAAATACATTTGAAAGGACTTGAGGCCTAGGAGGGTCCTAATTTAGTAGCTTCCAATCCAGTACAAACTTATTCAAGAGAGCACATCAAAGCTCAGCCCATTCCCAAGGGCATTTCATTTTTGGAATCAGCAATGGGAAGTAATTATAATGTGCATATAAAACAACCAGAGATGATAAAATTCTAGGCAGCGTGATGCCTCCGGCTTTGTTCTTTTTGCTTAGGATTGTCTTGGCTATATGGGTTTTTTTTGGTTCCATATGAAATTTAAAATAGTTTTTTCTAATTCTGTGAAGAAAGCCAATGGTAGCTTGATGGGAATAGCATTGAATCTATAAATTACTTTAGGCAGTATGGCCATTGTCACGATATTAATTCTTCCTATCCATAAGCATAGAATGTTTCTCCATTTGTTTATGTCCTCCCTTATTTCCTTGAGCAGTGGTTTGTTGTTCTCCTTGAAGAGGTCCTTCACATCCCTTGTAAGTTGTATTCCTAGGTATTCAATTATCTTTATAGCAATTGTGAATGGGAGTTTGCTCATGATTTGGCTCTCTGTGTGTCTATTATTGGTGTATAGGAATGCTTGTGATTTTTGCACATTGATTTCATATCCTGAGACTTTGCTAAAGTTGCCTATCAGCTTAAGGACATTTTGGGCTGAGACAGTGGGGTTTTCTAAATATACAATCATGTCATCTGCAAACAGAGATAATTTGGCTTCTTCTTTTCCTATTTGAATAGCTTTATTTCCTTCTCTTGACTGATTGCCTTGGCCAGAACTTCCAATACTATGTTGAATAGGAGTGGTGAGAGAGGGATCCTTGTCTTGTGCCAGTTTTCTTTTTCCTTTTTTTTTTTTTTGAGACGGAGTCTCACTCTGTTGCCCAGGCTGGAGTGCAGTGGCGGATCTCGGCTCACTGCAAGCTCCGCCTCTCAGGTTCACGCCATTCTCCTGCCTCAGCCTCCCGAGTAGCTGGGGCTACAGGCGCCCGCCACCATGCCCGGCTAATGTTTTGTATTTTTAGTAGAGATGGGGTTTCACCGTGTTAGCCAGGATGGTCTCGATCTCCTGACCTCGTTGATCTGCCTGCCTTGGCCTCCCAAAGTGCTGGGATTACAGGTGTGAGCCACCGCGCCCGACCTTGTGCCGGTTTTCAAAGGGAATGCTTCCAGCTTTTGCCCGTTTGGTATGATATTGGCTGTGGGTTTGTCATAAATATCTCTTATTATTTTGAGAGACGTTCCGTCAATACCTAGTTTATTGAGTGTTTTTAGCATGAAGGGATGTTGAATTTTATCAAAGGCTTTTTCTGCATCTATTGAGATAACCATGTGGTTTTTGTCACTGGTTCTGTTTATGTGATGGATTACATTTATTGATTTGAATATGTTGAGCCAGCCTTGCATCCCAGGGATGAAGCAGACCTGATCGTAGTAGATAGGCTTTTTGATGTGCTGCTGGATTCAGTTTGCCAGTATTTTATTGAGGATTTTCACATCGATGTTCATCAGGGATATTGGCCTGAAATTTTCTTTTTTTGTTGTGTCTCTGCCAGGTTTTGGTATTAGGATGATGCTGGCCTCATAAAATGAGATAGGGAGGAGTCCCTTTTTTTCTATTGTTTGGAATAGTTTCAGAAGGAGTGGTACCAGATCCTCTTTGTACCTCAGGTGGAATTCAGCTGTGAATCTGTCTGCTCCTTGGCTTTTCTTGGTTGGTAGGCTATTAATTAGTGCCTCAATTTCAGAACTTGTTGTTGGTCCATTCAGGTATTCGACTTCTTCATGGTTTAATCTTGGGAGGGTGTATGTGTCCGGGAATTTATCCATTTCTTCTAGATTTTCTAGTTTATTTGCACAGAGGTGTTTATAGTATTCTCTAATGGTAGTTTGTGTTTCTGTCGGATCAGTGGTGAGCTCCCCTTTATCATTTTTTATTGTGTCTATTTGATTCTTCTCTCTTTTCTTCTTTATTAGTCTGGCTAGCGGTCTATCTATTTTATATGATACAAGGCTACAGTAACCAAAACAGCATGGTACTGGTACCAAAACAGATATATAGACCAATGGAACAGAACAGAGCCCTCAGAAATAACACCACGCATCTACAACCATCTGATCTTTGATAAACCTGACAAAAACAAGTAATGGGGAAAGGATTCCCTGTTTAGTAAATGGTGTTGGGAAAACTGGCTAACCATATACAGAAAACTGAAACTGGACCCCTTCCTTACATCTTATACAAAAATTAACTCAAGATGGATTAAAGATTTAAACGTAAGACCTAAAACCATTAAAAACCGTAGAAGAAAACCTAGGCAATACCATTCAGGACATAGGCATGGGCAAAGACTTCATGACTGAAACACCAAAAGCAATTGCAACAAAAGTCAAAATGTGACAAATAGGGTCTAATTAAACTAAAGAGCTTCTGCACAGCAAAAGGAACTACCATCAGAGTGAACAGGCAACCTACAGAATGGGAGAAAGTTTTTGCAATCTACCCATCTGACAAAGGGCTAATATTCAGAATCTGTAAGGAACTTAAACAAATTTTCAAGAAAAAAACAAACCCTTCAAAAAGTGGGCAAAGGATATGAACAGACACTTTTCAAAAGAAGACATTTATGCAGCCAACAAGCATATGAAAAAAAGCTCATCATCACTGGTCATTAGAGAAATGCAAATCAAAACCGCAATAAGATACCATCTCACACCAGTTAGAATGGCGATCATTAAAAAGTCAGGAAACAGGCCAGGCGCGGTGGCTCACGCCTGTAATCCCAGCACTCTGGGAGGCTGAGGCAGGCAGATTACGAGGTCAGGAGATCGAGACCATCCTGGATAACATGGTGAAACCCCGTCTCTACTAAAAAATACAAAAAATTAGCCGGGCGTGGTGGCAGGCGCCTGTAGTCCCCAGCTACTTGGGAGGCTGAGGCGGGAGAATGGCGTGAACCCAGGAGGTGTAGCTTGCAGTGAGCCGAGATCGCACCACTGCACTCCAGCCTGGGTGACAGAGCGAGACTCCGTCTCAAAAAAAAAAAAAAAAACCAGAAGTCAGGAAACAACACATGCTGGAGCAGTTGTGGAGAAATAGGAACGCTTTTACACTGTCGGTGGGAGTGTAAATTAGTTCAGCCATTGTGGAAGACACTGTGGCGATTCCTCAAGGAACTAGAACTAGAAATACCATTTGGCCCAGCCATCCCATTACTGGGTATATACCCACAGGATTATAATTCATTCTACTATAAAGACACATGTACACATATGTTTATTGCAGCACTATTCACAATAGCAAAGACTTGGAACCAACCCAAATGCCCATCAATGTTAGACTGGCTAAAGAAAATGTGGCACATATACACCATGGAATACTATGCAGCCCTAAAAAAGGATGAGTTCATGTCTTTGGAGGGACATGGATGAAGCTGGAAACCATCATTCTCAGCAAACTAACACAGGGAACAGAAAACCAAACACCGCATGTTCTCACTCATAAGTGGGAGTTGAACAGTGAGAACATATGGGCACAGGGAGAGGAACATCATACACTGGGGCCTGTCAGGGAGTGGGAGGCTAGGGGAGGGATAGCATTAGCGGAAATACCTAATGTAGATGATGGGTTGATAGGTACAGCAAACCACCATGTTACATGTATACCTATGTGACAAACCTGCACGTTCTGCACATGTATCCCAGAACTTAAAGTATAATAATAATAATAAATCCTAGGCTATGTTTATTCACTATTAGTGCAATCATTTGGTGTTTTAGCCTCATTGTAACAATTAAGTTGCTGCATAGTCAAAATGTCTTATAAGCAGTTCTTCTTAACCCCTTTATATGCATCCTTGCTCCAGTGTTGATCAAGTTGGCTCCTGGGTTAGCTGAAGTTACAAACTGACAACCAATAGACATGTTTTGTTTGGCCCCTGCAGTGATTTGTTTTGGTTTTCAAATTAGGTGCCAATATTTAAATATCAATATCAAGTGAATGGCTGGGCTTGGTGGCTGATGCCTGTTATCCCAGTACTTTGGGAGGCTGAGGCCCATGGATCACTCGAGGTTAGGAGTTTGAGACCAGCCTGGCCAACATGGTGAAACCCCCGTCTCTACTAAAAATACAAAAAAAAATTAGCTGGGCATGGTGTCAGGCACCTATAATCCCAGCTACTTGGGAGGCTGAGGCAGAAGAATCGCTTGAACCCGGGAGGCGGAGGCTGCAGTGAGCCAAGATGGTGCCACTGTACTCCAGCCTGGGCAATAGAATGAGACTCCATCCGCCCACCCTCCGACACACACCCCCCAAAAAAAGAAAAAAGAAAAATCAATATCAAGTGAAAATCTAGATTTCTGGTTTCCTTTTTTTTTTTTTTTTTTTTTTTGAGACGGAGTCTCGCTCTGTCACCCAGGCTGGAGTTCAGTGGCATGATCTCTGCTCACTGCAACCTCCACCTCCCAGGTTCAAGCAATTCTCCCTGCCTCAGCTTCTTGAGTAGCTGGGACCACAGGAGCCCTCCATCACGCCCGGCTAATTTTTGTATTTTTTAGTAGAGACGGGGGTTTCGGCATGTTGGCCAGGCTGGTCTTGAACTCCTGACCGCAGGTGATCCTATCGTCTCCACCTCCCAAAGTGCTGGGATTACAGGTGTGAGCCACTGTGCCCGGCCTAGATTTCTGGTTTCTGTTGAAAAATTGGAAGACCTGGTATTATCTTATATATCACATATTATATATTATATTATTACGTATCGGGCATGTAGTTTCCCATGGCGATAACCTCCAGTTTTACCTTTTCTGCTTGTCTTCATGGCCCTAACCTGCTTTGTTGAACCAGTATCTGAACAGTGTGACTTGTGTGTCTCAAAGGCACAGCTCTCATGCTCTTGCAGACCCGGGAATAGGAGACCTAAGAAAACATACTTATTTATTTTGAGGAAATGGAGATACAGTGATGGATTCGTGCCAGAACGCAGACAACAAGCACCATCTCTTTATTCTCAAGCCAGTCCTCTTGCCACTGCTCTATGCTGCCTCCTTTAGTTTAAGTTTTATTTCAAAATGGAAAACATCTTTCCAAAACCATAGAGCCTTAAGTTAATCATATATCAAGTGGAAAAGAAGAAAGAAAAGATCACACTCTATGTGCAATATGATTAGAACAGTATTCAAATGGTGTATCGAGAAGTCTTTGAATAGCAGCATTAGGGAATGTTTTCCTTCTATTTTCCAAACTTTCTCTAAAAAGTATGTATTAACTTTTGTAATAAAATGAAACTCTATTTTTAAAGATTCTAAACACACTGAAACAGACACTTTGCCTAGTCATGACAATCCTATTTCCCTTTGCCAGACACTCACTTCCCTGCCTCCTTTGCAACTCAGCTTGGCCATGTGTCTCTGTCTTCTCTAATGAGATGTGGGGGGAAGTCTGCTGGTGCCTCAGGATTTCCAGGACTTTCAGTCTTGAACATAGTTATACAAAAATGCCAAGCAGAATTCTAACCTCCAGTGAAGAAAACAACAACCAAAAAAAAAAAAAAAACACTCAAAACTTGCACTTTTTTTTTTTTAAGGGATAGGATCTCACTCTTTCACCCAGGTGGGAGTGCAGTGGCACAGTCATATTTCACTACACCCTCAAATTCTTGGGCTCAGTCAAGGATTCCTCCCATCTCAGCCTCCCAAGTATCTGGGACTACTGATGCGTGACACCACACCTGGCTAATTTTAAACATTTTTGTAGAGACAGGGTCTCACCATGCTGCCCATGCTGGTCTCAAACTCCTGGACTCAAGCCATCCTCCCATCTCGACCTCCCATAGTGCAGGATTACAGGTGTGAGCCACCGCCCCGGCCCTGCACTCATTTTTAGATACCTCATTAAATAATATCCTTATGGCTTAAACAACTATTTTTTTTTATTACTTGCAGCCAAAAACTAGCTACACAAAAGAATATTTACTTTTTTTCAGATATTAAATTTAAATGTATTATCTGGAGTTTAGGATTACAGGCATACGCCACCATGCCCGGCTAATTTTTGTATTTTTAGTAGAGACAGATTTTCACCACGTTGGCCAGGCTGGTCTTGAACTCCTGGCCTCAGGTGATCCACCCACCTCTGCCTCCCAAAGTACTGGGATTACAGGCATGAGCCACCACACCTGGCCAGGATTTTATTGTACTTCTTTTCCCACTACTACCTGAGTAACTTGAAATGAGAGCCCATATTTGTTATTATCTCATCCAATGAAGAAGGCTAGTCAGGAGATCAATAGGGGACTATATCATATTTTCATATTTCCTTCAAGAGAATTTCCTTCCATCAACCATGTTAGTTCATTTTTTTTAACCATGTTAGTTCATTTTTTACAAGTTTGGTTCTGACAATCCTTGCGTTCCATGGGGTAGATCAGGTAGAAAAATGTTTGATCATTCAAAACATGGAAAGGTATCCATTTGATGGTAAACATTTTATGTTTGTTATCATAAAGGTGTTCTACATATGCTGGAGGAGGCAGAGCACAGTGCTCACCATGGGTTGCCACTGATCTACTTCATTGGTGATGCCGAATACTAGGGGTGAGGAGGTAGGAGTCAGAAACTTAGAGGGGGCGGTGGGAGAGAGTAGGAGGTAGACAAGTTGAAGAAGTGGTTTGAAAGTTTGGAGATCTTTACCTGGAGAAGAGAACACTTAGAGAAGGTAAGAACTATTAGTTAGTTTCTTGTGGGTTCCTGGATTAGGGACTCATCTGGTTTATTTTAGGTAATTCAGGAATTTTTAGAAGGATATATGTGAAAATACAGGCAAGACTCTCGATTGTGGCAACCCAGGAAGAGCTGACAGTCAAGTTAGTTGGAAGGAAGAGTCATGTTGTAGCTGGGTCTAACTGAGCCTAGAGCTGAGATCTAGTGCAGGAAATCATTCAAAATTATTGATAGAACCTATTGAAATTATAGGTAAGCTGGTTATTATACTGTACCTCCAGCCACAGGACTCCTATTCTAGTGCTCCATCATTAACATTAACATGACTTGGCTATTTTTCATTTTGTGTCTCTGCTTTGTTAATGTTACTGTCTAATTGACCTTTTCCCATGTTTCCAGACAAAAGTGCTGAGAGAAAGAATCTCATTGATGAACTGTCCTTAGTAAGACAAACACTTGTGCTGGGTTTCCTCATAGGTCACACATGAGCCCATAAATGGACCAGGATGGTGGAAACACACAGAACATGGCCACTTAGGTATAAGGAAGTAAGTTGCATCCCTCAGCTTGGAATGGTGGACACAGCAGACCCACCTACTCAGCCATCAGAAGCCTCTGTAGGAAACAGCTGCTGACCTAGGTATTTGAAAGGCTGCCATATTGAAACTCTGGACTTTTTTTTTTTTTTTTAAGATGGAGTTTCATTCTTGTTGTCCAGGTTGGAATACAATGGCGCGATCTCAGCTTATCGCAACCTCCACCTCCCAAGTTCAAGCAATTCTTCTACCTCAGCCTCCCGAGTAGCTGGGATTACAGGCATGCGCCACCACGCCTGGCTAATTTTGTATTTTTAGTAGAGACAGGGTTTCCCCATGTTGGTCAGGCAGGTCTCGAACTGCAGACCTCAGGTGATCCTCCCGCCTGGGCCTCCCAAAGTGCTGGGATTAGAGGTGTGGGCCACTGCGCCCGGCCAACATTTTTTATTTTACTCCAGAAGGCAAAGGGAGGATAGAGACAACTAATGAAGACTTTCAAACAATGAGTACTATCTGAAAGCAAAACGGGCCTCCTTTAGAGATAGAGTGTAGCTCGTTCCTGGAAATGTTTTAAGGGATGATAGATGGCTTCATGGCCGGGAAATGGTAGCTTAGAATGGAGATTAGAACATTTAGATCATCTGCTGATGATTTACATCTGCCAAAATGGGACATGTAGAAGTAATTCTAGGACCAGAGGAGTCTCAAAAGTCTAAGATGGCCTTGAGGAATTTTGAGCCTCAAAAAACTCTCAGAAATATCAGGCTCTGACTCTTCTCTGAGGCAGATATTTAACCAGAGGTAGGCTTTAAGGGGTCACTCATACCACAAAGTGACCATAAAAAATTTCAAACTCAGTTTACCTTGAGGGTTGATTTCAGAGAGTACCAAGCACTGGACGTTGAAGAGATTTCTCAGCTCTCATCACAGTTTCAAATTGAGGCATTGAAAACCTCAAGTTAAAAATGTACGTGTGTCAGGGCTGGGCGTGGTGGCTCACGCCTATAATCCCATCACTTTGGGAGGCCAAGGCGAGCAGACACTTGAAGTCAGGAGTTAGAACCCAGCCTGGCCAACATGGTGAAACCCTATCTCTACTAAAAATACAAAAATTAGCTGGGTGTGGTGGCGGGCGTCTGTAATGCCAGCTACTTGGGAGGCTGAGGCAGGAGGATTGCTTGAACCTGGGAGGTGGAGGTTGCAGTGAGCCGAGATGGAGACACTGCATTCCAGCCTGGGTGACAGAGTAAGACTCCATCTCAAAAAAAAAAAAATGTGTTTGTGTCGGCCAGGTGAAGATGCCTCACGCCTATAATCCCAGCACTGTGCGAGGCAGAGGCAGAAGTTCCAGACCAGCCTGGCCAACATGGTGAAACATTTTTAGTCTCTACTAAAAATACAAAAATTAGCCAGGTATTTGGGAGGAGGCTGAGGCTTGAGAATTGCTTGAACCTGGGAGGCGAAGGTTGCAGTGAGCCAAGATTGTGCCACTGTGCTCTAGCCTGGGTGAAAGAGCGAGACCTTGTCTCAAAAAAAAGAAAGTATGTATGTCCATAGAATACTATGCAACCATAAAAAAGAATGAGATCACGTCTTTTGCTGGAACATGGATGAAACTGGAGGCCATTATTCTCAGCAAACTAATGCAGGAACAGAAAACCAAATACCGCATGTTCTGACTTGTAAGTTGGAGCTAAATGATAAGAACTTATGAACACAAAGAAGGAAACAACCAACACTGGGGTCTACTAGAGAGTGGAGGGTGGGAGGAGGGAGAGGAGCAGAAAAGATAACTATTGGGTACTGGGCTTAATACCTGGGTAACAAAATCTGTCCAACAACCCCCCGTACATAGGTTTACCTATGTAACAAACATTCACATGTACCCCTGAACCTAAAAAAAAATTTTTAAAGGGGTGTGTGTGTGTGTGTGTGTGTGTGTGTGTGTATTTGTGATAACACATCTTGTCATATAGGAATTAATTAAATGAATTAGGCAGTAATCTAATCACAGGGCTGAAGACTTCAAGAAGGACAATAGCAGAATAGCTGTGGGGAATAACTCATTACACTAACTTTCAGTAAGTTTGGAATCTTTTCCTCTGGGGCAATGTTTTAAGGGACGGGAAGGAAGGGAGAAACAAAAAAGAGAAGGAAGAAGAGAGATAACACTTAACTGGACACCTGCTGTGGAACAGGCACCGGCCACTTCCAAGGCTTCCTACAGTGAGCAGCTCTGAGCACTAGAATCTCTCATCTCCTTGGGGTGATAAATGAATGATGGCCCACTTTCCACACTAGTGGTAGTCACATGAAAGCACTGTACTTTGACATTAACTATTTCTCAGGAAAAAAGAGAAAGTTTGACTCGTATTGTTCGTTGTTTGCATTAGGTCAACCTAATGCTCCAACATTAACCTAGAACTGTAGTTTTCTTGATTACAGCATGGCTGACCCATGCAAAGTTGCTTACAAATACTTGAATTCACTAATGCTATTTGCAAATTACTGCAAGTGTCATAATGACACATTGTTCAGTTCTTAGGACTTTGTGAGGACCCATCTTGAGAAGGATTTGACTTCAAAAGATTGAGATTAAGGCTTAAAGAAAATAACCTTTGGAATTCAACCTCCAGTGAGGGAACTGGCAAGCAATCTTTGTTCAATATTTTTTTCAGAAGTGTCCTGAATGTAGGTGAACAGTAACCAGTGTGCTCCAGAGCCAGGCTCACAGGAAATCTGGGTGAGTCTAAAGAAGAAGAAAAAGAAAAATCTAATCGTGGGAAAGCATGGGAATAAAAAAAAAAATGAAAAAGGCAACTCAATACACTGTTTTTTTTTTCCTTTTTTTTTTTTTTTTTTTGAGATGGAGCCTTGTTCTGTCACCCAGGCTGGAGTGCAGTGGCATGATCTCGGCTCACTGCAACGTCTGCCTCCCGGATTCAAGCAGTTGTCCTACCTCAGCCTCCAGAGTAGCTGGGACTACAGGTGCGTGCCACCACGCCCAGCTATTTTTTGTGTTTTTAGTAGAGATGGGGTTTCACCGTTAGCCAGATGATCTCGATCTCCTGACCTCGTGATCCGCCCACCTCGGCCTCCCAAAGTGTTGGGATTACAGGCGTGAGCCACCTCGCCCTGCCAATACACTGGTATTCTTATCATTTCCTCAGTGCCCTGTCTTGTGCCTCTGGCCCTGCCCTGCTTATTCCACCTCAGGAAAGGACTATACTCAGAGGGCGCCTTCCTTGCCCCAGGACAGGTAAACAGGGTAAAGAATGGTGCAATGCCCTGCTGGCTTCCATTCCACATTGTGGAGGATGTTCAGGTGGAGGACATGCTGATTTCCTCCTCAACATCTGTTGTGTAGCCGCCATGTGTGAATGGGACCCTAGAAGCCATTAGGATGAGCCCAGATGGGTCCAAGCCAACACAACAATCCTATTTTCCTTGATCCAGTAATTGAATCAGGGGTAGTACAACCAGAGTGGACAAAATGCAAATCCATTCTTTCCCTCACTATGAAGGGAGAAGCCTTAGATCCAGTTGCATGCTGCTCACGGCATCTTGAAATTTCACGAGGGAAGTCACTCTGAGGATAAAGCTGACACACACACAAGAAGGCAGAGATGTGAGATGTGAGAACAACAGATGACTTGAGCCAGGTGACTGAGTCATGCCTGAGCCTGATTACCTTTAGGTGTTTCCCATCGGCATCCTAAGCGGTTCACGCAGCTTTCTGGAGGAAGTAAACCTGGAGAACACAAGAGTCCCTGGATATTATGTGACAGGTGTTAAGGTGGGCTGGGGGAGTGTTCCCACGCCAAAAATGTTTGCAAAGTATGGAATCAAGCAAAATGAAGTAGGCTACTTTAGAGCCATTTATAAAACCTAATACATATTACCCATTTCCAGGAAGGAACTACAGAGTGAAGCATTATGCAGACGTATTTAACCCAAGAATCAGATGGGTTGTCTGCTTCTGTATTCATTTGTTTTCTGGGAACACATCCGTGTTGAGGAGCACAGTTTGGGAATCTACACTAAGTTATTATCAGGTATTTACACCTTCATGTGTGAAATAGCAAGACAGAAAAGATGGTGGGCGCAGGACTTGAAATGTGAGAGAAAAACAAGGACAGGAAACAGAATTTCCTCCTTCCCAGGCCCAACCCAGAGCTCCTGGAACTGGGAGCAGTTGATTCAAGGTTGGTTTGCCATGCTGGCTATGTACCACAATAATCCCTGGAGCTTCTGGGAGCTCACCCAGATTCGAATTCAGCAAGTCTGTAGGATCCCAGATGAATGATATACATATGCATAGGTAAGATATAAATAAATAGGCCAGACATGGTGGGTCATTTTTATAATCCTAGAGCTTTGGGAGGCTGAAGCAGGAGAATCACTTGAGGCCAGGAGTTTATGACCAGCCTAGGCAGCACAGTGAGACCCTATCTCTTAAAAAAATTTGTTTTTAATTAGCCAGGTGTGGGGGAACGCACCTGTAGTCCCAGCTACTTGGGAGGTTGAGACAGGAGGATTGCTTGAGCTCAGGAGTTCAAGGCTACAGTGAGCTATGATCGCAGCACTGCACTCCAGCCTGGGTTACAGAGCAAGATTCTGTCTCAAAAAATAATTATTTGTTTATATCTTATAATATGTATGTGTATGTCTATCTATAGATATACTGTATTTGCAATTTGTTTTATGGAGATAGCATATTCATTTTAATAGTAATGGTAAATAAGTAACCTAATGACAATTGCTTCATGATGCACTTCAACAGTTCTTATTTTAACTTTTTTATTTTGAAAAAAATTTCAAATTTACAGAAAAGATGAAGTAATAACACAAGGAATTGCCATACACCTTTTACCCAGGTTCCCCAGTTGTTAACATTTTGCTGCTTTATCATTAGCTATCTGTCTTACCTATTTTCTGAAACAATTGAAAATTGGAGACATGATACTCCAGTTCCACTAGGAATGTCAGTGTGAATTTCCTAAAAGACAAGGCCAAAGGCCAGGCACGGTGACTTACGCCTGTAATCCCAGCACTTTTGGAGGCCGAGGCGGGCAGATCACGAGGTCAGGAGATCGAGACCATCCTGGCTAACACGGTGAAACCCCGTCTCTACTAAAAATATAAAAAATAAATAAATTAGCCAGGTGTGGTGGCAGACACCTGTAGTTCCAGCTACTCGGGAGGCTGAGGCAGGAGAATGGTGTGAACCTGGGAGGCGGAGCTTGCAGTGAGCCGAGATCGGGCCACTGCACTCCAGCCTGGGTGGCAGAGCAAGACTCCGTCAAAAAAAAAAAAGACAAAAGACAAGGCCATTCTCCTACACAGCCACAGTTGTCAAGAGCAGCAAGTTGGCATTTCCACAGTATCACCATTTAGTACACCATCTCAGTCATCCCATTCTAATTAACCTATTGTTCCAATATGTATGGACATTTTTTTTCCTCCTATTTTTGAATCCAACCCATGATCATGCGATTCATTTACTTTTGATGTTTCTTCAGTCTTCTTCAACCTAGAATAATTCTTCTATCTTTTCTTACCTTTCATGATCTCAATATTTTTGAAGATTTCATGCCAGTTATTTTGCAGGCTTCTCAGTTTGGGTTTGTGTAATTGTTTCCTTATGGTTGGCCAGAGATATCACAGATACCACCTTATGGTGCTGTGTTCCTCTCAGAGCGTCATATCAGAAGACACATAATGTCAATTTGTCCCGTTATTTGTGATGTTCACTTTGATCTCTGGTCAGAGTCAGGCAGGTATATTTAAAACAAACTTGAGGTTAAACACCACCATTTGGAGTATGACGGTTTCTTTGCTCCATCTCTGCATGAGAAGATGAAAAGAAGACAGGTGAAAAGAAAAGTGAAAGACAGTATATAACTGAGGGCAACGAGTTTTCTCAGTTTAATGATTTCCTTGATTATGAACAGGAAGAAAATATTTTTTTCTCTCTTCTAACAGAAAAGGGTGTGCTAATGACAGACACATTCAGGAAGTATCAAGTTTGCTATTACACAGATTATGAAACATGTTTATGCAGTATCAAACCAAAATATTACTCTAGGTCATGTTGCTTTTTTTTTTTTTTTTTTTTTGAGACGGAGTCTCACTCTGTCACCCAGGCTGGGGTGCAGTGGCATGATCTCAGCTCGCTGCAACCTCCACCTCCTGGGTTCAAGCGATTCTCCCGCCTCAGCCTCCCGAGTAGTTGGGACTACAGGTGCATGCCACCACGCCTAGCTAATTTTTGTATTTTTAGTAGAGATGGGGTTTCATCATGTTGGCCAGGATGGCCTCTATCTCTTGAACTCGTGATCCACCCACCTCAGCCTCCCAAAATGCTGGAATTACAGGCTTGAGCCACTGCGCCCGGCCAGGATTACCAATTTTAAACACATAGATGCATATTAATCGATAGAGATAAACATACAAGTAAAAGTTTTTACAAACATGGGGACTTTTTTTTCTTCTAAATGTATGATTAATAACTTCCAATATCAACGTATACACCAAATACATTGGAAAGGCTGCACCGATTAGGAAATTGGTTAAATATAACCAATCTGCTATTGTGAGGCTCTTAGATTTGTTTCTAACTGCCTGCTCTTACAAACAGTCCAGCCAGTGAACATTCAGGCAAAGTTCCTTAATCATTTCCTTAAGAAAAATTCCCAGAAGTGGTGTTGCCAAGTGAGAGTTTATACATATTTAAGTTTTCTTTCTTTCCTGATTTTCCTGCTCTAAAGTTATACCTCTTCTGGCCAGGCACGGTGGCTCACTTTGGGAAGCCGAGGTAGGCTGATCACTTGAGGTCAGGAGTTTAAGACCAGCCTGGCCAACGTGGCAAAACCCTGTCTTTACTAAAAATACAAAAATTAGCCAGGTGCGGTGGTGTGCACCTGTAATCCTGGCTACTCAGGAGGCTGAAGCAGGAGAATTGCTTGATCTCAGGAGACGGAGGTTGCAGTGAGCTGAGATCACACCGCTGCACTCCAGCCTGGGCAACAGAGCCAGATTCTGTCTCAAAAATAATAATAATCGTAAAGTTATACCTGTTCATCTCTTTCATATGTCCTAATAATCATATGCCATTTCCCTAGTCGGCTCATTCTTTTACACTTTCAGACTGCCCACTCTCTGCTGATGGCATTGCTTCCTATTTTGGTGAGAAAATAGATGCCTCTGGAAGTTTTTGAAATCCCCACCAACCCTTCTACCCACCTTCCAGTATCTGCGACCCTAAGCCTTGCCTCCCCTTCTCTTGACATGGAAGAACTGACTTCACTTTGGGCACTGGATCCTAGCCCCCTTTGCCTACCCGAGGATGTAGCTCCAGTAAGTCTCTAAAAAACTTTATTTTGGCAAATTTCTCTTACTTGAACCATCAAGTTTTTCTTCTTTTTCTTCTGTGGTTCATTGTCATCAGCATGCAGCTTTAATTTTTTGCATCTAGAGATAGACAAGCTGGGCTTAGTGGCTGTCACCTATAGTCCCAGCTACTTGGGAGGCTGAGGCAGAAGGATCACATGAGTACAGGGATTCGAGACCAGCCTGGGCAACACAGCAAGACCCCATGTCAAAACAAAAACAAAACCCGAATAGACAAAACCCTTCTCTAGGCCCCATTTCCATTTTCAGCTGCAGATTTATTTTTCTTCTCTTTGTAGAAAAACCCCTAGAAAGTGTTGTCTTCATTCACTGTTTCCAGTTCCACCCATTCTTTGTTAAACTCACTCCAATCAGACTTTCTTTCTTGTTTTTTTTTTTTTTGAAACGGAGTCTCACTCTGTCACCTGGGCTAGAGTACAATGGTGTGATCTCAGCTCACTACAACCTCTGCCTCCTGGGTTCAAGAGATTCTCCTGCCTTAGCCTCCCAAGTAGCTGGGATTACAGGTGCCTGCCACCACGCCTGGCTAGTTTTTTGTATTTTTAGTACAGACAGGGTTTCACTATGTTGGCCAGGCTGGTATTGAACTCCTGACCTCGTGATCCACCCACCTCAGCATCCTAAAGTGCTGGGATTACAGGCATGAGCCACCTCGCCTGGCCTGACCTTGAAATCTTTCTTAGCAGCCTTTATTTTTAGCATCTTCCCAAATTCCCCTGTCATCTTGATCACTTGTCAGTACACACACACGCACACACATAAACACGCACATCTCCTTTTCCTTTAATAATTGCAGGGATTCAAGAGAATGAAAATCTCTGCTCTTCAGAAAATTATGGAATGATCTTAAAGAAAATTTGTGGAATTTGAGAAGCCATCTTGTTAAAACCAAGCAATCCTAACTGTTTGAATTAGAGTTCGTGAATTGGTCAAACGTAAACACAAGCTGCCATTCCCTGGTGGATATTTACAGAACTGTCATGAACTGTTGCTGCCCCATATAGTCAACTGGTCGTGCACTGCATGACTCCAGGGGGAACACTATTTACATGCAGATGACAATGAGAAGTCTCTCCCTGGATTTGGTTGGTGTGACAACCCCCAAAAATGTCTGGCTGGATTAATTCAATTTTATATCATTTCTAGGTTATTTTCTTTTTCTCACTCTGTTCTTCTCCCTCCACATATATATATTTTGTTTATTTGTTTGTTTGTATGTTTGTTTTGAAACGGAGTCTCGCTCTGTCGCCCAGGCTGGAGTGCAGTGGCCCGATCTCGGCTCACTGCAAGCTCTGCCTCCCGGGTTCACGCCATTCTCCTGCCTCAGCCTCCTGAGTAGCTGGGACTACAGGTGCCCACCACTATGCCCGGCTAATTTTTTATAGTTTTAGTAGAGACAGGGTTTCATCATATTGGTCAGGAAGGTCTTGATCTCCTGACTTCGTGATCTGCCCACCTCGGCCTCCCAAAGTGCTGGGATTACAGGCGTGAGCCACCGCGCCCGGCCTACCCTCCCCATATGTTAACCATTTGTCTAAGAGAAGAAGACTCTATTGTAATAGTCAATTTTTAAAAATTATCCTTTTAGTCCCCCTCTCCCACAAAGTGGGGATGCAAGCCATTTGGCCTAGGAAAATGGCCAAACATGCCGTGGAATGAGTTTGCTGACAGGACTCTACAGAGGAAGCTTGAAAAGAAAGCAAACAGCTGACCTTTGAAACTCATGGCACCTCTGGTGGGACAGGCAGAGGCTATGCGTCTTCAGACCCTTCTGTCTTGGCTCTTTACTCTCTCCCCCAAATCACCTGCTCACACCCCACGATCTATGTGATGGGCCTTATGTATTTAAATCTAATTGTTTCTCATTACTGTTAGAACTTTTCAAACATTTTTTAAACCTGAGAATCTCTTTCTTCCAAACAAGGAATATAGCAAACTGTCATACAAAATGTTAAAACAGATCAAGGCAGAGCTGCTCTGTAAGCCTTTTGAAATTGGAATTAAAAACCTTGCACTTCTGCTGGAATACACATAAAAGCCTCTCCTTTTCCTCCCAGCCCCACCCTGGCCTCTGGTAGATTCTCCCAGAGAGGACAGTGAGGCCCTTGCCTAGGGTACAAAATTTTAGAGGGAGGCAGGGGGAAGTGGCAACAAAAAACTCAGTAACTAAGAGAAAGACTATTTTAATGCAATACTTTATTTATTTATTTATTTATATTTTTTCGAGATGGAGTCTTGCTCTGTCGCCCAGGCTGGAGTGCAGTGGCACAATCTCAGCTCACTGCAAAGTTCGCCTCCCAGGTTCAAGTGATTCTCCTGCTTCAGCCTCCAGAGTAGCTGGGATTACAGGCGTGTGCCACCACGCCTGGCTAGTTTTTGTATTTTTATTCAGGACGGGTTTCACCATGTTGGCCAGGCTGGTCTCGAACTCCTGATCTCATGATCCACCCACCTCGGCGTCCCAAAGTGCTGGGATTACGGGCGTGAGCCACTGCGCCCAGCCTGCAATATTTTAAATACAAAAATTCATGTGAACGAATTATTAAAATACTAATGACAGGATCAGCAATAGTGTCTTACTGAGCCATACTGGAGCCTGAATCAAAAGAAAAAATTAGTAATGCTAGTGATACTGTCTTTATCTTTATAATATTCTTTGATTACTGAGTTTTTGGTGTCCCTTTAAATTTAGGGCTTAAAGTAAGTGACTCACTCTCCTTAACTGAATTTTGGCCCTCATGCTATCCTTTACGTTCATCACTCTGTGTTGTTGTACAGCTGAATATTTCTTGTCTCTCATTCCCTCTTAGAATGCATGCTCCCTGAGTGCAAGGACAACGTCATACTCATCTTTGCATCTCTAACATATGTAACTTCTCTGGCTTCAGCTTGCTTATCTGTGAAATGCAAAACTGGGTAATCTTGAATGTCCTTCAGTATCTGTCTATAGAAGTCTATCTATAGAAGTTCAAGTCACCCCAAACTTTCTCTGCCTGGTGGTTGATGGTATCAATGAGGCAGCCACAAGAGTGCTGGTATTTTGCAACAGATTAGAGAGCTGTGTTCAGTAAAGCTAAGGGGTTATCTGTAAAACACACTCTTGGATGGATAATTCCTTTAAACTTTCATTTTGCTGGGACTGTACTTAAAAAGCCATTTGGAGGGTTATCTCTCCAGTAATGCTGTCCTCGTTGGGAAATTCAGGCATCGCCCTTTAATTAGGTCAAATATGTTAAGAAATAGCTTCCCCCTTCTGGTTCCTTTCCTGTTAGACTGGTTGTCTTAAAATGTGGGGAAAGGCCATGAAGTATTGAAAAACATTTTATGTTTTCTTACCATCCTTTGTGTGTAATTAAGAGGGGAGAAACATCTGAAAAGAGTGAAGCAGTTCATTGCAGGCATAAAAAGAAATGCATGGAGCACCTACTGTCTACCTACTATGTCCAGCCCTCTGTGGGAACAACAGCATATCAGACAAGATTTCTGTTCTCGATGAGTTTTCAAGACCCTGCTGGGAATGCAAACATGAGCAAAGAAAAGCCAGAAGTTGGTTTTATAGCCAACTGCCAAGATCATAAGAAAATGGAGTCAGAATCGTGGAAGAAAAGGAGGAAGCAAATTACCTTTAGGTGCCTACCATGTGAGGACTTGAAAACATTACATGTCTTTTTTTTTTTTTTTTTTTTTTTTTTGAGATGGAGTTTCGCTCTTGTCACCCGGGCTGGAGTGCAATGGTGCGATCTTGGCTCACTGCAACCTCCGCCTCCTGAGTTCAAGTGATTCTCCTACCTCAGCCTCTCGAGTAGCTGGGATTACAGGCACGTGCCACCACGCCCAACTAGTTTTTGTATTTTTAGTGGAGATGGGGTTTCACCATGTTGGCCAGGATGGTCTCAATCTCTTGACCTCGTGATCCGCCCACCTCAGCCTCCCAAAGTGCTGGGATTACAGGTGTGAGCCACCTTGCCTGGCCTACATGTCTTTTTTATATGAAAACATGTCCTCACTGTCTTTTGAGTTAAGTTCTAATATTAATATCTCTGATAGACTAATAAGGACACAGGGGCTTGTAGTTAAGGTCACTCATGAATATTATTTGCTTTCCCAAAGTATTTGCATAAAGTTATTCTAATATGTTTGAAATGGGTAACTGGATCTGGATACTATTTAGTTTAACTAAATTAGGAAGTATGGCTTGTCTTTCTTCCTCCTCAGTGGTATAGAGCCTTGGGTTTGGAAGTGGCTGTTATTTAACCATCTCCTCCCTGTGCGGTTTGCTTGTTAGGACACCGGTGACCAGAATTTGGAAACTCTAGTTGGGGAATTTACACAGGCCATTAATTTCATTTTCACACTCAAATATGATTTAGGCCCTGCTACTGGGTCATCGGAAATAAAGTACCCATGTATTTTATTTGGTAGTTCAAAAAGCTTTGTGTTCAGTGACCAGTTTTTCCCAGCTGGCTTTATGCTCCAGGATTGTCCTCTCTTATTTCCAAAGGCAGGCTAGATTCCAGCTGTTTCCATTAAGGAGGGCTCAGGTGAAAGCTGCCTCCTCCATAATTTTAAAGCCATAACCTTGAAATGATGGCTTTGGAGCAACGGAGCCTGTGAAACTGGCTCGGTGCTTTTTTTCTGTCTTTTTTTGATTGATTGTTTTCAGTTTACCCTGTTGTTCTACCTCTCCTCCTTCCTCCACCCCTGACCCTGGAGTGGGGGAGGGATTGGGATTTAACCATCCATGAAAGATTTGGTAGCCTTGAAATGTGGAGTTCTATTTACCTAGAGGCCAAATATGAGGCCGGAAACAAAGCACATATACCCGCCCTCAACCTCAACCTGGATCCGATCTTCTCATTGCAAAGCAAAGGAACTCAACGAAACTCTCCAAGACTCATGAGGTGCACTAAGTATTTCCACTGCTAAAGAAAGTCACATGACTTAAGAGAGGACAGTGAGTTGCCCAGCAGTGGCAACTTTTGAGGCAGGGACCACCTCAGTAAAAGTATCCACCATATCAATTTTAAGATTTTAATTTTAAAAAATGGTTACTTTCTGTTTCTGTGGGATGAGTAGAAAATCCATTCCATACTTGCTTAGTGACTTTTTAAAATTATCCAATGAAATCTTAATAGAAATATTGGTGCAGAACTCTTTGAATGTAAAATTTAAATCACCATACCAAAGGCTAAGAATATGAAATAGTGGAAGGATGGCATGTGATGGGCTTGTGGAACTTCTGGGTAAGTGGTTTGGATGGTTTCTTCCATTAGGCAGTATATATGTGCTTTGAGTCAGACCTGTGTGTCTTCCTGGGTCTATCCTGACAGCTGATAAAAGGCTTGCAGCCTTACATATCTTTCCATGGCCACACAGTCTTGTTAACACACGGTGGGCAGAGTGGCCTGGAGGTGGTCAGTGAGTCAGCAGTGTGTTTCCCAGGATGGTGAAACACAACTCTTTAAAACTCTCTGGGGACTGTAAGAGACCCAAGGGGAAGAAGGCAAAATAAGTAGAAAATATGGTTCCTGGAAGAGCTTATAATTCAATTGTAGGAAAAGAACCCAAATACAGGGAACTTCTCATGAAGTGAAAGTCATGAATACACCCAAGCATACCATGGCACACAGGGCCATCTCAACTGTTCATGGATTACACTACCTACCATCTATATCTCCCCGACCTTCCTCTACTTGAAAATCCAGCTCAGGCATCAGCTTTTCCAGGAAGCCTTCTGACACCCCAGAGGATGAATGTCTTGTCCTCATACTTCCGCATGCCTATCTTGACCATTGCCCTTATCACAGTTTATTAGGATGTTTTTTTCATGTGAACTGTGACCTCCATGAGGGCAGTGACTGGGGTTTACTCATCAGTGTAGCCCCAGCACCAAGCCTAATGCCAGGCACAAGTAAACACATGGTCATAGTGAGCAAATCAGTCAACAATAACTGCTGAGGGTTTACAGTGACAAGGAATGACTGTAAGGTCATCAGGCATAGATCAGATGAGTTGAGTTTTGAATGAAGTTTGAAGGAAGTAGAACTAATTGGATTAGTAGGAAGAAGATTGGGCGTATCATTTATGGGAAATGTCAGTAGCTGCCTTGAGCTCACTCTCATGGAACATTGTACAGGGGATTTTAATGAGAAATGGAATTAATAAAAGAGGAAAGAGGATAGTCAGAGGACTGAAAGCACTTTGTATTCTGGACTTGATAGGCAGACTGTAATTCCACTACTGTAGATGAGAGGGTGGGCCAATGCCAGCAGTGCCCTGATCAAATTCTCACCAGAGAATCTATATTCGGCTTATTTAAATCCTAAAGTGCTTTTAGTTTAATGCAGCATTTCCTTCATTTCCTGTCTGAAATCCTTACACATATTTCAGTAGTAGCTGTGGGTTATTTCCACAAACTACAGTAAACCTGCCCCCGCAGAGGTCCAAGCCAACTGAAGTTTTTCCTTAAGGCTGCAACCTTCTTATCTTCAAGTGACCTTAATCTCACATTTATTATGACTTGAGCATCATTTCTCATGTATTCTCATATAGTAAAAAGCCCTTACTTGAGTTCTGCAATCACAGCAGCACCATCAGGAAGAGGAAATGAGCAGAGTTGTTAAGCAGAACACGCTGTACCTTTTTAAACATTAACCATTGTTCAGGTCTGTGGACCGGGCTGCTGAAAGCAATGGTGGGAATCAGGAATTACATGCAAAAAAAAAAAAAATCTACCTATGGAAAATTTTAGCATTCCCTTAATCTGTCTTGGTCCCCAAAGTTATATGGGCTTTTATTTTTAAAGACATAGAAGTGTAGTTAAGCTGACTTATCTCTTATCTAAAAATAACTCTATCTGACCCATGTCATGTTCAGAAGAGGACAGTCATGCTGTCTGACAGCATTTAAGTTGGTTTGACCTCACACTATTAGTATATTACTATGGAAGTGGTTTGTGTTCTATGAGGAACTTTGTCTTAGCAATTAAAAGGAACTTCATAATCTTTGCTATTTGCTGCCATAGCCTAGACATATAGTGGGTTAGCAGTGATTTTATAATTAATGAGTAACTTTTCGTTGCTCTCTTGATTTTGTTTTTCTATAAATGTGGATCACGGAAACCAGCATTTAAATGATTCTATGAGAAATGTGGTGGCTGGCCTGGTGCAGTGGCTCACGCCTGTAATCCCAGCACTTTGGGAGGCCGAGGCAAGCAGATCACCTGAGGTCAGGAGTTCGAGACCAGCCTGGCCAACATGGTGAAACCCTGCCTCTACTAAAAATACAAAAATTGGCTGGGCATGGTGGCATATGCTGTAATTGAAGCTACCTGGGAGGCTGAGGCAGGAGAATCGCTGGAACTGGGAGGTGGAGACTGCTGTGAGTTGAGATCGTGCCACTGCACTCCAGCCTGGGCAACAGAGCAAGACTCTGTCTCAAAAAGAAAAAGTGTGGTGGCTGCAGTCATCATTATTGTCATCATTTTGTTACTGGGCACTTACTATGAGCCAAATACAGAACAAATGATTTCTGTACATTAGATCCTGGCACTTCTATTGTAGTACTTCTCAAGGTGAACTTAAAGGTGTGGTATAAGTATCTATCTCTGCTATATGACTAGTCTCCAGAGTATAGGGTCTATATCTTATTCTGTTAGCTATTCTAACATCCTGCATGTATCAAGGCACTCAATAATTGTCTGTTACATAATAGAAACAACTTGAGATAACAGAATTATACCACTTCCAGGATCTTTAAAAAATTTTATAGGCCGGGCGCGGTGGCTCACGCCTGTAATCCCAGCACTTTGGGAGGCCGAGGCAGGCGGATCACACGAGGTCGGGAGTTCGAGACCAGCCTGACCAACATGGAGAAACCCCATCTCTACTAAAAATACAAAATTAGCCGGGCATGGTGGCACATGCCTGTAATCCCAGCTACCTGGGAGAATGAGGCAGGAGAATCGCTTGAACCTGGGAGGCGGAGGTTCCGGTGAGCCAAGATTGTGCAATTGCATTCCAGGCTGGGCAACAAGAGTGAAACTCCATCTCAAAAGTAAAATAAAATAAAATAAAATTATTAGTGTAGTACTGTTGACACAATGGTATTTCTAATAACAAATTCTGGAAACAAACTAAATTTTAACTCTAGGGAAATAGTTTAATGTAAGCAACAATATAACTACTCTATGTAGTATTAGAGTGCTGGTAGAAATGAAAATTTTTGAAAACAAAACTTGTCACCCTGAAAAAGCTTCTGATGATGTCAGGCAAAAGTGTCATAATACTAAATTGTATATACAGTTTGGTTGCTGCCATGTTAAAGGAGGAATGTTATTCATAAAGACAAAAAAGAACCTAAGGAAAAAATGTACCAAAATTTTGATAGTAGTTAAGGTGGAATAATTATGGACTTTTTTTCTTCTTTTCCCTGTTTTCCACATTTTCTATGCCACTTTTATATTGAAAATGTAAACACAATTTTGAAAGAAAAAGAAGAGGCCGGGTGCGGTGGTTCATGCCTGTAATACCAGCACTTCGGGAGGCTGAGGTGGACAGATCACAAGGTCAGGAGATTGAGACCATCCTGGCCAACATGGTGAAACCCCATCTCTACTAAAAATACAAGAAAATTTAGCTGGGCATGGTGGCAGGTGCCTGTAGTCCCAGCTACTCGGGAGGCTGAGGTAGGAGAATTGCTTGAACCAGGGAGGCGGAGGTTGCAGTGAGCCGAGATTGCACCACTGCACTCCAGCCTGGCGACAGAGGGAGACTCTGGCTCAAAAAAAAAAGAAGAAGAAGAAGAAATAAATAAAGAAAAAGAAAACAGTAATGTTTATAGCATTATCCTTGGTTAATGAGGTAATGGGTGATATTTATTTAGATGGTTCTTACTTTCAAAATTTTCTACCATAAACATGGATAACTGTTTTTTATTTTAAAAATTTCTAAACATAGCAAAGGGACACGTGCAGTGGCTCATACCCGTAACCCCAGCACTCTGGGAGGCCAAGGTGGGAGGATTGCTTGAACTCAGGAGTTTGAGACCAGCCTGGGCAACATGGCAAAACCTCATCTCTAAAAAAAAAAAAAAAACAATAATTAGCTGTGTGTGGTGGTGTGTGCCTGTAGTCCCAGCTACTCGGGAGGCCAAGAGGTGGGAGGATCACATGAGCCTGGGAGGTCAAGGCTGCAGTGGGCCACGCTCCAGCCACTGTACTCCAGCCTGGGAGATAGAGCAAGACCCTGTTTAAAAATAATAATAATAATAATGATAATAATAAAGCAAAGGACATTTGGTAGTAAAACCCTTAAAATTCATGTCTCCTTCCTGACCCCAGTGGTTCAGAAGACTCCTTGGAAGACTCTATTGGGTCAAATATGAAAAGATCTCTGTGGAATTCCTCAAACTCACGTTTGGCCCAAATGACGGATTGCTTAACGGTGCCACTGTTGTGGTAGTAATGCAGACTGTGAATAATAAGAACAATAATGAAAGTGTGGCCATTTAACTCGAATGCTCGTTTGATTTGCTGAAAGGCAGAAGCTTTCTATGTCGGTTAGATGTAAACTGCACAGTTCGGCAGGCCACACTGTGAGGACAGGCCTGGAATAAGGGATGTACTTGTACACGTATCATGACAGAAACACATTTACTGTGAAGGCAGCTGTTACTCAAAATTATAAAAGGCCTGGATGTTGGGAAATTTTTCCCTTCGAAGTCCCCTATGAAGATTTCAGAAACAGCTTTCCCCAGTTTTTTCACCTCTAGACCGTCTCTGTATTGAGGGGTCTCTCCCTATTTACCCTGTCTGCCTGCTTGCTCTGTTTTTCTTCTTCTCCCCACCACTCTTAGCTCTCTTAGGTACCTTGCTTCTTGCTTATTTGTTACCACAATTCTACTGAGATGTCCTGACATCTCTGGCTGCAAGGCACTATTAGCAGACGGTTCCCATCTTGTTTTAAACAATCCTCTTTTAGTGTCTACTTTGCATAGCTCCTGGGCTCCATTAGCTTTAATTATCTAGCAGGAGAGCCATCCAGACAATTTCTGGTGGAATAAAATTGGACCTTTCCACTGAATAACAACAAAATAATAATAAATAAATTTAAACCCTGAAAGAGCATTAAGTTCTTGGTTCTGCGCAAATCAGGAGAGATTATTTGCAAACATCAGGATTAATAATCAATGAATTAGAAAGAATTCCTGATCCTATTAGAAATGCTAATCTCGTGAGAACAGAGAGAACGATTTGTGAGAGGAGCTGAGCTGCCAGGCTGTGCCTGTCTCCACTGTCCTGCTGTGTGAGAAAGGAGGGAAAGGGCAAAAGGAAAGAATATTTGTTCAATACCTACTGTGTTCCAGACATTGGGCAAGGGACTCTCACACAATCCCTCTAGCTAGTCCTCACAGCAATCCTTCAAGGTAGTATTATGATCAGCCTTGTTCCTGATGAAAAACTGGAATATCAGCAAGATTAAGTAGGCTGACCTGGGCCACACATCCAGGAAGTGGCAAATTTGGACATGGGGGACTTGAGTGCAGGACTTTGTAAGTCCAAAGGTCATCACTTTCTCATTACAGCAGTTGCAGAGCTTGGTTAAGTAGCTGGCAGCAATATCTCAAGTTATTAAAGACCGAAAAGCAAGGTACGGATCATCTCTTAGAGGCTGGCCTCTTGCTGTCATGGCTCCAGGACTCACTCCCACACTGACTGTATTTCATATGCGTGAGTTGAGAAGTCACATTATCCCGGATTGTCTCCAGGGAGTCGTGCCTTTAAGTCTCAGAAATGATAGCCGCTGCCGTAAAACTAAGTGACTACCCTGTGTTGTTTGGGTAGGGGCTGAAATCATTCCTCAGCACCCATTTTCTCTCTTCATAATATCCCATTAAAATACATAAACTCTTACAAAGGTAACACCTGAAATTCCTTTATTACCCACTATCTTGGCAGAAGGTAATTAGGCAATGTCCAGAGGCCAGGTGCTTGAGTGGAGAGCCAGGTAGATGAGTTCCAGAAGAGAAATTCTCCTTTGTCACATCAGCCCTCACCTTGTGTTCAGCCCTGTCTTTATGTTTCAATTTTCCTCTTGGTAAAATTCCAATAAAAATAGGACACTAGGAACAGGGATCTAAACCAACCATGATTTGAAACCTGAAATGGATTCAAATTACTGATTTTGCAGACTCATGAGACTAACTTTTGACTTTTTTTTTTTTTTTTTTTTTCTGAGACAGGGTCTCACTCTGTCACCCAGGCTGGAGTATAGTGGCACAATCTGTGCTCACTGCAAGCTCTGCCTTCCAGGCTCAAACCATCCTCCCACCTCAACCTCCAGAGTAGCTGGGACTACAGGCGTGCACCACCATACCCAGCTAACTTTTGTATTTTTTGTAGAGACAGGGTTTCACCATGTTGCACAGGCTGGTCTCAAACTCCTGAGCTCAAGCGATCCTCCTGCCTTGGCCTCCCAAAGGGTTGGGATTACAGGTGTGACATTTATTTTTTAATAAGCATTTAATTTTAGACTAGTTTAGATCTGTAGAAAAGTTGTGAATATAGAAGGTTTCCATGTATTGCACATCTAGTTTGCTTATTGTCAACATCCTATATTATGTATACTTGTCACAATTAAGGAACCAAAATTGATACATTACTATTGACTGCAGACCATACTTTATTCAGATTGCCTTGGTCTCTCCCCCGCATCCTTTCCTGTTCCAGGAAAGGTCAATAGCAATGTATCAACAGGATACTGCATTACATTTAGTTGTCATGTCTCTTTAGGCTTCTCTGGACTGTGACAGTTTTCCAGACTTTCCTGGTTTGGGATGACCCTGGGGAGAACTAGTGAGGTAATCTGTAGAATGTTTTTCAATTTGGGTTTATTTAATGTTCTTCCTGTGGTTAGACAGGAGTTACGGGTTTTTGGAAGCACAGCTTACAGAGGTAAAGTGCTCTTCTCGTCACATTGTATCAAGCATACATGACTTATCACTATGATTTAACATTTACTTTTATGGAAAATAAATCATGTGAAGATAAGCCAGTCTGAACCAGAACTGGACCTGTACATTTTCTAAAATGATTAAACTGGCACAAATCAGATTGCCAAACTGTCTTGAAACAACAAACTAATGTTTCATTCAGTCTAAGTCCACGGTTGTAAGGTTTATGTAAGTGCCTTTGCAGAAAATATTTGGAGTTCCTTAGAGAAAACAGCTGTCTGAAATAATGTAGTTAGGATGCCATGTATGAAGAATTTTACTGAACTGGGAGCGAGCAAGTGCTCAGTCATTGCACAATACCAGCTGTAAAACCCTGCCTGTTTCACCTCCAGGCCAAAAATCCCCGGAAGACAATAGTAGCAATGAACCAGACTTTCACATTTCCTGCCTCCCCTGAATTCATAACATTTCCAAACTGCTGGGCTGCTCCTTAGGAGCCTGTACCATTCATTGCCTTATAGGGAAAGCACTGGCAGAATCACTTTTCATTTGTATTGCATGAGAACATCTTCATTTCAATGATTTAACTCTGATTAAATTTAGCCGTCAGCCTTTAAAGTTCTCTGAGAAGCATTCAAACTCAGATAGGGAAGAAGCACGCCAGCAGGTTCTCTGCAATCCTTTCCCTCCTACCTTCATGCAAGCTTGTTTCCAAGCAGCTGGGTGAGGCCTGGCGTCATTCAGAGAGCAATCCTTTGCCAAGCTTGGAGGTGCTTGGTTTGAATGGATCCTCCCACCCTTGCAGTCCTGCTGGGGAAGGCAGTGGGAGCTCCCTGTGCCGCCTGCCACTTTTGCATCGTTCTAGTTTAAATTGCTTCCTTCACTTTCTCGCTTCTCAGATAAATGCAGCCTGTGGTTTTTGGTTTTGATTTTATTTTTATTTTTAAAAATTTGGGACTCTTTCTATTTTTGCTTTCTTACCAAACCATCTTGTATTTTTCCTCTTCCTGTTTTGGCCCTCCCGCCCCCAGCCCTACTGTGTTCATTGAACACCCAAGGTTAAACAGTGGGACTGTTTCCCCTACTGAGTGTCTTTTTGTGTGCTCTCTGCTGCCTTCTTGCTATTCCAGTGTGTGCAGGCGGAGGGGACAGGAATGGGGATGCAGTTGCACAGAGTTCCTCCCTGGAGAAGGCCAAAGTAAGCCCATACGGAGGTGGCGCACACAGTTCCACAGACCTCCTCCCACACCCCTTTTTATTTGTTCTTTTAACAACCCCAAGGGTGTCATTGATGCAAATTGTGTGTTAGAGTTTTCATCTTGTGCCTTCTGTGTGCTCACCATCCAGAAAACTAAGCAGAACAACTAAGTGACCTAAAAACAGGTCCGCAGAATTCTTGAAGTGGATTATGGCAGATAGCACTGCCTTCTGTTTTATCAGTATCCTGAAAAAAAGGGAAGATGGTATTTTGTAATCATGTCCATGTGCTCCAGGCTGGATTGATTATCAGGGCCAATCTTAGATGTTACACAATCCCCAACTACTTTCATCTGCTCTGTCCTAGTCAGTATACCCAGCTGGATAAATAACATTAGTCCAAGCACAGCTTCCTGGACAAATGTTAAAAATTGATAATGTCCTACATTTTCTGGAAGCACAGGTGCTTCAGATCAACAGGGCTAATCTTGTTGAAACAACTAACGCTAAGCCTTTTTATAAGACAAAGAGCTTTGGTGTTTACAGGTTCAGATTTGGGAGGAAAAAGTAATTTTCTTGGAGCTAAAAATGTTTCCTCTAGAACTAATGGATTATTAACATTCAGTGTGGTTTATTGAACTCAAAAAAGAAAAAAAGAAGAAAAGAAAACCAACCAAAACAAAAGTAATAAAACCTGCACTATTACCATCGGCTTATTACAACAGTTAACTCCTTGCTTATGAGTTTTTCAAAGATGACTCCTCTGGAAGCTTCAGATAAATTTATTGTTTTGAAACAGATTGCTCCAGGTTTCTCTTATCAGAACAGACCTAGGTAGAATAGGGGACTCCTACTAGAATATGGCTAGTTTTTAGTCACTTAGAAATGTTTCTTATGGTTGAATAGACAACCTCATAACGGGGTTCATGAGTACAAGTTTGTCAAGATTCCACTTTACATGGCATGGATATTCTCTACTCAAATTCTCAAAAGATATTCTTCTGTAAATCTATAGGCGAAAATCAAAAGACTCATTCCAGCTCTTCTCCAGTTGAGAGGCAATGTAGAAGCAAGTCTCATTCTGTTGGTGAAGACGTTAAGCAGATCCTTAATCTGCTAGGGCCTCTGCTTCCATCTGTCTAAAATAGGAAGTTCAACTAAGGTCTAACTCTAATAATCTGTGCACCAATTAGAACAGTGATTAGGAAAGAGATTTTACAGTCGGACCGCCCAACTTTCAAACACTAGTTCTATCACCATGTAGCTATATATTGTTGGGCAAAACAGTTTACCTTTCGGAGCCTCAATTTCCTCATCTGTAAAATGGTTATAATAACAGCACCTAACTTAAAAGGCTGTGGTAAAGATTATATGAGATAATTACATGAAACACTTAGCATAGGGGCTGGTTCATAAGAGATGTTAGATAAATCTTAACTTTCATTAGTAGAGGACACATTATTGTAATAAAGTTTATTTATATGTGGTTTCCACTCTGTTATCACTAAACTGATCATTTAAAAAAGAGAGAGAGAGAGAGAGAGCATCTTGCTCTGTTGCCAAGGCTGGAGTGCAGTGGCATGATTATAGCTTGCTGCAGCCTCAACCTCTTGGGCTCAAGCAATCCTCCTGCCTCAGCCTCCCTAGTAGCTGAGATTATAGACATATGCCAAAATATCAAGCTATTTTTTTTTAAGTTTTGTAAATATGAGGTCTCACTGTGCTGTCTGGGCTGGTCTTAAACTCCTGGGCTTATGCTGATCCTCCAGCCTCAGCCTCCCAAAGTGCTGGGATTACAGGTATGAGCCACTGCGCCCAGCTTGATCAATTTTTATAGGGATGGATGAATCAGGCAAATATGGTTATACATTCAGAAGTCACTGTTAATATGTCATCAATATTCCTGCTCCTGGTGTTTTTGATGCCAAATAATAATTAGGTATGTTGTATCCTCTGTGGATGGCTTCCTATGACCACAGTGCTGGCATTAGAACAGATAGATGCCACTGGAAATTTGGTTCTTTTCCTGAATGGTCTCTGAGCCAGGGCCCCCATAAAGGCTTGAAGCTAATAATTTTTGACAAATGATGGTAGCAAATTACAGGGATATATACTTTTTAGGAGTGTGTGTATGTTGGGGGGTATGTCCTCTTTCCCAGAATATCATATTCCTAAAATATCATGGGTAATCCCAGTCAAACCCACAGCAGCAGCGCCCTTCGTGATGGATGAAAAAGATGACCATGAGGGAGGCAAGAGAGAAGTGAGGTTCGTGGTGTTGATCAGGAAAGGGGAAAGCCTGGTTTCTAGTCATACACCTAAGCTAGCTGGGTGCATTTGGGCAAGTTGTTTGAGCCTCAGTTTTCTCATTTGTAAAATCAGGATAATACCTGCTCAGTCCTTCTCACAGGACCAAGTGAAGTCACATGCACGAAGGGACTGTGTGCAGTCATACAGCATTTCATAAATGCAAGGGACTCATTAAAAGGTCTCACATAAGACCAAAGAACTGCTGAAATAAGTCCATGGAAGTAAAAGCTTCCCTGAAACATTTTCCTTCTTTGAAGGTATTTGAAATCGACAACTTCCTGTTTTGATTGTCCTTGTCTGAAGTGTTCATCTAATTGCTACTTCATACAAGCAACCATTTCCACCTGGAAAGTAAGGACTTTGGAATCCCCTGCCCATATGTTAGACCCAGGGGCTCCCTGTGGGCCAAGCAGATCTGAAATCATCATTGGCTTCTGTCTCCCTCCATTGGAATAGAAGCTCCTCCAAGGCAAGGACGTTGCCTATCTAGTTTACCAGTACCTGGTCCAGGATACTCAACAAATGTTGTTGAATAAAAGAATACACTGGGCCAGGCACAGTGACTCACACCTGTAATCCCAGCACTTTGGGAGGCCGAGGCGGATGGATCACCTGAGGTCAGGAGTTCGAGACCAGCCTGGCCAACATGGTGAAATCCCGTCTCTACTAAAGATACAAAAATTAGCTGGGCATGGTGGTGGGTGCCTGTAATCCCAGCTACTCAGGAGGCTGAGGCAGGAGAATCGCTTGAACCCAGGAGGCAGAGGTTGCAGTGAGCCCAGATCATGCCACTGCACCCCAGCCTGGTGGACAAGAGTGAGATTCTGTTTTAAAAAAACAAAAAAACACTTAAGTTGCTTCCCCCATCAGGATACTGGAGTTGCACCTGCAGCAAAACCAAATAAATAAAAGACGAGAAGTAGAAGGGAGAGAAGGAAGCAGGGGAGGAGGGAATGGGAAGGAGGGAAGAGGGAGGAGGAGGAGGAGGAGAAGGGGGAGGGGGAAGGGGAGAGGAAGAGAACATAATTTCAACAGGTGGAGGGCTCCTGGTAAATGATTCAGGAACATCATCTCCTACGCATCCCTTCCCTTACTCCCTCCTGGCTCCTAAACTCCATGGGGAGAAGGCTGGTTTTGCTGACAGGATACTTTTCAAACCAAAGCTGAAATAACTTCAAAACAAGGTGACATCCTAGGGATACAAAGTGCCATGACTAGGACACGCTGCTTATTTAGTAAAATAAGATACAGTTTGGCCCTTTCCGTTGCTGTCATGAGGAAACAGTGGTTCCAGCTGACTTTAAAACTGCTGCCTAAATGAAGGAATGAGGATCTTCTGGGAAATATAGGCTTCTAATGGAGGGTTGTGATTTGAAAAGTTCCCACGCAGTGATTTTTTTTTTAAAGGCAGCGGCTGCTTCTCCACCATAATCTGTTATATAATTACTGTGTAACTTTGTCACTGCCTCTTACAAGACAGATTGAAACTTACCCACCTAGACCAGCACCACTGACACTTTTCTAGAATCTGTGGGACTCATTGGAATTGCATTAGGAGAATTAGGGAATCTGGTGATTTTAACCAAATTAGTTGCAGGAAAAGATGGACTCAGGGGCTCCTTTTCCTTCCCAGGCCTGTGCGGCCCTCGCTCTGTAAGGGATGCCATAAAGCCAACCTCTGGGAGAAGAATGTCTTCAGAAAAATTGAGCTTGGTGCCTTAGTAAATGTTTGACCCAAGTGACTCCTCCCCCACCCCTAAATTTTGACCTTTAGCATTGCATATTGGAGCCTGAAGCATCTGAGAAGCTATTTTCATCAGAATTCTGTGATGAGGTTAACAGAAGTTGACTCTGGATAGCTTAAGCAAACAAATTTATCGGAAGGATAGAGTATCTCACAGAAGGAGAGGCTGAAGAATCTGCTTTATTCAAGGACAAGAGAAGCTCTAGAAATTCAGGTTTTGTGAATAATGCAGTTTCCTTAGTTTCATTGCCTCCAGGGTAAATGATTTCCAACCATTCTCAGTTTTTGTGTCACTTCTCTCCACACTGAAATTCCAGGTCAAGAGTATCTGATAGGCCTACCTTCAGCTAGGGATCCAACCTCCCTTTGGCCAGGATAGGGGAAGGTATTGTGATTGATGGTCGTTTCTCCTATAGGGGAAAAGTGGGTCCCCAACAGAAAAATCAAGGCTCTCTCTCCTCAGGATGTTGTGGCGCCGTGGCTTCCCTTTGGCAGGGGAAGATGTGGCACTGAGCTAAAGAGAGAGGCATGGAGGTGGGTTATATTATTTTTAGTTCACTATCTTCCAGTTCGACCTCATATCTTCTCTCTCCTCCAAACTATGAATTAGCATACCAGGCATTTCCACACCAGGATAGCATATGCTCATTCTCCTCAGGAACAATCTGGAATGCGTGAGCAGTTTAGAATTTTGGAGAAGGGGAAAAAAATGAGTAAAAGGAGTGCTACTGGAGGTGGGAGGAGTGGGTTTCATGCCCTCCTTTTGAGCTGTTGAATTGGTTTAAGTTCTCCCCAGAACAACTTTTGATATAATTTGATAGAAACTCCATCATATTTCCACTGCAGTACTTGAATTTTCTGTTTGTATTTTTGTTGTTGTTGTTGAGATGGAGTCCTGCTCGGTCACCAAGGCTGTAGTGCAGTGGCGTGATCTCAGCTCACCACAAGCTCCGCCTCCCAGGTTCACGCCATTCTCCTGCCTCAGCTTCCCAAGTAGCTGGGACTACAGGCGCCCGACACCACGCCCAGCTAATTTTTTGTATTTTTAGTAGAGACGGGGTTTCACCGTGTTAGCCAGGATGGTCTCGATCTCCTGACCTCGTGATCCGCCCACCTTGGCCTCCCAAAGTGCTGGAATTACAGGTGTGAGCCACCACACCCGGCCTCTGTAATTTTTTTAAATGAGAAAACAAAGACACAATAATAGCCAATCATGTTTAATTCCCTTTTCTAAACAGACCTCTCTAAATTTTATCCCAATATTTTATCCAAATGCATCCTAGAGTAAAACAAACAACGCTCATTAGAGAAGAAATTTAATTGTTATGCCCGTGCCGGTTCTAGTTTGCCAAATATCTAATTCTATTGTTTTAGAAAATATATGGGTTTGTTTCTCCCTTAAGCCCAGTTGTTACATTTATTTAAACTTTGTTGCATTTTATATAGTCAGTAAAAAGTTAATCATTGACTTTGATTCATGTTAGAGCAACTGGGTACGTTCATTCTCCTTTTTTCTCTTTTTCCTTTCAGCTCAAATTACCTATACTAGCACTGCAAATTTTCCTCATGCCCCTATTGCTATAAGCCACAAAGGCAGAAGGGAGCTGACATTCACAGGACACCTGTCAAATGCCAAGCGTTATAACAAGTGTCTTTGCATATATTATTTCATTTACACTTGTAGTATCTTCATTGGACTTGTGTGTAACCAAAGACCCCGAGAGGTTAAAAAAAAGTATCCAGAGTCACACAGCTAGTACTTGAAGTGTTCATATTGCAACTCTGTCTGATGTCAAAGCACATTCCTTTTATTACATTGCCAAGTAAGATAGATATCAGTTCATCCACAACTACTAAGCACTCCAGGAACAAATGCATGTTAGGAGTCCCTGAAGGCTAAAATGGTGCTATAAGAGATAGACGAAAGGGCTGGGCACGATGGCTCGCACCTGTAATCCCAGCACTTTGGGAGGCCAAGGCAGGTGTATCACGAGGTTAGGAGATTGAGACCATCCTGGCTAACATGGTGAAATCCCGTCTCTACTAAAAATACAAAAAAATTAGCCGGGCGTGGTGGCGGGCGCCTGTAGTTCCAGCTACTCAGGAGGCTGAGGCAGGAGAATGGCGTGAACCCGGGAGGCAGAGCCTGCAGTGAGCCAAGATGGCGCCACTGCACTCCAGCCTGGGCGACAGAGTGAGACTCTGTCTCAAAAAAAAAAAAAAAAAAAAAAAAAAAGAGATGGACGAAAGGAAGCAGACAGTGAGGTCTTGTATCTGACATATAGCCGCTTGGCTCTCTCTGCCCCTTCAGGAGCACCCAGAGGGTGAGTGGACTCAGAAGGTGCGTTGCTGCTGAGGTCAGTGTTGAGCAGTTCTAGCTCAGGAAGCAGGGTCACTGAAGGCTGGGGCTGGGGGACCATAAAGTAGTTCTGGAAGCATATAGACTAGACCAAACACAGCTTTCACTTACGGGAACATTGATTCATTCTTTGATACAATGAGTACTTATTGTATGTGTCTATGAGAGGCCAGGCATACAAAGATGAATAAGACATGGTTCTTCTTCCAGGGACTTCAATGTCTATTGAGGAAGAGAGATAAATTAACAAGCCATTCGAGTAAATACTATAAACTATATTTGCTACTGCACTTAGATGACCCTTCTATAGTCAACATATCATGGGAACATGTTGATTTTTGAGAACTCAGTATCCATTCCACCTTGATTTCCCTTTGAAGGATTGCCTGCTGAGTTGTTAAATC
Source organism: Homo sapiens (assembly GCF_000001405.40). Lineage (NCBI taxonomy): Eukaryota > Metazoa > Chordata > Mammalia > Primates > Hominidae > Homo > Homo sapiens. The sequence goes on along the minus strand of NC_000012.12, from coordinate 89,376,907 downwards.
TGTTCCCTGAACCCCTTACTCACCAACAAACAGCCACCTGACCCAAGCTGGAACAATGTTCACTCCCTGGAGTGAAGAAAGAGGGTGAAAAGATGGAGAAATGATGGAAGAGCATTCATTCTGGGGCAGGGCACTGACAACACGGTTGAATGTTCTAACCCTACCCATCCCTACCCGACCCATTTCTATCAATTTCTGAAACTTCTGGTCCATCCTGAGAGCAGACAGAAATCCTCCCAATAAATCCCAACCATTTAACAATGGACAGACAACAAAGATCCCTTTGGTGAGATATGGGGTGTTGAAGACTGAAAGCAGGGAGACCAGTTAGTGTCTATTGCAGTAATCCAGGTGAGTATGGTAAGAGACTGAACTCCATGACTGGAGAGATGGTGAAGGGAAGACAGATTCCAAAATCAGAAGAGACAGAGCTAGCTGGACTTGGTGCCTACTGGATGGAGAAAGTCAGGAATATAGAAGAGCAAGATGAGTGGTTTTTCAGAAACAAAACAGGGCAGCTCAGATCCCCTCACTTCCTTTCTGTTGGTCTAGAAGTTATGTTCTCACTTGGTCTTGATTTTGGCATTTTGTTTCTTGCTAAGGCTAATTTCCTATAACTGCACCTTCCCAGCCCTGAGATGTACACGTCACTTCCTGCTAAAAGAAATTATCTGCATTATCTAGGAAACTTGGCAGGGACACCAAATCCTCTTTTCATCCTGTATCCTACAGCCCAGGATATATATTCAACTAAATTCTTGGAAATAGTCCTGAATAGCACATAGTACTCCAACATCAACAAGCACACTCTAATGATGACGGTGTGTCACAGGATGCTTACTAAGTTTGTGATCCCACTTACATGATCAACTACGTGACCACAGCCCACACAGTTCACACAGCCTCACCACACCTTCCCTATAGGGATTCTCAGTGTGCTCTGTGCTATCAGCTCTGCTATGGAGGAAAGGTGCTCAAGTACTTGTGGTCAGGTGGAAAGAATTCAATAGCACTTGAGCATGCAGAGCTGGACTTGGTGGACTGTGCTCTTTACTCAAAAGGCGCACACAGGGCACAAGCAGGCAGCAACCTCTATGAGTCAGAGCCTGCTTGGCCTACTTGTCCTTTGCACCATGTCTTTTGAACCAATAAATACAGTAACACCCATAACTACAATGTCTTATCTGCAGGAAAATAAGGCAGTAGCAAAATTGTGCAAGACACTGAACAATCATCTATAAGAACTAAGGACTTCCGGCCGGGCGCAGTGACTCACGCCTGTAATTCCAGCACTTTGGGAGGCCGAGGCGGGCGGATCACAAGGTCAAGAGATCAAGACCATCCTGGCCAACATGGTGAAACCCCGTCTCTACTAAAAATACAAAAATTAGCCAGGCGTGGTGGCACACACCTGAAGTCCCAGCTACTCGGGAGCCTGAGGCAGGAGAATTGCTTGAATCCGGGAGGCGGAGGTGGCAGTGAGCCAAGATCACGCCACTGCACTCCAGCCTGCCAATAGAGCGAGACTCCGTCTCAAAAAAAAAAAAAAACAAAACTAAGGACTTCACCCTCCCTAGAAAGCCCCTAAACTCTGGATTTGGGGAGCTCACCTTTGAGATAGAAAAAATTAATTGATAATGACTTCGGTTGGGTCTTTCTCTAGTTTCTCATACTAGGAGATACTTTGGAACACAGGTACTTAAAAATATATTTTAACAAACAAATTAGTAGTAGTGGAATATCACATTATTTCCTGGTGATCTTTTGAAAGATTAAAGAAAGGTATTGATCTAATAGCTTTTGGAATCCCCGAATTTTAAAAAACATGTGATTGAATAATCTCATTATGTAGGGTTGTGCAAGTAAACAATATGCTATGGTCAGGCTGTAAAAGAAAAGGAAATCTTTTTTTTTTTTCTTTTTTTTGAGACGGAGTCTCGCTCTGTTGCCCAGGCTGGAGTGCAATGGCATGATCTTGGCTCACGGCAACCTCTGCCTCCTGGGTTCAAACGATTCTCCTAGCTCAGCCTCCTGAGTAGCTTGGATTACAGGCACAAGCCACCATGCCTGGCTAATTTTTTGTATTTTTAGTAGAGACGGGGTTTCACCGTGTTCCCCAGACTGGTCTCAAGCTCCTGAGCTCGGGCAATCCACGCGCCTCAGCCTCCCACAGTGCTTAGGATTACAGGTGTGAGCCACCACGCCTGGGCTGGAAATCTTGATAGATAAAAGAAAGAGAAGAAACAAAAAGGTCTCACTTACAATTTATCCTCTCACTTTCTGCCAGATGATTAGATCACTGTATTTGTTAACAGCTTGATCACCTGTATTTTATTTCAAGTAAATTTTCTTCAGTTTCTTTGCCAACAAAGCATACTGGATAGAAATGCCTCAGAATCAATTTATCCTGCTTCACTAGTTTTATGCATTTTAGATTTAAGGAAACAACAGTTAGAATATTTTCAATGATGAAAAGAACTCCATTAGGCTGCCACAAATGTCAAAAGTTCCTGGCTATGCTAACACTTATGTAATTGTTCTGGAAACCCCACGCACCGGAATAGACCTACAACACCAGGCATGACTCACTGAATATTTCTAAGCACATACTCTCTCTAAAATGATCTCCAGTTGGGATTTATTTTTTCAAAGAAAAAAAGTAAAAGACAAAATATGGTACATCAAATCCCAAAGTTTTTTCTGTGATTTTTTTGGGAAAATACTGTTGCCTCACACAAGAGCATTAGAAGATGCTGCTGTTTTCATTAATAAAACAACCAGATGGGCAAGCATTAAAACAGGTTGAAACTTTGAAACTCTTCCTAAAAAAAAAAAAAAATAAGAAAAGAAAATAACATAGAGAACATGTGGGTTCTCAAATTTCCAAATGGCCTTCATTTCCTGTTGTGATTTTATTCCTAAGTTGGTTTTTTAAAACTTGTGGCTGGCAGCATATGACTAGTGTCCTAATCCCCTGAGCAATGTTAAGGAAAATTATACATGCCATAAAATGCTAATCAGCACAGGAAGGCCTGGGACCATACCACCAAGGCTCATTTGTAGCATATACTCCAACAGCTTTTACTGCATATCTTCTGTAAGTCTAAATGCTTGGGGGAAATTTACCAAAGTATATGGCATAACCTGTATCTCCAAAAGCTGATGTTGGATGCTAATTTCAATACCAAAGTAGCACATTTTTCTTTTTTTTTTTTTTTTTTTGAGACTGAGTCTCGCTCTATATAGCCCATGCTAGAGTGCAGTGGTGTGATCTCGGCTCACTACAACTTCTGCCTCCCGGGTTCAAGCAATTCTCATGCCTCAGCCTCCTGAGTAGCTGGAATTACAGGTGCCCACTACCATGCCTGGCTAATTTTTGTATTTTTAGTAAAGACGAGGTTTCACCATGTTCGCCAGGCTGGTCTCGAACTCCTGACCTCAGGTGAGTCACCTGCCTCAGCCTCCCAAAGGGCTGGGGTTACAGGCATGAGCCACTGCGCCCTGCCGTGCATTTTTCACTAGTAATATTCAGAATGGAGTTTAGGAATTCAGGCAATGGCGAGCCAAACCAGAAGTAGCAAGGCAGTTCTGCCAGGCAGTGAAACAGGACCTAGATAGCAATTTGTGTCTAGGCAGTAACAGGGGATCTCAGCACGTGGTTGTCATCAGTCTGTGTTCCACCTGCAGAAAGGAGAAGAAGGTGAACCCAGCAAGCAATAACCATAAGTGGATCAAGCAGCCTGGAGTGAGGCCCCAGGGCCAAGGAGGGGACTGAAGTTCTGGGAGGGACTGAAGTTCTAGGAAGGACTGATAAGGAAAGGCAAAATTCCAGTCTTAGAGAAACTTAGAGGCAGAATGTAGAAGAAAGAACAAAGGCCAAAGCCCAGTTATTTGAACTGGAATACAAGGTAGAGCCTGTGACAGGAATCAAGTGGAAACTTCACAGCTAGAAATAGAGCAGGAGCTCAGAACAGAACCCAGAGCCTAGCTGACCCGATACTGAGTGATATAAGCTACTTACATTTCCTCTAAGAGCAGACTTGGGCCCAGCACCTGGGGTAAGACTGAGCTGCAGGTGACTCTCTGTGGCCCCCACAGGGGGTCGAACCTAAATTCAAAGGAAGGCACCAGGCAGAATGGCCAAACACCACTCACACCAAAGTCCTCCTGGCTCCAAACCCTGTTTTTTGTTTGTTTGTTTGTTTCACAACTTTATCCCTTTTGGCAAGCTGTTCTTGTTATCTAGAATTCGCAAGCCCAAACTCCTCGGGCTACTCACTCTTCAAGATCTAGTTCAAAAAGCATCTTTTATGAGCAGCACTTCCTGGTTCCTCTGGGTTCCAGGAATGCTTTATACATGTCTCCATGATGTGTATACTACACCTTGCCTTCTCCTGCTTTAGTTCAGGTCTCTCTCCCTGCCTAGTCTTCAACCTTCTTGCCCAAAAAGCCTCAGCATCTCTTGAGCCCAGCATAGTGTCAGTATAGAATAGGACCTTGATAAATGTTTTATGATAAATAAATGAATGAAGTGACTGCGTGAACAAATGCTTAAGTGAAAATCATTTATTGAAAATTAATTTACTAAATGAAAATCCAGCAATCAATAAACAGGTTAATCAATATCATAGATTGAACATGGAATACAAAATAGCAACAGTAGCTAACATGTATCTATCACTAACTGTCCCAGGCCCTGTGCTCAGTCCTTTACATAGATTATCTTCTTTCATCTTCATAACCCAAGATATGAGTGCTATTTTAACACCCATTTTACAGATGAGACAATACAGGCAACATATTAGAATCTTTAAGAACTCTGTCTGATCTACTTAGCAATAAGATCCCTCACTTCTGGGGCCCTTCACTTGCCTCAAGGGATATAGTGGCTGTTAAGGGGTGGGGATAAGGATGCGATCAGACTTTGCTTATGTCTCATTCAATCTTATTGCCAGGTCCCATGCAATATTTGCCTTTCCCCTCCTGATGGGAGAGACCATACTAGAATGGGCCAGAGGCCTCTTCATTCTCCTGAGAGCTCTTTACCCTGCTAGCTTCAGGGTGTGAGATGCGGTACAAACTGAAGTGAAATTATAAGGAGTATTTGTAATCACCTGATATTTGCCTATCTATCTACCTCTTTCCAAAGACCACATGAAGTACTTCACGTATATTATCTTCTACTCCTCACTCCACCCTGTGAGGTAGTGTCTTTATCCCCTAAGCCCAGAGGTTTAGCAACTTGCCTAATGTACCAGAAGCTGGAAGCAGAGTCAGGATTTGAACTGAGTCCCATCCAACTCCAGTTTGATGCAATTCAACAAATACCCACCAAGCACCTCCTCATGGACATGGGGACATGGCCATAATCACCTTCACTGGCTATTGTTCAGGATCTCCTTTAAAAGCATGATTTTAGTGGCAGCTTTTTGGTCTGTTATTGGGAAAACGTCACAAAGATCCCATTCATTGGTGTAAAACCTTTGGCATCACTTAGCGACAGACACTGTCTGTGATGCTGGATAAGATGCACAGAGGCTCCAGTTGGAAAATCCAGAATCCTCCTGACTTCTGCTGTTCTCTGTCTTTCTTTCTCTTTAGCAACTCATATGCTCATGTTTACCTGTGGCCATTTTTGTTGACCTGTTCATGAAGGATGATAACCTGTGAAATGATGCACCAGCAGGAGAGAGACGGGCCCAGGGTCCGCACCCTGTGCTGTTTGCTTTGTGAAATTCCAGACTGTTTAATCTGCTCTATCTCATCCTAATAACTCCAGATTCCACTTTTCTTAATGACTTTCCCCTCCTTAAGTGCTTACAGAGTTATCTTTGAAGAAGGAGAAAAAGAATAGATGAATCATTTGCAGGAAACGGGGGGAGAGACATGTGGTTGGAATGGCAGATGGCTGAGCATGTGGGCACATAGCTGTCTCTGTTGTTCCTTCCACCACCCTGTGGGAACGAGTCCTTTGGAAGTGTACATTCATTCCAAGGTGGGGGCTGTGCCCACTTTCAGGTACTAACACGTAAATCCACATCCGCTCGGAGTCATCTTAGACATCCAAACTCCAGGCTCAAACCCAGACTGGACTATTTATTATCTCCTTGAAGTTTTGGCATTAGACCTTCTAAAGATAAAGTGATAAACTACTTTCAATTAGTGACAACAGAATTTCTTGTGCTGTCTCCTTTCTCCTGCAGGATATGAAGTATGTGAATATTCTTCATGTGCCACAGTGCAAGTTGCCTGACCTCCTAAGGGCCTAGCAAATGCCTAGAGGGAAGAGGGAGGAGGGAGAATGTACATTCAGATAAAAATACGGGTTAAGCAGGAAAACATTGATTGTTCTTGCTGGGGCTTTTTGTGGCGAGGGCGTGGAAAGGACATAAAGATACTACAACCTCAGGGACAAGTGCTCATGTATAGTTCCTCAAAGTTAACTTCCTGCTCAATGTATGGAGATGACACTAATTCTGGTCATTTCACTTAAATAACTGAAGTGAGTTTCTAGAATCCAAGAGTACATAAAGTTTGAAAGACTATGACTTTTCCAGAAGGCTTCATTTAGCCCTTCTGTTACTTCTATGCAAATTTCCAAATGTCATCTGGATGTATACGCTAGGATAACCATTTGTTATTATTTTATTTTTAGATATATGACGCTTGTTTTATCAAGAGTCTCTTTCATTGATTTTTTTGTTTCCACTTCCATCACCACCATCTGCGCCCCCTCCCTTAGACCTATACCACAGCACATTAATGTGCAGAAAAATTAGAATTTGTCATATTTTCTCCACCAGCAGCCAGGGCAGCTGCAGGTGAAGGCGGGACGGAGCCCACCTGTCTTTGCTACCTGAACGCACCACCCTCTGGCCTCGGGGGGCTCCAGTGTGCCATGCCCAGCCGAAACACAGAGCTGCCCAGGCCTTCTGGAAGCTTCTGGTCTGAGGGAGGTGTCTCCGAGGATCCTTTTGCCTGCTGACTTCAATGATCCTGTATTAAGCTGTCAACTTTAACAGTCTGCACAGTTTCCAAAGCTTTACTACTCTTAGAGGACACATGCCTTAAAAAAGGAGGGGAGGAACCACGCTGCCACTAAAGCAGCCTGAAGTGCCTTAACTTGTGGAACCAACACTAATCAACCCTAAGTGCGCTACTGAAGGGAACTGCCTTCCCCGCTTCTGGGGGAGACTTACAGAGCGTGGAAGGAGGGCATTCTCTGTCAATGATGCACTAACCTCCCAATCTGATTTCCCTGAATCAGAGGGAAGGTGAGGGAGTGGGGAGGGGGATAGAGAGCTTGAGGGGACACTGTGTTTGAGCTGGAGTGCTGCGGGCAGCCTTTCTCATGGAATGACATGGATCAACTTTTTTCTTTGTTTCATCTTTTAAGTGTACGTGCTTGCCTGTTCATGTGTTCATAAACTCAATCAATCATAGTTTCCTGAGCAATAAAAAGCAAAGGGAAAAAGGAAAAAAACAAACAAAAAAAAGAATTTGTCATATTTTCCTTAGTGCAATAGGTGTTTTGGTAAAATATGCATCTGGAAATTGAGATTCGTGTTTTAGCACATATTATTATACATCACTTGGAAACAAAGCCTTGTGGTTAAGAGCATTTTTTATTAATGAACACTCGTTAAAAATCAGCTTTAATAATAAACATCATCTGGTTAAGCATAAGGTCAGTCCAGAAATGGATCTGAGTAATCATGAAAATATTTCAGTAATCATAAATCTTAATAATAGAATTTCCACCTCCATACCTATTATGATTCGGTGACTCTTTTACTGAAAGTCATTCATATCTCCACAAAAACACCAATTCATGGATTTGCTAAAAGACTTGAAAATTATTCTTTATAATTTTAAGTCATGACTATACTAGAACAATTTTTGTGTCTCTCAAGATTCTTCACCTGACCCCCAAGCCTTAGCCTCTTCCTGAATGGACATCCGTGGGCCTGCTGTCTCAGCCTCCTGCGGAAGAAGCTGGGGCTTTGGGAAGATCACATCTCACCTGTTGCAACAGGAACCTCAGTGGCTACAGACATGGGTCTCACCTGATGGGACTCTGTACCTCATACCTTAATGGCTGCTCTCCTCCCACCTCTTCCAGGCAGTTTAGTGGGATGTGGAATCTGGCTTACCCAACGGCTCCCTTAAATCAGAGTTAAATTTTGAATCAAGGGACTAGAGGTCAAGAAGATAAATTCCTCTTTCTCCCCCCATTGCTCCTCCCACTGCCCTCCCCACCTGATGGACTGTTTCAAGGTGACATGCAGGACCCAGCAACAGGCTTTGTTCTTTGTGAAGTTATGTCCAGCTCCTTAACACACCGTCTAGTATTTGCATTCCTTCCTTTCCTGCCTCACCTTTTTCTCATTCCCTTTTATAGCCCTGAAATTGCACCACCCAACATAGACTTAGCAAGTAATCTTTGCCTCAGGTTTTATGTTCTAGAGAATTTGGCAAAGACGATGAGTTAAAAAAAAAATCTCGTTATATCTTCAATTTGGCCTACAAATTTGGCCTTGAATCTATTTTCTTCTAAATAAGAAGGAAGAATGGAGTTCCATAATTCCCCTTAAGATTAACAAGAGTTGCTCCAATGAAGTATGTATGGGTTGAGAATATGTTCTCTAAACCTCATTTAACTTTCTTGTGAGTTTAATCTCACCACAATATGATTGGATGCTAGAAGTTATTTTTCTGGATTGGTTGCTTCTGCCCAGTTTGATATGGTAGCTTTTCCTATATACATCCAACCTACAGGTATTTGCATACCTACTTCCTGATCTCCATCTTGTTATTGTTGTTGCTATCCTCTGTCATCTTTGAGTCCTTACCACCCATTTTATTTTCAGTGAATTCCAGATATATACCTGAGATAAAGCCAGTTCAAATAAATATTCAAAATCCCTTTGATTCAGGATATTCTGTTTTGTGTAAAATATGTATCACTTAATCAGCTGCTAAAGAATATCAGCTGCCAAAAGCAATATGATATTTGGGGATTGCAAACAGACACTTTTAAACTATCCCCATTCTGAAAAAGAAAGAAGCAAGGGACTTTTACGCTTTTTTATTTAATGGGCAAGATAATAAGATAATTCCTCCTCCTCCTTCTAGTCCTCCTCCTCCTCCCCCTCTGCCTCTTCCTTCTCTTCTTCTCCTTCTCCTCCTCCTCCTCCTCCTCCTCCTTCTCATCCTCCTCCTCCTCCTCCTCTCCCTTCTTCTTCTTCTTTAAGAGACAGGGTTGGCTGGGTATGGTGGCTCATGCCTGTAATCCCAGCACTTTGGTAGGCCGAGGCAGGTGGATCAATTGAGGTCAGGTTTTCGAGACCAGCCTGGCCACTATGGTGAAACACTGTCTCCATTAAAAAAATATATATATATTAGCCAGGCGTGCTACTCGGGAGGTTGAGGTAGGAGAATCACTTGAAACTAGGAGGCAGAGGTTGCAGTGATCCAAGATTTCGCCACTGCCCTCCAGCCTGGGTGACAGAGTGAGACCCTGTCTCAAAAAAAAAAGGGTCTCGCTCTGTCTCCCAGGCTAGAGTGCAGTGACCTGATAATAGCTCACTGTAACCTCAAACTCCTGGGCTCAAGTGATCCTCCCACTTCAGCCTCTTGAGTAGCTAGGAATACAGGTGCCTGCAACACCTGGCTAATTTTTTTAGTTTTATTTTTGTAGAGATGGGGTCTCACTATGTTGCCCAGGCTGGTCTTGAACTCTGGGTGTCAAGTGATCCTCCCACCTTGGCCTCCCAAAGCACTGGGATTACAGGTGTGAGCCACTACACCTAGCCCAGGCAAGATAGCATCTTCCTATGGAGGGGTTGGGATAAGGATAAAGGCTTTTGAATATTTAATAGTATCACTCTCTCTCCTCTGCTCATGCAGAAGGCAGGGAATGTGGTGCTAGATGAGTATATTAACGCTGCTATTTAATGAGTTAAAATTTATCAGAGAGTTTGTATAAATAATCTATTGCTAAAACAGAGCTTCAGACAAGCAACTCTCCTGGGGTTCAAATAAAACAAATAAAACCCAGGACTCTTTGACCCTGACTGGGCCTAAGGAGTGAGGACAGTTCCCATTAAAATTTGAGATTAAAACTAGTTGAGAAGGAAAAGTCAGGCATCAATGAATTATGTTTCAAACTGTGCGTTAGGATTATTAAGTGGCTCCACTTTTTTTTTATTTGGACTAATGATTGACAAATGGTATTTGAGTTCAGAGGCTAAAATGAACTTAACATTATGGTTGCAAAATAAGGTATAAAAATAAAATAGGATCAACAATCTACTCAAAAAATGAGTAAAGGATATGAATAGACAGTTCACAGAAAAAAATTCAAACAGCCTTTAAACATACAAAAACACGCTCAAATTGACTCTTAAGAGAAAGGCAAATTAAAGTTACCATGAGATACCAATATTCATCTCTCAGAGTGGCAAAGGTTTGAGAACACATTGTGTCAGCTAAAGTATGGGGAAATACATTACTGGTGGGAATGCAAATTAGTGCGATCTCTGAAGGGGGCATTTGGGCAATAATTATCAAAATTATAAACTCATATACTCTGACCAAACAATTCCATATTTAAGAATTTACCCTACAGATATATTCACCACAAGGTGGATGAGTGTATAAAACATAATCATTGCAGTCATTGCTTGCAATAGCAAAAAGATTACGAACAACCTCAATATCTATCGATAGGATGGCTGACTAAATAAATTATGCTATGTCCATGCAATAGAATACTATGTAGTCATTAAAAACGAGTCTGCTACAATTGCATACCAATAACACCAATAATAAATGCATATCCTTGTACATGCATAGACTCCCCCTGAGAAGATACACAAAATGCTAGTCAAAAGTGGTTGGTGCCAGGGAGAGGAACTGGGTGGCCAGGAGAGACTGACTTACTGTATGCCATATCCTTCCTTTTATATTTTGTTCCATTCACAAATATCACCTGTCCAAAAATAAATCAACAATGGCTTATTTTTAAGAGAAAAAAAGTACAATATGTGCAGACATTTTAAAAGAGGCTTTCATCTAATTTGTAAGTAAACTATGCTGTGTAGTTCCAAGTCACTTGGCAACAGCACAGACTTTTAAAAATGTATGCAAATAAGTCAACTTTAAAGACTAAATCAGAAATTAGAATTATCAAATGGCTGCCCACATTACTTTATTAATAAATGAATAAATCTTCATTCATTTCCCTTTATAACTGACACTTTCTTGTCAGCATAGCCATGGTTTGTTTCTAGTTGTTTTCCTTGAGCTCTTTGCAGTAAAGGAATCTAACAAGTAAATGAAAGAGTGCATGCAAAAGCAGGCTGTGATGTTGTGAGATTTAAACTGTCCTTAAAATAAGAACTAATTTGTGTAAGGATTTAAAGGCTATTCTTCTGTACTTTGTAGTCTCCTAATTGCTTTGTGACAAATTTTGCCAGTAAGTTTTCCAAGAAATGCATGTTAAGAGTGAACAAATGAATCAGAATAATTTACTGTACTAGAGAAAACATTTCCATTTGAAAGAGCTAATCATTCATTACTTACGTAAATGTACTTTAGAAAGGAGCATAAATTATCTTCTCCTTACGTATTCCTGATAGGTCTCCTTATTATATCACTCAATAACCATTTGATTTTCATATATAAAATGAAGTACTTTGGGTTTCCTCATTGTAAGTTCAAATCACCCCATTCCAGTTGGAAGGACTCCATCAGTCATTGAACACGACCATCCTTTTGAATCTTGAAAGTTGATACTGTTCTAAAAAAGCACTGAATGCTACCCTCCTAACTTCTTCATTAGGTCACAGTCCTATCTGTTAGCTTCTTGAGGGCAGTGTCTCTTCATTATTTATCTTTTTATCCCTTGGAATATCTTATACCAACTCAGCAAATATAGAGAGCACAGATTTTTTTTCAAAGGTAGAAGACACAGTCATTTTGGCAAAACTTAAAGCAGTTTATGTCTGTCACACACCCTGCGGTAGATATCAATGATGCTTTTCCAAAAACAAGAAAGAATTCTGATGTGGTCCAGGGTGCTGAAATGGAGACCTAGTATGGGAAGGGGCCCAGCAGCAGATGGAAAAGGTATGACTACGTGCCTCTTGCTACAAGGGCAGACTCCAAACCCCAAAGGGCAAAACACAGCTTGAAAGCATGTAGATGATGGTATAACTCCTTCAAATATGGCCCTCCCCAGCCCCATTTCAGCAATAGGAATAATAAGAATATCATTCCTTACACTTTTGTTTGTAATGGAAAACAATGGGAAAATGGGCCTTTCTTTACAAAATCTCATATTATAGAACACTGTTTGTAACCAAATAGGCTGCAATGGCATTCTCATCCTGAAGGCAATGGGCCCTTAGATTGGAAATGCCACTTCCTGGGTGGTGAGTACTTGGAATTTCTGCAGAAGCTTCCCTCCAAAGAGTATTTCTGATGCTCTTACTCAACTTTCAACTTTTCTATAGGTTTGAAATTTTTATAATGGACTGTTAGTGAGGAAAGGCAGTGTCCCTCCCCTCACTACTCCAGAGTAATTACTGCCACTGGCATTTGGAATAACATTTCCCCCTCTTTCGTGGCTACAATTGCAAGCATCTCTCAGTATCTCCCTGTGTGAGGTGAGATAAGTATTCTGTCATCTTCTATTAATAGGGAGAAATTCTGAGTCACAAGAGGGCTAAGTGATTTTTCTAGCTGCAGAAATAGGAGGAATAAAACTAAGCAGGTTGATGAATACATTATTTTAGGAAGAGGATGATCGTGGTGGTACTGCATCCTTTTTCTGGACAATTGCAATCGCTTCCTAATTGGTTTTCCTGCCCCCAGTTTCTCTCTCCCTTCCAGTCTACTCGCCCCCTTTGTTACAGAATTATATCCTGAAATCATGTCACACCCCTGTATAAATATCTATGATGACTTCACCTAAAGAAAAATTCAAAACTTCTTACCATGACATCCAAAGCCCATTTCCATCTGGCACTACACTACCTTTCCTGTATTCTCTGCCAATCTTTGCCTTCCATACCATTCACCTGCACTGCACTGGTCACACATGTCCATCCCTCCAAACCTTAGCTCATGTCATCTTTCTGTCTTGCCCAGAGTGTGTGTGGTTCTTCTCCTATCCCACTGGATGGGGACAGTGAGAAATCTGCTCCCTGGGGAATCTAACTCAGATGCTGCCTCCCCTGGGACACTTCCCAGCACCCCACCTCTACCTTCCACCTCCCACCCTAAGGTAGATGAACCATTTCCTCCTCTTGTTCCCATAGCACTTCCTTTCTACTGCAATGACCACATTTATTACATTACATTCTAGCTACCTGGGCACATGTCTAACCTCCCCAGTTAGACTTATATTTTTTTGTGACAGCAGGGCCTGAATCTCACTCATTTTCATAAGCCCCAGCAGTCATTTCAGTTTTAGACACACAACGGGTGTTCAATAAACACACGATGCTGCCACCAAGATACCTTCTTCTGTTCTTTGTAATCTCCCAACGCTTTGTGACAGGTTTCACCAGTAAATAACTCATCAGAGTGCATACCAGTTCAAGAGTTGCATTTACAAGGGCAAGCAGATTAGTTATGCCTGACACAGCATTTTCCTGTTACGAAGTTCTGATGCTTGTGTCTAAAGAATACTATTTGACTCATCTTTCCAGTTACTTCAAGAACATTTCTACAATTGCTGAACAGAGTGGATGAGTGAGGAATCTGACTATCTGGGATGTCACTGGAAGCTTCTCAAAGTTTGGTCCACCTGTATAAGCCACTGCTGGCTGCTGGACTACAATATAGTTGCCTGAGCCCATCCCTAGATCTTCCGAATCAGAGTCCCTGTCGGGTAGGCCAGGATATGGACTGAGAGCAAGTACCTCCAGGTGTTTCTAAACATTTCATTTCTAGACCTACTGGTCTGGGTGGGAAGCTCTTGGGCTCACTGGAAACCTCTGCCTAGGCAAGGGACTGTTAGGGGATGATTGTTGTGAATGCTTCTAAACCAGTTGTTAGTCCAGGCCACATATCAGAATTCTCTGGGCAGCTTTTGGAAAATATCAATGCCAAGATCCACCTTACATCAATTAAATCAGAATTACTGGTTATGGGACTTGGGCACCTATATTTTTTTAAAAAGCTTTCCTTTTAAGCCAGTTTGTCTATAGAGTACTTGTCAGATTCTTTTGATCAAAATCAGGGGTTAGTAGTTAGAGGCTCCAGATTTAGGTTACATTCCACACCACACTTCATCTCACTCTCACTATAAATGTAAATTTCACAGCAAATTTAACTAGATTAAAAATCATGCTTTAGCAGTAGGTACAGTTATACACACTGGGAAAAAGTCCTTCTCTCTGCCATAAGTACTCTAATTAACAGCACATTGCATGAAAGGGCCACACTGAAGTCAGCAATGTTCTAAAGGTGAACCTGCAGGTCGTGTCATCTCATGGGGGCAGGATCCTAGGCTCAGTGCTGGAAGCCGCACCATGACACAGACAGTTGAGCTGTCTGCTGTCTTGTACCTTGGTCATGCAAGGTCCATGTGTCCTGCCACACCTCCTCTACCACATATTGTAAGTGCACCAATTTCAAGAACATAAATAATTTGTTTTTAGGCCAGGTGCAGTGGCTCACGCCTGTAATCCCAGCACTTTGGGAGGCCAAGGTAGGCGGATCACCTGAGGTCGGGAGTTCTAGAACAGCCTGACCAACATGGAGAAACCCCATCTCTACTAAAAATACAAAATTAGCCGGGCGTGGTGGCAGGTGCCTGTAATCCCAGCTACTCAGGAGGCTGAGGCAGGATAATGACTCGAACCCAGGAGGCGGAGGTTGCGGTGAGCCGAGATTGCGCCATTGCACTCCAGCCTGGGTGACAAGAGTGAGACTCTGTCCCCCTGCCAAAAAAAAAAAAGAAAGAATTTGTTTTTAATATCCTTTATACTAAATTTTAAAGGTCATCAAGTGGATTCACATTAAAAAAATGCCAGCTAATTATTCCTGCCTAAAGCATAGAGTACTACAGCTGGTTACACTGAATTACTTAAATTACTAGAGCATTGGGATAGCTGAGTTCATGGAGGTTCCTGGAGTATGGTGCACCTGGAAAGGGCATGGAAACTGAAGCCCCTTCCCACATGCCTTGCCCTACACATCTCTTCATCTGTATCCTTTGTAATAGCTTTTATAATAAACTCGTAAATGAGAAAACCCCCTTGGCCTTTAAATTGAAATGGAAAATAGCCATAAAGTGGAACAATATGTACCTGAAAGACTCTAGTCACTACACTGCATCATCAAACTTAATCGGTTAAAGTAAACTTATTATGTGATAACACCAGAGTACTAGGAGAAAACAATGCATGAGATGATTACATAAAGTGCTTAATACAATGCCTCACACAAAGTTGCTTCTAAATAAATAATTACAAGCAAAATATAACAGTTGGAAAATGCAATAATATAGATGTTAAACTAAAATTTAAAAGATTTAACATTTGAATACCCACCACCACCCTAATCAAGATATAGAACATTTCCCTCACTCCAAAAAGTTCCCCCATTCCCCTTTCCAACAAATTACCTGTCTCTTCAAGACAACCACATGCAGGCAGCATGATCTCCCAGATATCTATGCCCTAATGCCTGGAACCTGTGAATATGTTACCTTACATGGCAAAGGAGACTTTAAAGACCTTGAGATGGGGAGACTATCCTGGATTACCTAGGTGGGCCCAATGTAACCTCATGAGTCCTTAAACGTAGAAGAGGAGAGAAGTGGTAGAAGAGGCAGCAGAGATTTGAGGCATGAAAACCATGTGATCTGCTGTTGTTGGCCTTGAAGACACAGGAAAGGAGGCACATGCAAAGGAATGCAGGTGGCCTCTAGAAGTTGGGAACATAGCAAGCAAACAGGGACCAGAGTCCTACACCCATAAGGACTAAATTCAGCCAACAACCTGAATAATCAGGGAAACAGGTTTTCCCCTAGAGCCTCCAAAATGAAAAGCAGCCCTGCTGACACCTTGAGTTTAGTCCAGGGAGACCCCTTTGGGACTTATGACGTACAGAACTGAAAAATAATAAATTTGTGTTAAGCCAAAAACAAAAGCAAATTACCATACAGAAAATATAACAAAAGGACAGAGAAATCCCATCATAAAGGCTTTTTCCCTGGGAAATTGGTTAGGGAGGGGCATGACCTAGCAAGGGTTTACACTTTTTTTTTTTTTTTTTTTTTGAGAGGGAGTCTTGCTCTGTCGCCCAGGCTGGAGTGCAGTGGCACGATCTTGGCTCACTGCAAGCTCCACCTCCCGGGTTCATGCCATTCTCCTGCCTCAGCCTCCCGAGTAGCTGAGACTACAGGTGCCCATCACAACACCCGGCCAATTTTTTTTTTTTTTTTTTTTTTTTGTATTTTTTAGTAGAGATGGGGTTTCACCTTGTTAGCCAGGATGGTCTCCATCTCCTGACCTCGTGATCTGCCTGCCTTGGCCTCCCAAAAATGCTGGGATTACAGGCGTGAGCCACCATGCCCGGCCAGGTTTACACTTTGGAGGTTTGGGTAAGGAATCTAAAACTTCTGGTAGGTCCAGCAAAACCTGATGGATTTATACCAAAGGATATATACTTATCGGATGTTTAATAAAAATAATCTTGGAATCATATATGTGCAAAAATTAGTATGGAAACTGTGCTAAGCAGGTGTCTGTTTACTCAAACCTGGGTATGTTTCTACAAGGTGGCTTCTAGCACAGGCTTTCTCATCTGTCCATGAATGGAAGTTTCCTTCCAGTCACAGAAGAGTGGCTCTCATGCTCAGCTCTGACCCTCCCCTCTTCCCCCTCCTTGTATTCTGAAAAGCTCCTGCTGGGCATGAAGTCGGAAGGAGAAAGGAGATTCCCAGAGAATGGGACTTCTTATATGCAGGACTCATAATATAAATGTGTGTTTCCATTAGCTGCCTTGAACCCAGATTACTGAGAGACGACAGCTATGTGGCTCAGGCTAGTAGATTTCCAATTCTCCTCTTGCACAATATGCAGTCCATAGGATCAGCTATGAGCCAGCATTGATGGAGCAGGGAAAGTGCCTGCTACTTCAGCAGGTGAGTCCTAGAGTGATGGGGAACCCCTGGTACGCAGTGTGTTTTCACTGTCCCCAAACTATCCAGGTATCTCAGCCCATTAAGAAACCTCAATTTCTGGGTTGCTTATATCAGCAACTAAGAGGGGCCGTAAAGCAGTTGATTCTGTTCTTTGAAACTTTTTTCAAAAAATGTGTATGGATTGTTTTTCTCTTCCTGAGAACTAAATTAACACTATAGTGTTTTTTTGTTATATGATCCCTTTTCAGCAAAGTCAATAAACATTTATTAAGAGTTGTGGTTGGGTGCGGTAGCTTACATCTGTAATCCCAGCACTTTGGAAGGCTGGTGGATCACTTGAGGCCAGGAGTTCAAGACCATCCTGGGCAATGTGGCAAAACCCTGTCTCTACTAAAAATACAAAAATTAGCTGGGCATAGTAGTGCACGTCTGTAATTGCAGCTACTTGAGAGGTTGAGGCACAAGAATTGCTTCAACCTGGTAGGCGGAAGTTGTAGTGAGCCGAGATCGTGCCACTGCACTCCACCCTGGTGACAGAGTGAGACTGTCTCAAAGAAAAAAAAAAGAATTGTGTGTATATGTGTGTGTGTGTGTGTAACAATAAAAACAGGTAGCAATCAATGAGTTATTGTTCTAGGACTGTTTCTACCCACTTTACAAATATAAATCATTGATTGCAATAGCTCTGTGATAGAGTATTCCCATTTTACAGATAAGGAAACTGAGACATGGGGAGATGAAATGGTTTCCCTGAGTCATAGGGCCAGAAAGTAGGTAAGCCAGGATTAGAATCCAGGTTGGGCTGATTCCACAAGTCCTAGTCTTGACTAGCAAGATAAAGTGTAACAAATTATGTAGAAGCTATCATGGTATACCAGGTTGAATTCATTCAGGGCCACTCATCAGGTTGGCAGCAGTGTGTATGTACTAAGGAGCTTTGAAGGGACTGAGATGCAAGTTTGGATTCCAGCATAAATTACCTGACATTAGAGCTCAGGCTTCCCCACCTTAAAGTTGTGATAATGGTATACCTGTTTTGCAAGGTTATCACAATGGTTAGATTTAACCCGTACAATGGTTGGTGTAGAATAAGTTGTAGCCACTATGTTGTTATTTCATGATATGTCCAGATATAACTTTTATAATGAACCCACCAACAGCCTTAAGCAGTGTTGTTTAGACTGGAGTTTGGGGCTCCCTAGGGTTCTATTAATATATTCTTGGGGGATCTGCAAGTTCTTAAAGTTTGAAAAACTGAGCTAAAGCATTCCTGTATTGTGGACACACACAGTTACTTCCACTGATTTCTGAAGCAAAAATAGGGTGGCAGGAAATAGTACCCACTTAGGAAAATAATGAGTTCTCTTACACAACAGCTATATGTACTACTCACACCTGCGTAAATAAAGCAACACAAGATGGAGAGAAAAGTCACCAGAGGAAACAGCCCACACAGGGAGGCTCACGGCAAATATTCCACATGAAGATGCAACATGGATAATGCCCGACACCACACATGTGGTGCTTCATGACACGACATGAGAAGGTTTTGGAGAGCTGAATACATATAGTCTCTCACTTACCTGGCTGGCAATGTAAGCTATACTTTCCCACTAAGGATCATCGCTGGGGCTTTCAAAATAGTACAACGGGAAACAAGGTACCGTCAACTCCTTTCCAAAAGAAGGTAAATGCGCTTACTCAGAAATGTACTGCAGAAATGCCAACGTCATGAGTTTCTTATATATACATTTATATATGCTTTTTACATTTCCTGCTTTGTAAAAATAAAGGATAAGGAAGAAGAATCAATGAATATTTTCCCAGTGGAAGGCATGGAATTAAAACATCTGAAATAAAAAATTAACATTGCTATCTTTTAATGAATTTCTTTGCTAGAGACCGTCTAGCTTTTAAAAAAATTCTAGATAAAGTCTCTACAGGAGCCTGAATGTAAATTAATTTGTCTTTCATCAGATGACGGGAAACAGAAATGCAAGAAAGCTGACGAAGACCGTAATTTTTAAAAGCTTAGCCAAATTGGCTAAGGTCTGAATTTCACAATAGTTCATGTTTTTCTTCAGGTGGTATCATCCTGGCAATGCGTGAATGTGCCATCTCGTTCATGGGGAAGCTCCAATCTCCCCCTAGATATGCTTGTGGGTGTGATTCTGGTGTTGCTGTCCAGCTACCTCTGCCTTGAGGTCTAACCTAGCCTGCCTTTCCCCTTCCCCCGCATTGTTTGGAGAAATCATTAACCCGTGCTCAATAAGCCCTTGCAGCTCCTCATCATGGGGCAAGCTGCACGGAGCTTCCACGTGAGAAGCAGTTTGATTGCAAACCTGGATCTGCAATTCCCAGGGGCTGCCCTCATGGAATTTTAATTGGGGGCTATTTGAAATTCCCTTTGGCTTTCTCACAGCCTATCACTGCCTGTAAGTCATGTTACCTACTGTCAGTTCCTTAGGCTTCTTGTGTTTCTCGGTTGCTACTGTTGTGGTACAACTTCTTGGTATCTTTTAAAAGCACTCATCAGAAGACCTTAGGGACAGTTTTGTGCAACCCATATACATTTTACATTAAGCCATACTATTTCAGGTGTATCCTTCAAATACAGTTAAATTCAGTTTTGAAGTTTTAGCTGCACTGAAAGCCACTGTCACTTTGAGGGCCTACCTGGGACCCCTAAATGCATTTACATTTTAAGTCAGAACTTCCAAAACTCTCCTTATTTGCTGAAAATCTGTTTAACTGTTTTCACATGATGTGTTAATAAATGTCATTGTATTCACAGAGATTATTCCAAGAAGATTAAAGGTCATGCTAGCCCATTTGCATCTTATAAATCTCAAGTGCCCTCAAACTCAGGAAAATTCCTGCAAAAGTGGAATGTTTCTCAAATGGCCTAGAGAAAATTTTATAACCAAAATACACTGCTTTAAAAATTTTTTTTTTTTAACTAACAATTTTTAAGGAACTTTCCAGGGGGAAACACCAGGAGGAATTCAAGCACAAGCACAGGTGCTCGGTGCACACATACATACACACACACACACACACACACACACAGAGGAAGAAACAAGAATCTATGAAAGTGCTTCTCTGCACTCATGAGAATGGATCACAGATGATCTGCTATCTCCAATTTTTAAATACAGACCTCTTCATATGAATGATATCCTCTGAAGGGCACTGAGGCCTCTGGAATTAAGGAAGCCTGTAATTCTTCCAACTACTACAGCCCTTATCTCCTAAGAGAGCTTTTCCTCAGTGCCTCACAGGAATGGCAATATCACCACCAACAGCATTCCTTATGCAGGAATGAAGTGGTGATATTTTAAAAATCATCTTCTGAATACCGACTTTGTGCCCTACACTTCTCGTGTGTCATCTCAGTTGTGTCTAATCCTCACAGTCCTTTGAGGGAGGAATATATATTCCCAATGTTACACACTTCCGAATTCCTTTTCTTGCTTTTTCTCTATAGCGCTTTCACTTTCTAATATATAATTATTTGTTTTGTTAATTGGACTGTCCTCATTAGAATGTAAACTTCAGTGAGGCAGGTTATTGTTGTCTGTTTATTCTCTACTGCTTTCCTGGAATCTAGAATAAATGCATCAATGAATGAATGAAGTGAGGCCCAGACTACTACTGAGTGACAGAGGTTTGAACCTAGGCTTATGTGCTGTGCTGACGCACTAGATAACCAATGACACTTGTGAAGATTAGGATCTAGGGCATATTCTAAGAGAGATAAAATATGCAACATTTAGTGAATGTTTGACTGATGAAGGGTTGCGTGCAAAGAAAACCACTGGTGTGTAAAAGGAGCAGGGAAAGCAGCCTCGCTTTTGATCTTTGACATGGAGGATGCAACAGAAAACGTGAGGCTGGAGAAAGCCTGGAGGTCAAAATTCAAAATGCTGACCTTGAAATTCTTCACATGTGGGCAGGGAATACCACGTGGAGGTGAATATAGTGTCCATAACACTCTATGTAATCCGTGCATGTGGGCATCCTTAAGAGTCTGTAAAGGGTTTGGCCTCACGTCTTGACACTCTGTTGCTACTGTGTGCCCTTGGGCAAATTCTTTAATCTTTGTAAATGGGATAATTTACATGTTTTTTCTGAAGACTGTCCGAAATTATGCAAGTAAACACAGAAACAAGACGGTACCCATCATGCAGTTAAGTGCCCAATATGCATTGTTGTATCAGTTTGCTGTGGCTGGAGAACAGCGTGTTCCAAAGGTGACCAGTAGGGAGAAATCAGAAATGTAGCTGGGTCCATTCTGATAACTGTGCTAAAGGATTTTTGATCCTGGTCTACGATAACACCCCCTTTACTTGACAGCTGAATTGGAACGGATTAAATCGGTTAGGGTAGTATCTCAGAGGGCTTTGCTGCAGATGAGCGAGTCCAGGCGGGCTGTCAAGCGAGCCTCAAGGGGCATCTGTGGGATGCCCAAACCGTGTCCCCAAGCCGAGGCCTTTTTACAGGTCCTCAATTCAGAATGAAAAATTAATTCCAACGGCTAATAGCACCCCACCACCACTTTAGGACGTTTCACCGTACCCATTTTGTCGTCACAGGGACCCTATGAAGCAGATAGTTTTATCTTCGTTATGCCGACGTGGAAGACTGCAACTTAGAACGGCTAAATGATTTAACTAAGGGCGCTTACCTAGGAAGAAGCGGGGGACATAATGCAAACGAGGGCCGTCCCACTCCAGAAGCCCTTTTCGCAGCATTTCTAGTACTGAGCAGTCAGAACGCCACTTTAATCAATGCGCCAGGAAACACTGGCATTCCCTTGGCGATAAAGTTCAGAAGCATGGGTAAAACTACAGTTTCGATGTATCCTCCCGAATCTATAGTCATACTCAAGTAGCTGCGTATTAAAACAGGCAAAGTAGAAACCCAACTTCCCTCCCTTTCTCTTCTGTTGGAGGTCCTGTGCTGAACCTCCAACAGGTTTGCTCTTCTCAGTTCCGCTGAAGGGCATCCTGCCTCTTCCCTCCCTGTCCCCAGGTCCCAATGACTGAAACGTCTCGGGGTGGGAACTTCTGTGACAGATCGTGGAGGACAGGGGGAGTCAACTCCAGCGCAGGCCTCCCCCGGCTGAAACTAGAAGATACCCAGTGAAATATACGAGTTTTGTTCCAAGGACTGCCCAAAAATGGTGCGGAGAGGAGCTCGGCAATCCCCACCTTTGTCGAACACGCTCCTCCAGGGGCGGCCTGCCTGAAGCAGAGCTCCAAAATTGGCAACCTAGGCCTCGCAGCCGCCTTTTTTTAGCCTACATTTCCCAAACCAGGGAAGAGGCGGGTGACTAAAAATGCAAATTGCAGCGGGGGTGTTAGCAGGCATGCCCGTGGGTGCGGGGCGTCGGGCGAAGGGAGACCCCGCGACCTTAGGCGCCCTCGCGGTGTTCACGGTAGGCGCAAAGCGCAGCAAGGGACACTCCCCAAAGCCGCACCCCGCCGGACGGCTGCCCCCGCTTCCGCCTCTCAGGCAGCGGTGGGACAAAGCGCGGCCTCTTTTCCGCCGGGGTTTAGGGAGGGAAGGCCGGATTAGGGCCCGCGCCTTCCGGCTGCATCCCTCTCGCGCCGCGCCGGCCGCACACAGGTGGTTTTCCGCTCGGGAGGGGCAGGCTTCGGCACTTTTATATAACAATAGAGCTCTGCGCGCCGGGAACGCGCCTCCCCGCCGCCGCGGCCCCCACCCGGCCACGCCTCCATCCGGCTTCCAATCCGTCCGCCCCGCGGCGCCTGGGCCGAGTGCTGCTCGCTGGCCTGGCCCGCACCTCCCCAAAGTTACCTGCTGGCTTTGCAGCGCGGTAGAGACGTTCCCCTCGACTCCTTGGGAGCGAGGAGCCAGGGGGGTCCCGGCAGGCACTCGTCCTTGCTCCCCCCACCCTCCCCAGATCTCTATGGACCCGGGAGTCCCTCGCTGAGCCCCGCACCCGTCCACTGCGTCGCGCACAGCCCCGTGCCCAAGCGGGGAGACGGGGACGGCGGGGCGGTGGCAGGGAGCGCAGCGCGCAGGCGCGGCTGGTGCTCCCCGGAGTGCCCGGCGCTGGACAAAGGGAGGAGGCGGCGGCAGGAGAGGGCTGGGGAGGCCCCCTCTGACATGCCTCCCTGCCAACTGTAACCAATCGTCGAGCCCCCCTGCCGAGCCCCCGCAGCCTGCAGGTCTTGCGGGAGGACTTCCTCACGCCTCGCCCATGGCGGGGACTGCTGGCCCGGCCCGGCGCGTCCCAGCACACCTCGCTCAGGCAGCCCCGCCAGACCGGCTCCCCCGTCAGAAGCCGAGCTCCTTGCCCAGAAATCATTAACCAGCGCGACCTCCCAGCAGGCGATGGTGGTGGTGGGGCGGGGGGAGAGATATAGATTCCCCCGAACAATGGCTTGTAACTCCCCACGCCGCCGGAGCGGAATACAGTAAAAGCACTGGACTGACCTAAGAGTTTGTTTCTGCACTCTACATTGTTTTAATGAAAATAAAATGTTATTTTAAGAAAAAAGGTTTTCTTCTGATTTTCTGCACAACCAGACGTTTGTTTGTTTGCTTTAAAATGTTTCAACAAAATCCTGGTTTGTTTCGAAATATGTTGGATTAGCATTTAACACCTCATCGGTCACTAAAGCCCAGTCAGTTCACCAGCCCCAACACAGCCTCGGCTAAAAGAACATCAGAGCAAACAGAGCTGGGCCTTTAAAAGTGGCAAACAAATGCCACACACCGCCTAAAGAAGGGGGGTTGGGGGAGGGGAGGGTTAAGGCGAACTTGGGTCCAAATGAGTTTGAAGGGAATACAAAGAACGAAAAGTCAGCACAAGTTTTCCTAAAGCTAGCTCGCGAACGCAAGCGTCGCGAACAAGGGCTTTTGTGCATGCTAATTGCGCCATTGGTGCGCAAAAGTTCCGACGCGAAGTGTGAACTCTCAACAGAAGGAAACATGAGACAACTGAAGTGCCCTGGTTTATGTGCCCTGCTCCTCCTCCGCTGCCGCCTCCCCTTCTTTCTCCTTCCTCCCGCCGAGCCCGCTGTTGCAGCTTGTTTGCACTGGGGCTTATCCGGAGCGGAAATTCCTTTCCGTTTTTGTGAATGACAAACTCATTAACAATTCATCAACACAACCTGTTCCAGCCGGCCCGTCCCCACGGCAACAGCCCCTTCCGCAGCACGCTCATTGGCTGGCCCGGAGAATGTATCCATTGAGACGCTCGCTGTTTGTATCCATTGAGGAGCTGCCTCGCGCAGGGGGTGTGCGAGGCTGAGTCCAAGAGATAGCAAATCGAGTCTTAAATAATCCGGGGAGAAAGACGCCCGGGTAGATTTGAGGTGCAGCCTTGGAGGGAGGGATTAGAAGCCGCTAGACTTTTTTTCCTCCCCTCTCAGTAGCACGGAGTCCGAATTAATTGGATTTCATTCACTGGGGAGGAACAAAAACTATCTGGGCAGCTTCATTGAGAGAGATTCATTGACACTAAGAGCCAGCGGCTGCAGCTGGGTGCAGAGAGAACCTCCGGCTTTACTTCTGTCTCGTCTGCCCCAACCGCTAGCCTCGGCTTGGGTAAGGCGAGGCGGAATTAAACCCCGCTCCGAGAGCGGCAGCTTCGCGCGCGGTGCGCTCGGCCTATGCCTGCCCCGAGGGGCGTCTGGTAGGCACCCCGCCCTCTCCCGCAGCTCGACCCCCATGATAGATACGCTCAGACCCGTGCCCTTCGCGTCGGAAATGGCGATCAGCAAGACGGTGGCGTGGCTCAACGAGCAGCTGGAGCTGGGCAACGAGCGGCTGCTGCTGATGGACTGCCGGCCGCAGGAGCTATACGAGTCGTCGCACATCGAGTCGGCCATCAACGTGGCCATCCCGGGCATCATGCTGCGGCGCCTGCAGAAGGGTAACCTGCCGGTGCGCGCGCTCTTCACGCGCGGCGAGGACCGGGACCGCTTCACCCGGCGCTGTGGCACCGACACAGTGGTGCTCTACGACGAGAGCAGCAGCGACTGGAACGAGAATACGGGCGGCGAGTCGGTGCTCGGGCTGCTGCTCAAGAAGCTCAAGGACGAGGGCTGCCGGGCGTTCTACCTGGAAGGTACGCGCCCAGGGAACTCCGCGCGCGGGGCAGGGCTAGGGGCGCAGGGCTGCGGGCGGGGCGCGTGGATTGAAAATACCTCTGCTCCGCTCAGCTGGAGCTTCGGAGCCGCGCTGCCCGCCTAGGGACCGGCAGCCGGCGAGGTAGGGGCCGCGAACCGCGCGTTCCGCACCAGAGAACCGGGCCGGCTCAGAATCCACTCGCTTCCGGCTGCGGGTACCGGCGGTTTCTTTCTAACGGGTTCTGCGCCTTCTTAGCCAGAACATCCTCCACCATCACCCTGTTTTCTATCGTTCGATTTTGAATTAAGATTTGCAGGACGGGAGAGATTGTTGGGGATGCAAATTGGCACATCTTAGCTCTCAAAATATTCCAAAAAGTTGCCATTTTGTCTATTTCCGGATTCAAGCGAATAAGGGTTCCCTGGCGAGGCGGGCCCGTTCGTTCCATTCCCGATGGTGCACATTTAAAGTGTGTTTCTCTTATAGATGGTTCTGTATGTAGGGGGTTCGTAGGATGCTTGTGGTGTTTCTTGCGCCGGGCTGCGGTTCTTACAAGCTGTGAAAACTACTACGGCTTCTCAGGTTAGATGATTGCTTTTCTCGTTCTGGCAGGTGGCTTCAGTAAGTTCCAAGCCGAGTTCTCCCTGCATTGCGAGACCAATCTAGACGGCTCGTGTAGCAGCAGCTCGCCGCCGTTGCCAGTGCTGGGGCTCGGGGGCCTGCGGATCAGCTCTGACTCTTCCTCGGACATCGAGTCTGACCTTGACCGAGACCCCAATAGTGCAACAGACTCGGATGGTAGTCCGCTGTCCAACAGCCAGCCTTCCTTCCCAGTGGAGATCTTGCCCTTCCTCTACTTGGGCTGTGCCAAAGACTCCACCAACTTGGACGTGTTGGAGGAATTCGGCATCAAGTACATCTTGAACGTCACCCCCAATTTGCCGAATCTCTTTGAGAACGCAGGAGAGTTTAAATACAAGCAAATCCCCATCTCGGATCACTGGAGCCAAAACCTGTCCCAGTTTTTCCCTGAGGCCATTTCTTTCATAGGTGAGACTAATTAATAGTCGTCGCTCTGACATTTAAATGCAAAATTCCTAGCCATTCATAGAGTTTAAGCTGTTAATCGTTCTTGCTGCTTGCTAATTTGTCTGACTGCAGGTCTCTAATGTTCCTAGAGCGTCCTTAATTCTGGTTTATCTTCTTGCTAAAGGAAGAAAACCTGCCTTTTGACATGGCTGCAGATCACAGGTGTATTTGAAACGCTGTTTCTTGAATCTTTGAATTCAGTCATTGACAGTCGTTCATAATCGGACAACAGATTTTTCCCCCCAGTCTTTGGACTCAGGGGAAGGGTCAGATAGAAGTACTCACTATAGACAGGAATTCCAGCATTGCTTTATAATTTAAAAACATCTAGGAGTTATTTTAGGACATCAAGTTAGTTGTTGGAAAGCAGTATGAATGCTGAATGTTATCCAGTTGAATGATGCGGTGATACTGGTAACAGTGAGACAGTGGGTAACCTGAGCCCAGCAGGAAGAACTGTGGGCTGGAAGCCTGGGAGAAGTGAATCTCCAGGCATTGTAATGCATTTCCTATTACAAAGGAACTCATTTTCAGGCCGTGTCGACATCCTGTTCCTCCTAATGGGCCGTCCCCTGTGACTTCCCTCTCTCTTTTAAAATGCCTGAATACCTCCATTGTTAGCTGCACAACATTTGGAGCATAATTTAATAGACCCTTGCAGTCTGGTTGTCTGTGTAAAAGGCATTCACGAACATATTGCAGGGTTTCTGGTATTCACATGCCGAGGCAAAGAATGCACCCATTAAGGAGTTTTTTGTTGGCAGAAACTTAATACAAAAGCTCTCTTTTCAGAAAATATCTGAAATATGTAATTGTGTCCAGTGTACATGTTTCATTTCAGTGATACATTTTCTGCTGCTTGTAGGGCTCAACTGCCACACACAACTATTATTATTATTATGTTTTCAAGTTCAGTTTTTAGACTGATCATTCACAAAGGGTGGTTTTCAGTCTGCTGAGATCTTGCTTTTCTTTTTGTGTTCACAGATGAAGCCCGGGGCAAGAACTGTGGTGTCTTGGTACATTGCTTGGCTGGCATTAGCCGCTCAGTCACTGTGACTGTGGCTTACCTTATGCAGAAGCTCAATCTGTCGATGAACGATGCCTATGACATTGTCAAAATGAAAAAATCCAACATATCCCCTAACTTCAACTTCATGGGTCAGCTGCTGGACTTCGAGAGGACGCTGGGACTCAGCAGCCCATGTGACAACAGGGTTCCAGCACAGCAGCTGTATTTTACCACCCCTTCCAACCAGAATGTATACCAGGTGGACTCTCTGCAATCTACGTGAAAGACCCCACACCCCTCCTTGCTGGAATGTGTCTGGCCCTTCAGCAGTTTCTCTTGGCAGCATCAGCTGGGCTGCTTTCTTTGTGTGTGGCCCCAGGTGTCAAAATGACACCAGCTGTCTGTACTAGACAAGGTTACCAAGTGCGGAATTGGTTAATACTAACAGAGAGATTTGCTCCATTCTCTTTGGAATAACAGGACATGCTGTATAGATACAGGCAGTAGGTTTGCTCTGTACCCATGTGTACAGCCTACCCATGCAGGGACTGGGATTCGAGGACTTCCAGGCGCATAGGGTAGAACCAAATGATAGGGTAGGAGCATGTGTTCTTTAGGGCCTTGTAAGGCTGTTTCCTTTTGCATCTGGAACTGACTATATAATTGTCTTCAATGAAGACTAATTCAATTTTGCATATAGAGGAGCCAAAGAGAGATTTCAGCTCTGTATTTGTGGTATCAGTTTGGAAAAAAAAATCTGATACTCCATTTGATTATTGTAAATATTTGATCTTGAATCACTTGACAGTGTTTGTTTGAATTGTGTTTGTTTTTTCCTTTGATGGGCTTAAAAGAAATTATCCAAAGGGAGAAAGAGCAGTATGCCACTTCTTAAAACAGAACAAAACAAAAAAAGAAAATTGTGCTCTTTTCTAATCCAAAGGGTATATTTGCAGCATGCTTGACTTTACCAATTCTGATGACATCTTTACGGACACTATTATCACTAAGACCTTGTTATGGCGAAGTCTTTAGTCTTTTTCATGTATTTTCCTCATGATTTTTTCTCTTTATGTAGTTTGACTATGCCTTACCTTTGTAAATATTTTTGCTTGTGTTGTCGCAAAGGGGATAATCTGGGAAAGACACCAAATCATGGGCTCACTTTAAAAAAAGAAAGAATAAAAAAACCTTCAGCTGTGCTAAACAGTATATTACCTCTGTATAAAATTCTTCAGGGAGTGTCACCTCAAATGCAATACTTTGGGTTGGTTTCTTTCCTTTAAAAAAATTTGTATAAAACTGGAAGTGTGTGTGTGTGAGCATGGGTACCCATTTGATAAGAGAAATGCATTTGATTGTGAAGAAGGGAGAGTTAAATTCTCCATTATGTTCGTGGTGTAAAGTTTAGAGCTGGAATTTATTATAAGAATGTAAAACCTTAAATTATTAATAAATAACTATTTTGGCTATTGAATGTGTGTTTTTAAAAACTCAGTTATACCTATGTGTGAAGTGACACATTTTAGAACTTTTTCATTCAGGGATTGATTTTGACTTGTAGGCATAGTAGGGCAAGGTTCTTTTAAGCTTTTCCTAGAACGTTTTTCAGCAGCAGTTTATGAAATTCATCGTTTGCCACGAATAAAGATGACATCCTAGAATGGACCGACTGTACCGTGTATATGAACAATACCTCTTATGAGTATAGTTCCGGCTTAAGATTTTAAAGCCCCTGAAGAAAAATGAACCTATAGAGCATAGCTTGCTGAGGAATACAATTTGGATATTAACCACAGAGAGGTGTAGCAGAATACCAAGATGACAGCCACATGTTAACCTCCTCCCTATCCTTCACTGTCAGGATCTTCTGCTTTATAATGCTGAGATAATGCCAAAGAGGAAGTAGGGATAATTCTTTTTCCAGTCTGTTGTCATGGGCAATTCTACCTGCAGATATCCTAGTGTGAGAATGCTGAATCCAGAATGATGTCTCCACTTTTTCCCCTAGCATGCGCATGGCAAGGCATATCTAAGCTTCCTCACCGTGTCAGGATATGGCTTTAGAATTTTACATTGGCACTTAGGAGGCAACTTTGTCATCCCTGTTGTAATGTGCTTTTTTGTTTAACTGGCTTGGGATGTGGGTCAGAAACCCTTATTGAAACTTGTGGGGATTATTTTAGTTTCTTTTCAAGCTAAAGACTTTATATCTTGCCATTTTTCTTGGGACCTACCCTCTCCTTACCTCAAATGTAAAAATACACAAACCAAAATAAAAGGCAGGTGTATGGAATCAAAAGAACTAGAACGTACTTATATTTGGGGCTCTTTTTGCATGAGCTCAGTCCCTTCATGTGAAGTGGGGAGAAGAATGAGCTTTTCACCTACATGGCACATGAGTTGACTGCTTGGTCGTCTACACTAACTTAGGAGGCAAGTGGCCTTCATTCGATGGCAATCATATAAAACTGTCCATGGTGATTTTTAAGCAACTAAGTATAAAAAGCAAACAGAAATAGTGCAAATATATATATATACCAAGTCAGTCTGTCCTATTTGGGTGTCCCAAGTCAGCAAGAGCACAGAAAGGAGAAGTGGATTGCAGTTCAACTTGGCTCGTGTTAATCCAGTTCTGAACGGTTTCCGCTCCTGGCATTCCCTAAACTGCCTGTTCAAAGTAAGGATTTGCAAGCAGCGTTAGCAATTTCCTGTCCAGCTGCAGCTCAAGTAGCTGGGTGCTTTTCCCCCCTTTCTTTTCTCTGATTTCTTTTCTCTTTCTTTTTCTTTCTTTCGTTTTTTAAAAAAATATGGGCTGTGGATAATTTTAGTGCATTTCCTCTTTGTGGATTATTATCTCTTTCCTCCTAGAACCTGCATACATTGAGTTCCTACTGCTTGGCTCAAGCCGACAGCTGGCCTCCCCAGCACTTCCTCTCGTTTTACTGTGGGTTTGTTGTTTGTCAGTCCACTTCTGAAATTAATAATGTTTTCTGGCTAAGTGCCACAAGCCATTACCACAAAGGGGAAGTAACACATATGAATAGCAGGAAGCCATGCAGGGTCACAGTGTGAGCTGAACCTGTGGAGGGAGCATAATTGAGCCTGGCCCATTCAGCAAGTGTCTGACTGCAATTTGGGGAGAGGGAGCTCGCTGCATCTAAGCAGCTCAAGCTGTGAAAAAAAAAAAAGTTTCCAATAAATTGGGAGCAAATGGTCTTTGTCACCAGTCTGAATAAAGGAGAGAGAGAGTATGAAGAGCTTAGAGCCTCCATAAAGTTGCAATGTTTGAGGTTTCTCCCCCTTCTCCTGACATATTGTTTCAGAAGGCTGGTGAACAGAGGGGTGCCTGTTTCCCTCTATTCTCACCAAAGGACTCATGTTAAATGGGTGGTTTTTACGGTTCACATAGGCCAGAAGATTCAAAGAGCTATTCTCTTTCCTTCTTTTTCTTCTGTGGAAGGTGGAAGGTTGTAACTGACAGCATGGGCCCCCACCTCTCTCTGTGCCTCCCTTTCTTCCAGCTATATCAGGGCTCCTCTGGTTCCTTTGTGCTTGCAGTAGCCGCGTGAAGGCGATCATTTTGCATCTTGGAGTTGGGCTGGCTTCCTGAATGGAGCCCGCACGGTTACTAGGGCAACCTTTGCCAGCAGCTGCAGTTCCACCGCCTCCTTCCTCACCTGCTGTCCCCATTAGTAGCTTCCTCAGGTCTCTGAGAAAGCGCTACCTTTCCTGGCCTTTTGCAGGGGCAGGGGGGTAGGGTGGGGTATGGCTTTTGGGAAGGGGAGGTTATCAGCAGGTTTCCTGGGAGCTGCAGGAGACAGAGATTGCAGTGGTTAATAGTATGAACTGGTCTTAGCGTTAAAATAGGAATGAAAAAGGGTTATCTGGGGATAAAAATACCAACACAGTCTTCAAAGGAATGAAAACTGAGACTTGCACCAACCTTGACAATTAGGAGACCTGAACTGTAGCTGCTGCTTTCTTGCTAATGAATCAGGTAGCCCTGGGCAGGGCACCCAATCTTACCGCATTTCTTTTTTCTTGTCTGTAAAAATGAGGGAGTTTTTACCTCCCATTCTAGGATTCTCTCATAATTCCAGCTTCTGTTCATGGATTGGTGACACTTATTACATGATAAAATGAGGTGCGGAGCAGGTGAAACAAATAACTAACATTTATCATGAGTACCAGATACTATACTTTGTATCTCATTTAATCTTCAAAACAGCTCTGTGAGATAGGTCCTATTATTATCTTTATTTTGCAAAGAGGAAACTGAGGCAGAGAAAGGCCAATAAAGCCTAAAGCCACCTTTATGGGACACCTGACACATAATGTTAGAGAAGGTTTGCATATCCAGTGCTTGTTACTGCAGAACTGAACCTTGAGCCTTTGGCTCTTCCTGTTGGAAACTGCTTGTCATCAGTATTTGCTCCCCTTTATAAAGTCTCATGATGTCGGCTAGGAAATGCTGTCCCCATTATACAGCTGAGGAAGTGGAGGAAGCAGAGGTTAAATGACTAGCCAAATTCCATGTGAATTCCACAGCCACATGGGAGGCCCCAGCTGGTGTGCTGTCAGAGAGGTGTCCACCGGGGGTAAACTTCCATCCTCCTTCTCCGCAGAGAAGTTGCTCTTCCTTGGTCCCATTGGCACTTAAATTATAAAACTACTTTTCCTAAGTATCTCTAAAATGGCTACCAGCTAGCATAGGGCCTGACCCTGACCCTTGCCCATACTCCCCTTTCAGGATGACACAACTAAACTGGCCCCAAAGAAGTTCACTTCCTCACTCTTATCCCTCCTAGAGGCAAACTGGGAGAGGGAGGTGGGTCAGGGGAAAGGGGAAGGGTGTGAAGAAGCAAGGAGGAGAGGCAGAAGACATATATATGGTGCAGGTCTACAGAAGAAGAGAGGTAAACTGACCAGCAAATTAGCAAATAATGGAGATGGGGGTTTTTAGGATACAGCCAGGGCAGATCATGTGGTAGCTGGCTGTAAGAAAATATCCTTGAAATGTCCTCTTAAAAAAAGTCAGTCTTCAGACTTTCAGCTGCTTCAGAAGGATTACTTTGGGTGTAAATTTATATGCAGTTCCTCACACAGCCATAATCGTTTTCGGAAAGATCCTGCAAGACTTTCAAATACCCTTGTTCCTCCCGTGTTCTCACTGCTCACTTAGCAATTGGCCCTGAATCAGTCCAGTTATGGTGAACGAATTTTCAAACTTCTTTAAAGTCCAAAATCGATTTCCTGAGAATATTGAAGGGCACAGAACAAAGTTCAAACAACTCACAAATATTTATCCAGGCCTTGGTGTGCATTGCACTGGTTCGATGAAACAAGTTAAAAATAAAAGGCAACGAAAGACCTCCCAGGAGCCCTCAGAGGCTGAAGGCAATGACCCGTTTCTAGATGGAACCGCTAAAGTGCCCAAATCAAAGAGGAGCCCTGAAGAAACTACCGGGCAAGGTCTTGTATTTCCCTATCTGCTTCCAACTAACATTTTAGATCCCACATTTTATTTTTTTATATAGGAAAGGATTAATGGCCCACATGTATGCAATTTGACCCACTCACTTTCTTACTTTGTCATGGAAAACACCACTAGAGAAGGCGTGCATATCTATTAGCCATCACTGATGTAATAAAAACATGTTAAACCACCATACCGTCAAACATGAACTCTCAGACACTCAAAGGAAAAGTGAGGAAATATCATTCACTTTTTGATAATGACATCCGAGAAAGCACGAAGCAAGTCTGGAAAAGGTTGCTAATTCTAAAGAATTCTGTTTCCTACTTTTGGGGAAAATCTAAGTATTTATCACGTTAAGTATTTTTCATTGGGTCCAGTTTAATTCCTACTGCAAACACGAACAGAAGGAGGAAAGAAAGAGCGGAAGGAGCAGCAGGGGATCTTCGGGTGTACCTGGCTCTCTGAAAAATTGTAGCAGGAATACCCTTTTATCTTATGTTCCATTTATTTATTGCTACATTACAAAGCGCCCCAAAACTTAGTGGCTTCAAATAACAGTCATTTATTTTGTTCCTAAGTCTGCATTTGGTCAGGGCTCAGCAGGGGAGGCTGGCCTCTGATCAGCGCAGTTTTGTCAGGGGCAGCTCAACTGCTGGCCAGAGGATTCATTTCTAAGATAGTTCACTCACTTTGCTGGTGAGTTGGTTTTGGCTTTGGCTGCCCACTGGGACCTCTGCCAGGGGCCGGGGCTGGGGACTTTGGTTCTCCATGTGGCCTAAATTTCCACATAGTATGGTGGCTGGGTTCCATGGGTGAAATCCCCAGAGAGAGAGAGAGAGAGAGAGGCTGGTGGAAACTATGTTGATTTTTATGACCTGCTCAGAGGTCACTTCTGCTGCATACAAAGTTTAAGGAGAAAGAACGTAAAAATCCATCTTTTAATGGAGGAGAGGAAAAATTCTGAAAAAGCACAAGAGATGGAAAATATTGTTGCAGTTGTTCTTGGAAAGTACAATGTGCCACATCTTGGTTGCGTGAATGTTGTTTCAATGTGGGACTGTGAGAGTAATAGTGAGTACCCACGGAGATAGATATGAAAGTGTTTAGCCATACTAATTTCTTGGTTCAATCTTGAAAACATTCAACAACTGCTATAATTGTTCCTTTATTCCTATTTTTTTCATCTGTTTCTAACGTTAACAGTAGAGTAATGCCGTCAAAACACTCTTTAAAGGCCGGGTGCGGTGGCTTACGCCTGTATTTCCAGCATTTTGGGAGGCTGAGGCGGGTGGATCACGAGGTCAAGAGATCGAGACCATCCTGGCCCACATGGTGAAACCCTGTCTCTACTAAAAATACAAAAATTAGCTGGGCGTGGTGGCGCACGCCTGTAGTCCCAGCTACTCCGGAGGCTAAGGCAGGAGAATCGCTTGAACCCGGGAGGCAGAGGTTGCAGTGAGCCGAGATCATGCCACTGCACTCCAGCCTGGTGACAGAGCGAGACTCCAGCTCAAACAAAGAAACAAAAAAATTTTTAGATTGACCCATAAAATAAAACAGTTTTTATAAAAGAATATTAATTTTTTTATTTTGTCAGAGAAAACATTATATTTGAGATTGAGTCGCCCAAGTTATTGAGTGTAGCTATGGTATACATTATTTTCATGCAAAATATAGTGTTTCATGTATTACATTATAGTAGGTAATCTTACATTGGTAGAATTTGGGTTTTTCCCCCTAATTTTGACTATTTTGAACAATACTGCTAAGAATACTTTTGTGCATGTATTCTAATGCTCATGTGTACACGTTTCCCGGTGGTTTGCAGAGGAGTGGAATAAGCATAGTTTGTGTAGAACCTCAATTTCAGACAATTAAAATCGTTTTTGAAGTGGATATTCCAACTTATATTCCCACTAATGATATTTAACTTTTCATACTCTCCCAAATTTTTTATAAACACTTGTTTTGTTTACACTTTTTAGTTTTCACCTATCTAGTAGATGTGAAATGGTAGTTTATTTTGATTCTAATTTCCATTATTCTGATTCCTAATGAGGTTGGATCCTTTTCTTGTGTTCATTGGCCATAAGATATTTTATTTTGTGAAGAGCCTGTTCAAATCTGTTGTCAAGTTTCAGTTGTGTTACTTCTATTTTTTTGTATTGATATCAGAGGTGCTTGGACACTCTAAATACTAGTCCTCTATTGAGTATATGCATTAAAAATATCAGTACAATGCTTTTCAAACTTTGTTCCTCAGGGAAGGACCAGGCTACATTTGGAGGCAGGATGTACACTGCACAGCTCTACAGGGTATCAGTCAGAAAGATAATGATACAAATGGCCATGCCCAACCTGTATAACCCTACATGGAGTTCTAGGAGACTCATGTGGGACTTGTGCCTAAACATATTTGAAATCCACTCATTGAATCCATTTAACAAATGTGGAAACAGAGTCAGAGAGATTAAGTTGAAAGAATAGATACTTTTGATTATCTCGATTGAAGTGGGGCTGGCCTAGAAGTGTTTTTGGTTATACTAAATCTTGAACTCAGTTTTGAAGAGGGGCTAGTTTTTCACATAGATGTGGAAAAGATGTGACAGTTGTGAGTAATGAATTACACCCAGCTTTGGAAGTAGTAAAAGACAAACTTCCTCGCAAGAGATGGCAACAATATTTTTCAAGATGTAAAACAGAGATAAAAAATCAAGATGCTTAGGGATATGAGAGATAAAATTTAAAGAGAAGTTGCAAAGTGCAGAAATAACTGTATTTTTTTTGTCTGCCTATCCTCCCTTCCCAGTTACTTGTAGTTGTGGAATTCTACAGTATCAGGGAGGACTAGGTTCAGAAGTCTACAACAGAGAATGAAAACTGAAAATTATCAAAACTCATGAGGGTTTATTCTCATCTATAAAAGCCAGGAGTGGGAAATTCAAGCCTGGTAGGACAATTTTATGAGATCATTTGAGATTCAGGCTTCTTCTGTCTTTGATCTTAAAGATCACAAGATAGAGATTCCCTGTCCAGTCATACATTCTGTCACCGAAAGAAGGAAAGAGAAAAAGAAAAAAGGTTTACTTCCTTGAGTCAATTCTCTTAAAGATGCCTGCTGGAAATCCTACAGCAGACTTGTACTCCATGTTCTTAATGGCTGGAATTAGCCACATGGCCATAGCTAGAGAGGCTGGGGATACAGACTTTCAGTTGGACACAAGCTTCCCCTAATATTAGTTTGGTGCAAAAGTAATTGTGTTTTTTGCCATTACAATCATTGCAAAAACTGCTATTACTTTTGTACCAATATAACTGAGGTTCTGTTTCTCAGGAAGTAGGGGGCACTGAATGTTAGTCATCTACCTTCTTCTTTTCTGGAGAAAACTCCATTCCCATCATAGGGAAGGGTATATAACCCAGCCCAGGCCAAAAAAGGCCTCATTTTCTGGTTTCAGTGATTGTTTCAGGGGTGGGACATGATTCCATTTCAGCCAATCAACTTATACCTTGGATTCATCTATGGAAAGGATTTTCTCTTAGAGTTGCTAAGCCCCGGACTTACTGATTCAGAATTTTTGGAAATGAAGCCTGGGAATCTGGTTTTTTATAAATGGCCCTCAGGTGATTCTTTTGATTGTCCTGTTTGGGAATTACCAGATCTGCCATGTGTAGTAAACCAACATTTAATCTAGCATCTCCTCTCTTAGGGCATTCAAAGAACAACAGCATTAAAGGGAGCTTGCTAGATGTCTTTCCAAAGATGGACATCAAAAGGCTGAGCATATAGTGTAGGTATAACTGCACCATAACTATCATGGGCTCACAACTATAGACTTTTAGAGTTATGATTTTTTTTCTAGTTTGTTACTTGCCCTATAAAGTAGCACTTGAAAATATAAATAGTCCTAAAAGCACTTTTTTAAAAATTTTACCAGGGCTTCTAGGTCTGCTTTGCTGGGATTTGGTGTCAGAATCTGTGTTCACTTAATCAGTACCCTTTGTGATTTTATCAACCTGATCCGCCAACTCTTATGTTTTGTCTTTCTAGGCTGAAGTGTTTTAAAGTCTCTTTGGTTTCTTTTCAAACCCTAATCATTTTAAGGGACCTCCTTTAAGTAAGTTCCAGTTTCATTATGCCATTTTTCAGGTTTGATGGCTGGAACTATACTCAGTATTTCTGGAGCCAATGAATTCTGGTGTCTCTCTGTGTATATGTGTGTGCGTGTGTGCAAACGCTCATAAGATTGTGCTTTCTATTTTGTTTTTGACATCCTTCCTGATGATGCTTGCTTTTGTGACTGCCACAATACATTGGACCGACCCCTTCAGGGAATGGTCGGCAATGATGCCATCATCCTTTTCCTGGATCACGTCTGCACTCGGAGTCCTTGGTCTTCTAAGCACGAGGTGCGTTCTCTTTTCCTGCAGCTATTCCTGTGCAACCAACTGCACTGAGCACGGCTATTTACTGGCTACTCACACATCTCTGCAAGACCTTCCTGACGTTTATTATTGTCATGATGATGTTTGAATTCTCAAAAAATCTCTGTGTCATCTATTGATTTGAATTTTCACTTTATTGATGTTTAAACCACTTTTGAAAAATGATAGGCATACATACATACAGATTCATGAAATACACATTTTTAATATATCCTCCAGCAGAATAGTGATTACTTCTTTAATATGCCCTTATAATATCCATCAGCAGCCCACAATAATAGAATCTGATTGACAAAACAGTGAGCTTCATATTAAAATATAGCTTTACGATAATTTCAAAATTCCTTATCCCCCTCCCCCAATTTCAATGAGATTGTTATTCCCAAACCCTTCCTATAAGGATATTTTGGAATTGCCACTGATCTCTATCCAAGGTTTCACATTTTTGAGTCCCTTCTAACTCTTTGACAGAAGCAATTCAGGTTTAAAACTTTTAAAATGAGAAATGCTGGCTGAGTGGACCATAAATTATGCCCATGGTTTGATGAGGCTATCTCTGTTCTGATCCTATTTTCAGCTGAGGAGTGATGGTTACAAGCTCAGTCAGTGGGTTCAGTTTTCCCAGATGTGAACCCAGATCTGTCACTTGTTAGCCATGTGACCTTGCCTAGTCTGTGTAGATCCTCAATTTCAGACAAGTCTCTCTGAGCCTTGGTTTCTTCACCTGTGCAATGAGAATAATAATAACACTTAGCTGATGGAGTTGGGAGGATTCAATGAGAAAATTGACGTAAAGCACCTAGAAAAATGCAAATAAATTGTAATTGATGAGGCTCTGGGGAATGGAATTATGTATGCCACTATTCATTTATTAATTCAACAAGGCATAGACAACCTATTATATTCAGGGAATGTTCTGAGTGCCATAAAGAGATAAATTAGACACAAATTTGACCTTTCAGCCTTGAAATGAAAACAGCCTTGAACATAAATCATTATAAGATATAAAGTAACAAGTAGCATAAAGAACATAGTCTCTGGATTTAGACTCTTGCAGGTTCAAATATAAGCTTCATCACTAGCTACCTGTGTAACCTTAGGCCAGGTGCTTAATCTTAGTAAGTTTCCCATCTGTTAAAAAATGGAAATAATAATGGTATTTACCTCACACTGTTGTTATCCGGATTAAATGAGAAAATGCACGTAAAATGCTCAGCACTTCGACTGTCACATAATGTGTAACATAAACTGCTTTCATAAGTAAGATCCAGAAGTACTGCAAAAATTTAGTGGAGCAGGGGATTTTATTTTTCTTTTGTTTATATCCATTTGTGGAAGGGAAAGGTCATGGAAGACTTCTTGCAAGAGACTGATAAATCATAAAGCCAATCTATTATTTTTGTTTGTTTGTTTTTTTGAGACAGAGTCTCACCCTGTCACCCAGGTTGGTGTGCAGTGGTGCAATCTCAGCTCACAGCAGCTGCTGCCTCTTGGGTTTAATCGATTATCGTGCCTCAGCCTCCTGAATAGCTGGAATTACAGGCATGCACCACCATGCATGGCTAATTTTTCTATTTTTAGTAGAGACAGGGTTCTGCCATGTTGGCCAGGCTAGTCTCCAACTCTTTTTTTTTTTTTTTTTTTTTTTTTTTTTTTTTGAGACGGAGTCTCGCTGTGTCTCCCAGGTTGGAGTGCAGTGG
This sequence comes from Homo sapiens, assembly GCF_000001405.40. NCBI lineage: Eukaryota > Metazoa > Chordata > Mammalia > Primates > Hominidae > Homo > Homo sapiens. Next base: position 89,337,908 of record NC_000012.12, on the reverse strand, counting down.
CGCGATCTCGGCTCACTGCAAGCTCCGCCTCCCAGGTTCATGCCATTCTTCTGCCTCAGCCTCCCAAGTAGCTGGGACTACAGGCGCCCGCCAACACGCCCGGCTAATTTTTTGTATTTTTAGTAGAAACGGGGTTTCACCGTTTTAGCCAAGATGGTCTCGATCTCCTGACCTCGTGATCCGCCCGTCTCGGCCTCCCAAAGTGCTAGGATTACAGGCGTGAGCCACCGCGCCCGGCCTAGTCTCCAACTCTTGACTTCAAGTGATCTGCCCACCTTGGCCTCCCAAAGTGCTGGGATTACAGACATGAGCCACCATGCCTGGTGCAATTTATGAATTTAAAAAAGAATACATTGTGCTGTTTGCCATCAGGCTGGCTCAACTATCCTACGAGGTAGGTTTTGTAGGGATATTAAATTTCCATCCTTTAGATGCTTAAACAGAAACTCAGAGAGTTTAAATTAAGTAACTTGCTGAAGGTTCCCCAGGTACTTGATGAAGCTGGTATTTGCTCACAGGGATGTTTGACTTGAAAGCCCAGCTGCTGCTTTTTTTTTTTTTTTTTTTTGACAGAGTCTGGCTCTGTTGCCCAGGCTGGAATGCAGTGGTGTAATCTCGGCTCATTGCAACCTCTGCCTCCCAGGTTCAAGCAGTTCTCCTGCCTCAGCTTCCTGAGTAGCTGGGATTACAGGCGGCCACCACTGCACCCAGCTAATTTTTGTATTTTTTTAGTAGAGACAGGGTTTCACCACGTTGGCCAGGCTGGTCTCAAACTCCTGACCTCAGGTGATCCACCCACCTCGGCCTCCCAAAGTGCTGGGATTACAGGTGTGAGCCATTGTGCCTGGCCAAAAGCCCAGCTTTTTAACATCTGCTTTATACTCTTCTCATGGTATATTGCTCATGGTACAGACTACTCTCTTCCCAGGGTGAGAATAGAGTTGAATTTGCGATCACAACATTGCTGATGAGGCCGGAATCAAAATCAAAGGAGTTTGTGCCATACTTCATCTAAGTTATATAAAGGTCAAGAGAAATATTCCTGCTCTGCGGTAAAACAAACAAAACAGACAAAACCACATCTTTTAAGTTACTGGAAGGTTAAGTTCGATTGAATGATGCTGGATACCTCTGATAGATTTTTATCCTTTGGCTCTCTTGTCCTTGTCTGTTTTCTGGAACTCCAATACCCTCCACACCGGCCATTAAGCTGTGGCTAATGAAAACACAAATTAGTTACATTGCTTACAGGTTAGAGTCTTTGCGCTACTCTAATCCCTTGATGAGAGATGGGAAACACCCTGGTTTTATCAACAGCAGATTGACAGATGGTTTTCTAATGGTCAAAATGGCATCTACATTTATGGAGCCCTTCCTTTGTGCCAGGCTGGAAGCTGTGTGCAGATGATCTCATCTCATCTTTAGTACCCTCTTGCGAGGTAAGGTTACTGTCACACAGTGGTTAAGCACAAGGGCTCTGGAGCTTGATGGCTAGGTGCAAATTCTGGCTCCATCACTTACTAGCTGTCTGACGCTAAGCAAGTTGGCTAACCTCTCTGTGCCTTAGTTTCCTTATCTGTAAAATAAAAATAAAAAAAAAAAGACATGGTCAGAAGTAACTGAATTAATACACTCAGTATGATTAGAACAGGGCCTTGATTGTTGTAAGTAATTAATACATGTTAGCTCTGTCGGGGAGGGAAACTTTTTCCTCTATCCTCTTAGGTTTAACTTTTGGAGGCTTGAAAATTAAACTCACAAAAGATAGATTAGCAAGAGAAAACATGTATTTTTATTCACATAAGTACTTGGGAATTTACCAAAAAGTATGACTCAAGGAGGTGCTTAGAATTGGGTGAAGGAGAGGGTGAAGGAATAGGTGAAGGAGGAGAGAGGGAGAAGATTACTTATAGGAAAACAAATGACTTGTAGGAAAGATAAATAGGCCTGTAGGAGAATAGATGGGAGATACTATCATTTTGTGACAATGCCTGTTTAGGTGATTTCAATCTTTCCTGGTTACAAAACTCCTGGGAGGGGAGTTTTAACAGTTGAATTCTTTTAGGAGGCTCTGCTTTTAAGCAGATAACGAATGTTTAGAAGAAAACTCTTCACAGTGTTATATTCTGGATTCTTTCAGCTCTTATTATCTCCATTTTGTAGATGGGAAAATGGAGGCTTAGAGTGATTAATTATCTAGGATCTCCAAGTGGTAAACAGTAGCGCTGAGATTTGAAACCGGGCTGGGCTGACCTCAGAGCCTTTGATCTTTCCGCTAAGAGGTCTCAAAAGGAGAAACTCTAATCTTATCTGAAAATTCTAGGAGCATATAAATTCTTTGGGATAAATTTAACATACTGGATCTCAGCATCATCATTTGCAAAATGAGAGCATTGAACAATATGAATTTTAGTGGCCTTTCCATCTCCAAAGACATTCCTTGTTTTGGGAGTTTTAATCACAATTATTAGAGAAGAAGTAATGGTCACATATCAAAGAATGTACTAGAGGAGATATTGCAATGTGTGTGTGTGTGTGTGTGTGTGTACACCCACGTCCATGTGTGTACACCTGCATATGTGTTTCAATTGCTCTGAAAAGACTGATTGTCTTAGGAAGGAAAGGGACCATCCTAAGATGTAGATACTTTAGTTATTTATTTCCACTGTATATGCTGTTGACCTAGGATTCTGCACGTCCTCAGGGAGTGTCTCTTCCAGGCCTTTTCCAAAAGGTGATTGGCAAGGGAAGTTCTTCTAAAAGAGATAAGTGGCTTCTAA